>NC_000018.10:42122947-43334688 GCF_000001405.40 Homo sapiens
AAGCCCAGCATGCATTAGCTATTTTTCCTAAGGCTCTCCCTCCCCCAACAGGCCCCAGTGTGTGTTCTTCCCCTCCCTGTGTCCATGCGTTCTCATTGTTCAGCTCCCACGTGGTGTTTGGTTTTCTATTCCCCCATTAGTTTGCTGAGAATAATGGCTTCCAGCTTCATCCCTGTCCCTGCAAAGGACTTGATCTCATTCTTTTAATGGCTGCATAATATTCCATGGTGTATATGTACCACACTTTCTTTATCCAGTCTAATATTGATGGGCATTTGGGTTGATTCCATGTCTCTGCTATTGTGAATAGTACAGCAGTGAACACATGTGTGCATGTATCTTTGTAATAGAATGATTTGTATTCTTTTGGGTATATATCCAGTAATGGGAATGCTGGGTCAAATGGTATTCTTCATTCTAGTAATTCATCACATAAAAAGATCTAAAGACAAAACCACATGATTATCTCAATAGATCCAGAAAAGGCCTTTGATAAAATTCAACATCTTTTTATGTTAAAAAAAACTCCCAATAAACTAGGTATTGAAGGAACATATTTCAAAATAATAAGAGATATTTTTGACACACCCACAGCTGATATCATACTAAATGGGCAAAAGCTGGAAGCATTCCTTTGAAAACCATAAGACAAGGACGTCGTCTCTCACCACTCCTATTCAACATAGTATTGGAAGTTCTGGCCAGGGCAATCAGGCAAGAGAAAGAAATAAAGAGTATTCAAAAAGGAAGGGGAAAAGTAAAATTGTCTTTGTTTGCAGATGACATGGTCCTATATCGAGAAAACTCCATGATTTCAGACCAAAAGCTTCTTAAGCTGATAAGCAACTTCAGAAAAGTCTCAGGATACAAAATCAATGTGCAGAAGTCACAAGCATTCCTATACACCAATAGCAGACAAGCAGAGAGCCAAATCATGAAAGTACTCCCATTCACAACTGCTACAATGAGAATAAATTACCTAGGAATACAGCTAACAAGGGAAGTGAACGACCTCTTCAAGGAGAACTACAAACCACTGCTCAAGGAAACCAGAGAGGACACAAACAAATGGAAAAATATTCCATGCTCATGGATAGGAAGAATTAATTATCGTGAAAATGGCCATACTGCATGAAGTAATTTATAGATTCAATGCTGTTCCCATATAAACTACCATTTACATTCTTCACAGAATTAGAAAAAACTATTTTAAAATTCATATGGCACCAAAAAAGAGCCCATATAGCCAAGACAATCCTAAGCGAAAAGAACAAAGCTGGTGGCATCACACTACCCAACTTCAAACTATATTATAAGGCTACAATAACCCAAACAGCATGGTACTGGTACAAAAACACGTAGACCCATGGAACAGAATAGAGAACTCAAAAATAAGATCACACATCTAGAACCATCTGATCATTGACAAACCTGACAAAAACAAGCAATGGAGAAAGGATTCCCTATTTAATAAATGGTGCTGGGAGAACTGGCTATCCATTTGCAGAAAATTGAAACTGGACCCCTTCCTCATGCCTTATACAAAAATTAACTCAAGATGTAGTAAAACCCAAAACTATAAAAACCCTAGAAGAAAATCTAGGCAATACCATTCAGGACACAGGCAAAGGCAAATTTTCATGATGAAATTGCCAAAATCAATTGCAACAAAAGCAAAAATTGACAAATAGGATTTAATTAAACTAAAGAGCTTCTGCACAGCAAAAGAAACCATCATCAGAGTGAACAGGCAAACTGTAGAGTGGGAGAAAAATTTTGCAATTTATCTATCTGACAAAGGTCTAATATCTAGAATCTACAAGGAACTCAAATTTACAAGAAAAAAACAAAGCCATTAAAAAGTGGGCAAAGGACATTAACAAACACTTCTTAAAAGAAGACATTCATGCAGCGAACAAACATATGAGAAAAATCTCAACATCACTGATCATTAGAGAAATGCAAATCAACACCACAGTGAGATACCATCTTACACCAATCAGAATGACCATTATTAAAAAGTCAAGAAGCAACAGATGCTGGCAAAGCTGCAGAGAAATAGGAATGCTTTTACACTGTAGGTGGGAATGTAAATTAGTGCAACCACTATGGAAGATGGTGTGGCAATTCCTCAAAGATCTAGAACCAGAAATACCATTTGACTGAAAGATCTAGAATCAGAATTTTTGTATCCTTTTACAAATTTTTGAACTCTGTTTTAGTTAGAAGTTACTTGGAAACTGATCCTTTTGGTAAAGGATATTTAAGATTTGTTAGATGGGACCAGAACTGCATCTTGTACAGAGCTAACTATTCTCTATGAATGGAGAAAGACTCTTATAAGTATTCTCCACATCATCTTATGAATTACAAGGTTTTCCAGCCTGGCAGATGAGAACAGGTGTTATTCCCAGCCATGTAAGACTGCTGGGCACTGTTTCCTCTAATCTTCTCAGATTGCTCTTTCTCTAGCCTCAGCTAGTTTCCTCACATTCATTCTCACATGATGAATACTCAAAGGAATCTCTCTACAGGTATTCATTATTTTCTTTCTGTGAAGCTTTGTCTTCTTTGGTACTCTGTCTTGTGGACTCTAGCTGCCTTGGTTTTCCCCAGATTCTCAGCTTCATCTCTTCAACGCAAGGAGTCCACCAGGTTCCACCCAGGCTCCACTTCCCTGTGCGGCTACCTGAACAGTCTCATGTAGCAAGCTGAGACAGTCCCATTTTTAAACTCTCAGATATCACTCTCCTTTGGTGTTTGATGTCCAATCTCTTAAAAACTACTATTTTATATATTTTATATTTATTGCCCTTCTAAAAGTTGTTCCATAGGGAGAATAAATCTGGTTCCTGTTACTCCATCTTGGCCAGAGCAGAAATCCCATGGATATTCTTAAAAGGGGGAAAAAGAATAAGAAAATGCAGCTTTGGGTAGAGGTGTGAGGAAATGAGAAAAGCCTATGTTCAGGTGAAGCTGGAGGAGTTCATGATAATCTGCAAAAATACTTATCACAAAACAGCCACAATGTATTTTTCCTCCACACTTGGCTTCACCCCAAAATTATTATTTAATGCCCAGTAGTGAGAGGGCCCTAAAATATGCAGCTAAGACAACTGTACAATGTCTGTTTTTAGCTTTCTTCATGGGACAATGGAAAGAAACTAACTCTTCTCACTAATTTCCACCAAATCTTACCTCTTTTTCAAGGACAAAGTCAATTACTTCTGGAATCTTTCTGAAGCTAAACTTCCTTCCACCTTCATACAAAGTTCCATGCAGCCAAATCTCAGAATGATTAATTTTACTTTCACAGACCTAGACAATGTTATAATTGGAAGGATATTTAAAGATCAAAAATCTCTCATTTTACATATGGAAACAGGAAACTGAGGTGTGGAGAGAATTGATCCATATAGGCCTTTGTGTTAGATACAATACAATGAAATAACCAGAGAAGATACTGTTTTTCATGTGTCGTGGATCTGGATACAGGCTGTAGACATCACGCTTGCAGACATCAAATAATTTACTCCGTGTTACATGAAGAAATAGAGATGGGGTCATTTGGTTGTAAAATGTGTGCATATGGATTTGCATACATCTAGTCCTTTCTCAAAAAAGGAGCTCCTATTTTCTGGTCCTAGAGCTAGAACTACCTTTGCTGTAGCCCTGGAAAAACTTATAAAAAGTCAAAAAACTCTCTGATTCAGAGGATTCTGATATAAGTTGATGTCATAATATTATGACGTAGAAGCCAGAGTGTGGGCATCTCCATCCTAGCTCTGAGACAGAAATTATGAACAAGGTTAATATAAGAAAGAGGAAAACCCCTTCTCCCATTGCAACATTTCAAAATTCCCTTCCAGTTTCAACCACTCAGTGTGCTATATTATGTGAACTTACCTCAGGGATAGTTGCACTGGGAAGTTCTTCATAAACAGTGGGAGAGTGGGGCTTTTCTAGACTTTCTGGCACAATTACAGGCACTTAAGTCTTCCCTCTCATGTCCAACATCTACAGTCTTGGCAGATATCAAAATGCATTACAGATTTATAATATATCAACTGTGTTGGAGGGGGGCATAGATGAAAGCAAAACATTCCAAAAGAAGGGAATTGCAGGTTATAAGTAGGTGTCTCTGTTTAATAGATTTAAAAAATACTGGCAGAACATGACAAAAACTACTAATTAAACTGGCTTTGATTCCAGATCCCTGATGTTTGAGCAGGGACCCCAGAACTCTCCTAATTCCCACTACAGCCACCTCATTTAACATTTTACCCTGTTCAGGTAATCCCATTAGAGCAAATGGTTTGGAAAAACAAAACAAAACAAAACAAAAAAACAGAAAACAGCAAAGATAATTTTTGAATAATGAAATGATCTCTAAGTGTCAATTCCATTGGTTCATGGATTCAAATATTCAATATTACTTTTGATAATATCTCAAATAACTAAATTCTTGAGATAGCTTCTTAGAGTTCTTGTAACTAGACTTATGTTGGCCAGGAGATTTAATCATTGACTGCTTATATGCCTAATTCTGTGATATTCACATACTAGGAGTTTGGGCCATTTTGTGGTTGATACAAATGTCATAGGATAAAGGGTTCTTATTGTCACATAAGAAGACTGTTCCAAACAACTGATGTTGTCTTTTTAGGTTGGTGATATTTGAGCTGTGATGCCTATGCAGAGTGCAAAGTGAGACGCAGAGCTTTCACAAGTCTGACATATGTGTGCTCTGACAACTCTGACGTAAACCAGCAGTACGTCCTTGGAGTGCCTGAGGCTTTATGTACCCATTTAGAGAGGAAAACTAGTTTATTTCTTTATATATATGTATATATCATATATATTATATATATATAATAAATATATTATTATTTTTTATATAATATATAAGAAGAAAAATACTTTCAAAACTTGCCCCCAGTTTCTCTCACCAGAAGCAAACATGACTCTTAGACTCTCTTTTCATGCTTTAATATTTTCTTTCTAAATAATAAGTGTGGCAAACTATATTTTTCAGTAAGATCTCCATCTCATGTGCTCTTCTTGCAATGTAACATTGATACTCCTCCCACTGAGATGTGGTGTCTGTGTTTCTTCTTCCAGAATCAAGGTGGGCCTGTGATTATGGTGAAGTGACACTTGATGACTTCAGTGACTAGGTCATAAAAAATGGTTCAGCTTCCACATGAACCTCCTGGGGCAATTGGCTTCAGAGTCCTGAGCTACCATGTAAGAGGTCTGAAGCTGCTATGCTATACAGTAATTCATGCAGTGTAGAGAAGCCTCATGTAGGTGCTTCAGCCAACCATCCCAGTTGAGGTCCTGGCCAATTGGCAGAACCAGTTCCATACATGTGAGATAATAATAAAATGATGACTATTGTACTAAACTGCTGAATTTTGGGGTAACTTTTTATATTAATACATAACTGAAACATTCATGTACATGGCAATCTTCTATTTCATTAATTTTAGATATACTCTATTATGTATTTTTAATAGTACTTGATCAGAAAACTCTCTTATACCATTAACTCTTTTGCTTCCTCTCCCTATACTTCTGATATAGTATTATTATACATTTTTGTTAATCATTGCATTTGCATCCTTATGTCTATAGTGCACTTTGATTGTTCCTTTTCATATTCTTGTATACCTTAAGTGATTAATTAGTAACTTTTTGATTTTTAATCTGGTTAGTTTTCTTTGTACTAAATTGCTTTTCTCTCATTTCAATAGTCTTCAGTATAATTTTTCATTAAGTTAATTATAGAAGGTAATCTAACAATTTCATTTTTTTTTCTGGAGTCATCCCACCTGGAAACTTCCATTTTCCTTTTATTTTGGCCTGCTGTTTTCTTGGAAATTATTTCCAGCTGTCATCCTGAGACTTTTTGCTATCATTTTAGAAACTTCTCTGATGTTTAGAAAGTTTGGATTCCCTATTTCTCAGATTTCATGCTGTCTTCTTACTTGGTTTAATCTTTTATTTTGGTGGAAAACATCCTTGTTAAAAAAAAAAATATGTACCACAGCAGAAGACCTGACAATAATAGTCCTGAATAAGCCTGTCTCTGAAATCCAGGTTGGAATATGTATATAAAAATTTGGGGGCCGGGCGCAGTGGCTCATACCTGTAATCCCAGCACTTTGGAAGGCCGAGGCGGGTGCATCACGAGGTCAGGAGATCGAGACCATCCTGGCTAACATGGTGAAACCCTGACTCTATTAAAAATACAAAAAATTAGCCGGGCATGGTGGTGAGCGCCTGTAGTCCCGGCTACTCGGGAGGCTGAAGCAGGAGAATGGCATGAACCCAGGAGGCAGAGCTTGCAGTGAGCCGAGATCGAACTACTGCACTCCAGCCTGGGCAACACAGTGAGACTCCGTGTCAAAAAAAAAAAAAATTGGGGGAGCTTGCATACCTGAAAATATCTTTTTAGAACTTGGCACTTGAAAAATTAAGGTTTCTTCACAGCAACTTTGCCTAAGTTTGAATGGTAATTTTCAGCTTTTGGACAATGCTGTGAATTGCTATAAGTAGGCGCATGCATTTCTGGGAATAAACTTAACTTATATAAGGGAAGCGGGAAAAAAAAAAGTGACTGGCACCTAATACGGAGCCTGCAAAAAGTACAACTACTTTCTAGACTAGGGGCAGGGAAATTAGATAAATATATTTGTAGGAATTGTAAGTGAAATACAATTACAGAAATTGAAGAAATTCAAACCCTTGTACATTACTGGTGGGACTGCAAAATGATTCAGCCACTGTGAAAAACAGTTTGGCAGTTTCTGAAAAAGTAAAGCATAAAAATACCAGCTGACCCAGAAATTTCACCCGTGGGTATATTGAAGAGAATTGCAAGCAGATATTCTAATTGATATTATACAGAAATATTTATGTGTGCACTGTTCACAATACAACCCATGTTCATCAATAAACAAATGGATAAATAACATGCGGTATATCCATATAATTGAATATTATTTAACTATAAAAGAGAATGAAACACTGACCAGCTACAATGTGAATGAACCTTGAAAATGGTTATCTAAGTAAAAGAAGCCAGACACAAAAAGTTACACGTGGTATGATTCTATTTATGTGAAATATACAGACTACATAAATTGATAGGAACAGAAAGCAAATTGGTGGTTGCCAGGGTTGGGGAAAGGAGGGAATGGGGCATGACCACTTAATGCGTATGGAGTTTTAGGATGATGAAAACGTCTTGGAACTAGATGGAGGTGGTGGTTGCAGAACGTTGTGAATGTACTAAATTCCAGTGAATTATTCACTTTAAAATGGTTTATGCTATATAAATTTCACAAGCTTAACTCAAACAAGTGAAGTAGAAAGATGAGTGACTGGCTGTAATAATGAGCCTATAAGAAGTATTACTACTTTCTTTTTTTTTTTTTTTTTTTGAGACAGAGTCTCGCTCAGTTGCCAGGCTGGAGCACAGTGGCGTGATCTCACCTCAGTGCAACCTCTGCCTCCCAGGTTCAAGTGATTCTCCTGCCTCAGCCTCCTGAGTAGCTGAGACTACAGGTGTGCACCACCACGCCTAGCTAATTTTTGTATTTTTTAGTAGAGATGGGGTTTCACCATGTTGACCAGATGGTCTCGATCTCTTGACCTCGTGATCTGCCTGCCTCGGCCTCCCAAAGTGCTGGGATTACAGGCGTGAGCCACTGCACCCAGCCAAGAAGTATTACTACTTTCTAGGCTGGCTGGGAAAGCAAAAAAAAATACATTTGTAAGAATTGTGTGTAAGAGGGAGAAAAAGTGAGCACTGGCATGTATATAAATGAAATGTCTATTTTGACTTTCTAGAAAATTGCCTTCCTTATGTAACGCTTTTTAGATACTATAATGTTTTGGATATGAGAACATTCTAGAGAGATGAGCTCTGTCTAGATAAGTTGTTCCTGAGCCACACACATATATTTTGTGATAATAATCTAAAAATTTGTGATCAAATGAGAATACAGAGAAGACAGATATTTAAAAATATTAAGTACAAGGCAATGTTCAAGAATTTCTACCTCTAAAGTTATGTTTGCCAAATAATTTTCTTAAAAAAACTATAATTAAAAAAATTAAAAAGAGATAAACAAAAGACAAGGTGAATAAGAACCTCATCTTAGAGGGCCTCCCTTTGACCAGCCTGATGCATCTTCGCCTCATGGAGTGCATTTATGTGCACAAGAGTGAGTGCTGCTCTTCTAGAAACATGCTCTGAGTGAGCGCTGGCCGATAAACCCAGCCCAGCCAGCAGCAGAGCTGTTATTAAGCTGTAGCCCTAGAGCTTCCCAGTTTTATTTTATTGTTTCTGGGATGCAAGTACTGTCGAGTTCTTAGGCAACTATCTTTCCAAGCAATTAAGTCCCCCATCTCAGAAGCCACAGAAAGGAAGTAAATAAGAAGGGGGAGGAGGCAGCTTGGTGGGGGCTTCCAGGTTATTTATTACTTTAATAAGTCTGGGCTCCTCCCAACCCGGCTTAGACTCCTGTTTCTGTCAAGCTCCCAAGGACAAACGATCGCTTAATCGTCGGGTTTGTGGGCCGAGGTGGGCGCCAAGCACAGTTTATTGTGCAGGAAAGGCTGTTAAGTAAGACGATGTTATAGTGCCCTGGCCAATAAGTCATTAAGCAGAAATTAAAAGCAGAAAACTTCCCAGTACCTCATATCTAACTTGTATTACCCTCTTAAAGGCAGAGTCAATTGTGTTTGGAGCTGAAGATAAAAGGTAGGCCCAGGGAGAAGGTTCTATCAGTGAAGAAGGAGAATAGAAGAGACTGGCTTTAGAATCATCCTGTGTCCTGCATTCACAAGGGTGTAGCCCCTAACCAGTTCAATCTGACAGCAGCTGCTATGCCTGAGAATGGCAGGCTGCCAAACTCCTGGCAACAGGTTTTCATCTGTTATCTTAATTGAACTTTATTTTGTTTTCATTTTTATTATTATTTTTTAAGTTCTGAGGTACATGTGCAGGATGTGCAGGTTTGTTACATAGGTAAACATGTGCTTTATTACATCCTTGCAATATATGGGGCACATTACTGCCACCACATGAGAAGGCAGCTAGAGCCATGACACTTGTTTAGGTCCCCGTCAGGTGAAAGCTGGGCTAGCCTGGAATATGGGCCACCCCGATCCCAGCTTCTGTGTTTCACTGGGAGCAGAAAACTGTGACCTCAGGGAAATCAGTCTCAAACTTGAGCTTGAGTTCATTCAGGCAGTGTGATATTCTCTTCTGGACCAGAGTGCTGTTTCTCCCCTCCAGGTTGAGGGAATAAAGTAATCGAAGAACTTTGAATAAAGGCCAATCACCTGATCACTACTTCTAACAGTGTGACAAAGAAATTCAGAACAAGTGAATAATAAGGGAATGGAAATTTCAACTTGCCTTAACTTTCAGTTCTACTGAATTATTCTGTCTTAGCCTAATCCTTCCCACTTCCCACTCTTTTAACCTCATCTTCCTCTCCTTCACTCTCTCTCTCTCTCCCCCTTAATAAACTAACTTTTAGAGAAGTTTCAGGTTCACAGCAAAATTGAGCAGCAGGTATGGAGATTTTCTATATATCCTTAATCCCACAACTGCACATCAACATCCTTCAACAGAGTGCTAAGTTTGTTATGATTGATGGACCTACACTGATATATCATTATCACTAAAGTCCGTAGTTTACATGAGGGTCACTCCTGGTGTAGTACATTCTATGGCTTCGAAGTGTGGAGAGGCAATACTTTACCTCCACCCTCTTAGGGTCTCTGCCTGGGCATGAAAATTAAATTGACATAGATAGATTCATGGGAGAAAAGCATACAGATTTGTACACATACATGGGAGCCCCCATAGAAAGATGAAGCCCTAAAGACGTGGCAAAACCGAAATGATTATATAGTAGGTTGGACATGGTGGCAATTGTGGAACAGTGACTGAAATATATGGGGAGCCCAAAGGAAGGAAAGAGTTATTTTAACAAAGTCTATTTGTACAGATTATTTTTTTCAGTCTTGACTTCCCGTCTCTGGAGATGAGAATGCAGCTGCTTCTTTTTATTATTTAATTTTTTGCTACAGGAGGGCATCCTTCACATAAGAATTTGCTCCCATCTCTAGTGATAAGAATGTTTTTTTCTCTTGATACAGGGAGGGCAGAGTGAACTTTCTGTGTCTACTGTTTTTCAAGTGTCTTTAGTTTGAAATAATTCTTATGCCAAAGTGGCGTATTTTAAGATGATATATTCTGCCACCCTTCAAGACAAATATATGATGACTCTATATCCACCACTATAGTATTACACAAAATAGTTTCAATACCCTAAATATCCTCTGTGTTCCACCTATTCATCTCTGCTACCCCCAAACTCTGGCAATCACTGATCTTTTTACTCTCTCCCTAGCTTCATTTTTTCCAGAATGTCATATAGTTGGAATCATATGGTAAGTAGCCTTTTTAGATTGCTTCTTTTACTTAGTAACATGCATTTAAGTTTCTTCCACGTATTTCCACAGCTGGATAGCCCATTTCTTTTTATTTTATTTAACTTTTACTTTAGTTTCAGGGGCACATGTGCAGGGTTGTTGTATAGGTAAACTTGTGTTATGGAAGTTTGTTGTAAAATTATTTTTTCTCACCTAGGTACCAGTTATTTTTTTTCTGATTCTCTTCCTTTTTCCACCCTCTACCTTCAAGTAAGCACCAGTGTGTGTTGTTCCCTTCTTTGTGTCCATGTGTTCTCATCATTTAGTATCTACTTATAAGTAAGAACATGTGATGTTCGGTTTTCTGTTCCTGTGTTAGTTTGCTAAGGATGATGGCTTCCAGTTCCATCCATGTTGCTGCAAAGGAGATGATCTCATTCTTTTTTATGGCTACGTAGTATTCCATGGTGTATATGTTCCACATTTTCTTCAGTCAGTCTACCATTGATGGGCATTTAGGTTGATTCCATGTCTTTGCTATTGTGAGTAGTCATCAATGAACATATGTGCACATGTGTCTTTATGCTAGAACCATTTATATTCCTTTGTGTATATACCCAGTAATGGGATTGCTGGGTCGAATGGTAGTTCTGTTTTTAGCTCTTTGAGGAATTGCCACACTACTTTCCACAATGGTTGAACTAAGCTATACTCTCACTAGAAGTGTATAAGCATTTCCTTTTCTCCACAACCTCACCAGCATTTGTTAATTTTTGGCTTTTTAATCATAGCCATTCTGACTGGTGTGAGATGGTATCTCATTGTGGTTTTGATTTGCAATTTTGTAATAATCAATGACACTGAGCTTTTTTAATATGCATGTTGGCCACATGTATTTCTTCTTCTGAAAAATGTATGTTCATATCCTTTGCTCACTTTTTAATGAAGATGAGGTTTTTTTCTTGTAAATTTGTTTAAGTTCCTTATAGATGCTGGATATTAGATCTTTGTCAGATATAGAGTTTGCAAATATTTTCTCCCATTCTGTAGGTTGTCTGTTTACTCTGTTGATCATTTCTTTTGCTGTGCAGAAACTCTTAAGTTTAATTAGACCAATTTGTCAATTTTTGCTTTTGTTGCGATTCGTTTTGTCATCTTCATCACTAAATCTTTACCAGTTTCTAATGTCCAGAATGATATTGCCTAGGTTGTCTTCCAAGGCTTTTATAGTTTGGGTTTTAAATTTAAGTATTTTATTCATCTTGAGTTGATGTTTGTATATGGTGTAAAGAAGGGGTCCAGTTTCAATCTTCTGTATATTGCTAGCCAGTTATCCCAGCACCATTTATTGTATAGGGAGTCCTTTCCCCATTGCTTGTTTTTGTCAGCTTTCTCAAAGATCAAATGGTTATAGGTGTGTGACTTTTTATTTAGACTCTCTATTCTGTTTCCTTTGGTTTATTTGATTGTTTTTGTACCAGTACCATGCTGTTTTGGTTACTGTAGCCCTGTAATATCGTTTGAAGTTGGGTAGCTTGATGCCTCCAGCTTTATTCTTTTTCTTAGGATTGCCTTGGCTATTTGGGCTTTTTTGGTTCTATATGAATTTTAAAACAATTTTTCTAGTTCTGTGAAGAATGTCATTGGTAGTTTGATAAGAATAGCATTGGGTCTGTAAATCGTTTTGGGCATTAACGCCATTTTGCTTTGATTCTTCTGATTTTGATTCTCTGATCCATCAGCATGAAATTCTTTTCCATTCGTTTGTGTTGTCTCTGATTTCTTTGAGCAATGTTTTGTAATTATCACTGTAGAAACCTTTTACCTCTCTGGTTATCTGTATTCCTAGGTATTTTATTCTTTTTGTGGCAGTTGTGAATGAAGTTGCTTTCTGATTTGGCTCTTGGCTTGGCTACTGGTGTGTAAGAATGCTAGTGATTTTTGTATGTTGATTTTTGTATTCTAAAACTTTGCTAAGGTTGTTTATCAGCTGAAGGAGCTTTGGGCTGAGACTGTGGGGTTTTCTAGATATATAATCATGTCATCAGAAAACAGGGATAGTTTGGCTTTCTCTCCTCCTATTTGGATGCCTTTTATTTCTTTCTGTTCAGGACTTCCAATACTGTGTTGAATAAGAGTGGTGAGAAAGGGCAGACTTGTGTTGTGCCAGTTTTCAAAGGGAATGCTTCCAGCTTTTGCCTATTAAGTATGAAGTTAGCTCATTTCTTTTTAGTGCTGAATAATATTCCACTGTCTGGATGTGCCACAGTTTATTCAGTCCCCTACAGCAGGGGCATCTTTGTCACTTCCAAGTTTTGGCAGTTATGAATAAGGCTGCTATAAATATTCCTGTGCAGGTTTTTTTGTAGACACATGTTTTCAGCTCCTTTGGGTAAATATGAAGGAGCACAATTGCAGGATCATATGGTGCTATAGATGGAAAGTTTGTCCACAGCACAAACAATTCAATTCAAGTGTTGAAGCACTAATTTGTGTGACAGTATTTGAAGGTAGGGTTTTGAGGAGGTAATTAGATCATGAGGGAGCATCCTCATGCAGAAGATATACATGAGAAATGATCTCTCTCTCTGCCATGTGAGAATACTTTAAAAAGGCAAAAGTCTGTGAATGAGGAGGAGGGCTGGTATTCTGTTACAGCAGCCCAAAACTGCTTAAAACATATGGTAAGCATAGTTTCATAAGAAACTGCCACAAACTGTCCTCCAAAGTGACTGTACCATTTTGCATTTCTACCAACAGTGAATAAGAATTCCTGTTGCCCCACATCCTCCCCAGCATTTGGTGTTGTCAGTATTCTGGATTTTGGCTATTCTAATAGCTATGTAGTAGTATCTCATTGTTGGCTCATCTCTTTTAAAATCTCTATATGTTGCTTCTTCCTTTTCCCTCTTTCTTGATAGTTTGTGACATTTTCTAATTCCTCCTGTCTCAGCTGCTTCTTTTCCTTGTTTCTCCTACTCTTCATTTTTGTTCCTTTGATTCTTGTCTGATAATTTACTCATATTTTTCTTTCCTCTCTTTTTTTCATTTCTTTGCCTTTTCCTACATTTCCCCCTTCTTTCATTCCAGTTGGCATAAACATGAATGTAAGAGTAATATATATTTTCAGTATATGTTGGTTGTATTGAATATATTAGTTGTTAATTAAAAATAGCAAGTGTTGTCCATTTTAGATTTTTCTCAGGCAAATAGCACCAAATAAATCAAATTTCTTTTCATATGTAGCTCTTACTTTATTTTTTTCAATGGGTTCAGTAAATCTCAAAAGTGATTTTCTACCACATTGTTAGTCTGTTAGTGACCTACCCACGATAATTTTTAGTAATGAAAAAAATGATTCTCAACATATTTCCAGTTGTGTAAAAGATTATATACTCAATACTATATTTCTCAGAATGAAACTGAATCATATTTTCTCCATTTGGTCTACAGCTGAGGGTGCTGTTTTTCTCCTAATAATGTACTTAAGTGAAGGACTGAATAATGACCTTGTCATCCTAACTCTTTCTTTTGTTTTATTGATTTTTGCTTTCACTTTTGTTCTCTACCTATATTCTACCATTGTCCCGGAAAATTATCTAACATTTAAAAATAAAGGAGAATCATTCTGTATGACCTTTCAGTGTCATCCTAGAGTGTTTTACAACAAATCCACCCAAAAAATCTCTTGAGGAAGGTAACTTTGTTTGGCTTATTATTTATTTGATTAGGGCTCAGATTCTGCAAAGTTTGATGCTAGAGCTTAGAAGATTGATATGTTGCAAATAATTTTTATTGGGTAAAAAAGATACCTCCAAATACTGTGATTTTATTGCCTGGGAAGACATTGCCAGTTTTCAATCTATGTTTGCAATCTTATTTTTTCCCCCACTAACATATATCATTTTCTCACATCCTCCATCACATCAGCTTTGTCATAATGCTGATTCCTTCATTAAAGATCTAAGTACATCTTTGACTCATCTGTCTACTCACATGACAGTTAATTTTTTTTAAGTCCTGATATATTCAAGTTTAGCTCAAGTGACACCTCATTCAGGGGCCTTCGCGTATTACTTCTGCAACATTTATCTGGCTTTTCATGAGGTTTTTACAGTTGATTTAAATGAGTTACTATCTCCATATTTACAAACAGTGTACTATTTTGGAGACAGAACCTATGTTGTATATTTCCTCTATACTTCATTCTTAGCTATCCATGAGAACAGAGACAAGCTCCTTAAAAGTGTATTGGATTGAATAGAATTGTACTGAATCTGTCTCCATTGTCTTCAGCCTTAGGCTGCTAACAATTGCTGCGTGGAAAGAAGCTTTTGCTCGCCCAGAGTTTTAGTTATTCTAGATCTTTCCTATTGTTTCTTGGGAGTATTTATACTGGCTAGTGTTTGTTCTTATAGCGGTCCATCTCTGCCCAGTTTGGGAGCCTTTCCAGGAATCTCTTGGTAAGCAGAAGAACATACCTGAATCAGATAGCTCATGCTAGTAAAATATCATCCAGGTTCCACCCTGCAGTACTGGACTAAAGCTAAATGCATCATTCCATCCTCATCTATGAGTTTTATCCACACTAAGCTTGGCTGCCTGAGAATTATGTCTATAAAATATAACATTTATGCCCTTCTTTTTTGTTTTCATATGCTGAAATTAATGTGTCATTGTGAAGATTCTAAACAGATGGGGAAAGGTCAAGGTTTCTTTGTTGCTAAGTGTGTTTCCATGGCTACAGCAATATGTGTGCATTATCACAAAGCATCATTTGTTTGGCTGCCAGTGGCTCATTAGAGGAAGGAGGAGCTCCACCTTGATGGTTCTGGGTAGTTTATTTCTGTTTTACTTTTCTTCCTGTTATGAGAACCATAGTGATAGGTTGGAACACAAATAAACCTGGTGGCTGTAGGTGGAGAATACTCACAACAGGTCCACACTTGCATATAAATGACCCAAACAATTTAATTGGAACAGTAGAGTCCAGATTGAATAAGCTTTGAGTAAAATGAAGCAGTATCTAAACAACCATATATCGGGGTTCTGCTTGTCTTAGGGGCTCCAGTTTGTGTAGTATCTGCCCATCCTGTTCTACTTCCTGGTATTTTTTAACCAGTATCCAGGGAATCCTTATCTCATTTTACCTGTTGTTTTTGTTCTGTCTCAGGTGATCTTGCTCTAAGGCATTTCTGGGACTGCAGCATAGAGCATGTGAAAGAGAATACTTCGGATCAGGCAGTATTAGGACTGGGAGAATTGACTAAGTTAACCCCTAAATACGTAGCCTGTAGTGCAAATGCTTGGATACAAATGTATGGCAAATTGAGATTTAATTCAAGCAGAATCCAAGATATTCTGATGGGGTAAAATATAGCAGTGAGTGTCTTTGAGCAGTAGGGATGCTGGAGGTCAAACACATGTCAGGTTGTTGGTCTGGTTTTGAGCAGGGCCCTAGTCAGTAGCTGTAAATTTGTAGGAAGGGCACAGTTCCCAGAGACAGTTTACAAGACAGGGTTTAAAAGACCTTCTCCAAGGGAGACTGAATTTCAAATCAATGTTTTGACCCCAGGAAGCACATGAGATGGGACAGTGCCATGGATAGCATTTCAGACTTAATAGCAAAGGGAATTCCAGATTCCACTAGCCAGTGGATCCATGCTTGTGGATTTGCTGTCCACTTCAGCAAAGTGTTGCTCACCTTGACAAGGACTCATTTTAGACCTATCATAGGCCTGGGATTTATTTGTTCTGTATTTCCAGCATCTAGCACTGGGGCTCTTTTATAGCAGGGTTCAGTGAACATTTGTCAGTGAATGTTTGATCTGAGCAGGGTTCAGTGAACATTTGTCATTGAATGTGTGCCTGATGGATGAAAGATTTGTACTTCTCCCTATGAGAGAGTAGAAGAGCCATAAACTGAGAGCTTCTGTCACTTCTGCCAGGTGCACATCCTTGCTCCGTATCCTGGTCTCTCTTGAGGATTACTGATAGTTTCTAGAGTGTAATTCTGGAGTCACAAGAGGAGTATTAGAGTCACAAGAATGGGGCTATTCTCCTTTAGCTACCACTGTCCCCCCCACTTTGTGGTGTTGTAACAAAATATCTGAGACTGGGTAATTTATAAATAACAGAAATGTATTCCTCACAGTTATGGAGGCTAAGAAGTCCAAGATCATGTTGCCAGTAGATTCAATATATGGTGAGGGCTGTTCTTTGCTTCCAAGATGGCACCTTGTTGTTGTATCCTCACATGGCAGAAGGCTCCTCACATGGCAGAAGCAGAAGGGCAAAAGGCTAAAAGGAGCTAGCTAGTTCCCTTGAGCCATTTTATAAAGTCACTAATCCATTTATGAGGATAGAGGCCTCATGACTTAATCACCTTCCAAGGCCCCACCTCTTAATATTATTGACTTGGAGATTAAGTTTCTATCATATGAGTCTTTGGAGGGACACGTCCATTTCAAACCATAGCAACCACTAATACTGCATGATATAGGATGGGTGTCTGTCTTCTCTGGGCCTCAGTCTCCTCATTGGTCCAATTCAGGGTTAGGCTTAATGGTCAGCCTTCCATGCTTAATTACTCTAATGATGATCTTTTCCATGTATGCTGAAGCATAAACAGCAGAAAATTGCTTAATATCAGAATTTCTAAATGAAATAAGTTTTTCCCCCAAGATGGTGAATTAGAGGCTTTTAATATGCCTCAGCCACTTGGAAATAGCAAGACAGTGTGTAAAGATAAACTTTGCGAGATTTGATTAAAGAAGGAAAATGGGAATCCATTGGAATCCTGAAGGACACCCCAGATCCTGGGAAGGAGAATGCAGGCAAACAGCCCCAGTGATGGTATCTGGCTGATAAAAGTGAGTGAACTCTCTGTGTGTGAGAGTTAGAGAGCCTCTTTGTGTGACTCAGCTTTCCACTGGGGATCTGAGCAACTTAGGTTGAGGGATACCATGGTGTTTCTGCCAAGCCCTGAAACTAACTTGGGGAGTGGCTTGGAAATGTTGTAGGAGAAAGACACTGGGAAAAACTTCAGGCATGTTCCCAGGTCTGGGAACAAGAGCAGGACAGCATTTTAAATCTGGGCACATACAAAGTCAGCCATTCTTTGGTGATCTGGAAGCATGGCTATGCATGAATTTTAGTCTTGGGCCAGAGATTAGAGCACCTTCTCTGCATCAGGATAGGCACCTCCACAGCCAGAACTGTGGAAAGTACCTCACAGTAGACAGTGGAATTGTGCCCTCCCCTGTTGCAGGCCTGGGGTGATAGGAGAGCTACTACAGCTGCATTTTCTCCTGGATGATGGGACTTGCAGCCAGGATCAGCTTGGCATCATGGAACTGGTCTGTGTGTGCCATTGCTGGGTGCCCCAGCCTGCTACCCTAAGATTGTGGCACAGTGGGGTCCTCTCTGCTTCACACCTAGGCATATCTCCAGGTATCCGGGTCACCCCCTGACCTGGATCAGCAGCATGAGCTTCCTCACTCTTCCTGTGCATAGATCATGGTACAGTGAGGCTGTCTCCACTTCATGCTGAGGCAGATTCTAGACATTTGGAGCACCCACTCACCTGGATCAGTAGCCTAAACTGCCCCACCCTTCCTTTGCAGAGATCCTGGTACAAGAGGACCCTCTCTGCTTTATACCCAGGGAGAGCCCCAGGCATTCAGAACACCTGCTTGCCTGGTTCAGCAGCCAAAGTCACCCCACCCATACTGTGCAGAGATCTTGGAACAGGGGAGCCCTTTCCACTCCATGCCCAGGCAGATCTCCAGGCATTTGGAGCACTGGTCACCTAAAACAGCAGCCTGAGCAGGCCACGTTTTATTTGCAGAGATCCCGGTGTGGGGCTGGGGGAGGAAGCCCTCTCCACTCCATGCACAGCAGATTTTCAAGCACTTAGAGTACCTACTTTCCTGGATCAGAAGTTTAGGCTGTCCTCGATTCCTGTGCAGAGAACTTGGGGCCAAGGAGGCCTCTCAGCTTCACATCTAAGCACACCTCTGGGCACTTGGTGGCTACCTGCTGGATTCTCCCTTGGTGCTGGTGCTTGTGCCTGCCATTGGTGGACTGGCAGATAGACCTGTCCAGTCCAGCCTTGACCATCTTGTCCCCTACCCCTCTAGGGCTGAAGAGGGAGCTCTGACCACAGTGCACCTCATGAATCAGCCCATTCCCTGAGATAACGAGAGCTTCTGCCAGTAAACAAGGATTAAGTAAATACCCAGCTGCTTTGGCAACACTTGACTCTTACCCACAAGCTCCATCTTCTGGCTTGTAGGTCCAACTGCACAGCCCAATATAAACCTGCTGACATTCATAGGGCTATAGAAGAGAAGCCAAAAGACCCACCCACCCAGCATTCTCTAATGCAGCAGTCCCCACCCTTTTTGGCACCAGGGACCAGTTTTGTGGAAGAAAAATTTTTCTAAGGATGGTGGCAGGGGAGGGGAGATGGTTTCAGGGTAAAACTGTTCTACCTCAGATCATCTGGCATTAGTTAGATTCTCATAAGGAGTGCACAGCCTAAATCCCTCGCGTGTACAGTTCACAATAGGGTTTGTGCTCCTATGAGAATCTAATGCCAGCCAGGCGCGGTGGCTCACACCTGTAACCCCAGCACTTTGGGACTTTGGGAGGTCGAGGCGGGCGGATCACAAGGTAAGGAAATCGAGACCATCCTGGCTAACATGGTGAAACCCCATCTCTGCTAAAAATACAAAAAATTAACCAGGCGTGGTGGCGGGTGCCTGTAGTCCCAGCTACTCGGGAGGCTGCGGCATGAGAATGGCGTGAACCTGTGAACTTGGGAGGCACAGCTTGCAGTGAGCCGAGATTGCGCCACTGCACTCCAGCCTGGGCTACAGAGCGAGACTCCGTCTCAAAAAAAAAAAAAAAAAAAAGAATCTAATGCCACTGCTGATCTGCAGGGGGTGGAGCTCAGGCAGTAATGCTTGCTCCCCAGCAGCTCACTTCCTGCTGTGCCCCCTGGTTCCTAATGGACCATGGACAAGGACCAGTCTTCGGGCCAGGGGCTAGGGATCCTTGCTCTAAAGTCGTATCCTCTGGTGGGGAGGGGGGAATGGGAAAAGGAAATAAGAAAAAATAATATTATAGGGAAAGAAAGAAAAAGGAAAAAGTCCTACCTAGACAAAAATAATTACAAAACTTAGAAATGCCAGCATCTCCAGATGAGGAGCTAGCACAAAAATTCTGGAACTATGAAAAATCTTAATGTAGTGACAACCCTGAAGGATCACGCTAGTTCTCCAGCAATAATACATAACCAAAACAGAAACTCGGACATAACAGATAAAGAATGCAAAGAATGGATTGCAAGGAAGCTCAATGAGATCAACAACAAGGTTGAAAATCAACACAAAGAAACTTCTAAAGCACTCCAGGAAATGAAGAGATAAACATCTTCAAAAAACTTAAACAGAGCTTCTGGAATTGAAAAATTCAGGGAATTTTAAAATAGAATTGAAAGCTTTATTAATAGACTGGACAAAGAAGAAGAAAGAATTTGAGAACTTGAAGACCAGTCTTTTGAACTAACCCAGACAGACAAAAATAAAGGAAAAAGAATTTAAAAAAATAAAGTCTTTGAGAAATATAGGATCATGTAAAGTGACCAAACATATAAATTATTGACATTCCTGAGAGAAATGGAGAAAAGGGAAACAATCTGAAGAACATATTTGAAGGAATAATTCAAGAAAATTTCCCTAATCTTGCTAGAGAGGTAAATACCCAGATATAAGAAATCCAGAGTAAATATGTGAGATACCATACAAAATGAGCATCATCGAGGCATATAGTCATCAGACTGTCCAAAGTCAACATTAAAGAAAAAAATCTTAAAGACAGCTAGAGAAAAAGGTTGGACCACTTACAAAGGGAACCTCATCAGGCTAACAGTGGATTTCTCAAAAGAAACCTTAGAAGCCAGGAGAGATTGGGGTCCATTTTCAGCATTCTTAAAGAAACTCCAAACAAGTATTTCATACCCTGCCAAACTAGGATTCATAAGCAAAGGAGAAATAAAAGTTCATGCAGACAAGCAAGTGCTAATGGAATTCATTACCACTAGATCAACCTTACATGAGATCCTTTAGGGAGTTCTAAAAATAGAAGTGAAAGAATGATACCTGCTACCACAAAAACACCCTTAAATGCATAGCCCACAGACCTTATAAAGCAACCACACAATAGAAAATAAAAAGCAACCAGCTAACAACTTCACAATAGGATCAAAACCTAATATATCAATATTAACTATGAATGTAAATGGTTTAAATACCCCAGTTAAAAGGCATAGAGTGGCAAGGTGGATTAAAAACAAAGCTCATCCATCTACTGTTTCCAAGAGATCCATCTCACACATAACAATCATAGGCTCAAAGTAAAGGGTTGGAGAAAGATCTATCACACAAATGGAAAACAGAAAAGAACAGAGGTCACTATACTTGCATTAGGTAAAACAGACATTAAACCTGTAATAGTGAAGAAAGACAAAGAAAGGCATTACATAATGATAAAGGGTCCAATTCAACAAGAAGACTAAACTATCCTAAATATATATACCCAACATTGGAGCATCCAGATTCATAAAACAAGTATGTCTGGACCTGTGAAAAGACTTAGACATGTACATTATTAATAGTAGTGAGGGACTTCAATACCCCACTGGTAGCATTAGACAGATCATCGAGGCAGAAAACTAACAAATTTTGGACTTATAGAAATCAAAACCAAGAAGATCTCTCAAAACAACAAAATTACATAAAAATTAAAGTACTTGCTCCTGAGTGACTTTTGGATAAACAATGAAATTAAGAAAGAAAACAAAAAATTATTTGAAATAAATGAAAATAGAAACACAACATACCAACACCTCTGAGATGCAGCAAAAACAGTCTTAAAAGGAAAGTTTATAGCAATAAATGCCTACCTCAAATAGTTAGAAAGATCTCAAATTAGAAATCTAACTTGATACCTAGAGGAACTAGAAAAATAAGACCAAACTAACCCCAAAACAAGCAGAAGAAAGTAAATAACTAAATCAGAGCAGAACTGAATGAAATTGAGACCCCAAAATTTATACAAATACTCAGCAAAACCAAAAGTTGGTTTCTTGAAAGGATAAAACAAGGTCAGTAGACCACCAGCTAGATTAACAGGAAAAAAAGAGATGAGATCTAAATAAGCACAATCAGAAATTACAAAGATGACATTACAACCAACCCCACAAAAGTGCAAATAATCCTCAGAGACTATTATGAACACTTTTGTGCACACAAACTAGAAAATCTATAGAAAATGAATAAATTCCTGGAAACTCATAATCTCTCAAAATGAAATCAGGAAGAAATTGAAACCCTGAACAGACCAATATTGAGTTGCAAAATCGAATCTATAATAAGAAACCTACCAAAACAAACAAATAAGCAAACAAACAAACAAAAGCCCTGGACCAGATGGATTCACAGCTGATTCCTACTAGACATACAAAGAAGAGTTGGTACCAATTCTACTGAAACTATTCCAAAAAATTGAGTAGAAAAGACTCTTCTCTACCTTATTCTATGAAGTCAGCTCACCCTGATACCAAAATCTGGCAAATATACATGAAAAAAGAAACCTACAGGTCAATAGACTTCATGACCATAGATGCAAAAATCTTCAACAAAATACTAGCGAAGTGAATCCAGCAACACATCAAAAAGTTAATTCACCATGATCAAGTAGGCTTGATTGTTGAGATGCAAGATTGGTTCAACATATGCAAATCAACAAATGTGATTCATCACATAAACTAAATTAGAAACATAAACCATATGTATTAGTTTGTTTTTGCACTGTGGTAAAGAACTACCTGAGGCCGGGTGCAGTGGCTCATGCCTGTAATCCTAACACTTTGGGAGATTAACACGGGTGGATCACCTGAGGTAAGGTGTTCGAGACCAGCCTGGCCAATGTGGTGAAACCCCGTGTTTACTGAAAATACAAAAATTAGCCAGGAGTAGTGGTGCATGCCTGTAATCCCAGCTACTCAAGAGGCTGAGGCAGGAGAATTGCTGAAACTCAGGAGGCAGAGGTTGAAGTAAGCCAAGATTGCACCACTGTACCCCAGCCAGGGTAACACAGCAAGACTCTGTCTCAAAAAAAAAAAAAAAAAAAAAAAATCTACTTGGGACTGAGACTAGGTAATTTATGAAGAAAAGAGGTTTAATTGTCTCATGGTTTCATAGGCTGTACAGAATCCATGGCTGGGGAGGCCTCAGGAAACTTTCAATTATGGTGGAAGGTGAAGGTTGGAAGTAGCCGCATATTACATGGCTGGAACAGGAGAAAGAGAGAGAGGGTGGGGGAAGTGCTATACATTTAAACACCGGATCTCATGAGAGCTCTATCATGAGAACAGCACTAAACAAGGAAATCTGCCCTCATGATCTAAAATCATCTCCCAGCAGGCCCCACCTCCAACATTGAGGATTACAATTTGACATGAGATTTGGGTAGGAACAAAAATTCAAACTGTATCACCATATGATCATCTCAATCAACACAGAAAAATCTTTTGATTAAATCCAACATCCCTTCATGATAAAAACCCTCAAGAAACTAGGCATTGGAGGAACATCCCTCAGAATAATAAGAGCCATTTATGACAAACCCACAGCCAATATCATACTGAATGGGTAAAAACTGAAAGCATTCTCTTTGAGAACTGGAACAAGACAAGGATGCCCATTCTCACCACTCATACTCAACATACTACAGGAAGTACTATGACTGACTAGAAGGAATCAGACTAGAGAAAGAAATGAAAGGATCCAAATAAAAAAAGAAGTCAAACAATCTCTCTTCACTGACAATATGATTCTATATCTAGAAAACCCTAAAGAGTCCTGCAAAAGTCTCCTGGAAATGATATATGACTTCAGGAAAGTTTCAAGATGCAAAATCAATGTACAAAAATCAGTAATATTTCTATGCAGCAATAATGCTCAAGCTGAGAGCCAAATCAAGACTGCAATTTTATTTACAATACTCACAAAATATAAAATATCTAGGAATACATCTAAGGAGGTGAAAAATCTCCACAAGGAGAACTACAAAACCGTGCTGGAAGAAATCATCGATAACACAGACAAATGGAAAAATATTCCATGATCATGGATCAGAAGAATCAGTATTGTTAAAATCACCATCTGCCCAAAGCAATCAACACATTCAACACATTCCTATTAAACTACCAATGTCATTTTTCACAGAATTAGAAAAAACTAAAATTCATGTGGAACCAAAAAGAGTCTGAATAGTCATTGCAATTCTAAGCAAAAAGAACAAAGCCAGAGGTATCGTATTAACTGCCTTCAAGCTATAGCATAAAACTAGAATAACTAAAACAGCATGGTACTGGTACGAAACAGACACATAGACCAAAGGAACAGAATAGAGAACACAGAAATAAAGCTGCACACCTACAGCCATCTGATCTTCGACAAAGTCAACAAAAATAAGCAAAAGGACTCCCTATTCAACGAATGGTGATGGGATAATTGGTTGGCTCTGTGCAGTAGAGTGAAACTGAACCCCTACCTTTCACTGTATACAAAAATTAACTCAGGATGGATTAAAGATTTAAATTTAATAGCTCAAACTATAAGAATCCTTGAAAAAAACACTAGAAAAAAAAACATTCTGGACATCAGCCTAGGGAAAGAATTTATGACTAAATCCCCAGAGGCAGTTACAACAAAAACAAACATTGACAAATAGGACCTAACTAAACTAAAGAGTTTCTGCACTACAAAAGAAACTATCAGCAGAGTAAACAGACCACCTATAGAATGGGAGAAAATATTCACAAATGATGCACCCAACAAAGGTCTAATTTCCAGAATATATAAGTAACTTAAACAATCAAACAAGCAAAAACCATTAAAAATGGGCAAAGACATGAACAGATACTTCTCAAAAGAAGCCATACAGATGGCTAACAAACATATGAAAAAATATCCAATATCACTAATCATTGAATTAATGCAAGTCAAAATTAAAATGAAATACCACCTCGCACAAATTAGAATGGCTATTATTAAAAAGGTCACACACAACAGATGCTGGAGAGGCTGTGGAGAAAATGGAATGCTTATACACTGTTGGTGGGAATGTAAATTATTTCAGCTACTGTGGAAAGCAGTTTGGAGATTTCTCAAGGAGCTTAAAACAGAACTACTATTCAACCCAGCAATCCCATTACTGGTAGTACATCCAAAAGAAAGTACATTGTTATACCAAAAAGACACATGCACTCATATGTTGGTCACAGGAATCTTCATAATAGTGAAGACATGGAATCAACCTATGTGCTCATCAACAGTAGACTGGATAAAGAAAATGTGGTACATATACAACATGAAACACTATGCTTTTATAAAAAGAACAAAGTCATTTCCTTTACAACAACATGGATGCAGCTGAAGGCCATTATCCTAAGCAAATTAACGCAGGAACAGAAAACCAATTACTTCATGGTCTCACTTATAAGTGAGCTAAACATTGTGTACTCTTGTATGTAAAGATGATAACAATAGACACTGATGACCATTAGATCAGGAAGGAAGGATGGTAAGGGTTGAAAAACTATTGTGTACCATGCTTGGTACCTGAGTGATGGGATCCTTCATACCCCAGACCTCAGTTACACACAATATACCAAGGTAACAAACCTGCACATGTACCCCCAGTATCTAAAAGTTGAAGTTATAAAAACAAAATGAATGTTTCCAATCACCTACTCAGGTTTTTATACCATCTGTAAAACTCTTGGATGCATGTAAAGGCAATTTTGCCCACTTTCTAAATTATTATTTTAAACTGTTAATTTATTTTCTTTTTTAAATATATATATATTTTTATTATACTTTAAGTTCTAGGGTACATGTGCACAATGTGCAGGTTTATTACATATGTATACATGTGCCATGTTGGTGTGCTGCACCCTTTAACTCATCATTTACATTAGGTATATCTCCTAATGCTATCTCTCCCCGCTCCTCCCACCGCACAACAGGCCCCAGTGTGTGATGTTCCCCTTCCTGTGTCCAAGTGTTCTCATTGTTCAATTCCCACCTATGAGTGAGAACATGCGGTGTTTGGTTTTTTGTCCTTGCGATAGTTTGCTGAGAATGATGGTTTCCAGCTTCATCCATGTCCCTACAAAGACATGAACTCATCATTTTTATGGCTGCATAGTATTCCATGGTGTATATGTGCCACATTTTCTTAATCCAGTCTATCATTGTTGGACATTTGGCTTGGTTCTAAGTCTTTGCTATTGTGAATAGTGCTGCAATAAACATACGTGTGCAGGTGTCTTTATAGCAGCATGATTTATAATCCTTTGGGTATATACCCAGTAATGGGATGGCTGGGTCAAATGATATTTCTAGTTCTAGATCCCTGAGGAATCACCACACTGTCTTCCACAATGGTTGAACTAGTTTACAGTCCCACCAACAGTGTAAAAGTGTTCCTATTTCTCCACATCCTCTCCAGCACCTGTTGTTTTCCTGACTTTTTAATGATCGCCATTCTAACTGGTGTGGGATAGTATCTCACTGTGGTTTTGATTTGCGTTTCTCTGATGGCCAGTGATGATGAGCATTTTTTCATGTGTCTTTTGGCTGCATAAATGTCTTCTTTTGAGAAGTGTCTGTTCATATCCTTCGCCCAGTTTTTGATGGGGTTGTTTGTTTTTTTCTTGTAAATGTGTTTGAGTTCTTTGTAGATTCTGGATATTAGCCCTTTGTCAGATGAGTAGACTGCAAAAATTTTCTCCCATTCTGTAGGTTGCCTGTTCACTCTGATGGTAGTTTCTTTTGCTGTGCAGAAGCTGTTTAGTTTAATTAGAACCCATTTGTCAATTTTGGCTTCTGTTGCCATTGCTTTTGGTGTTTTAGACATGAAGTCCTTGCCCATGCCTATGTCCTGAATGGTATTGCCTAGGTTTTCTTCTAGGGTTTTTATGGTTTTGTGTCTAACATTTAAGTCTTTAATCCATCTTGAATTAATTTTTGTATACGTTTTAAGGAAGGGATCCAGTTTCAGTTTTCTACATATGGCTAGCCAGTTTTCCCAGCACCATTTGTTAAATAGGGAATCCTTTCCCCATTGCTTGTTTTTGTCTGGTTTGTCAAAGATCAGATAGTTGTAGATGTGTGGTATTATTTCTGAGGGCTCTGTTCTGTTCCATTAGTCTGTATCTCTGTTTTGGCACTAGTACCATGCTGTTTTGGTTACTGTAGCCTTGTAGTATAGTTTGAAGTCAGGTAGCATGATGCCTCCAGCTTTGTTCTTTTGGCTTAGGATTGACTTGTCAATGCAGGCTCTTTTTTGGTTCCATATGAACTTTAAAGTAGTTTTTTCCAATTCTGTGAAGAAAGTCATTGGTAGCTTGATGGGGGGGGATGGCATTGAGTCTATAAATTACCTTGGGCAGTATGGTCATTTTCACGAGATTAGTTCTTCCTATCTATGAGCATGGAATGTTCTTCCATTTGTTTGTGTCCTCTTTTGTTTCATTGAGCAGTGGTTTGTAGTTCTCCTTGAAGAGGTCCTTCACATCCCTTGTAAGTTGGATTCCTAGGTATTTTATTCTCTTTGAAGCAATTGTGAATGAGAGTTCACTCATGATTTGGCTCTCAGTTTGTCTGTTATTGGTGTATAAGAATGCTTGTGATTTTTGCACGTTGATTTTATATCCTGAGACTTTGCTGAAGTTGCTTATTAGCTTAAGGAGATTTTGGGCTGAGACGATGGGGTTTTCTAGATATGCAATCATGTCATCTGCAAACAGGGACAATTCAACTTCCTCTTTTCCTAATTGAATACCCTTTATTTCCTTCTCCTGCCTGATTGCCCTGGCCAGAACTTCTAACTCCTATTCTATGTTGAATAGGAGTGGTGAGAGAGGGCATCCCTGTCTTGTGCCAGTTTTCAAAGGGAATGCTTCCAGTTTTTGCCCATTCAGTATGACATTGGCTGTGGGTTTGTTATAGATAGCTCTTATTATTTTGAGATACATCCCATCAATACCTAATTTATTGAGAGTTTTTAGCACAAAAGGCTATTGAATTTTGTCAAAGGCCTTTTCTGCATCTATTAAAATAATCATATGGTTTTTGTCTTTGGTTCTGTTTATATGCTGGATTATGTTTATTGATTTGCATATGTTGAACCAGCATTTCATCCTATTTTCAACTAATAGTATAACAACTATTCCAGTTTGCCTAGGATTGAGGGGATTTCCCAGGACATGGGACTTTCAGTGCCCAAACTAGAAAATTCTGGGCACACTGAGATTGTAGCCACACTAGGTAACAATGCATGCTGTGGCAGAGATGGCTCATGTCCCCCACACATTGTACCACATTCTTTTCCCAGACTCCCTTGTATCTAAGTGTGACCATGTGGCTGGTTCTTGTCAATGGCTATGATGTGAGCCGTTATGGAGAAGCAAGCTCTTCTTTTTCTTTGTGACCTGGACGTCAACACCCAAGGCAGTCTTGGAAATAGCATGTATTGAAGATGTCAGAGCCTCTGTGGACCCACGTTTGTGAGTGACTGCCTGTGGCCAAGGACCTCATCATCTGCCCTACCACCATCATCATGGGGCTTCGCAAAAACAAGAAACAAGCTTTTATTGGGTTAAACCACTGATATGTCAACAGATGTTTCAACAGTTGGTGCTGTCATAATTAATACATGTATCCATCCTTTTAATCCATATTTTTACTATTTTGATTTTATATTATTAAAAGACAGGGAGTTTCAACATAAAAAAATGAACTAAGTTTATATTAGTTAATAAATTCAATTGATACTATGAAAGAACTTCACCTCCATCTGAGAGATGAGAAAAGTATGTCTGTTCACCCCATTTCTCCTACCTATTTTAGTCTGGGTCATCACCATTTTAGTCCTGGTTTATTTTCACAGCTGAAGTCTTCTCTATGTCGGTACAGCCAACTTACTGCTTCCAGAAGTATTCTTCTGAACACTACCATTTATCTGCTTAGAATATTTTATTCTGTATCCTATCACCCACAGGATAAAGAATAAACTCGTTAGTTTCTGTTGAAAGCAATGTACAAGCCATCTGTATTTTTCACTACCACCAATAAAACATATTGGCTAGCTCTTTGCACTCCCCTAAACTGGCTATTTTTCCTCCCTGCAGATTACATGTCCTCATACAAGTTGGTGCTTTGGTCTGCGATGTGATCTACATCTTCATGTCATGTGACTAACATTTTTCTCATGGACTGACTCTCCAGCAACACCCTGGGCACACTTCTCTCATGGGATATGCCACATTACATTGAGCTTATTTACCTATAGGGGCAGAACCTATATCATATTCTTCTTGGTTATTCAGTTCTGGGCATATATATTTGATTGAACTGAACTTATAGTTCATGCTATTTCTCCCTTTGGAATCTTCTTAAGTCTCTCCTCCAGCCATTCCTCTCCCAACCCTGCTGTATTCTGTGACTGGTGAGCTACTTTTTATCTTTCAAGAACCTACTTATACAACAACTCTTTTGTGAAACCTTACTTACCTCTCTTCTCCCATTTTACTTCGTTGCAAGCAGTTGGAGGGAAACGGCCAGGCTATTCACAATTGTGCCCCATGATCCAAGCCCAGTCTCAATGTATGCTTGTGTGATAAATGTTATTAACTTTCATTTCTAGGGCCCTCTAAATTTTATAAAATTCATTTATGTCAAGTATCCCTTTTGATAAAACAAGACCATTATAAAAGTAGGGCAGGTAGGCCAGGCGTGGTGGCTCACATCTGTAATTCCAGCACTTTGAGAGGCCAAGGAGGGTAGATCACCTGAGGTCAGGAGTTTGAAAGCAGCCTGGCCAACATGGTGAAACCTCATCTCTGCTACAAATACAAAAATTAGCCAAGTGTGGTGGCAGGTGCCTGTAATCCCAGCTACACAGGAGCCTGAGGCAGGAGAATTGCTTGAACCCGGGATGTGGAGGTTGCAGTGAGTGGAGATCTTGCCACTGCACTTCAGCCTAGGTGACAGAGCAAGACTCCATCTAGAAAAAAAAAAAATTAGCCGGGTGTGGTGGCAGGTGCCTGTAATCCCAGCTATTTGGGAGGCTGAGGCAGGAAAATTGCTTGAACCTGGGAGGCGGAGGTTGCAATGAGCCGAGATCGCGCCACTGCACTCCAGCCTGGGCAAAAGAGCAAGACTCTGTCTCAAAAAAAAAAAAAAAAAAAAAAAAGTAGAGCAGGTAATATTAACCTTTTTTCAATGCATAAAGGGATTGAGATTTATAAAAATAGAGCTAGCCACGATCAAGTTTAAAAGAAAGGAATGTGGGATTCAAAACATTATTTTTTACTTAAACGGTATTATTATTACTTTTTTTTACTGTTTACATAGTGAGACAATTGCCAGAGTTCCCTGGCAATGGACTTTAGAAATCCTACCTACCTATGTGAGATCACCTCAAGAGTTCAGTATTGTGTTTCTTACCTCCCCAAGCCTATGCTGATCTGTAACTTCTCTGTCTGTTGGCAGGGACAGGTGTTTGATATGTATGAAAAGAAAGAGCTGTCATTTGTTAAGTTCCTGGGTACTAGAGATTTTATGCTTGTTATGTAATTCCTACAAAAACACCTTGCTGTACTTATCATCTTTCATTAATTCATGTGGCATGTTTTGTAAATTCTTCAGTAGAGAGTGCACGTCTTCAGTCATTATTTGCATTGAACTGTAAATAAGAGAAAATTTTTATTTCTGACTCTGGTTTCATATTTGGTATTTTAATCAACCACACTACCTAATACAAGAGAGTTTTATGGCCTCTTGGACGTGAGTTATCACATTCTTGATAATACACGTTTGAAAAATTTCTTTTATTCTCTTCACCTTTTAGAATTCCCATTCTTCTCCTAGGGAACTAATAAGTAACCAACCAAATACAGAAATGAAAGAACATCTGGCCCAATTTGCTCTTCATAAAAGCAGAAAAGTATTACTTCTCTATCACAAAGTGCAATTATTTTTTATTCCTGTGCACACTTCTATTTCAAAAGTGACGTTTCTTTGCAGGAAGAGTACTTTTGGTATAAACACTGTATTCTCAGGTAAAAACCAAGCTCTACCAGGGGCAAAATGATAAGGGGGGAAAAGCATTCTCCTGGAAATACATAATCAATACGTTGTTCTTGAGTGTACCTTCTGCCAAGAGGCAGTTTTTGTTTTGGGAAGTTGAGGTACTAGGGAAAAGTAGATTTTCACTAACAACAACGAAAAAGGCAGAAAATTTGAAATAAAAAAGCAAGGGCATTTCAAAGCTATTCAACATTAGGTAACTAACGGACGTCAGTAGACAGGATGCAATAGAAGTAATGTGTGCTGTGATCAAAATTACCCTATAGGTGAATCTTTTCTGGATATGGAAGGTCACTTTCACTGTCCATATGATGACGAAAGGCCCGACTTCAAACAAAGATTAAGTAGAGGACTACTTGCTTGGAAAATCTTGAGAGATGAGAGGAATTTTAGAGTGACGGAATCATTGCATTAAAAGGCTGCGAAAAGCCCTAGAGAGTATCCCCTAGAATTTTGCTTTTCAAACCAATAATGGTCATAAGCCCTTAGTTAGTCATGAAATCCATTCAACAACAACATTAAAACATAGAACAGTACCAATATAGCAAGGTGCATTGCATGAAATAAGATTAGATATTGTTTCATGAATATTCTCTCTCTCTGCTCTCTTTCTCTCTCTCTCTCTCTCTCTCTCTCTCTCACACACACACACACACACACACACACGATTATTTGATTTAAAATGTATTTCTCACAATGAGTCATATTAGGATGTTTAAAAACTACTACCATAGACCTAAAGCTTCTTAAAAATAAGGAAGTATCTGTTTTATTACCACTAAATGTCCTATGCCCTAGCACAGTGCCTCACCCAAACAAGGTATTCAATAAGTATTTGTTGAATGACTGCTCTTGTTCACCCCTATTATCTTACAGTCATAATGTCCAGAGAGGTAAAATGTATTTTCTAAAGTTATAATTTGGGTTAATAATCAAATCAGGGATTCTTGGTCCTGAGTCATTTTAAAATGCTTTCTTCTCCACGCTTCAAAAAATTACTGGTATAATTGTCATTGCATTATCGACTTAAACAATTTTCCCTTGATTCGATCATTTCCAGTTCCCCCTGGGTCTACTCACCATTGCTGTTCCCCTTCGCCTTGGAATAACTGGCTCAGAACTTGATATCTGTCCTCAGACCACTTGTCATCATTCTTTTCATAGTATCCTTCATTTTGGCCCCTGTCGTGTTGTCCTAAACTTCTAACTCCACAACCTAGACATGCTTATCATTAACTCATAATTTTTCTATTCATTTTACTCAGTTATGATCGTACCACACTGATCATTTTGCATTCCGCTTTTTTCTACTAATATTTTGAATGATGGTGTGTTTAATGACAATGAAATGCCTGTAGAAAAAAGACTCAAAAATAGAGTGGCTTTTCAGAAGACCAGTTTGGTAAAAGAAATTGAGTTGTAGAAATCACTATTTTTTTTTTTTTTTGCAAGAGCAAAGCAGATGGTTGTTGATATCAGGGTATTGAAACCCAGTGGCTGTTATATGTCAGAGTAACTTACAGTGAATGCCAACAATCTTCTTTTCCTAATTGCTGCTGCTCAACATGATGGCATTGTTCAGTCTGGAATCCCTCTCCACTCCCTCTCCAGGGATAAGCAGCTGACAGCTCTAAGGGGGCAGGATGGATTCCCATCAGATAGCAAGGTGGAGTAGTTATGTGTGCTGGTGGGGGAAATGCACTCTCTGCTTTGTATTTGGGTCTTGTTTTGGGGACTGGTAACTTCTTCCTGTTTTGATAAATATATAAATAACTCTAAGTATCAGGAGAGACAGTAACTTAGGCTTCTTAAAGAACGGAGGGTTTTTCATAAGAATTAAACATTTTTTAAAAAAGAATAAAGGATTTTTACTCAGAGATGAAAAATGTTTGTTTCTCAAATGAAATGTCACATTATAATTTTAATAAAGGGCATCAGATTAGAAGTAAGGGGTTTTGAGTTTAACTCCTGGCTCTATCTCCTGTGGATTTGGGACCCATCACTTTCTATGTTTAAACCTCAGCTTTCATATCTGCAAAATGAACGTTTGACAAGACCATTGGTTCTGAACCCTGAATAAACATCAGAATCACCTAGATAATTTGCAAGAATAAGCTGATGCATGCGCTCCACTTAGAGATATTCTGATTTAATTAGATTAGAATGGGGTCCAGCATTTGGTATCAACACTAAGTTGTTCAGGTTATTGCAATGTACAGTAAGGGCTAGATGACCTCTAGAGGCCTTTGAAGCTCTAATATACTATGATAATTACAGTGAAAGCACTATTAGGTATTAGGCAGAGCACTTTTTAGTTGTGGCAGAAATACAATGCAAACTAGAATAAGGGGAAAAATGAAATTTAGTGGCTCCTAACTTCAGGGCTCCCTTTTCTCCCCAGTTTGAACTTCGTTTTCTTCTGTGGTTTGATCTGTTTTCTCCTTGATGCAGTTCGGATACTGCATGTGCTAAGGAAAGTTGGCAGCCCTGGATTCACCTCCTTCAGATTTTCCAGTGGAAAAAGGAGCTGGTTCCTGCTAATATCTGCATATCAACTCTAGAGAAATGCTTTGATTGGCCTTGCTTGGATAGTTCCCTTTCTTTGTGAATTGGGTTGTATGACTGACAGTCCCATTATACAGCAGTGGTGGAAGTGTACCATCCAGATATCCCTTTCAGAGAATCTGCTGTAGGGAGCATAGCTGATTGACAGCCTTCAGCTGCCACACTTAGGGACCCACTCTGTCTTTCACACCAGGCCATGTTTTCATTGGGCTGCTCCCAGCCAATGACTAAGCACAGTGGGGATACTCAAACCCAGCCATTCCAGCCTGATGTGGGATTCCTTAGTGAATTCTCATGAGTTCAAGGACTTTCCCACTGGCCTAGCTGAGACACTCTTATAACTTCACTGTAGTCTAAGGTCCTTCCTATCCAATCCCTCCTCCCCTTTCTGCTTTTACAGATGTCAAACTCACATTGTAGTCTAAATGAAGCTTCTCCCTGCCTTATTCCTGCTCTCTTTCTTAACATTCAGAGGTATTTTCTCCAATAAATACCTTGTTTTCTATAACTGGCTTGATGTCTGCTTCATAGAGGACCTGAGCTGGTGCTGACTAAAACCCTATGGCATGGGGATGAGACAGTTTACCTAAGGAAGGGATGTTAGGTGTTTAAAAGAAAATACATGTCCACTATAGGCTGCATCTTTGGGTCTCTGCCCAGTATGGATCATTCTGTAGAGAGGATACAGAGCAAGTACCAAGGTATCGAGCAACTAGGCAGGTTTCAAGCCTTCAGATGATTTCTTGGAGATGACTGATACACTCAAGAGTCTGTGAGGCCACTAAGGGTCAAGACAAGACATCAGGTCTTGGTTTGCTGAAGAGTTTATTAAGCAGAATTAATAGTAGCTGCACAGCCAGAGTTACTACATGTGTCGCTCTGAGCTCTCCACAGCATCAGCCATAGAGCCACTTGTTTTATTAATATTGTGCTGTCTATTTGATGTTTTCACAGAACATTTTATTTATTTTTTAACTAAAAAATATAGGCTTCTACTCACAATTTGGAATTGATAAAAGCTACTATATATAATCTTAAAAATAAATATATATATTATATAATAAAGAAATATATATAATAAATATATATGTATATACATACATAAGATGTATTTTTTGATTGTTGTTTAAAGATTCTAATTTTTAAGGGCAACTTTATCAGGATCAAGAAATGAGAGGCTTTTAGTGGAGAATTCTTCTTAATTCTACTTAAGATTTAGCCTCAAAATAGCAACCCTATGATCCCATTGATTTTTTTGGAGGTGATCCATTTGGCATTCATTCATTCTTTTTTTCTTTTGGTAAAGTTATTTAAAAGCCTATTGCTAAAGTACTAGTATTCATGAGAGGAGTTTTTAATTTGATTGTCTTTTATAAGCTCTACAGTGCAAGCTACTTATCAGCTCAGACTTCCAGCTGGCAACTTGCTGAGAGCGGGATGAAAAGGGGGTAGTACCAAGTCAGTGAATTTATGGGTGAGGAACAGAGATGTCTGGGGCACATAGTGATTATCTCCACAGGCTAGTTTGGGAGGTCACTAGAGTCAGGGGTGTGGCCCATCAGGGGCCACTGGACATCTCTGCAAAGTCACTATGAGTTGAGGAAATGGGAATACTGAAGAAAAAATTAGGAAGAATGAAGGCAGAAGTTTTTTATTTTGTGATTTTTCCAAGGGCCTGGCTTGGACTTTGTCTGCCAGTGTAGGAAAATGTGCAAGAGGTACAGTGACATTCTGAGAGAACAGGTGGTCACAACCCCCCACTGCTTCTCTCTAGCCAGAAGGAGGCTAACATCCAGCCCCTGGTGAGGCCCACTCAATTCACTAGGCAGAGTGTGATGATCTGAGGATCTGTGCCAATCCTCCTGCCTGGCCAAGCTGTGAGACCAACTGTTCCTTATTTTCTAAGCTGCTTCTGGACTTTGCTTCTTTGTTTAGGAAATGGATCCAAATCGCTCTCCTCTGGACTTGCTTGATCCCCAAGCCTGAAGTCAAGCCAGTATTGGCTACTATCTATTCTCTCAGCCACACATTGAACAACCATAATAACCACACCACACATTTATGGGTTCACGCCTTGTTTTCAAGGGGCTTCTACATACTCCACCTGATTTGATACTAGAAACAAAGCTCTACATTGGATTGGGCAAGTGTCATCACCTATTTGACAGGCATTAGGCCTGAAGAAACTGATATAAAGCTAGTGTCAAAACCAGGAGCCCAACTTCAGCCTCTTCATCTATGGTCCTTCTGTGATGCATTCAAAGGTGCATTAACGCTTGGGGAGAAAAAGTACATTCCCATCTCCTATTGGGCAAAGCCTAAACTCCTGTATGACTTTTATCTTCAATCTTCATTCTCAAGTAGCCAAATGAAGGAAAGGGTGCCTTAATAAGGTGGGGCCCAAGACCCCCAACTTGTTAGGACAAATATATGAACTTGTAGTAGGAGCAGATGGCCATGACTGTGATTTAACAGGAGGAACATAAGAAATAGGAATAAGAAAACCTGAAGGTTAATCCTGACTTGTTAATTAGCTCTTCAATATTTATTAACCTCACTTAACCTCTCTGAGCTTTGTTCTCTTCTTCCTTTAAGCAGGAAAAATGCTACTCTGCCACGTGTGCCCCATCAAGTTTTAACAATTGTTTAAAATTGTTTAAAACAATTAAATGAAACTATAAAATAAAACTGCCTTTAAAATGATAAAGCATAATTCAAATAGAAAGGTGTTTTTTCAGCATTTTAAATTATTTGCACATAAAGGGGCTAAACAAATATATGGTAAAAGATGAATGATTTGGCTTTTTGAATACTCTACATCTTCATGACTTCTTACAATCTTTTACCCCCTCCAATCCTTTCTTCTTTCCAGTTTCTCACTGTTTGATGGTAGATTATCTTCTTTATCTTCAACTGAATGCCAGATGGACAGGCACAATCTTCACCCTAGAGGTATGTGTATGTCGCCAAACCCTATTCATAGACTCTAATATTAACAATCACAACCCCCTACCAAGCACTAAAACATTGAGAGAGTATTTCTGAACCAAGTCCCCTGCTGCCTTCATTCTTCCCCCTACCTACCAGTTGCTAAGAAGTTGTTACCAAGTTTGGTGAATAATTAAACTCTTGGACATGACAGGGGAGGAGAATTATTGATTCAAAGGACCTTAGAGCTCAAAAGGTCCTGAGAGACCATCATAACCACCCTCTTTATTTTACAGATACAGCTTCTGAGGATCACGGGGATGAAAGGCATGAACTGGGCTCACACAGCTAGTAAGTAAAAGAATCGCTAAAATCTAAGGTGCTGGATTTACCAGGGCAGTGGTCTTTCCAGTTGATAATTCTGAGAGAAAGCTGTGGGGAAAGAAAGCTGAAGGAGCCCCCGGGATTGTCTGTACTTGTGGCTTTCCATAGATGGGAGAGTGAATTTCAAAAGGTCTGTCTCTGGTATCCTGCCTTCCCAGTTATGAAGATATGCCTTTGAAAACTTCCTCATCTTAGCAGTGCCTTCTAGTGCTATATCCCATTGAAGTTAACTATTCCAGGCCTTATTATTTTTCCGATTTAAACTTTAGGGGATTCAGCATTTAGTGCTCACCTTTTTGTTGTTCATACACTTTTTATGTGCAATTTCATTAAAAGGTGAATTCCATTGATGACTTACCTAGCAAGCTTATTGAGGAAAATCCTAGACTGTTGATCCCAACTATGTTGAGTGATGTGGAAACAATGAGGGTTTCTTTAGGTTTGATCAACATGGGGCAGGCTGGGAGAAAGCTCAGTGGTCATATTTCTGGTTTCTAAGAATTTGAGTTTTTGAGTGTGCAAGTTATCCCAGGGAACATCTTAAATTGTTTTTTGGGGAGCTTGGACCTCTAATAGCAATTGTACTTGCAAAATGTTTCTAAAAGTACAGGTGCCGAGCAGACATTCATTCAGAAGTGGCCAGGTATGGTCAAGAGGTCAAGGGCAGTCCTTTTCTCTTGTGTTCAGGGTGACTTAGTCAAGATTTTCTATTACTTATTAGATAACTTTGATTTCTTTTTTTGCAACATAATTCCTAGCTCATTGTAGTACATAAATTGCACGAAGAAGAATCTTCAGACAGAATAAGTGGTTGCTTTGGAAATGGGGTAAATTTAGGGTCCAAAAGAAGATTCCAAGTCATAATCAGATACTTTCCCTTAGTCATGGAAAAGTGTAATTTTACTGTAATTCCATGTTTATGGAGTATAATATAAATGACAATATGATTTTATATTTGTAATCTCTTTTAAGCATCCTTTGTTTTATTAATTTATATGAAAGATATACTTGAGTTCCCATTATGTCCCTGACATTGTTGGTAAGGATTTTATAGATCCAGTGAGGGCTACTTAGCTAAATAGGGATGAACAAAAGCTTGAACTCACAGATTCAATGATCTTTCTGATCTATCATGTGCCAGGTCTTCTAACTTCTGCTATAGGCTTCATTCATCGGGATTTGTACTACTTACTCATAGCATAAAACAGTCAAATAGATGCAAAAGGACCAACTTGGATTTGAATATTATGGAGTAAGCATGTGGATAATTGCTTATTTTTTTCACTTTTTAAGCACTTGTGTCCATGCTAAGTATTTGAACATCATATTTCAGGCTATTTTGTCTTTTTCCTGAACTGGCTGCTCAGCTTTGGGAACAATGTTGACCAGAGCTATTCCAGACCCTCCTTAGCTCAGATGTAGTTTATTGATTGACTCCTTTATTTGAGTGTACCCTGGGGCCCAGCCCCATGCTAGGCCCTGGAGATGGGTCAGAGGGCTGGTGTGAGAAAGCAGTGCACAAACCTCAGTTTTCTTTTCTCTAAAATTCTAAACCCTCATTTCCAAATAATAAAGTTTATTTCACAGAGTTCTTCTGTGGATCAATCAATATAAGGCTAGCAGATGCACCCTAATAAATGATAACACATGAGATAAATCAAAGGCAGCATTATGGGTAATTATGGGTATATTACAGGATAATATAAAAGACAGTGCATGTAGCATCCTATAATACATGCACACTGATCTCTAAGCTTCTGTTGTGCAGGAGCTGGGTGTTATTCATTGTTGTATTCTTGGCCTCTTCAACAGGATCTGACACATGAAATTTGAGAAAAAAATTTAGTGAAGTGATAAAACCAGGAAGTGTATAGATTTTAAAGGAAAAGTACAGAATATAAGTTTTATGAAACTGCACAGAAATGGGGAAATTCAGTTCCATGGAGAGAGATGCAATTACTTTTGTGTAGTATTAATTTAAGAAAGAACTTTCTGAAACTAGAACTAATAACCATGGAATGAATTACTACAAGATTGTCACAAATAGAAGTAAGTTTTCTACTCGAAGGTATTCAAAAGAGAACTGGTGAATCTACCTATCAGAAATGTTTTCTACTACATATAACAAACCTATGTGTGTTCTACCAGATCTCAGAAAAATAAAACTAAACATGTGGGTACTTGAAAAAGTTTGTGGAAAAATGAAATTAAAAGATAAACTTATTTCTCAAAATAAATTCCATCAAGGTCAAGACACTTTTGTAAGCAATAATACTGGTCATTTAGTTCATCCCTAAAGAACTGAGAGTCCTGGGAATTTAACCAGGCCAATGCAGTCTTTTTCACATTGTTAACTGAATAAAAATGGGTGCCTTCCATAGATTTTTTTAAGATTCGGAAACAAACAGAAGTCAGAAGGAGCCAAATCAGGACGGTAAGGTGGATACCTAAAAATTTCCCATCAAAACTCTCCTCATATTTCCCTTGTTTGATGAGAAGAATGAGCAGGAGCATTGTCCTGATGGAGAAGGACTCTCTGGGAAATCTTTCCTGGGTTTTTTTCTATTAAAGTTTTTGCTAACTTTTTCAAAACACTCTCATAAGTGGATGTTATCATTGTTTGGCTCTCCAGAAAGTCAACAAGCAAAATTCCTTGAGTATTCAAAAAAAAATTGTTGCTATGATCTTTGCCCTTGACCAATCTACTTTTATTTTGACTAGACCAATTCCATCTTTTGGTAGCCATTGCTTTGATTGTCCTTTGTCTTCAGGATTGTATTGGTAATGACATGTTTCATCTTCTGTTATAACTCTTCAAAGAAATGCTTTAGGATCTTGATCCCACTTATTTAAAATTTCCATTGAAAGTTCTGCTCTTGTTTGCAGCTGATCTGAGTGCAATGATTTTGGCACTCATTGACTGGAAAGTTTCTCACCTTTAATTTTTCAGTTACAGTGGTATAAGCAGAATCAATTGAGGTGTCTATGGTGTTGGCTATTGTTTCTGCTGTCAAATGTCAGTCAGTTGGGTCAGGGACAAGATTAATTTTTTCCTTGAAAATTGATGTGGGTGGTCTGCTGCTGCAGGCTTCATCTTCAACATTGTCTTCAGCACAGCTTGTAAGTGGCAGAACCAGGATTTGAAGATATGCCATGAAAGCCAGCATCTGTGTACTCTTAACCATTACACTATGTGGTAGAGAAGCAAACTCTCATGCTTATCTATCCCTTTTCTGAGACATACGTGACTGATGTGAGCAAACCAGAGAGTGTGTGCGCCATCCAAAGAAGGCAACAGACCCTCAATTCCAGGCACTTCTTGCCATGTTGGAATATATGTCTAGTGTTGCCAGATCTTCTGAATTTTATATAGCATCACTCGGTTTTAAATATGTCAATTAAGTAGATATGTTCTTTAACTCATGTATGTATATGTGCATGCACACAAATATACATGTATATGTACATTAAAGCAAAGTTCACACTGAACCAACATGTAAGCTATGTTTGGTTTACCTACTCTGCATTTGTGAATTCTAACTTTACTGAAACCAAATAACAATCTACATTTTCTAACACACACATATACACACACACACACACATACAGATTAGATGACTTGTTCAAGGTGATAACAATTGGTTAACTCTGGGCATAAGAAGGGCATAGCTTTTGATCTCACTACCGTATCTATTCTATACAGTGTTTATGTAAAGACCAGGTGAAAAAAGCAGCAGCTAACGAGGGAGTTGCCAGCCCTTCACATAGAATGCATCTCGACAAACCTGTGGTACATTAAACTGGTAACAGATTCTTTTCTGTTCTTGTCATTGAGAGAGGGAGTCTAATTCTTCTTTCTTGGTGATTTGCTTGACCAACAGAATGTGGCAGAATAAAATTCTGGCATTTCTGAGATTAGTCGTAGGAAGTCTTGTAGCATCTTGCCTGACCAAGTGTCAGCTCTCCACCTGACAGCCACAGCTGAGATCCCAGCCATCAGAAAGACTCAACAGTCAGGCATCCCAGCCCAGGCTTCAGGGAAGTAATTGAAGATACCATATTAAATGTGCATCCTCCTGCTTCAGCTGTCCCAGCCCCTTCAACCACCCAGTTGAACCTTTTCTAAATTCCTGACCCACACAAGTGTGAGTCAAATCAAAATTAAATTTTAAACAAATACAGTTTGGGTTAGTTTGTTATACAGTAATAGATAACTAGACCAATTCCTTTAAGCAATTTACCCAGGAAAATGCTCCAAAGCCATCCCCTTTACCTTCGAGTTCTTCCAGAGGAATTTCATTTACTGCTGGGACCTCACATAAGTGTGGGTGTGCAGAGAAGTCATTTTTATAAAAGATGACTTGGGAGGTTCCATTTTCATATTGAATGCATTTGTCAATTGGACACAGCTAGCAGGTAGAAACCTTCAGACAAAGGAGGTGAGTGACATATGAGTGTATGTCCTTGCCCATAGGATTTATCACTCCCTCTCTGTGGACCTTTGGAAGACAAGTAGAGTTGGAAGGATGAAAGGAGTCTCTGTAATGACTCTGGGCCTTCTTAGGATTCCACCTGGATTCACAGTGTTGATTAGAAGTGATGCCTGTGGAAAAAGAGAGCAAAGTGTGGGCCCTGGGTTGCTGTGTCTGATGGCTGAGACTTGTGTATGCTCCAGGTAGTGACATTTCTGGCCTTAGAGACGGCTTTTCATCTTCATCTCATTGCAAGTGGGTGCCAGAGGCTGAGGATATTAAAATGAACAAATATGCTCTATTCCTCAAAAAGCTACAGACTATATACTTTTATAAATACAAATGTATACAATTAATTTATTACTTGGGCTGAGCCTTACAGAGTATAAACAGGAAATGGCTTTATTTTTCTCTGATTATTTCCTTCAATGTGCTTTATCTCTTTTCATTTTCTTTCCTTGCAGTTTGATGACATCTTGGGCAGATTCCATAAGTGTTCAATCCTTTTAACCACTTTTTGACAATATAGAGTCCATTCCAGGTTTAAAAAGCCAAATTCTGACTTTTTTTAAACCCTCAAGCTCATGTTTAATTTAAAGCTTTTTTCCTTCCTTCAGATTGCACCTCGGAGACCAGAGTGGGGTCCAATATGGTCTGTCCTCAATCTTCCTTCACTTTCTCCCACTTCTGCTTCATATTCCTTTAAGTTCTGCCCTGTGGGAGGTGGGAAGGGGTGTGAGGAAACAGACATTGGAAGAATAAAGGAAACAATGACTCACATGGCTAATGGCTTGTAATACAGGCATCTGTGTTCCTGGCTCTAGCAAGTGTTCAGATACTATGGTAAGCTGTTCATAGGGTTTTCCTGCACAACACCCTACCCTCAACATGTGGATTTCTGAAGTGCAGTTTCCTGACACAGGTGGCACATTTTCTTGCTGATCCTTTTGAATCTCCTTCTAGCCCCTGCCCCTCTGAGATCAATCCGAGACACGGAGCCCTCTTGGGTAGGATCTCATTTAGTTGTCTTAAGCTTAGCCATTCTCTACCCATTGAGCCATGCACTGGGTCCAGAGGAAATTCACATATATTCTTCAAGCCCAACACTGCTCTTCTGCTTCCTGCTGCTCCTCCCTGCCATCTTGGAGTGCTCTGGCAACCCTATGCTGCCAGAGTCTTGCCAGTGGGAAGCAGGCTCCATTCTTTCTGTCACATATACCCCCAAATTCAAGCTCTCCCACAATCACTTACTGTATGCTTCACTGGAATGCCGAGCTGCCATGGGGCCTGTGGTTCATGGCATAATAAACATTCCTCTGGGGGCTGGGCCTCCAGCCTCCCTTTCTTGCAGACATCCCCAGGATCTACAAAGGATGCTCTTCAAGCTTCTTCCCCAGCTTTTTGGTTGAGAAAAGCCAAGAACTTTCAATTCCTCCCTGAGCCTCCTCTCACATTTCTAGTGTCTTTCACACAGCCTGGAGGATGTAGTGGTCTTCAGCTTCTCTTTCTTTAGAATGTGTGAGGACTCTATTGCCCTCAGTTTTTGCCCAGATTCTAGGACAATTTCATTAAATACAAATGATTTTGAACCATGTTGGTAATTGTTGAAATGGAGCCATGCCACTGAACAGATTCAGCCGGAGAAAGAGCAGGAATACCTCAGGCAGCCAGGCATGGCAGAGACTGGGCTCTAGGAGAACAAATGGAGGTTCATCAGGAAGGAGAGTGAGGGAGAACACTGGGCAGAGACATGAGAACATGCTTGATGACAAAAAAGGGCTTGGTGAACTCAAAGCACAGCACAGTGGCCGGTCATCTGCAGGGAGAAGGGAGTCAAGACTGCAGAGGCAGCTTGGAGGCAGAACAGGGAAGTAGGGCTGCTGAAGAGCTTCTTGGAGGGGAAGGGGGTGAAGTTGTTTTCTAGTCAGAAGGGGCCAAGGGAGAGAATCAGGAACAACAATTAAGAGGCACTGGGTCCCCCAGGTAATCTCATTTACCTTTAAAATGTTACCCTCTTACATATTCCTTAGGTTACTCAGTTGTCTTGTGTTCCCAAATCTCTTTGCCTTCTGGAAGGTTAACAGCCACTGGTAAATGGATGGCAAAGGATTTATTTGATAGTCGTGGAACAGGGTCACATGGCCACAGTCTATTTTTAGCCACCTCAGTAAGACTGAATGAAGTAAGATGTATGAAAGTGTTCTATAACATTCTAACCTTAGAAAACATAGGGAACACTTATTGTTAAGCAGTTAATGTTTGTGCAAGTCATTTGGCAATTAATTATGAATTACCTGTGACATTTCTTCTCTAGTTTTCTGGAATTGTTATTTAAGTCTATAAATCCACTTGCCTCATCCCTCAGGGCTCTGCTTCTCTGTTTCCAAGGTGACAGCTAGCTAGCAGGTGGATTAACCCATGCTAATCTGTTAGTTGCTACCAAAGGAGGCAATGCTGAGTGATGGCATGCATTTTAAGCCTAGTAATGTTCAGATTTCTTTTTAAATAAAAAAAATTATTTCAGATCCAAAGTATTGACCTGGATAATTATTAATTATAATATTAATTATATAGGTATGTAGACCATTTGGGTGTGTCAGATATGTACCATTACTTTGTGTACTTTCATTCAGATTGAATAAGATTGAGACTTCATCCTCTCATCAGGCTCGCAGGAATATTAATCTAGTTATTTGAGGGTTCCCTGAATCTCAGCTGACACATCCACTAAAGGTTGTCCAAAGGTCTTGGGAGGGGGGTCTGGGGCAGTGCCAAAGCATGTAGGCCATTGGCGCGTTAATTATCAGTGACACAACCTTATCCACGCTTCAGGGCAACTTAAAGTCTGCTATTCTGATCTCTTTAGGACATGCTTGAGGCTCAGGAATTGAAATCTAAAATCTCTAGGATCCAGTTTCCTAAGGTGAAGTAAGCAGCACTTTATCCATCTCCTAAGCTTGTCCTGAGAGGGAGTAGGATGTGGAGGCACCCTCAGATATTCTCCTTTGAGACCTGGGTAAATCTGCCATCCCTTTCTCTACTTCTTCTCTTACTAGCAACAATCATTGCCTTTTTTTCTCTCTTTTTGGTGTACTTAGCATATATCCTCCATCAGCGAAGCATTCACAAAAAGCCCTGTGTGATATGTTCCTCCAGTAGTTTTGGTTGTGACCGTACAAATTCTCCTGATATTAGAGAACATAGGTAACTGACTACCTACTGGAATGAAAGAGGGGAATGATGCAGACCCCAAATTCATCCTAACATCTCAATCAATTCTCCTACCCATATATAGACATAAAAGTGGATATAACTTTTCAAATGACTCTAAATCTTCACAGAACAATAAACATAATCATTATTCATTAAATAAAAATATACAACCCAATAAAATTTATATTAACAATATTACTCACATGTGATGATGATATTTGTGAAGGAAAATCATTGTTCCTTACATCAATATAGCTCTGATTATTATTGCATGGCCCTTTTGAGGTAAGCATGGGTGTACTATTATGAATTGTGTGATGATGACTTGATTTTCCCACAGTTCTTCTGCTTCAGCTACTTTGACCTTTTTTTATATGTACCATCACCTGTGATGCGGTTTAGATTTTACATTGTGCCAAAGTCATTATTTTCACAATAAACATACTGTACTCTATTTAAATTATTCTGGGACAATTAAGGTAGTACTAATTGGTATAGGATCCATCACCAATACAAACATAGGCTTGGACATGGAAATTGTGGGCTATTGTTTGAATTAAGACAAGTCCATATACACTCATCTTTTCTATAATACCGTTGAAATGCAAATGGAAAAGTAAGAATTTTTTGGGTTGAATGTTTGGAACCTCAGGCATGTATTTTTGGAACTCCAGGGCCCATGGAAGCCAGTTTGGAAACACTGCTTCAGTTGCTTAAGTATGACCTCTGGAGTCAGATGGAGCTAAATTTGAACTCCACCTCAGTTTCTACATTTGTAGCATAAATATGGTAATATTATCTTCAGTATTAGTTTCCTATTGCTTCTATAAGAAATTGCTACAAACTGGGTGGCTTAGAACAAGAAACAATTATTACCTCACACTTCCAGAGGCTAAAAGTCTAAAAATTAGGAGTTGGTAGGGCCATGCTCTCTCTGAAGTCACTGGGAAAGAATCTGCTCAGGCATCTCCTAGCTTCTGGTAGCCTCAGGCATTCCTTGGCTTGCAGATGCATCACTCTGATCCTCTGTCTTCAACTGGTGGTCTTCCTGTGTCTTCATATCATCTTTTCTCTATGTGTGTCTGTCTCTGTATCAAATTTCCCCTTTTAATAAGGGCACCAGTTATATTGGATTAGAGCCCACACTAATGACTTCATTTCATCTTGATTACCTTTATAAAGACTCTTATTTCCTAATAAGGCCAGATTCTGGGATACTAGGGGTTAGGACTTCAAAATATCTTTGTTGGGAGGAGGCACAATTCAATCCATAACACCTTTCTTTGGTGTTCTGAGCAATAGAGATAATGGATCAAAATTGCCAGGCTCATTTTAAATGCTCAGTAAGGAGTCATCAGTATGTTCATAACAGAATGGTTCATTGCCCCTTTCAGATACATATGTCATGGTCATATTTACATTTGGCATTCCAACTGTAGTTCAGAATTTCTGGCATTGCAATGTGTCAATGAGAGAAAGGCCCTTTGCTGTAGACCAAATTCCACTAAAATGTTTACGTACGCTCAAGGCTAAGGCTGTCAGATTTCTTTGTTTACTGTGTTAATTTTCAAAAATCACTTTGGACCAGACTCTGAGTCTTTTGATCACATTTACTGCTTTATCTTCTTTGTCTAACAGCTGCTTAGTGCATACTCAGCCCCTCAGTCCTTCCAAGTTTAGGCTGAGTTTCTTTTGTTTGAAAGAAGCAGGCTGCTATGTATTTTTTCTTTCTCTTTACTTTTTTTTCAGTTGAATTTTGGGGCTGAGCCTGACTCTCCCACAATGAAGAAAATTAATGCCAAGCTAGAGGCAGTGATAAAGAGGAACATCTCAGAGAGAGGACTTTGAAGGGAAGGGGATGTGTGTGATGTGCTGTCATGGGCATGGCTAACTGCATGAAAAGACCTTAAAAGTCTCTGCATTCCAATACTGAGTTATCATATTCCATGCAGATTAGATTGCCAAAGAGAATCTGAACGGTGGCTTTTGCCTCATGGACATAAAAGGTTTGTTTTTTTTTTTTTGAGTCTCACGTCCATTAGAGCAAGGAATGGAACCTGGCTCATCAGGCTGGCTGAGGTTTTTTATGTGGTGGAGGGAGAGCGGGAGACCAGCTTTATAGAGTGCCCTATCAGGTAGATACACATTTGACACAAGAACGCTGAGTTATCAAGTTTTCTCCAAGGGCAATCATATATCTTGGGAATCCAGAGCCAAATTATATTTGACATTTCATTTAAAGCCTGAGACATCTTGATGTTAAACCAGAGTCTAAGAGTGCTAAAGCAGGAGTCCATTCAATTTGACAGAGCGGATGTTTCTATTCCTATCTCACCTGCATGGGTAATAGACAAATCCTGATACTTCTTCCTTATTTCATCCAGATGAAAATCACTGAGTTAGCTCCCTGCCGAAATGATACTAGCTCAAAGTTATTTTCTCTTCACATCCCTGTGCAATGTGAAAAGAGTGTATCAGGAGTCATTTGGAAGTTGAATGGTGGCTGGTCTTATTTATGCAGTGGGTAACAAAGTTATGTTTACTTGGCTTATGTTCCAGATTGAAGAGGTATGGGAAGCTTGTGTGTGGGTGGAAGATACGTAGGCACAATACTCATCAAGTGACATACCCTTCAGATGTATTGGGTGGGGCTGGGGGCTTGGAAAACTGCCTTTAACTCAGGTTGCTGCAATTTCCATCTCTTTCCTTTTCATGAGAATTTTATACTTGTCCATGAGGATGTAGGAAGGAGGACAGGGAGGAAAAAAACAGGCAAAAGGAAGGCTAGTTTAGCCCAGTATTTTCCAGAGACTGTGCAAATAAATATCGTCTAAAAATAAGAAAAAATTATATTATGTTAGCATAATGGTATATGTATATAATTCATAGAGAATGAAACGTACATATGTTTAGAAGCAATGCTCAATTTGTATTTATTTTCTTTTTTTACTTAGGAGAGTACATGACTAAAAATGTCTGGAGATAACCAGTCCATGGTTTTTACTGGTTAGTATGTTTAATTAGTCCCTTAGGAAGTTACAAAAACAGTGAGTCCACCTTATAGTCAGTAATTATTTTATGAATTTTTAATATGTAAATAGTTCTGTGCTAAACTTTGCAATAGAAACAAAGAAGTGTAAATGATGGCCCTTGTCTTCAAGGCACTCCCATAATGGGGAAGAATAAGAAGACTGTTGAATTCCAAGTTAGTTGATGTGGGCTGGGATCATGCATCCGTATTTTCATGCCAAGTTGAGATGTGTCGAGCTTCACCAAGTAGCGTGGGATACTTAGCGAAGGGATGGAGAACAATTGGTGGAGTAAAGGAATAAGGGACTGAGTGAAAAAAAAAACAATGAAAAAGTGCTCTGGCAGACTTCAAGCTGAAGGAGAACTCACAATGGATTGGGCTGTAGTGGTCGCAGAGGAATGAAAAGAAAGAAGAAAACCATACAAGCTGTGAGTTCCTACTTTATTTGCAAACTTCTATAAGTGCAGCCAGTTTCTCTTTCAGGGGTCCCAAATAGGTCCTCTGGCCAAAAAAGGCCCCTCCAAGGATACAACAGATGCATTGAACCCCAGACACTATCTATTAGCGTACCTCCCTGCTCCAAAATATATGTTTTGCCTCATTATCATCTCTCTTTAAAAAATATCACCATAATATTACAACCAAATGTTATAGCATTGGTGGAGGTGCCTTAGAAAATTTTAGATAAATGAAAAAAAAGCATATTCTCATATTCTCAACATCCAGAAGCTGCCACCATTAGCACCTTGTTGAATATCCACCTTAGCATATTTACAACATTTTACATCAAAATGGAGCATACTATGCACACTGTTTCGTAACCTGCTCCTTTTTCTAGTAATGATGGCTACCTTTCCATTTAATTATATTGTAAACTCATCAAATATTCTCCCAGATGACATTCACATGACTTGTGCAGTTGGTTTCTCCTGTATCAATCTAGGACCACATTGAGCCAGGTTGTAATGTCACTTAAGCAGTGACATGTTGCAGCTGGCTTATACCTCATACAAGACTCAGTTGTTAAGCTTTCAGGAATTTTAGGAGTGGGTTGAGGTCACATTGGCAGCTTGAAAGTGCCACGGTGGAAGTATTTACAATATGGAAATCAGCAAATATTGCAAATCAAAGCCTCGTCATCACTCCAAATTGGTTGTGAAACATTACTAACACATCTTTGCCCCTATTTGCCACTAGTCTCTTTTAATCCAGAAGAGCAGAAGAACACCCCCTTGCTTCTTTGTTCCTTTTTTTTTTTTTTTTTTTTTTGAGATGGAGTCTCGCTCTGTTGCCCAGGCTGGAGTGCAGTGGTGCAATCTCAGCTCACTGCAACCTCTGCCGCCCAGGTTCAAGCGACTCTTGTGCCTTAGCCTCCAGAGTAGCTGGGACTACTAGCACGCGACACCATGCCCAGCTAATTTTTTGTATTTTTTAGTAGAGAGAGGGTTTTGCCATGTTGGCCAGGCTGGTCTCAAATTCCTGGCCATAAGTGATCTGCCTACCTTGGCCTCCCAAACTGCTAGGATTATAGGTGTGAGCCACAGTGCCCAGCCTCATTTTTTTCTTTTATGGCACTGACTTGTTAATGAGAATAGATCAGTTGTCCTATGAATGTACTATCTTCTGTATCTGGCTTGTGGTGTCATTTAGCTCATAAGTTTCTTATATTTTACATGTGTCCCATATCCTAGAAATTATGTCGAAAGGCTTAATGCATTCAAATTAAACATTTCTGGCTGATTTTAATTGATTTTAGATATATGGGATTGTAGTACACTGGAAGACACATAATATTTCATTGACCCATCATTAATGATACTAACATTGACCTTGGATTACTGTAATGACAATTCACTCCTCCATTGAAGAATAACACTTTTCTTTTGGGACCAGAAAGTAATCTGTGTAGTATTAATTTGCACTATATCAAAGTATTACTGTGCAAACCAGTCACCTAGTTGTTGTGACACCAATTGATTATCCTTGCTTGAAGCAGTTAATTTAATTAGAGTTTCTAAAATGTTTTAAAATCCCACCACTCTTTCTTCATTTATCGGCCAGGATTTCTATGTAAAAAAGGTTTCTTCACCAGGTGGGCAAATTTGTTACCCTGAAACCCAGTTACTAGCAGAAAGGCAGAAAATAAAAGATCAGTTCTTTCACTTTATTTCCCAGTTTTCAAAGAGTTGTTTTAATACCCACCTCAAATGGTGACGAATGAGGTTTCTATGACTTTCTTTTAAAAATATCATTATGGACTCATTGACTTTTCATTGATTCAATCTGTTTCAATCCACTAAACTCATTATTCTTTTTGAGGTTCAGATTGTCACAACTTTGACCTATGGTCGGCTCCACACTGGCTCCTGGTCTGTTTGTCACAGCCCCATTTGTCTTTGCAGGCTTCCTTGCTTTCCAGTGCGAGAAGTCCTAAGCTTACATTGCTCTTATTCTGCCCCAGACTTGAAATTAACCATTTCTCTGAGGAGCCTTGTGTGTGTGTGTTTTTCTTTTCCCCCATGGGAATGGTAATAGGGCCATACCTGGATATGAAGAATATTAATTGCTATTGAGGTTACATTGCTTCAAGGACATTCCAGGCTCTTTAAATATATATTTGAAAAATCATGACATCATATTTATAATTTAACTAAAATATTAACATTTGAGTGTTTTTACTTTTTAAAATTTTATGTTTCTATCCCATTTTTTGCACTGAAAGTTTTGATACCTAATATCATTAAAATAATTATTTGTTTTCATATTTATTATTAAAAATATTTTGAAAATGTTAATATTAATTTTACAACAAGCAATACAATTACTGAGGCAGTTTAATTGTTTCTGTGTGTGGTTATTTTTGCCTTAGAATATCTCATACCACATACTGACAATCAAATTACTGCATTTTTGAGTTCTTTGAATGAAATAATTTTGCTGTTACCAATTTGATATACAGTTAGGTTCTTTTAGTTCAATTTGTTTTCAACTTGAGAAGTTATTTTCCTAATATAATTTTCTTGAAAAAGTTAATATATTTACATAATCAAAAGGTCAAAACAATACAAAATGCATGCACATAAATATTTTGCTTTCATTATTTCCCCCTTGCCAATTTGTGGAACAATTCAATAATTACTTTCTTGTTTATCATTCTAGTCTTTTGTTTACATAAATATAGTTTTTCATATCCTATGTATACTATTCTGTGTCTTGCTGTTGGTTATTTTAAGATAGCTATTGTGATTTTGCTGTATCAGTACATAAATATTATTCTCACTTTAAAAATCTTTGCAAACACTCTTTCTTGAGGGTGCACCGTAACTATTTAACCTGTCTCATCTTGCTGGATAATTAGATTCTTCCCAGTATTCCCTTATTACAGTGAACAATCATGTATAAATGCCATTTCACCTTTTTTGCAGGTGTATATGTGGTATAGTGTCCTAGAAGTGGAATTGCAGGGTGAAAAAAAATCCACTTGTCATTTTGTTAGGTATTGCTAAATTCTCTTCCTCAGAAGTGGTATCATTGTCCAACCTCACCAGCGATATAAAACCATGCACTGCAGTATCTATAATCTAGTACTTCAACTACAGAATGTATTGTGAAATTTTAGGTAAAAAAATAGTATCTTGTTAGAGCTTTCATTTGCATTTCTTTTAGTGTATGTGTGATATTGAAAGTCTTCTCCTATTTTTAAGGGAAACTTGTAATTTGCTGTTGCTATCTGTTGCCTCTTCTCTATTGGATGGTTGGTTTCTCTCCTCTAGATTTCTAGGAACTTTGTATAATTATCTTAGCTCTTTGTCTACAATGTAGGCTGCACTTTTTTTCTGTCTGTCATTTCTCTTGGCTGTCAGTGATGCTTTTTACCAAACAAAAGTTTTTATTTTTATGTGTTCACATTTGTCATTCTTTTCTCTTGTGGCATCTGGGTTTTCAGTTATAGTTAGAGAAACCTTCTCTGCTCTAAAGTTTTACAGGCATTTTCTGTTTTTTCCTGGTATTTACATAATTTCATTTCATTTGCATTTAGATATTTGATTCATTTAGCTTGTTATTTTCCATCTGTTTTCAAAGCCCTTGACACTTTCCTCTCACAGTGATATTTTTCACTGATTTTTATGGTACCCTAAGTTATGGCTCACTCTTTTATACTTTAGTTCCTCTATACCTCTGCTTACATAGTTCTCCTCTAGTACACCCCTTTTCTCTGTGCCTTTCAAAATCCTACTTTTTCTTGGCTCTAAGCAAGTCATGTCTTCATTGATGATGTCGTTGACTGCTATAACCAACGTTTGCCTCTGTATCCTCTGAAGTTTCTATAACATTTACCCACTGGCATCCATGGCATGATGGAAGATTTACTGCTTTGTATTTTTAGTTGATGCCTATATGAGATACCTAACAATTAAATGGTAAGCCAGCTGAAATCAGGAATCACATTTTATTTTTCTATGCACCCCCTTCACCTCCTGAAAAGCCACCTGCCTCTGTGTCCTATCCAAGACCTCTGGCCATTTGAAGCATCTCATTCCAAAAAAGCAAAGACATTCTCTCTCAGGCCTTTCTAGTTGGCTGAGAAGTTAACTGTCACTCCTACTTTGTGTAGAGGAAAATTTTACTAAATAAATATTTGGTGCCATTTATTATTGTGAACAGAAAAGGATATAAACATAATGCGTGAAAAATCACAACCAGTAGTTCTGATTTCCCCATGAAGGCCATTGCTGCTGGACAAACCATGGGACCAAGATCTCTCCTCTGAGACAGAAAAACACAAGGCCAGACCAGATTTTCTGCTGATTGGGCAACTCCAGAATGTACTTCCTCAAAAAAATGACTCCATACAAAGGTATTCATTTTTACTCTATTTAGAGCCCATCACTGTCTAGTACCTCAGACAGCAACCCAAGCAGGGAAGCAGTCAGCTGTTTATTGGCTGTGGTTGGTAGACTTGGGTCTATCACAGGTGGAGAGAGAATAAAAGCAGAAGGGGAGTTGGGAAAGCAAAAACCCACCCTATTGCTTGGGAGAAATCACAACAGAGCCAGAGACAAGGCAAAGGGGAAAAGGCCAGATTTATGCCAGGTGGTAAGAAGGGCACGTTTGGGGCTGGATAATGTTTGCTCAGCTTACACTGGATAGCTGCCTTCCTTCTTAGGGGCTACAATTTTCTTCAACAACTGACTCTTCCTTACTCAGCATGACAAGGTGCAGACCTGTCTGTGCTGTAGTGAGCCTGCAAATGAGAAAGACCAGCCTTCCTTAGACAATTTCAGGGACTTCTCCAAAGGGGTCTGATGACCCAGGAGGGGATGATGAGTTCAGGCTTTGTATCCTGTATAGAAGGAGGCTGATGATTGCTATCACTGAAGTTGTTGCTTATGATTGGGTCCTGAAGAGTTTTGTTCTTAATTGGTGAAAATTTGCTCTTACATGGTAGAAGAATACAAAGTTCATAGCTGTTTTTATTTATAACTTCATTCATTCATTTATTCAATATACAATTATGGACTGTCTACTACTTTCTAGCAACTTAGTCTCGAATATGTAAAGCAAAAGAAGATATAATCTTTTTTCAAGGATCTTTTTGTATAGAGCAATGGTCCACCAGTTGCTATTTTTTTTTAAATCTCACGCATGAGCACTAAACACTTTCCAATGCATATCCTAATTATTCTCAGTTTGTCTTTTTATGAGACAAGTTCTTGCTGTTTTCCAGGCTGATCTTGAACTCCCAGGTCCATGCAATCCTTCCACCTCATGCTTTCAAGTAGCTGATATTACAGGCACATGCCACTGCACCCTGCTCTTCTTAGTTATTTACAACAACATATTTTACTATCCTAATATAAATGTTATAAAACTTACACAAAAGCAAACATTACAAAGGGGTTATAAAAATACAAATTGAAGTTTTAATATCTTTCTCTCTTAGAATGGTTTTGTGAAAATTACTAAAGACAACACAAATACAATATGGACTATTAAAACCTGTTGCACATCCAAGCATAAATTAGGCCAGTTAAAACAGAATTTGTCAAGGGTCTCGTTACTTGTTTTACCCTACCTAGGCACCAGAAAATCATGCTTCCAATGTCACCATGGGGTTGTCTAGCTCAACCAAACCAAAGGGACCTTTTCTTTTTAAAAATAAGACTTATGAGGGCAATAAAATATTCTTTGGGAGAGAAAGGAGTGATAATATGCAACGTATACCACCTAGTTAAAGGAAAAAAGTCCTGAAACTGGACCCCAGTTCATTCACCATAAAGAACTGGGGCTGACTGAAGTGATGTGGCTAAGGGGCCAGTTTGGATCCCGGCTTCATTTTCTTCTGGTTGCTCCACAGGGTTCTTTTCTCTAAAGTTGGATGCTAACTATCTTACTCTTGGGTAATGGCACTATTACTAAGGTATAGTCTATGCTTAAACATTTACCCAAAACAAAGGCGTTATATATCTAACTTCTATTAGCTGTTATTTGTGTAAGAGTTTCTGCCACTCCAGTGGTCTCTGAGCTTAGCTGCTTCTAGCTATGTGAAATTGCGACATTCTGTGACCTGGGTCTTCTTGGTGAAGTCATTTCTGTATGAATTGTGGTGGTTGAGGGTTCAGGTGGTGTGATCAACTCCATTTTGTAGAAAGACTTACTTCCCTTTTGAAGTCCTGGTTGAAAATGAGTTCCCTCATTGTGCAAAACATAAGCAACGTGACATTCCCTGCAAACATTTAAAAAATTCATTATTTTTTACATTTAATTTTAAAATTGATACATAATAGATGTACATATTTACTATCAGGGTCCTGTAGAAATTATTAAACATCTCCATGGGAATAGTGAATTACAACGCTACATTCATCACACATGTTCAATATTTTGTAGGCAACAATAAGATAATAGTATCAGTGCTGAATGTGACATGTAAACTATTTTACCTTCAGGCTTACTACCCTAAGTTCAAAGGAAAATTTAAATGAAATATTTTTCAAGTGTTCCACAGGAAACTCATTTTAGAAGATGCTTGCAAATCATTTACAAATATTTTAAAAATATCTCACTCCAGTTCTCAGCATTTTACTTTGCAATATCAATATACTTAGCAAAACTCCCCTCACAGACAGCTTAGAAAAAGACCTCAGCCTGAGTCAGAATTATTCAGGTTTCAAATGGTACAGTCCAAATTACTGATGCCTCAGTTCACTTTAAGACTGGTTTAAGGTTAAGTTAAACCAAGAGGAAGTCATGTTTGGTGGTGAGACCCTTCTGTGGGCAAGAGATAGCCTCTGATGGAGAGTGTTGGCAGGTGCTCTGTTCTCTCTTTATGGTCCTACTTAGCTCGCTCTGTGTGATTTCCCATTTGCAATATTAACATAATATCATGCACATACATATATTTATAGAGTGCCTCCTTTCCAAGGAGGAAATACATTAAGATTAAGCCAAATATTTTCATTTCCCCAACCACATTGTAAACAAAACAATTGATTTCCTTACCTCTGGGGTGGAAAGCCTCAGTTGTCTCCAAGCTACCAAACTATACTGAAGATAAAAGTGACTGAAATTATGGCATTGTTTTGAACAACAGATAAACTGACACAGCCTTAATACAACTTTTGGCATTACTGAAAACGAATTTGGAAACTTGATGTTTTATTAGGGAGCATTTGGTCATCCATATGGTATTAAACAGCAGAGAAGCAGTGCCTTCATTGAGATGATCCTCATGACTCATTCTTTGCAGCAGTGTCCAAGAATACTTATTGGTTATTAATTGGGTATTGTGTGATGCATATATATGTCCTGAACACTCTGCACCTGCATCTTCCCTTATAGTCCTTTAATATTTGCACTTTATGTTTGAGTGATTATTTTATTAATGTCTATATTCCCTCAGGCTACCATGAATGCTTCATGAATGCAGAGAGTACTTCTGATTTATACCCTGTCTCTGTACAAGGACTGGCAAATAGTAATGCTAAATCCATATTTGTAGAAGGAAGGAAGGAATGAGGGAGGGAGAAGGAAGGAAGGAAAGAAGGAAGGAAGGGAGGAAGGAAGGAACAAAGGAAGGAAGGGAGGGAGGAAGGAAGGAACAAAGGAAGGAAGGAAGAAAGGAAGGAAGGAAGATGAGATAGAAATGAGAGAGAGAGAGAGACAGAGTGGGGGGGGGAGAGAGAGAGAGAGAGAGAGAGATGGGATTTGGAAATAGCCCAAATGTTCTGATGTTTCATTGTTTATCTGATTATTTTCTCACCATATATAGCTAGTAGTCATCTGGCTTCATACTTCCTTGGGAAGGACAGCAGGGCCAGACCTGCCAAATGTTTAATTGCAGCTCACTGTAAAAAGAATTAACACTCCAGTAAAAATGGACCCACAAGCAAGCTGCTCAGATCATTGTAGATCCTGAATTTCAGATCTGTGAGGAACTTGGATGCTTATCGCATCCTCATTTTGGCCTTGAGGAAATTGAAGCTCATAAAGGCTAGGTAACTTGCTGAAGGTCACACAGCTGGTGGCAGGACAGTGTTACCTCTATTTCATGCTGCTTCTTGGATAGACTGCAGACAAAACATGTACCAAACTTTAATTTCTATTGCTCTCAGTGCTGGGGGGATGCCAGAGTTCTTGCTTCACAACAAGTGTTCAGAAGCAGAATAATTGAGGAACATCACAGCAGGCTCTGGGAGGAATTTGTGGCCAGTCATATGAAATTTGAGTGTCTGGCTGAAACTGACTCTAGTCAATCACTGGCTGTGTCTCTGGCTATTGAGAAGGAGGTAGTGGATTTTTGGGGTATTGCTTTAGTTGCTATTACAGGGTGATATTTTGAACAAAGACACCTTTTTTTTTTTTCAAATCTCTATTTCTGGTAAAGTTAAATTCAGCACTTGATTTGTAGTATTCAGCACCAGGGAAAGATTAGTAACTTCTCCCTTAAAACCTAGATGTGGTTCCCAGCCCTAGTATTTAATATACTGCAGGCCATGTAGGCCATTCATCTTAATTATGTAATTATTAAAAAGATTCTGATATTGTCTACTTATCAAAGATCTCTAGAATACATACCACACCCCTCTGATTAGGGGTGATTAGAGAAATACCTGAGACCAAACTATTTTCACATTTCCTTCTCTATTGATTGTCCAAAAGGTGATTATTGTGGCTGCTCAGCAGGCTGTTCTCATTAGGGCTCCATTGATTGTGAGCTGGTTATGGTTCCAAATGCCAGGCCAAGTGTGTTGCTTTGAATTTGTAGTGTGAGGCACTCCGATAAGATAAAGAAAAATTAAGGCCAGCATTTTAGTCTCCAAGTTCTGGTTAAATTGTTACACCTTCATACAGCTTTCCCAGATTCCTGCCCCAAAGAAACAACATTAATTAGTCTTTTCAGCTATGCAGTCTTTGGAAGCAATACTCTTGATTTATTGAAGGCTGCATTATTAAAATTATCTGCTGTGTCTGTCCTTAATAAGGTCAAAGAAGGAATCTATGAACGCTGATTCATCACAAAGGCTCTGGGGATGCACATCATTGAGAAAGCCAATTTTATTTTCCCTACTGCAAGACAAAACCGGATCGCAACTTTCCTTGCTTATCGGGAAGGCAAAGCCCGAATCCACTATTAATTTGGAGAAAGACCTAATCAGTACATCTGGCCTTCTTTGTGGAGGATTCCTCATGACCAGGCTGCATATATAGTATGGAGTGGTGAGGGAGGGTTTTAACTGTCTAAGTGAATGATAATTCCTCTCAGGAGATGCTTGTTGGAATAGATTTCCCTCCATGATCTCAGCCTACATTTCTTTAATAGTTATTAATGCCACTGTATCAGCAATCCTGTTCTCTTGCCATGATAAAATCTCCCCGAAGAGAATTGCTATTGTGTACATTTAGTAGGATTGAGGAAGACAAGATGCAGGGGAAGAGAACTGATTTTCCCTCTTTCAGTAGAAGGCATTGATGGGGACATCAGTGTGTCGTGTATCACACAATCTGTAAATTACTTCAAAATTGCATGGGATGTTCTCCATAATACCCTCACAACGTAAAGTCTCCCAGCTTGACCTATTTGGCTTAATTTGTGCTTTCTGCAAAAGAGTTTATTTTTTCTTTCCAGTGAAAAATTGTAGTTCTGGAATTTTGGGGGCAGCCAGCATAAGAAAATAAAATCGTGTTTGGCCTTGTATTGCACCAAACATATAGTAAGTCACCTGTGAATATTTGCTGAATTGTGGATACAATGACAAGATAAAAAGGTACAATTTCCCATGAGTTCATTTCAATACAGTTCCCATTTACAAAAAGCAATTAGAGCTTTGTCTTCAACATAATATATTTATTAAATAAATGTAACTGTGTAATCATGGAATCTAAGCACAGGAGGATTTCCAAGCTTCACCTCACATCAAATGCAGGCATCATATAGCCTCTAGGCCTTGGGTTATGTCAGGGATTTTTGCTTTTCACTTAGACTTGCAGTTGTCTTTCTTAGAAGATATGAAACATGTTGGTCCCACCTCTAGCCAAGTAAAAACAGGTATGTGAATAAAATGACTATCAAAACAGGTTCTTTTCAAAGCGTTGGAAATATTGGATTTCTCTTGGCTGTGAATGTAGTGGGAGTCTTGATGTCTTCGTCATATTGGGGAGCTTTTTATTCAGCATACTAAAAACATGTATCTAGCAATTTCTAGAGGGTGCCAGGACTTTTCTTGGGGTTAGAGTAATGAAGATGATTATACAATGGCCTCTATCCAGTTGACGCAACTGATTAGATTAGCTAAATGTTACAGGGCACGGTGGTATAAAAAAATTCCTGGAAGACGGAAGATTTTATTCACCACATAAGCAGTCATGGGGTAGGTGTTCCACAACTAGTTGGATGTGTCAAGGCACAGCATCCTACAAAAACATAGTCTGTTTTGAAAAATTCAGTCTGCCTGAAGGTGGGTGGCTGGAGAAAAACTTGAGAAGTTAGGAGGGACCACATCACCCAATACCTGGTTAACCAACTAGGAGAGATTTAATGACTACCTGTATAGCCAGCAGGAACATTTAATGTGGGGTACAAGATCACCTTTGTTCTTTAGGAAGTTTGTAGTCATTCATAAATCCAAAGGAAAAAGCAAAAATTCAGGCCATGTTATGCCTCACATGTAAAATAGCCTGCTATCCAGCCCTGGGCATTGCATTATTCCAGTAAGGGCTAATGTTGTATATTCTTCTCAACTATTTCAATAAAAAATGTGGAGGATACATTCCAGTTGAAAGATCACTTATTTGAATTTTACCTTTTAGTGCCAAGATTGCAGGGAAAAATATCATTTGTGAGCCTCTCGGAAGGTTGGCTGATCTGCAGATAGGATAAAATATCCTGCATGTACTCTCCATTTGATTTGTAATTTACATAGCATCTCTTTGTTCATCAAGGAACACCCTGCATGACTTCCTGACACTGACCTGGATTTTACTTATGGCTGCCCTAAATTGTGTTATCATGGTGTACCGGTTGTTCAGTATTCAGCCTTGCTCCTCTGTAACTTAATATTATGATTTATTTCTGACTTGGCTTTTCTTTATCGAATGCTGACTTTTTCTAAGAGGTTCATGTGGAAATGTGCTACATGAAAAAAAAAAAAGGAGCACAGTTTGGCCTCAGGGCAAAAACATGAATACTGACCCAGGGACATGAATACAGGGCAGAAGAGAGAGTGGCACAGGCAACAAAATTAACTCATTTCTTTGCCTTTTGTGTGTTCCTAAGTGTGTGGAGTGACTCAAATTTTAGCACAGAAAGTAAAGTTAGAAAGCAACTGCTATTTGCCAACAACCCATTCTTTAATTCTCAAAGATCAAAAATTTGCTTGAAAACTGACATTTTCATTTTCTCCTGGCCCAGTGAACAAAGTTTTAAGGTTATGTGGTCGCTCTGATACCACCTAAGAAGCAAATATTTCTTGCAGTCTACTTCTAGATGTGAATGAACTGAAAGTAAATGACTCAGAGATGGAGTAAATGTCCCTTGAAATACACCCAAACTTAATAATTAGGAGAAGAGTGCTTGAATAAACACATTTAGAGTGTTATTGAGCATATACAAGCTTAGATGGTCCATATTTCTAAAAGACAGTGAGTCTATAGCACATTCTTCGGAGATGAGAAAATTATGCCATAAATAAAATTTGTAGTGGAGGCATTTGTTTTATCATTCAGTTAAGTAGCAGGAATTCTTTCATACCTAGAGGGACTTAGGTAAAACTAATAAACAGACATACTTAACAACAAGAACAACAACAACAAAAATAAAGCATTACCATTCAAGAGTGTGAAATCACTTCTCTGAGAGCCTTTTTGGATTGAATATTCTTTTTGGGCTGGTAATGTCAAACTAAAACTTTACCTAAACACAGATAACTAGGTGGCTCTTAGCATACCTTTCAGGGCTTATGGTCTCCAATTATTCCACTCACATCCCCCTATACATTTCCAAATCACCTCTTTCAGTGTCTCCAGTGTTTAAACATGAACTGGATAGAGTGTTGCATGGTAGTATTAAATAAAATTTAGCTTAAAGCTGTTTCCTTACATATTATAAGTTCTGTCTAAAGGTTTCTACGTGCATAGTATACATGTCATTGAAAGTGTAAATGGACTATAACCTACTCTGATACCAATCACTGAGTTGTGGCCAATCAAAGGTGGCCAACTGCTCAAACCACATTCAAATATGGCAAATGCTGAGCTGTAACCAATCCCGTTGTTTCTGTACCTCATTTCTGTTTTCTCTCTGTCACTTTTCTTTTTCTTTCCATAAATCTTCTTCAACCACCTGGCAGTGCCAGAGTTTCTCTGAACCCATTCTGGCTTGGGGGATGCCTGATTCATGAATCATTCTTTGCTCAATTAAACTCTGTTTAATTTAATTTGTCTAAGGTTTTTCTTTTAACAGTAGAGATAGGAGTACAACACACTTTGAGGTGTACAGGAGTGAGTTCAAATCCTAGCTCTGTTATTGGCTTGATTTCTCATCTTGAGCAAGGTACTTAGTTTCTCTGAGCCTTAGTTTCTGCACTTGTAAATGTGGAGAAGTGAAACACCAGACTTGAGAGGATGCTCTGCTATCTGAACGAGGTAATGGGAAAATGCTCGGCCAGTGTTGTAACTCAATCTTCTTATCCAACAGTGAGCCCCTTGGGCACCCAGACCCAGACTCGCCCTTCTAGTCTCACGTCTTGCACTCTCTGGCACATCTCATGTAGGCTCTGTTGCCTGTCATGTTTTCCAGTCCACAAATACCCTTGGCATGCTCTCATGTCTGTACTTGGTCCACATTATTCTAACGTGAATACATGAAACTTCTAATGACAGTGCAATCTTTCTAGACAATCTCTGAAGGAGAAATGTTACTAGTCTGTGGTGAATATAAAAATAGGCTCATAGGGAAAAAAAACTGTGATTGAAGGTATAATTCTGCATTTTCTTGGGATATACATAAATAGCAAGTAGTCATTTTTTACTTAAAAAAAAAAAAAGAAATCTACAGAAAGAAAATTTAGCTGTCTTTCTGTTGCTAACCTTCCAGGAGGCCTTGGTTCTCCTTTAAGGTTGAAGTTCGTTTGTGACAGGTTAGTGCTGCTCATTTTTGTGGCTTTCCAGAAGCCACCGTGGAAAAGGCAGAAGTCTTCCCCTCCCATTATGCTGAGTCAGACATGGCATCTACATGACTCATCACCAAGTGGTTCTCCAGAATTCACTTTGCTTGCTTTTCCCCAATCCAGATAATCCTCGGGACTGGTAGCCACCCAACTCACTCCTGCACACTGTTCTTCCTCTTTGGAGGCACCCACCATGCCTGTCTGATGCTGCCCCTCAAGGTCACATCGGAGTCTCCTGTACCTACCTTGTCTGTGGCTACCCAACTCTATACAATTTCTGAAGCTTTCATAACACCCAGATGGTCTATAATGTAATATGTGTTTAGATAATCCTCAGGCCAAAACATCTTTCCAAAATTTAACTGTAAATCTGTCACTTCCATGGGTTATGTTAGTCTTTTCCATGTTCAAATGGCTATCTGAGCTCCTGGGGAGGGGAAGTCACTCCCGGAGTTCTCTTTCCATCATTCATAGTGTGAATCTCACCTTGGGCTGGGAGGAATTTGTGATGGGCATACAAGTGAGAAAAAGGGTGCAAAGGGGTGAGATGGTATGTTAGTCAGGGTTCTCTAGAGGGACAGAATTAATAGGATAGATGTATATACAAAGGGGAATGTATTAAGGAGTATTAACTCACGAGATCACAAGGTAAGGTTGCATAATAGGCCATCTGCAACCTGAGGAGCAAGGAAGCCAGTCCAAGTCCCAAAGCTGAAGGACCTTGAGTCCAATGTTTGAGGGCAGGAAGCATCCAGCATATGGGAGAAAGATGTAGGCTTGGAGGCTAAGCCAGTCTAATCTTTTTTTTTTTTTTTGAGATGGAGTTGCCCTCTGTCACCCAGGCTGGAGTGCAGTGGCGTGATCTCAGCTCACTGCAACCTCCGCCTCCGCCTCGCAGTACCTGAGATTACAGGTGCATGCCAACACGGCTAATTCTTGTATTTTTAGTAGATACAGGGTTTCACCATGTTGGCCAGTTGGTCTGGAACGAACTCCTGACCTCAAGTGATCCGCCCACCTCAGCCTCCGAAAGTTCTGCGATTACAGGTGTGAGCCACTGTGCCTGGCCAAGCCTAATCTTTCCACGTTCTTCTGCTTGCTTTTATTCTAGTTACACTGTCAGCTGGTTAGATGGTGCCCTCCCAGATTGAAGGTAGATCTGCGTTTCCCAGTCCACTGACTCAAATGTTAATCTCCTTTGGCAACGCCTTCACAGACACACCCAGAATCAATACATTGCACCCTTCAATCCAATCAAGTTGACATCCAGTAGTAACCATCACAGATGGCTAATACGGGAGATATTCATGAAGGGTCTGGGAAGGGGATTTGGAAGAGATATGGACACAAAGGAAGGAGGAAAGAAAAGGGGAAGTGAGACGGGAACCAAACCAAACACCCTGTATTGCACAATTGAGCCTGGAGTTGGCCTGCTCGCCACAGAGCAGTCACAGGTTTTCAGGATGCTTTAGTGATAGCAGCCATCAGTACCTCTCATTAGGAGCAAAAGCCCTGATTGGTAATAGTATATTCTACTTATTTAGAGAATAAAAGTTCCCTGTTAGAACCAGCCTTCTCAGAATGGCATTCAGCTTTTCAGAAAAGCACAGCACCAGCATATTTCTTATCTGCCTTGAAGGTTATAATAAATCCCTTCTTCTGTTAATTCATAAATCCTTCAGCCACATGCCATTTTGGGGCCATATGCTTTCTTTCCTCCCTCTAACCCTTGGAAAGATCTTTCATATCCAATCTCTGTAGATAATCTGAATGTGAAATCAGGTATGGTTATCTAATCCCTCTAATCAGAAGGTCAGCAGTTACCTGCAGCTTTTCCATCTGTCCTCCAGCTGAATGCTGCCATTTAGTAAATCAAAAATTGGTTACAAATTAGCAAAGCTGACTGGCTCAATGAAATCTAGCCTGGAGTCTTTGCTGGAAGGGGGGAAGTTTAAATATGGTTTGAAGGGAGATTTGAGGTGAACTCTATTTATCAAAGCCGTGGAGTAGCAGCATAAAAGATGAGAGATGTTCTCCTGGGTAAAAATGTCAAATCACATGGGAAATGGGAATATTTCACATGGTGATTACTGAATTTTACAATTGTTCGCAAATTGATTCAGCCCAGAAATCAACTGGGAAGTCTCCCACAGGTGTCTAGCACTCTGCAGGTATTAGCGTGATACAGGGTAAGTCTCAAAGTACAAAAAAAAACACACATGTGAAACAATTTGCAAACAATGAAGTGCTAACCTGTGTGGTGTGAATTACAGATGCATTAGGACACCAGAAAAGGAAGAAAAGACAGTGGCAGCTGAAGACATTTCAGGAATGCTTCACTGAGAACCTAAGTCTTGTTCTGGGCCATAAAGAAAAGGGGAGGGTGTGGTTTCTATACCAGAGATAAGAAAGGAGAAAATTGGACGTGGAGGAAAGATATGAGTACCAATCCGAGCGAACAAGGAAGAGTGAGTAAATCTGTCCAGCTGGAGTTGGAGGTACATTCTGGAAAATGGTGAGAGAGGCTGTGTAGGGTAGGGGGACACGGAAAGATGGGCCAAGACATTTGGAGCTGATATTTGATATGGTTTGGCTGTGCCCCCACCCAAATCTCATCTTAAATTGTAATCCCCATAATCCCCACGTGTCGAGGGAGGGACCCGGTGGGAAGTGATTGGATCATGGGGGCAGTTTTCCCCATGGAATTCTCGTGATAGTGAGTGAGTTCTCACGAGATCTCATGGTTTTACAAGCGTCTGGTATTTCACCTGATTGCACTTCTCTCTTCTGCCTCCTAGTGAAAAAGGTGCCTGCTTCTCCTTCTGCCATGATTATAAGTTTCCTGAGGCTTCCCCAGCCATGCGTAACTGTAAGTCAATTAAACCTCCTTTGTTTATAAATTACCCAGTCTCAGATAGTATCCTTATCGCAGTGTGAGAATGGACTAATACAATATTTAAATCAAAGGGACTCACTGATGTTTCTCAAAAATAATATAAGAGGAAAATATAGGTGGTGGTTTAGTGTCCATCTACCTGGCCCCTAGGGTTGAGCCTGGGAAGCCAGGCCAGGAAGGGTTAGCATAACCATCTAGGCATGATTTAATGGGACTGACCTGTGATAGTGAGGTGGAGAGAATAGGCAATGTGACAGTGAAAAATATAAATGAAAACCAACAGGACTCCATCACAACAGAAAGAGGACTTTCCAACCTGCAGGGGAGAAAAAGGTTGTGCCTCTGGCCATCAGGAGCATTAATTGTAATGTCTCCATTTCAGCCAAACTGCTGTGCACACACATGAAGCCTGGGCCCCCTTTAACAGCAAGGGGTCTGTTGTTCCCCTCCTTGTGCAGGTGGGTTCAGCTAGTCAAATCGAGGTCTTGATGTAGCCTGGGGCTGCCACTCTCTGTGGAGCCGGATGGGCCTGACGGGTAGACAGGTGCTGGTGGTGATATAGGAGCCTCGGTGGTCTGAGATTTAACAGTCCTGGCTTTCTGTGTTTCAGACTTTGGGGCTCCCTGGCCACTTGCACTAGGTTTAAGGCACAAATTTGAATTGTATGTGCTGAGAGCCAGGTGTAAAAGTTCTGGCAGTGATGAGCTTGAGTGTGGACCTAGCTGACCACCTAGCATTTGCATCTCAGAATAGCTGAGGGTTTCCTTTCTTATCATTTTACTGTACATAGTAACTCTTATTGAAGGTCTGAAGGGGCACTGAATTTTTTTCTTTTAGAATTTTCTGTATTTTATGTCAGAAACGATATGCTAAACTATGATTTGTAAATCTAGGTAATAATAAACATCTCTGAACATATTCATGAATATGAAAGAAGCAGTAGAATCATGTTGGGGCCTGAGCCTGTTCAGTCTAGGTGTTGCCAAGATGTGTGGGAGGGGAGATGTGGGAAGAGGCAGGGCAGATGGCAGTCAGGGATGCAAGGTCAGGAATTCTACTAAGCTGGAGAGTGGGCAGGCAGCTTAGGAGAATGGTAAATCAAGAGGAAGAGAGTTTCTTTGCCTGCAGCTGTAGGTCTAGAGCTACCTTTTATGGCAGCGTTCACTCATATAGGTAAGATAAGTGAGGGGCCAGCAACGGCTCCTTTGGAGCCAAGATTGGGCCCCTGCCATTGATGAGTTTTCTGAGCTAGTGACAGAGGCAGTTCTTCTTTCTCAATGTGGCCTGGGGTTTTTGAGGCTGTCAGAGAGAAACTGAATTCTTAAATCCCCAGGGCCATCACTGTCTTATTTGGTCCCTGCAGCTGGGGCTGAAGGCTCTGAAATGGGGCATGTAACTAGGGCTCCTATTCCCCTTAGCAGTCATTTTCACACTTGCAAAAAATGATGTATTTTCTCAGGCGGGTATGTGGCTGCCAGTAGCAGCCTTCAGCTAAATGAAAGCATTTTCTTGGTCTCTGGGGAACCAGATGCTGACAGATGGACTTCCAGGATTTAAAATTTCCTAGGTTTGTTATTTGAACCTAACAAAAGAGAAAAATCCATCCTGGATACAATTAGAGCATTTTTTTCTTTGTCTTACCCTCCCACCCCCAGTGAAATAGAGAAACATGAAGGACATACTTTTTAGTGCTGTTATTGGTCATTTTAAGCTCAGTGTGGGTGAAATGATATCTGATAACAAATAAGAAGTTTGTGTGTGTCCTTTCAGCTCTCCGAAAAGGTTATAATGTCATGAGTATACTCTGTGCAAGAAGGAAATTCTCAGTATATTCAAATAAAGGACAATTTTACTGTGATACATCATGCAGTTAGGCTTCTGTGCAGGCTAGAAGCTCCCAGAGGAAAGCAGTTTCCGAGCAACTACCACTGACTGGGAAGGGCACTTTGACCCTGAGGGGTATAGCAGAAGAGTGTACACATTTTCATTATACAGCTTCATAAACAGGGTGTCTTTCCTATAGGTATGTGGTAATCAGTTGTGAGCTGTGTCCTCCCAATCTTGTTACTAATAAAAACTGGTATACTTTTAAAATTAACTTTGTTGACTTATATTTGCCTACAGTAAAATTTACTAATTTTATAAGTGCAATTCGATGAGTTTTGACAAATGTGTACAGTCTTGTAATCTCTACCATAACCAAGATTTAGACTATTTCCATCACCCTAAAATGTTCCCCTTTGCCATTTTATAATCAATCTCCTCCATTCCCTCTACTCTGTGGCAACCACTGTTCTGATTTCTATCACCATAGTTTTGTCTTTGTTTCCCCTTTACTGTGTTTCTGAACTTACCTTCTAGGTAATTACCACACTGTTTCTATAACTATACTGATATTACTTATCCCGTTTTTGCCAAGTCTTTGACTTTAGAACCACTAAGTCTCTTTAAAGTAACTTGTAGGTTTCCACTTTGATCCATAACATGTGATCCATACATGATTGTAGTTTAATTCTCATTTCCTCCCCACTCCCCAGTTTCTTAGTTGAGGGTACCTCATTGTCACCTTTATTTATACTTCAAAAGTTGTGAAAGGAGATCATACATATGCTGGGAGGCAGGGTGGGGTCAAGAGGAGGGGAAAACTAGCAAGAGGCTGAGTGGAGAAGTAAGTGTGGCCTCACAAGAGGGGCGAGCATCACTGATGGAGCAGATCCTGGAGGAAGGAAGATGGAATATGCTATTGGCCTGTTGACAATTGGTGGGTGGGTAAGGGATGTGATAAAGACACATCTTCCTAGACAGCAACTCAGGATAGATAGATATTGTCAACAGGTTAACCTGGAGGTGAAGAAAATGCCAGCAAGTCATGTGATGACAATGACTAGAATGGATAGTCAGGGATGCTAAGGAGTGTGCTGGAGGTTTACAGATACTGGAGTAGATGTAGCACAGCAATGGCTTAGTTTAAAGAAATAAATTGCTAAGGGGTATAGCAGATCAGTCAGAGTTGTGGGAGAAGCTATAGGGAAAGGAACAGGCCTTCTGAAAGGTTGGAAGGCTCTGCATAGCTTTAGAGGAGAATAAGCTGAAGGCAGCTGTTCTCTGACCTTGATGCAGAGGGTGAAGAAATAGGTACAAGGGTGTGTAGGGGAATTTATCTTAAATAGGCTTGTTTACTTATGTTGTCTGGAAACTGACGTTTGATCATCTGCATGCGTGACTGCTCCCTGAAAGGGGGAACAATAATGTTAATTACCTGCAGATTGTGTTTGCTCCAGGCTTTAGACATTATGTCTGTACTGAATAAAAGCAAGCAGCTCCAGCTGTTCAGGACGACTCACTCTTCTGCCACTAGTGCTGGGCAGTCCCCTAGCTGCTCTTACACTGCATACCTGTGTCTGAGTACTCCTTTCATCCCTCACTTGGCCAGGGTCTATGGGACAGACCTGGCAAAGGGGCATTCAGGGGACAGTTGCTCCTTTAGGTACCACTTGGGTACCATTTTCTGTGGGTGCTTCTTTGGTCAGGTGGATCCTTAGTCCTGCTCAAATAAATTTTTTATTAAAATTTTTTCACACCTAAGGAAAAGTTTCCAGAATATTACATTGTACTCCCATATTCCTTCACTTAAATGCAATCCGTTGTTAACATCTTGCCACATTTGCTTTATCTCTTTCTCTTTTACATAAAACATCCACAATATTTATTCTCATAACTATTATAATCTTGATGATTATTATATTATTATCATCTTGCTCTACCATTTGAGAGTAATTTGCAGAGGTCACGACTCTTCATCCCTTCAGCATACAGCTCATAAGAACACAAACCTTTTCTTTTTTTTTTTTGCTTACATAACCACACAGTAAAATTCATCAAATTAAAAAAATTAACATTGATACAATGGTACTACCTAACACATAGTTCATATTCAATTTTGTCCAATTAAAGGGGCTTGCATTTTAAATGATTTTCTTAGAGACCAAAATAGATTAATGACTCAAGAAATGATGCTTTTGTGGCCAAGAAACAGGAAAAAATGCTCACATCACCAATCATCAGAAAAATGCAAATCAAAACTAAAGTGAAATATCATCTCACACTAGTGAGAATGCTATCATTAAAAAGTCAAAAAACAAGGCTGTGCTCAGTGGCTCACGCCTGTAATCCCAGCACTTCGGGAGGCCGAGGTGGGTGGATCACTTGAGGCCAGGAGTTCTAAACCAGCTTGGCCAACATGGCAAAACCTCATCTTTACAAAAAAATATACAAATTACCTGGGTGTGGTGATGCATGCCTGTAATCCTAGGTACTTGGGAGGCTGAGGAGGGAGAATCACTTGAACATTTGAACCTGGCAGAGGTTTCAGTGAGCCAAGATCACACCACTGCACTCCAGCCCAGGCAACAGAGCAAGACTCTGTCTCAAAATAAATAAATAAATACAAATAAATAAAATGGAAAGTCAAAAAACAGCAGATGTTGGCGAGGCTGTGGAGAAATGGGAATGCTTATACACTGTTGGTGGGAATGCAAACTAGTTCAGTCACCATGGAAAGAGTTTAGAGATTTCTCAAAGAACTTAAAATAAAACTATCATTCCAGCCAGCAATCCCAGTACTGGGTACATACCCAAAGGAAAATAATTTATTCTATCAAAAAGACACGTGCATTCGTATGTTCATTGCAGCATTATCCACAATAGGGAAGACATGGAATCAACCTAGGTGCCTACCAACAAGGGATTGGATAAAGAAAATGTGGAACATATTCACCATGGAATACTGTGTAGATTTAAAGAAGAAAATCGTAATATGCAGCAACATGGATAGAGCTGGAGGTCATTATACGAAGTAAACTAACACAGGAACAGAAAACCAAATACCACGTGTTCTCACTTATAAGCAGTAGCTAAACACTGGATACACATGAACATAAAGATGGGAACATTAGACACTGGGGACCACTAGAAGTCAAGGGAAGAGAGAGAGGCATGGGCTAAAGAACTATCTGTTGGGTACTGTGCTTACTGCCTGGGTGACTGGATTACGGGGACTCCAAGCCTTAGCATCACACAATTTAACCCCATGTAACCTGTGTGTGTGCCCGTTAATCAATAATAAAAGTTGAAATTAACTTAAAAAAAGAATAAAAACACAAAACAAATCAATGTATTTGTAACTATTTGTAATAAACAGTTCATTGCTCTATTAAAAATAATGCTTTGGGGAGCACTAATTGATGGGGGTTGCTATTTGAGAGCAGAGGGGTAGCTATTGACCACATTTGAACTAGTCTTGTAGAAAGTGTGCAAAATGTGTTTAGGTGACCTGAAGTATTTGTATATTGGTTAAAAAATCATTTGCCTATTTTTCATTTTTTATTTTCAGCTTTAGGGACCCTGCTGGTACTGAGTGAACAAGCCCAGGCCATTAGCTATTTGGAGCACTTCATCTCAGCACCATTTCTCTGGCGACTTGTAACAGGCAGGGCTATACAAAAGAAAATCCTTTTTACTACCCCAATTCATATCAATCAAAGACCAAGGAAAGGCTCCTAATATCTTTTTAAAATGTTTTCATTTATCTTGGAGTTTACTTGTCATAAAAACCGCATGTTTAAAGTGTCCATTGGGTGTAAATGGTCCCATAAACTCTTGTAACTGAGTGACACGTGATAATGAAAGTAGCTTCACAAAGAACAACAAAATAGATCTCTTTTTTATTGTAATCATCAAATAGTGTGCCCCAAGGTATTGATTGAATTATACATAAAGCTGATATGGAGCTATAAAAAGGATGATAGCATGCTGCTTCAAAACAAACCACAAACAGATTAGCCTTTGAGAAATAACCTTAATTCCAACAACATTCACAACCTTTGCTGGATGAATCACAAAACAAAAATATTTCTGGAAGAAGATATTTCCTGTATATATGTAAACTAAAAGTGCACTCTGAGAAATTTTATCAGCCAAAAGGTAGAATTGTGTATTCAAACAAGGAAGAGACATATTTACTTATGAGGCAAGACTAAATACACAGGAGAATATCTGGTATCTAATAGTCCAGGTGAAATCCAGAGTTTCACTTTTTGTGGTTTCTGAAGTCAACCACAATCTAAAAACATATGGAAAATTCCAGAAATAAACAATACATACGTTTTAAATTGGGCGCCATTCTGAATAGCATGATGAAATTTCCCATTCTGCCCAGCACATGAATCATCCCTTTGTCCAGCATGCAGGCTGTAGACACTCACTGCCCATTAATCACTTAGGAACTGTCTGGGTTATCAGATCAGCTGTCATGGTACTGCAGTTTCTGTGTTCAAGTAACCTTTATTTGACCTAATGATAGCCCCAAGCCACAGTAGTAGTGATGCTGTAATATTATTATAATTATTAGTTATTGTTGTTAATCTCTTATTGTGTGTAATTTATAAATTACATTTTATTATAGGTGTGTAAGTATAGTAAAAAAGTAGTATATACAGGATTCATTACAAGCTGTAGTTTCAGGCATCCACTTGGGGTCTTGGAATGTATCCCTCTTGGATAAGAGGGAACTACTGTATCTTGATAAGATGCTGTAATGAAGTTGTTAGTATTCAGAGAAGCTCAAGTTCTGGAAAAATCTAGGGAAGACTTTGTGGAGAAAGGTGGTTTGACCTGGGTATCTGCTTTTATATATTTTCTACCTGAAATGTTAAACTGTTTTAAAGAAATAAATTATTTATTTTCTTTGAATTTTCCAGTTTAAATTGATTGAATGGTGGACTGGGCAAGATATTGGAATTTGGAATTCTGTTTTTTGTGTTTTTTTTTGTTTTTGTATTTTTTTTTTACTGGTTCATTTCCCTCCAGATAAGGTAACTCTTTAAACATCCTTATCTGCAAGGAATATTGTGGAATGGAAAACATACTATTACTCACATTTTTCTTCAGTTTACATTTTATTCTTGTGATGTGCCCCGTGTTTTTTTGTCTTCATGCCTCTGCTCATGTATTTTATTCCTGCTGGAATTCACTTTTTCTCACTTCTATGTGTGCAAATCCTACCCTTCTGTCCTCTTCAGTGAGAAGGCTCCCCTGAATACCCTAACTGGGAATTTTTTTAGAAAATTCTTTTCTAATTCTTTCACCTTTCTTAATGTCTCTGAATACTTTTAACTGTCCCTCTCTTATCGCCCTTACCAGCTTCTATTTGGTATGGTGGGTATGAATTAAATATGCTTCCTATTCCTTCTGGCCTATAGACCTCTCAAAGAAAGAACTTGAACATATTCTTTGATGAACAAATTTTTGGTGCCAAACTTGTGAAATTATTAATGAGCATTGCAGATTCAGATTCAAAGCATAACAGTCATGTCAACTCATCTTTTCAATGAATTATTCTACAATACATTAAAAAAAATGCTGTCCTATCTGATATTTTCACAATCTGTTCTATAATTTTAAAGGTACCTTAGGGTTTTTCTTTGAAGGCAGATCCACATGTATATGGTTAATTTATTTTTTACAGAGGTGCCAAAGAAATTCAATGGGGAAAGGATAATTTTTTTCAACAAATAGTGCTGAAATAATTGGATAGCTATCTGTAAAAGAAAAAAAAAGGAACCTCAATCCTTGTCTCACACCGTATGGAAAAATTAACTTGAAATATGTTTTATTCTTAAATATGAGCTAAAGGTATAAAACATTAAAAATAAAACACAGGAAAACATCTTAGTGACTTACAGTTTAGTAAATATTTCTTAAAGACAATACAAAGGCACAATCTACAAAAATTATTGATGTATTGGACTTCATCAAAATTAAAAACATTTGCTGTTCAAAATACACTGTCATAAAAAGGATAATACAAAGGCCCACTTTGGGAAAAACATAGTAAAACATATATAGAAAAAAGAACTTGCATCTAGAATATATAAAGTGCTCATACAACTAAATAAGAGGAAGACAAAACACCCAATTTAAAAAAATGGGTGAAGAATTTTAGAGACACTTCACCATAGAAGATGTTCAAATGGCAAATAGTCATAATATTATTAGTCACTAGGAAAATACACATTAAAAGCCATAGTGAGATACCACTACACTCTGTTGTAATAACTAAAATAAGAAGACTGAGAGTACCAAGTGTTAACAACAATGTGGAACAACTGGAACTCTCCTATATTGCTGGTTGGAACGTAAGATGGTATAACTATTTTGAAAAGCAGTGTGAGAGTTTTTTAAAAAGTTAAAAATCTACCTCTCGTAAGACCTATTATTCTACTCTTGAGTATTTAACCATAAAAAAAAAGAACATAGATTCATACAAAGCTTTCATATTAATTTTTATATAGCTTTGTTTTCAGTAACCCTAAATTGGAAACATCCTAAATATCCGTCAACAGTTGAATGCATAAACATATTGTGGTATAGTCATACAAAGGAATAATCTTTAGCAACGAAAATGAGTAGACTATTGATACATTCAACAACATTGCTAAATCTTAAAATAACTATGTTGCATGGAAGATGTCAGATTTAAAAATGCATACATATTGTATGACTCCATTTATATGATGTTCTAGGAAATGAGCACTAATTAGAAAAAAACAGATCAGTGATTGCCTGCAGGTGGGATGAAAAACAGGAGAAAAGAATTTCAAATAATTACAAGGAAACTTTGGAGGTGAGGATTTTGGGTTGCTTATTTTTTTTATTGTGATGGTGATTTCACAGTGATGAATGTATGTTAAAATTAATCAAATTGTATACTTTAGACATAATGCTTTTTTTGTGTGTGGGGATGTCAATTTTACTTCAATAAAGATGTTAAGAAGATTGCTCCCAAACTGATATTTTTGCAATCTGTTTTGGAGAGTCAAAGTGATCTTTTGGTTTCTTTTGGAAGGCAGATATGATATAAAGCAAATGGACTGCTGAGTTATGGAGATATGAACTTGTTACATTGGTGTGCATTTCCCAGATGAATTTAGAGACTTAGCTCCTTCTCTTCTAGAATTCTACAGGAAGGCTCCAGAGAAGGCACTGTGTAAGCTCAAGTGTGCACAGGCCTGTCTTAGTTTATATTGAGCTTTGAAACTTACTTCCTTCTCTTCTGGAAAACAAGCATGATAATAACTACTACATATGAATGATGAGAAGATTACACAATGTAGCCAAAGCACACAGCACAATGATACAGGGTCCTTCCCTTTCTTTTTCCTTTGTTTTTCTCTCTTCTGCACAAAGCCAAGCACAGGTTGCCTGTGTAACAAGTGTTCAATAAATCTTGAATCACTCACCATTGACTGTTCCAATTCAGCTGGTTAAGGCATCTAAAAGAATAAAGAATTTTCCAATCTATATTTTTAGGTCTTGGAATAAAACAACAAAAATTTTGAGTATGAGCAATTACAGCACTTGGGACAAATTTGACAACTGATATAATATTCACTAAGGTAGTTATAGAAATTTGAACCCCTGTTTCACACAAAGCAACTAGTCAAGATTTAATGAATTATTGCCTTTGAAAAACTTAAATAATTATTTTGAAAGTCCAGTTACCTGACTTGGTCAAAATTATGCAATGCATATTTCTTTAATTTAGAAAACAGGGCAAACACAGTGGCTTAAGCCTGTAATCCCAGCACTTTGGGAAGCTGAGGCGGGTGGATCACCTGAGGTCAGGAGTTCAAGACCAGCCTGGCCAACATGGTGAAAACCTGTCTCTACTAAAATAAATAAATAAATAAATAATTAGCTGCGCAAAAAATTAGCTGTGGCAGGTGCCTGTAATCCCGGCTACTCAGGAGGCTGATACAGGGAACTCACTTGAATGGGGAAGGAGGAGGTTGTGGTGAGCCAAGATTGTGCCACTGCACTCTAGCCTGGACAACAGAGTGAGACTCAGTCTCAAAAAAAAAAAAAAAAAAAAGGTTTGACTAATCAAGCAGACATTCAGGAATGCAAACAACAAATGCTTTCTTTAGACTTTAAGAGACTCTCTATATGGAATATGCCACACTGATGGAATTTCTTTCAAGCAGTTTCTTATTGCCTCCTCAGTCTGTTATGAAAGCCCAGGAAGGTACTGGGAAAGAAGGACAAGTATTCTATTTTTAAATATCTTCAATAAGGTCATAGAAAAAGTTTCCTGTTAGCCTCAGGCATTCTGAAACTGTGGTTGGCAGTTAAAGGCAGCTTGTTTTCCAGGATTGATCAGATCAGATGGAAAGTCCTTTATATACTATTAGGTAGCCAGGAAGGAGTTACAGAAAGCTGCATTCTGGGCAGAGACAATTTCTGAAAAGCTGCATTATCAGTTTGAAAAATATAAAACAACTAAATTTCTGTGAGCTACTGTGCAGTGACCACTTAAAAAGTTACTGTCATATAGAAAAGCAGCAGACCAACCAACAAAATCCTTTACAAATTCGATCTTGGTTAGCTAGTATTTGAGGTGTTCAAATAGCACTTGGGCTGAAGTTTGCATTTGTTTAGAAAATTCTTTTGTCAAAGATTGCTAATCAGATTATGTTGTGATTATAATGAAGATCCATAAACTATTCAAGCATATTAACCTCTTCAAGAATCTATATATAGTTTAAAATTTCTCACTGTTAGGAGGCTCTTAGGTTTATTACAAACCATGCAATACGATTTTATCTCACTAAATGTACGTTTGTGAGATTCAAATCACTTTTTAAGGAAGCAGGTAATTCATGAATAAATCAATGAGAAATAGGACCTTTTAGCTGACATTGTCAATTCCCTACCTACATCCCTGTGGCAATGATGCTTCATACATGACTTCCAAACTTCAGTCTACCTGCACCTGCAGCTCTGCCTGAGTGTTATCTGGCTGTTGAAGCCACTGAGCAAGCCAACATTGCCCATATATTCTCCATTTCCCTTTGGGTGGGTAGTAAATACCCACATTCCTGTCCTCATGAAGTGGGATAGCTTTGAGGCCCATGTTCTAAACTATTTTCTAGTTCCCAAGATAAATTAAGCTCCAGTTGTCTACAGTGGCAACTTTCTTGAGGACACACCCTTTGTTAGCCCTTTATTACTTCACCTCCCTACTCTCCTACCAGTTTTCTAGAATTGCCTTTCAAATAAATTCTTTATCTTCATCTCAGGATTCTCTTCTGTTGGAATATAAACTAAGACAGAACTGTGCACACAGGAGCTTACACGTTGCCTTCTCTGGAGCATTCTTGTAGAATTCACAGGCTTCTAGGAAGGGGAATTACTCCCGAAAAACTTTGTGTGAGTCCATGCTCAAGGAGTAAAGCCTTATGCTATTAAATGGGGCACTTCTGAAGAAAGAGAAAGTTAAGAAGGAGGGTTATTTCCAAAAGCCATATTTCCCCTTTTCACAACTCTTTGGGTGGGGAAGACTGACTATGGACATTAGGAAACCCCTTCACTAAATGTGGGAAGGGCTTTTGAAAGGGGCACGTCTGCTTTCTGTCTTGGCAAGTGTTGCTTGTAGCATATTTCCTGACATTTCAGTAGAGAATGCGGCTCTGTGTAAATTCAGAAGCAGCCCCAGAACCACCAATTATAGAGATAATAATTTCTGCTCAATAATATGTAAAAATGCTACTTAAAGCTAACCCTCAATTATAGCCTATAAATGATGACAAACGTATTTCTCTGTTGTGGCAGAAATTAAAGGCTTGCTTACTGCTTAAGACATGATTTATCTGATGGGAAAACAAATGAATGACAATATGTGGTCTTCCTTTAGTAACTGTATTTGCTGTGGGGTTAGCATCAGAAAAGTGGGGAAGGAGGCAGGGTAAAGAAATATGCGTATGCTGTATGGTGAAGGCAAGGCACAAGGTCTGTCCGTGGGTGAACATGGGGCTGATGAATCCATGGCCAGGAAGTCAATTTCTACTTGGATAGGTGAATTTCATGGCAAGAGAAAAACAGCGGTCCTGGAATAACAGGTAGGAATCAGAATTCCAGCTTGTCATGCCATGCAATGCAAATAACCTCTATCTTCATCTTCTTGTAAAAATATGAATTGTCAGACGGATACTTTAATTTCCAGTAACACCATGGGGTGTTCGCCTGCTTCACCCCCAACTCTAATTATAGGCTAGAACTCTTATGTGTGGATGTATTAGTCTGTTCAGGTTGCCATAATAAAATACCATAGGAATGGGTGCTTAAACAACAGAAATTTATTTTCTCATAGTTCTGGAACCTAGAAGGCCAACATCAAGGTGTGGTCAGGGTTGGTTTTTGGTGAGGGGGCTGTTGCTGGCTTGCAGATGACCACTTTCTGGCTTTATCTCCTTACATGGCCTTTCACCTGTGCTTCCGATGTTTCCTCCTCCTCTTATAGAGACATCAGTTCTATTGCATTAGAACCCTTGTGATTTCACTTAACCTTTGTTACTTCCTTACAGGCTCCATCCCCAAATACAGTCACACTGGGGGTTAGGGCTTTAACATATAAATTTTAGGGGAGGACACAGTTCAGTCCATAACAGTGGGAATTAACGGCTTAATGGTCACGGTTCTAAAAAAAAAACTTCTGTTCTTTCTTCCTCCACCATCCCCAGAGTACTAGGGTCACACAAAAATGCCTTGTACTCTGCAATCTAGAGACTAAAGAAATAAAATTTCATTTAGTGAATATTTATTCTGTGGCAGGCTATTTGGTATAATATTTTAATTCTCACACCAACTAGGTCCTATGCAACAGGTACTTTTTTATTTTCTAAACCAGAAAATTTAGGCACAGAAAAAGTTAGGTACATAAGCCAGGGTCCACACAGAAAGCTCTTGTGTTTTCTGTTTCATTACTCTGATTTTTCTCAATGCAGAATTGTTTTGATAATTGATTATGGTTTTAACTTTCTGTACTCTTCCCTGATATTTAGTTTTTTTCAATTGTTAAAACTTAATGGTGAAGCTTTCAGACAGACATATAGTTAAAGGGTTATAGGTTATTAAAGGTTATTTTCCATTTGAGATTAATTGCACATAAATGAATGAAAGCCTTTTGAAATGTATCATAGAAATCAATGAAAAAATAGCATTTATTTAACAAATGTTAACTTATAAGAAGAATTCTTCAGAAAGAAAATTTATGAAGGTAATAAAGGCTATTTATTAAACATGATGGACTTATATTTCATTCCACTTATGGAAATCGAGGATAGCTGCTGTCCTACCATTTCATTCACTCATCTATCTTATATGTATGCATGGTATTCTTTTTTTATGCAAAATTTTATGCTGGACCCTGTTCTGGCTGTACATAGTAAAGAATGTACTTGAGGTACTTTTTACTCTAGTAAAGGCAATAAAGATACCTAAAAAACTATTCAGAAAGAAGGTGCAAGATAAAAGAGCCAAATAATCCAGATTAAAAGCAATAACAACAACAATTCAATTTCTGTATCTTGTTATGTCAAGTTTTACCAAACCCCTACCCCAAACTTCATTTATATGAAGACAGCTTGGTATAACTTAAAATAAATGTGACTATAATATATAGTCACATTTATTGTGATTATATGTGATAACATATCTTTTTCAGAAGAGTAATACAACTAAAAATACGCAAATCATTGAATTCTTGATATTGAGGTTTGAAGCCTTCTTCAAGTTTATGTGAGCCCATCTCTTGCCCTTTGCAGGAATTTTTTCTCTTGCAATAGGTACTTCAGCTTCTATGTGAAGACCTCTAATGATAGATTTTTAAAAATATTCTGTTGATGCCCACCTTGAGACCATGAAGAAGTATTAATACAAGTAAAATTGACCTTCCAACTGGAAGTCTCATGTATTGATTGTAGAGGTTTTTTTTTCCCTCTCTCAGCAATGTGCTATTTCAATTTTTTTTTTTTTAATACACTCTTGTGCTCACATGGCTCTTAAGATCCTGGTCACACTCTTTAATTTTCACAAGATATTCTCAGGCCCACTGCATTCTTTTTCCATTACATTTCACAAAAATCTTCCTTAGAGGGTAATTAAGTTTTACACTGGTGACTGATATCTTGAATTTTTAGCATTCTGCTAACCATTCATATACAAACACAAATGTGCACACACACCAGCACACACAAACCACCCTACATTGACCCATTTTATAGTTTGCAGTTTAAGCTAGGCAGTAATCGATAACAATGACTTCTACTATAAGCTCACTGCCTAGGAAGATAGTCTTCTTTCTTAGAAAGGATTGTTGTGATCTACCATTCCAAGTGTTGATTTATGGTTCTTTATGCCAAAAGGAATAATATGAGTCTACTTCAAGATGGCAGCCCTATGATTATATTTTGTTTCTCTCCATTTCAAACCATCACCGATTTCTTCAATTGCTTTTTCTATGGTATGGTTTCCAAATTCTTTACCATTGTGTCTGCTTTTCTGGTTTTATTGCTTATTGATGTATCTTCTCAAAAATGGCTTCTACATATGACCCTAACCCTGACATTTTGTGATCCCTGAGTGTGGTTGTGATATTGTTATCTGCTTTCAAAATATGACACTTCTACTAATATAGGCTAAGACTACAGAAACTGCAACAAATTAGCATCACATAATTGGTTGATAATTGGGCTTTTAGTCAACCTGAAATTTTCACTTGAACTCTGGCTAAATTAGGTATTGGTCATTATTGACTATATTGTCTTTGGTGAATTCCCTAACCATCCTTTAGCCTCAGTTTCCTGAATATATCTATCTTACTAATTGTTACAAAAGATGAAGGAAAAATGCATGTAAAGTGTCAACTCTTGCCTGAAACTTAGTGTTTATTAATTAAATAATTGTTGTTATATTTATTCTAGCTATCAATTTCCAAATAATGGTGGAATATAGTTTAAGGATAAAAATCTCCCCATTGTATGAATTTTAAATTAAACTTTCAACATCTAGGTCTATCAAATTCTATTTTTAACACATAATTGATAAGCAATTTTATATGCATTGACTCACTTGAGTGGTATAAAACCAGTGAGATAGAAGTGACAGGTATTATCATATCCATTTTGTAAAGGAGGAAATAAAAGTTCAGAAAGGTTAAGTGACTTGTCCATTATTCTATACTTTCTAAGTATTTAAGCAAAATATCTTTGATTTTGTTATATTTTAGTGTGGCAAAATAAAATATATTTTGTTGTTTATGGAATTTGCAATAATGTCCAAAAGCTAATTGTCCAGTTAAATATATTTTTATTGCCCAGAGTTAAATGAATTTTAAAAATACATAAATTATCCCAATTTATAAGTCTAAGAGAATAGCTAACTTCATTTTAGCATATTGTTTTCTTTCCATTTTCATTGGTATACAATCATATTGTATGTAATTATAGAAATTGTACATTTCTGAATCTAAATTTTTAGTTAATAATGTTATAAATATTTTTCCTTGTAGTTACATAGAGTTCATTGCTATTGTTTTTTAAAACCTACATAATATTTTATTGATTTTAATAGTTTACTTAATTTTTTCAAAAAATATAGGTTAGATAATGCTGCAATGACTATTTTAAAGAATATATTATTTTCTTAATATAAATTACCTGGAATGATTAGGTCAAAAAGTAGGAATATTGATCAAATTGATATGGATCAAGTTACATGTATTTATGTTGCATTTCAAAGTCTTTATATGCCAACAATGTAGACATGGCCTAAGTTAGACTGAGTTCTAATAAATTGTTTTGTAATAATTTTGCTAATTTTGATATGAAATGCTATTATATTTTTATTTTTAATTAGTGGTAAACTGAAATATTTTTCCATATTTTGGACATTTCTTCAGAACTCCCTCATAACCTTTGTCAATTTACTTTTTAATAAATTGCCTGCCAGACATTTCTGAATCCCAGTGATGGATAAAGCTGAGGGTGCAACTTGGACTCCTGATGACACTGTAATTAGAGATAAGATTGAGTATCACTAAAGGAGATAGTTCTCCATATCTGTTACACTGGTTGTTTTTTTTTTTGGAGGCCTCTTGTGGGTAGGGCTCAGGTGAACGCCAGCAGTGTCCCTGGTGTGGTGGGCCCTCCTTCCTCTTGGCAGTGGGAAACATCTCAGCCATGCACACTGGGCATGGGCTCTAGAAGAGGGACCTCACCCTCTTTTGCTTTCCTTTACTTTTATTTAATTTTATTAATTTATTTGTTGAGACAAAGTCTTGCTCTGTCGCCCAGGCTGGAATGCAGTGGCAGGATCTTGGCTCACTGAAACCTCCACCTCCCAGGCTCAAGTGATTTTCAAGCCTTAGCCTCCAGAGTAACTGTGATTACAGTCATGCACCACCACGCCTGGCTAATTTTTGTATTTTTAGTAGAGACAGAGTATCGCCATATTGGCCAGACTGGTCTTGAACTCCTGACCTCGCCTCAGGTGATCGCCTGCCTTGGCCCCCCAAAGTGCTGGGATTACAGGCATGAGTTACCATGCTGACCTTACTTTCTTTTTAAATAGGAGATTGTTAGAACAGGCCTTGCACCAGGGGACAAATAGACTGCCTCAGCCCCAAGCACTTGGACCTCACATGTCAGCTCTTAGCACCTGCTGATCTTGTGGGAAACTGGGTTTGTGCACAGCCTGTCCTGCTTGGAAAGAGTGCCTGGACACAGTTTAGTTTTATTAGGTGCCCAGGGAAAGTTTCCAAGGTGGGGTTGAGGATGTTCATTGGATAACAGGCTTGTAGGTACACAGGACTCAAATGAGATAAGGCACTTAGAGCCATTATGAAATAAAAGTTGCTAGACAAGGTCAAGGTCTGAGTGATTCCCAACATGAGCACTTCTCTAGTAACAAGGGTATGGGAATGGTAGTTTCTAAAGTCTTTTCTAAATTAACCAGTGATATGGTTTGGCTGTGTCCTCACCCAAATCTCATCTTGAATTTTAGCTCCCATAAGTCCCATGTGTTGTGGGAGGGACCAGGTGGGAGATAACTGAATCATGGGAGTGGGTTCCCCCACACTGTTCTTATGGTAATGAATAAGTCTCATGAAATCTGATGGTTTTATAAGGGGAAACTCCTTCCCCTTGGTTCTCATTTCTCTCTTATCTGCCACCTTGTAAGACGTGCCTTTCACCTTCAGCCATGATTGTGAAGCCTCCCCAGCCATGTGGAATTGTGAGTCCATTAAACCTCTTTTTCTTTATAAATTATCCAGACTTGTATATGTCTTTATCAGCAATGTGAGAATAGATTAATACAGTAAGTTGGTACTAGTAGGGTGGGGTGCTGCTGTAAAAATATTAAAAAATGTGGAAGCAGCTTTGGAACTGGGTAACAGGTAGAGGTTGGAACAGTTTGGAGGACTCAGAAGAAGACAGGAAAATGTGGGAAAGTTTGGAACTCACTAGAGACTTGCTGAATGGCTTTGACCAAAATTCTGATAATGATATGGACAATGAAATCCAAGCTGAGGTGGTTTCAGATGGAGATGAGGAACTTCTTGGGAGCTGGAGTAAAGGTGACTCTTGCTATATTTTAGCAAAGAGACTGGTGGCATTTTGCCCCTGCCCTAGAGATTTGTCGAACTTTGCACTTGAGGGAGATGATTTAGGGTATCTGGCAGAAGAAATTTCTAAGCAGCAAAACATTCAAGAGGTGACATATACGCTGTTAAAAGCATTCAGTTTCAAAAGGGAAACAGGGCATAAAAGTTCAGAAAATTTGCAGCCTGACAATGCCATAGAAAAGAAAAGCCCATTTTCTGAGGAGAAATTCAAGCCAGCTGCAGAAATCTGTATAAGCAAGGAGAAGCCAGATGTTACTCAACAAGACAATGGGGAAAATGTCTCCAGAACATGTCAGAGACCTTTGTGACAGCCCCTCCCACCACAGGTTGAGAGGCCTAGGGAAAAAAAATGGTTTTGTGGGCTGGGCCAAGGGCCCCCCTGCTGTGTGCAGCCTAGGGACTTGGTTCCCTGCATCCCAGCTGCTCTAGCCATGGCTAAAAGGGGCCAAGGTACAGCTTGGGTCATGGCTTCAGAGGGTGCAAGCCCCAAGCCTTGGCAGCTTCCACATGGTGTTGAGCCTGTGAGTGTACAGAAGTCAAGAATTGAAGTTTGGAAACCTCTGACGAGATTTCAGAGGATGTATTGAAATGCCTGAATGTCCAGGCAGAAGTTTGCTGCAGGGGCGATGCCCTCATAGAGAACCTCTGCTGGGGCAGTGCAGAAGGGAAATGTGGGGTTGAAGCCCCCACACAGAGTCACCACTGGGGCACTGCCTACTGGAGCTGTGAGAAGAGGGCCACCGCCCTCCAGACTTCAGAATGATGGATCCACTGACAGCTTGCAGTGTGCATCTGGAAAAGCCACAGACACTCAACACCAGCCCAAGAAAGAGGCTGTACCCTGCAAATCCACAGGGGTGGAGCTGCCCATGACCATGGGAACCCACCTCTTGCATCAGCGTAACCTGGCTGTGAGACAGGGTGTCAAAGGAGATCATTTTGGAGATTTAAGATTTGACTGCCCTGCTGGATTTTGGACTTATATGTGGCCTGTATCCCCTTTGGCCAATTTCTCCCATTTAGAATGGCTGTATTTACCCAATTCCTGTAACCCCATTATATCTAGGAAGTGACAACTTGCCGTTGATTTACAGGTTCATTGGTGGAAGAAACTTGCCTTGTCTCACATGAGACTTTGGACTGTGGACTTTAGAGTTAATGCTGAAATGAGCTAAGACTTTGGGAGACTTTTGGGAAGGCATGATTCATTTTGAAATGTGAGAATGTGGGATTTGGGAGGGGCCAGGATGATACTGTTTGGCTGTGTCCCCACCCAAATATCATCTTGAATTGTGGCTCCCATAATTTCATGTGTTGTGAGAGGGACCAGGTGGGAGGTAATTGAATCATGGGAGTAGGTTACCCCATACCATTATCATGGTAGTGAATAAGCTTCACAAGATCTAATGGTTTTATAAAGTATTTCCCCTTTATCTTGGTTCTCATTTCTCTCTTGCCTGCCACCATGTAAGAGGTGGCTTTTGCCTTCCACCATGATTGTGAGGCCTCCCCAGCCACGTGGAACTGTGAGTACATTACACCTTTTCTTCTTCATAAAAAAAAGACTTTACCCAGTCTCAAGTATGACTTGATACATACTTATAAATTACCCAGTCTCAAGTATGTCTCAAGACATACTTATACCCAGACATACTTAAAAATTAGACAGTCTCTAGTATGTCTTGAGACATAAATTACCCACTATCGAGTATCAGCAGCATGAGAACAGACTAATACAACCAGTGAGTATATAAAGCCTTTTGGTTTTGAGAGAGAGAACAGTCACCTTAGAGATAGCAAGGTCAGAAGTCTAATAAATCACATTTTAATTAAAGAAAAAGCAAATATTACCTATTCCAATTGTATCAGTATGTTAGATAATTGCATGATTTTTTAAAAAATTAAATTAAATTTTATTATTATTATACTTTAAGTTTTAGGGTACATGTGTACAATGTGCAGGTTTGTTACCTATGTATACATGTGCCATGTTGGTGTGCTGCACCCCATTAACTTGTCATTTAGCATTAGGTATATCTCCTAATGCTATCCCTCCCCCTTCTCCCCACCCTGCAACAGTCCCCGGTGTGTGATGTTCGCCTTCCTGTGTCCATGTATTCTCATTGTTCAATTCCCACCTATGAGTGAGAACATGCAGTGTTTGGTTTTTTATCCTTGCAATAGTTTGCTGAGAATGATGGTTTCCAGCTTCATCCATGTCCCTACAAAGGACATGAACTCATCATTTTTTATGGCTGCATAGTATCCCATGGTGTATATGTGCCACATTTTCTTAATCCAGTCTATCGTTGTTGGACATTTGGGTTGGTTCCAAGTCTTTGCTATTGTGAATAACACTGCAATAAACATACGTGTGCAGGTGTCTTTATAGCAGCATGATTTATAATCCTTTGGGTATATACCCAGTAATGGGATGGCTGGGTCAAATGGTATTTTTAGTTCTAGATCCCTGAGGAATCGCCACACTGACTTCCACAATGGTTGAACTAGTTTACAGTCCCACCAACAGTGTAAAAGTATTCCTATTTCTCCACATCCTCTCCAGCACCTGTTGTTTCCTGACTTTTTAATGATCGCCATTCTAACTGGTGTGAGATGGTATCTCATTGTGGTTTTGATTTGCATTTCTCTGATGGCCAGTGATGATGAGCATTTTTTCATGTGTTTTTTGGCTGTATAAATGTCTTCTTTTGAGAAGTGTCTGTTCATATCCTTTGCCCAGTTTTTGATGGGGTTGTTTGTTTTTTTCTTGTAAATGTGTTTGAGTTCATTGTAGATTCTGGATATTAGCCCTTTGTCAGATGAGCATGATTGTTTTTAAAGATTGAAAACTTGAGTTTTAACACGGCAATAATTACTCCTCCTAACTTAATACTTTTTCATTTCAATTATTACTCAACTGCTGTGGTGTGACACTTATTCTCTTCTTTATTTTTATACTCATATTTCTTTTCTATGAATAGAATGAGGTTAGAATCAGTAGACTAAAACTTTAAAATAAAACTGTTTTCTTCTGAAGCGTTTTACTTGAAAGACAATTAGTTTTGTTTCTAAGTTTCAAAGGTAACATTTCTATTGAAGTTTAATATTAATGCAGAAAAGTACACAAATGTGTGCATTTCCAATTTCCACAAAATGAACACACAGATGTAATTAGCAACAGATAAAGAAATCAAAGTTAACTAGTTCCCAATAAAGGTCACCACCATCCTCTAGCACCCTGGATTTGTTCTGCCTGTTTGTGAAATTTATGTAATGGGATAGTGCAATATGTACTCTTTGGTGTTTGGTTTCAAAAGGTGTTTTATAAGGAAATCTCCATATGTACTGAGAATGTACTTGACTATTTCTTTTCCCAATAAAGTTCTTTTGCAATTGTGTAAGCCATGCATGATGATTACAGTAAACTTAAAACATACAGAACAGTAGAGAAAAACAACAAGGATTTATAATCCTATCACTCAAAGACAACCATTTGGGCATATTGCCTTCTAGTATTTTATTTATACATTCATTAACTGATAAGTGTATGCATCAAATATTTATGGAACATCTACAACATGTAGACATTGTGCTAGGCACAAGAAAAACACAGGCAAACATAATAGTTTTTACATAGTTATAATGAAACTCTTTGTAAACTCTTATATCGTGCCTTTTTCTTAACCTCATATTACAGGTCCCATGCATTTTCATGCTGGCTGTTTAAAACAAAGGCAAGAGGGAGGAGATCTCACAGTTTGGGGTAGCTCTCAGGTCTTCAATATGTTATATTTGGATCTCATCATCTTTCAGAAAGAACAGAAGATTTCTTGAGACCCTCCTGAGGCAGGGAGTGGAAGGAGATGTGATGGAAGGGAATAAGGGACAGGTTCCAGTGACAGAGTGACAGCTTCTTGCACCATCATGGTGGGCAAAAAGAAAGGGGTTGGTCTGGTGACTGAGAAATAAGTGAATACAAACTTAGGGGCTTTAAAGTTAGGGGAAATCCGGGATTGGGAAATCTGGAAATTAGGGTAACAACTAGGGAGCAGCTAAGTAGTGAAAAACAGTGAGTCAAAGAAGGTAGTCAACTATTCTTGGAAGTAGATGCAAGGAGAGTGAGTATTCATAAGGGCAGGAAAAGTAAGAAACAACGGAAGAAAATTTAAGTGGCATGGTCTGAATGTGTCCCCTTAAAATTTGTATGTGAAAACCAATCCCTAATAGGAGGTGATTAGGACATGAGGGCAAAGCCCTCATCAATGGGAGTAATGCTCTTATTAAAAAGACCCAAAAAGCTTGTTTGCCCCTTCTGCCATGTGAAGACAGCAAGAAGGCAGCACCGGTGAGGGACATGGCCCTTCTCAGACACTGAATCATCTGGCACCTTGATCTTGGACTTCCCAGCCTCAAGAACTGTGAGCAATAAATTTATGTTGTTTATAAATTACCCATTCTAAGGTATTTTGTTATAGTAGTCCGAATAGACTTAGACAGTTAGAAAAGTGAGGTGGGTGAGGTGGCCCTGAATCAGAAGCTTTCTAACTGGATGTGAAGGTCATGGGAGGAGCCTGCTGCTTAAAGGATAGGTTATAAGCTTCAGATGTACCAATTCAGCCCACTTCAGGAAAAAAAGGAGAGCCAATATTACAGGGAGGTTTTTCTGGTCTCATCCCATTAGGTCATAAGGGGTGAGGAGGAGAAAGGGAAAGAAACTAGTGATAAACTCACCTGAGGTTTTCAGGCCTAAAGGAGAGAATTACAGAGCCCATTGCTTTGATGTGAAAATTGTCACATTTATTTACACACACATTATCTTGTGACTCTATCAATCCAGGTAAAAATAGAACTTTTGAGGCTAGTTAAAACTTTAAATGATACTTTTAACAATTTAGTCCAAGAAACATTTATAATAACTATCATTTTTATTGGTTAAAATATATTGAAGACTTTGCAGTGTTCCTAATGAACCTTATTCTCATGAATCTTTACAAAGACCATATGACATATGTAAGTCTATTCCCATTTTAGAGATGAGGAAACAGTTTCAATATGGTTTAGCACTTTGTCCAACAGACTCAGCAAATACATGGCAGAGGGAATCTATATGCCATCTGACCTTTCTACTAAGTATTATGAAAAAAAGAGCTTCTTTCTTCAAGGAGATCGAGAGACTCCTCCATAGGCAATCACCCTTGCCTACATAAGGGGAGGTGACAGCGGGTAGCCTTCCCTCACTCCCTGACTCATGGGGTGGCCCATATTCACAAGGGCTTATGTGTAACTAGGACCCCCAGGCTCAGTGGGCAGCTGCAGAATACTTGTTCCTTTGTGTTTTTTTTTTTTTTTTTCTAAAGGGATAGCCAGGGTAGTAGATGCTGTAGATGTGTAGCAAAATTCTAGGAAGGCAAGGATTTTATAGTTGGAATAAAAACAAATGCCTCTTCCCCAGTATAACTGCCAGGTACTTGCATGTGCTTTGCAAGGATCTTCAAAGAGAGGTTTTGTCAGGCTCCAGGCAGCCTACCTGGCCTGTCAAGTTCAAAACCTGATTCCCTCTGCTCAGTTGAGTTTACCTTTTAATCTGGTGAGAAGTTATCACTTTAAAAATGTCTTCATGGGCATGATAAATATTTTAAAACATTTAGAAAGGCAGGTGGACTTTAAAGCTTTCTGTTCTTCCTTGGGTGATTTTGCAAGCTCCTGTTGTATCTTCTCTTCCACAAACCCCAGGAAAAGCATGAGAATATTTGTATGGCATTCTGGGATATGCTGAGGGGATTTAGGAAATTCTTACAGGACTTGGCTAAAATGGTCGTTACCTTTTCTTTATATTATGTAAGAACAGTAAATACAAAAAATGAAAGAACATAGTAAGTATTAAATATTTACAAAATTTCAGATGAATTTCTATTTATTTTATTATGAAAACTAGGATTTCTTCCATGAATATACCTTTTTAATGTGAAGGTTAGTGCTTGAAATGATTACATACAATTTCTGAAAAGAGTTTTTAATGATGTCTTCAAATGCTTCATTGTCTTTGTAGACAAAGAAGTTTTATTTCACAATGGTTTTACAAAAAACTTAAAACGTTTTTTGTGATTATTTTACAATTTACAACAGTTGACATTACGTTGAAGGATCTAACAGCCCTTCCTTTTCTTTCATGGACTAAAATTTCCTGTGATAATGTGAAAAGATTCAAATCTAATTGGACTTTTTCTATCAAGTATTTAGAAATAATGATGGAGTTCTAATTTGTAGAATGTGCATGCATTGTTAGAGCTGTCACGCTGCAGATAGTTTGGATTCTATTAAAAGGGCACATTGGCTGCAAATTGATAGAAGTTTTGACATCTATGAAGGCAGGGAGTCAGGGTGCTGCCTGGCACTTAGCATACTAGGCACTTGTGCCTGGCCCCTCGTCTCCCCTCACGCCCCCACCACCACTCCCAACTGGCCACATCTTGGCCTGGATAGCACTCCTTGACCATTCACAACATGACATTTTCTAGAAGTGTTGTTGGCTGTTTCCTCCATTTCCACAGCAAGGCTGTGCGTTGCAGCTGGCTTCTGAGGTGTAATGCCAAGTAGTACAGCACCTCCCTGTCTGCATCCAGCCTAACTGGGCACACAGCAACAATGACAGACATCACTCATCTTGTCAGTGGCCTGGAGGTATGTAGAACCTCAGACCCTGCTTCTCTCCAAAACGCTCCAAGGAGCCTGGAAGCGGCAGATTGGGGTTGCAACTGACCTGGCTTTGGCTACCCTAGACCCCATCTGGCTGCCCCAGGGCCAAAGGCATCAATATCTCCTGGAACCTGTTGCAGCATTCATGTTTTGGAAAGCTCTCATTTACAGGGACAAATTTCTTGTTTTCCCTGAATCCTTAGGAAATTGAAGGGTATATGTGTGTCTGTGTTTGTGTTTGTGTGTGTGTGTGCACGCGCGTGTGTGTGCATGCTAGTCCTGTTATTTTGCTTACCATCTTACTCAATATTCTTGCAAACAGCCTATCTGGCAATATAAGAGGCAGCAAAGTGTAATTCCTCAGAAGATAGATTCTGGAGCCAGGCTGGCAGGTTTCAATTTTAGCTCAGCCAGTTGCTGGCTTCCTGTCCTGTGTTCCTCTCCTAATCTATATAAAATAGAGCTAATAATAGTGCTGTTTTTCTAGAGCTGTTAATTAATTAAATTAACTCATGCATGTTAATTTCTTGCAGTAATGCCTAGAATAGAGTAAGTGTCCAATAGTAGTCGATGATATTATCATCGACTACTATTGTCGGTGATAATGTTATTGGTGTTGTTAAAAAGTTGACTGTTATTCCAGTAGAGAGTTCTTTGTTTTTACCAGACAATAGTCATTGCTTTGGGTTTCTAATATTTTCCATTAACATTGCACTCTTTGTAACCAGAATGGATATTATCTATTCATTTTAACCACTTGCAACAAGACAACAAGCCAGGAGTAGGGGTAGGGTTTGAGGCATGGAATAGTATCAAGCTACTTACCTCAAGGAAGACTGAATCCTACATTCAGTGTCACTGAGTTGGCTAGAGTAACCTGTAAGCTAATGCAAAAACTCATCTTAAACAATGACATAAGTTTTAAAAACTATATTATGCTCCTTGGTACCCAGAATAATCTTGATTTTTAACATTCTTTGAACCTTGGACTCAAAGACTAGCCACAATAATCAGGAGACCACTTAAAATTTTAGTCTTAACTGAAGACATAAGTTGGCTTCACAATTGAAATGGAAAGTCTACAGAGGGAACAGACTTATGTCTTTCGCCTGTTACAGGTTTTGTCACAGAAAAGTGGATTAATATAGTAACACTTCATTGTAAATGGACATTAATGAATGCTTAATTACCACCAAATTCCTATGGAACTGCACATAATGGCTACTTTCACATTCAAAGAGTTTTTCATGATTAATGTTATTGTAATGAATACCAAAGAAATTAATAACCATTTGTCACTTTAAGAAGTATTGCCGATTAATTTTATGCTATTTTTTATTCTCATTTGTTGTAGGAGTGAGGACCTAGAATTTTAATGTCTAATATGCGGTGTGAATTAAAGAAGCGGCCTTGCTATGCTGACCTTTTCAATATTCTAATCTTTGCTTTGCTGACCTCTCAGGCCTCTTCCTGGCAACAGTTAGGCTTTTGAGAGGAGAGAGAGCTGAGACTGTTGGGTAAGTGAACAGAGTGAGGAAATCTTTTAAGACACACTTTCATAATTCACTGACTGTATTGGAAATTCAAATTTTCAGACTATTCATTATCTTGACAAACATTGTAATGTGTGCAGAATATGGCACCACATAAATCCATTCTAGTGACAAAGAGTGTAGTGAGAATGGGAAATAGTAGAAACCCAAAAGCAATCACTTTACAATCTGGAAACTGGTTAGAGTTAAACTCCCATCAGGTTTCACAGCAGTTCTTTTTTGGCCCTCATAACAATTGCTTTTTACAGAAAGCACAACATGGTACCACCACAGCCAAGTACTCATAATGGGAGATTGTCTATTTGTGCTTTTTAGACTTTTTGATGCAGGCATTTCAGGCTATGAACTTTCCTCTTAGCACCACCTTTGCTGTATCCCAGAAGTTTTGATAGATTGTGTCACTATTATTGTTCAGTTCAAATAATTTTTAAATTCCATGTTGATTTCATTGTGGGCCCAATAATCATTCAGGAGCAGGTTATTTATTTTCCATGTATTTACGTGGTTTTGAGTGATGCTTTTTGGAGTTGATTTCCAACTTTATTCTACTGTGATCAAGAAAGTACTTGATATAATTTAAATTTTTAAAAAATTTATTGAGACTTGTTTTGTGGCCTATCATATGGTCTATCTTGGAAAATGTTCCATGTGCTGATGAATAGAATGTATATTCTGCAGTTGTTGGGTACAATATTCTGTTAAGTCCATTTGTTCTAGGGTATACTTTAAATCCATTGTTTCTTTATTGACCTTCTGCCTTGATGACCTATCTATTGCTGTCAGTGGAGAGTTGAAGTCCCCCACTGTTATTGTGTTGTTGTCCATCTTATTTCTTAGGTCTAGTAGTAGTTGTTTAATAAATTTGGGAGCTCCAGTGTTAGGTGCATATATATTTAGGATTGTGATATTTTCCTGTTGGACAAGTCCTTTTATCATTACATGATGTTTTTCTTTGTCTTTTTTAACTATTGTTGCTTTAAAGTTTGTTTTGTCTTGTATAAGAAGAGCTATTCCTCCTCACTTTTGGTGTCCATTTGCATGTTATATCCTTTTTCACCCCTTTACCTTAAGTTTATGTGAGTCTTAATGTGCTAGGTGAGTCTCTTGAATATAGCAGACACTTGGTTGGTGAATTCTTATCCATTCTGCCATTCTGTATCTTTTAAGTGGAGCATTTAAGCCCTTTACATTCCTTGTTAATATTGGGATGTGAGAGACTATTCTATTCATTATGCTATTTGTTGCCTGAATACCTTGTTGTTGTTTTTAATTTATTGTGTTTTTGTTTCATAGGTCCTGTGACATCTATGCTTTCAGGAGGTTCTATTTTGGTGTATTTTGAGGATTTGTTTCAAGATTTAGAGCTCCGTTTAGGAGTTCTTGTAGTGCTAGCTTGGTAGTGTCAAATTCTCTCAGCATTTGTTTGTCTGAAAAAGACTGTATCTTCCCTTCATTTATGAAGTGTAGTTTCACAGGATACAAAATTCTTGGCTGATCATTGTTTTGTTTAAGGAGGCTGAAGATAGGGCCCCAGTCCCTTCTAGCTTGTAGGGTTTCTGCTGAGAAATCTGCTGTTAATCTGATAGGTTTTCCTTTATAGGTTACCTGGTGCTTTTGCTTCACAGCTCTTAAGATTCTTTCCTTCATCTTGACTTTATATAACCTGATGACTATCTTCCTAAGCGATGATCCTTTTGCAATAAATTTCCCAGGTGTTCTTTGAGACTCTTGTATTTGGATGTTTACGTCCCTAGCAAGGTAAGGGATGTTCTTCTCGATTAGTCCTCAAATAAAGTTTTGTTTATTATACTAGTTTTGTGCTGATTGGCCTCCTGCCAGGAGGTGGCACTTACAAGTTTTCCAGACTTCTAGGTTTCTCTTCTTTCTCAGCAACACCAGTTATCCTTAGGTTTGGTCATTTAATAAAATCCCAAACTTCTTGGAGGCTTTGTACATTTTTTTGGATTCTTTTTGTCTGTATTGGATGGGGTTAGTTTGAAAACTTTGTCTTTGAGCTCTGAAGTTCTTTCTTCTGCTTGTATAATTTTATTGCTGGGACTTTCCAGTACATTTTGCATTTCTCTAAGTGTGTTCTTTATTTCTAGAAGTTGTGATTGTTTTTTCTTCATGCTATCTATGTCACTGAAGATTTTCCCTTCATATCTTGTATCATTTTTTTGATATCATTAAGTTGTACGTCACCTTTCTCTGATGCCTCCTTGATTAGTTTAATAACCGACCTTCTGAATTCTTTTTCTGGCAATTCAGGGATTTCTTCTTGGTTGGGATCCATTGTTGGTGAGCTAGTGTGATTTTTTAGGGGGTGTTAAGGAACTTTGTTCTGTTATATTATCAGAATTATTTTTCTGATTCCTTCTCATTTGGGTAGACTATGTCAGAGGGAAGATCTGGAGCTCAAGGGCTGCAGTTCAGATTATTTTGTCACACAATGTGCTCCCTTGATGTAGTGCTCTCCCTTTTTCCCTAGGGATGTGGCTTCCTGAGAGCCAAACGTCAGAGATTGTCATTTCTCTTCTGGACATAGCCACCAAGTGGAGCTACTGGGCTCCAGACTAGTACTGGGAGGTATCTGCACAGAGTCCTGTGATGTGAACCACCTTCAGGTCTCTCAGGCATGGATAGCAGTACCTCCTCTGGTGGAGGTGGCAGGGGAGTGAAATGAACCCTGTGAGGATCCTTAGTTGTATTAATAGTTTTGTTTATTGCACTAGTCTTGTGCTGTTTGGCCTCCTGCCAGGAGATGGCACTTATAAGACAGTATCAGCTGTGGTGGTATAAGGAGAATCAAGTGGTAGATGGGTCCCTAGAGCTCCCAAGAGAATATATCCTGTCTTCAGCAACCAGGGTGGGTGAAAAAAGACCATCAGGTGGCCGGCAGGGTTAGGCATCACTGAACTCAGACCCTCTTTGGGTGGAACTTGCTGCAGCTGCTGTTGGAGATGGTGGTGTCATTCCCAGGCCAATGGAGTTATGTTCTCAGGGGGATTACGGCTGCCTCTGCTCTGTCATGCAGGTCTCCAGGGAAGTGGGGGAAAGCTGGCAATTACAGGCCTCACCCAGTTCCCACGCAGCCCCAGAGGCCAGTCTCACTTCCACCATGTGCCCCCTCAACAGCACCAAGTTTGTTTCCAGGCAGCAAGTGAGCAGGGCTGAGAACTTGCCCCAGGCTGCCAGCCTCCTGGCTGTGAAAGTAAGCAGGGCTTTTCAGGTTCAGCACCTCCCTACCTGCCATGGCTTCAGTGCTGTGTCTGCACTCCAGATTCACCTCTTTCCCTAAGTTCTGTATGGGAAACTTCACACGTGGTCAAAATTGTTACAAAGTTCAGCTGGAAGTTTTCTTCTCCCGGTAGTCTTTTCCATTTATCTGGCAGCCCTTCCCAGGGACCTCTGTGACAGAAAGTCAGAAATGGCTTCCCTAGGATCTGAGAAAGACCACACAGCTCATCCTGCTGCTGCTTCTATCCCTGTATTTCGCTCGGATATCCAAAATTGTCTCAGCTCCAGGAAAGATCAAATTCTTCTCCTGTGATTCGGACCTTCAGGTTCCTCAGTGAAGGGTGTGTGTTTGGGGTGGACGATCCCTCTTTCACACTTTTACACTTCAGGTGCTCACAGTTTTTGGACTGTCTCCCAGGGCCTTCAGAAGCAATCTGCTTCCTTCAAAGGGTCTGTGGATTTACTCGGCTTTCCTGGTATGTTCCTGTGATAGTTCTTGGAGAGAAAGTTCACAATGTGAGTCTCCATATGCTGCTCTGTCCATCCAAGTGGGAGCTGCAATTTAGTCCTGCCTCCTATCTGCCATTTTCCTAACCTCCTGTTGTGGCTAATTTATTCTTGATTCCATTGCACAAGTCCTTGGATGTCTGAGGAGAGAGGCTAACTGACATATACTGGTAAAGGCATCTTCTCCACTTGGTTATTTGAACCTCTTTTGCAAATGATGATTTATTTGGGGCATTAAATTCAACATCAAAATTCTCACACTTTGTATCCACTACCCTAAGTCTAACATTTGCCTCTTTCCAAGATATTCTTGTACTAGCTTTCCAATGTTGTAACCTAAAGGCCTCTGAGCAGGTAGGCAAGTCATCTGCCACCTCACATAGTACACGTATCATCTTCCCATTCTACCCAAAGTGTACCTCACATAGTACACGGATCATTTCACATTCTACCCAAAGTGAATGGCAAGTTTCTTCACCCAAATCTCTGCCATTGAGAGGACTTCTAATCTTTTTCTTGCAAAACCACTCCTGAGTGGGGCTGTCATGAAGCAGCAGTCTATTTTTGGTTTCTACCTATATTTCAAGCTGATTCATCCATGAACCAAGGTTGAACGTCTTTCTTTTCCATTAAATGGTCATAGTGAATGTCTCATAAGACCATAGGTATGAGCCCCATGGATTTGCTCAAACCTAACTTCTGATGTAGCATTTCCACTTTTTGATTTATTGTTACTGGACTTGCCCAATCTCATGATTTGATGCATCTAATAGTTTGGAGTATACAGTGGGCAGTTATGATCTTAGGGCCCCTTGATTTTTTTTTTTGTCTTAGGAAGTATCACTAGTCACATTTTTTTCTTCCCCAGAATACAATACTGTTTTGAAGAAATTACTATCTTCACTGAAGGGACAAATTTTAGATGCTTTCCATTTGACTTTTCCTACATATTAGCTTTTACTTTTCAGGTCAAGGAGACAATATGAGTTTTCTTAACTGCAATGTATGTCCCTTCTGGTTATATGGTTTTTAACTAAGAAACAACTACCAGGTGGGCTTATGGAGTTATCAAACCCATTGTGAGATAGCTCTGGGCCAATACTGCATTTATTACTGGAGACCTATACTCTAACAGGGTACCATAAGGACTTCTGTGGATAGCTGGTTCTCGGCATTAACTTCATATCCTATATACAACTGTCTTGGAAATAATCTAGTTATTCATCTTTCTCCAGGGCATGTTTATCGAAGTAAAGAGCAATAAATCCCATTTCAAAAAGTCTGTGAAGAACACTATTGTGCCTACTTTCTGTGGTGTTACAGAATCCTTCTTTATCAAGACCTGGCCTCTTCTTCAGTTGGTGGATTCTGAGTCTGAGAATTGACTTAGGTCTGGAAACTGGCCAAATCCATTAAGTGGATAATCTCAGCTCTGTTCATCCATTGTTTATCTTTTCTCATCATGATTTGTTGAGCAATGGTTTTAATGGTTGTCCATCTTGTTCCTAGGCATACTATATTTTCTTATCATTTTCAGTGAATAGCTCTGCCCTAGCTGCTATTCCAACCTTGCTGCCTATTATGGTAATTTTTACCACTTGGCTTATGATTATTAAGTGCTGCCAGCCACCTGGCCTCTACTATTCCCAGCTCTATCATTCCCATGAACATAAGTTCAAGATATTTTCTAATTCTCCTTGTGATTTATTTCTTTGACTCCTGGGATCCCACTTTGGTAAAAACATCTACTAGCTGCTGATTTTTTTTAAGACTGTGTTTTTGGCCAGGCATGGTGGCTCATGCCTGTAATCCCAGCACTTTGATAGGCTGAGATGGGAGATCACTTGAGCCCAGGAGTTGAAGACCAGCCTGGGCAGCAAAGTGAGACCCTGTCTCTACAAAAAATCAAAAAGTTATCTGGGGATGGTGGTGTGCACCTGTAGTCTCAGCTACAGGGGAGGCTGAGGCAGAGGATCACTTGAACCCAGGAGGCTGAGGCCATACTGAGCTGTGTTTGCACTCCAGCACTCCAGCATGGGTGACAGAGAAAGACTCTGTCTCAAAACAAAACAAAGCAAAACAAAAAACAAACAAAACATACAAAGTTTTTGGAGTTCTTTTCTTAGTAGTTACCAGAAATTACAGTATACACCTCAATTTATCTCAATCTATTTCAAGTAAATACTGACCTAATTCCAGAAAAATATAGCAGCTATGTTCTAAAATAGCTCAGTTTCTTCCAATCTCCCTGTAAGCTATAAACCCCTAGTACAGTACTATTCTTATTGCCCTATACAATTTTATTTTTATTATAAAAATTAGAAAGAAAATATATTTATATACTCTTTTACTTACCTATGTTTTTACCATTTTTGTGACTCTTCATTTCTTCCTGTGAATTTAAATTGCCATCTGGTATTTCCCTTCAGCCTGAAGGACTTCCTTTAGTGTTTCTTGTCATACAGATCTGTTAACAATGATTTCTCTCGATCTTTGTATATCTGGGAATGTTTTATTTTTGCCTTCCTTTTTTAAGAAGAGACTTTTTGGTTAGATAATTGTTTGTTGACAGCACTTTGCATATGTCCTTCCGCTGCCTTTTTGCTTCTATTGTTTCTGATCAAAGTCAACTTTAAATAGTACCAGTGATTCCTGTGCACAATGAGTCTTGCTGCTTTCAAGATTTTCTTTTGTCTTTGTTTTACTGCACTTTGCCTATGATGTGTTGAGGTGTTTATCTCTTTGTTTTTAGTCTATTTGGGTTTCATTATCTTGGATCTGTAGATTAATGTTTTTAATCAAATTAGGAAGCTTCAATGATTACTTCTTTAAATGTTCTTGTTCAAATAAACTTTATTTTTAGAACAGTTTTAGATTTACAGAGAATTGTGAAATTAACACAGAGAGTTCCTATATACTTGATACCAAATATTTCCTATTATTAACATCTTACATTATTATTTGTTACAATTAATGATCTTATATGGAGACATTATTGACTGAAGTCCGTACATTTTTCAGATTTTCATAGTTTTTACCTAATGTTCTTTTTCTGTTTCATGATTCTTTCCAGAATATCACATTACATTTAATCACCATGTCTCCTTAGGCTCTTCCTAGCAATTACAGCTTCTTAGACTTTCCTTGTTTTCGATGATCTTGATAGCTTTCAGAGTTAATGCACAGGTATTTTGTAGAATGTTCCTGTATTGGGATTTGTCTGCTGTTTTTCTTATGATTAGACTGAGATTATGTGTTTTTGGAAAAAAGATCATTGAAATAAAGTGCCATTTTATCAAAGTATATCAACCAATATAACTTATCACTGTTGGTGTTGACCTTGATCACATGGCTAACAAGTTTGTCAGACTTCACTGTAAAGTTATTTTTTTCCTCCTTTTCTGTATTATATTATTTAAAAGAAAGTCATTAGGTATATCCTATATTTGAAGAGAGGTAAAGTTATTCTCTACAACCTGAGGGAGGAGTATCAATAGAAATTACTTGGAATTCTGCAGGAAAAATTTGTCTATTTTACCCCAATTATTTAGGTATTCAATATTTTTTTAAATCAATATGGACTTATTTATTTTATACTTTGGGTTATAATTTGATATTATTTTCTTGCTCAAATTTTTCCAGTTGTGGCCATCAGAAGCTTTCAGTTGTTCCTGTGTCCCTTTGATAATATTCCACCATTGTGGTTTTGTTTATATTTATTTTCTTCTTGTTGTTGCTCTTATTTGGTAAGAACATTCTCTTATTTTCTGGCACTGCAATTGCTCCAAGTTCATCTTACATATGTCCTGCCCCAGTCCTAGAATCAGCCATTTCTCTGAGAAGCTCTGGTTCCCCTTTTTTGGAGAATGCTATCCGAAACCAATGTCTGGACATTAAGAGTGCTGGTTGCTATTTTGGTGTCATTGTTTTTAGGCCCTCTCAGCTAACAGAGAAAGGAAATATATATGGGTATACTGTCCCATGAGTATACATATATACCTGGAAATATTTCCATATGTAACCATCTGTATCTATATTAAAATAATCACGGGTCCATGCTGATGTCTCCAATTCTAATTCATTACCACATGGATCATTCTAGCCTCTTCCATGTGCTGATTTGTAAACTCTGATTATAATATTAGGAAACCTAGCTCCCACCATCCACAATTCATTTGCTTAATTGTCCAATTCTAGCATGTATGTATCAGAATCATTAGTTCATACGTCCATTAGGTATGTGTTGTTTTTCAAGTATAGTGCTTATGAACAGCCATATTTTTTAAAATTAATATTGTGTATATTTAAAGGATACACCATGAGGTTATGGGATATACAGAGATAGAAAAAAAGTATCTAACTATAGTATTTAACTATAGTGAAGCAAATTAATAAATTCATCATCTCATATGTTTACTATCTTTTTTTTTCTTGGTAAGGTAACTAAAATCTATTCATTTGTCATGAATCCCAAATACAGTATGATTTTATCACCTATAGTCCTCATGATATATATTAGTTCTCTAGACTTTTTGCCTATTGTTTGACAGACTACTCTAATTTCCAGAGTTGCTCAGGTCAGCCTCCTTTCCCCAGCTTTATTTGAGGTTGTATTAAATAGTATACATTTGTAATATAGTTAGATTGTAATATAGTTAGGAATCCCATTCCATCCTGGGATTCCTCTAACATCTGAATTATTTTTTAAGTTGCATACATTAAGGTTTACTCTTAATGAATAAGGTTACTCCAAAGAGTAAGGTCTACTCCTTTGTGTAAAGTTCAGTGGGTTTTGACAAATGCATAATACCATGTGTTAACAGTTACCTATCATATGGAATAGTTTACCACCCTAGAAATTCCCTATGTTTCACCTATTCAACCCTTCCTCTCATCTGTCTGGACCCCTGACAAATACTGATCTTTTCACTGTTTCTATAGTTTTTCCTTTCCTAGAATGTCATCTAATTGAAATTATAATCTTTTTAGATTCTTTTCAAAATATTTCACTAAGCAATATGCAATTTGTAATTCATCCATGCCTTTTCATAGCTTGGTAGCTCATTTCTTTTTATCACTGAATAATATTTCATTGTGTGAATAAACCACAGTTCTATTATCTACACAACTTTTGGAGGACATCTTGGTTGCTTCTGGTTTTTGTCTATTACAAATAAAGTTGCTATAAACATTCACATGCAGGCTTTTGTGTGGATGTGTTCACCTCAAATTATTCTAGTGCATACGTAGGAGTAAAATTGGTGGATTGTAGGATAAGCCTATTGTTAGCCTCATAAGGACTGCCAAATTGGCTTCCAAAGTACTTGTACCATTTTGCATTCCCACCAGCAAATGGAAGAGTTTCTTTTGTTTTGCATCCTTGCCATCAACTGGTTTTATGAATTTTCAGATTTTAGCCATTTTAATAAGTGTATAGTAACATTTTATTTTGTTTTACTCTTTTATTTTGTTTTATTGTTTTAATTTGTATTTCCCTAGTAACAAATAGTGTTGTGCTTCTTTTTCATGTGCTTATTTGTCATTTATGTATGAGATGTCTATTTGAATCTTTATTTTTTTTAACTGGGTTTTTTGTTTTGTTTTTGCAGAGTTTTAAGAGTTCTTTCTATGTTTTGGATACAAATCATTTATTAGATAAGTGTTTTGTGAATATTTTATCCTAGTTTATAACTTGTCTTTTAATTCTTCTTATTCTCTTAACAGTGTCTTTCATGGAACAGAGGTTCTCAATTTTAATTAAATCCAACTTAACAATTTTTTTTCTTTCATCAATCATATTTTTGATGTTGAATCTGAAAACTCATTGCCAAACCAAGGTCTCCTAGATTTTCTGTCATGTTTTCTTCTGTAAGTTTTATAGTTTCATGTTTTACATTTAGGTCTAAGATTCACTCGTTCTCATTAATTTTTTTGAAAGATGTAAGTTTTTTTTTGAAAGATGTATGATTTTTTTTTTTCATGTGGATGTCTACTTGTTTCAGGACTATTTGTTGAAAGACTGTCTTTTCTTCATTGAATTTCTCTTGTTCCTTTGTCAAAGATTAATCGACAATATGTGTGGGGGTCTATTTCTGAGCTCTCTATTCTATTTCATCCATGTATGTGTCTATTCTTTTTTGAACACCTTGTTATCTTGATTACTGTAGCTTTATAGTAAGCCTTGAAGTTGAGTAGTGTGAGTTCTCTAATTATCTTCTTTTTTAGTACTGTGCTGGTGATTCTAGGTCTTGTGCTTCTCCTTATGTACTTTAGAATCAGTTTGTTGATATCTAGAAAATAACTTACGGAGATTTTCCAGCTTTAGGTGAGTCTCAAGGGCTAGACAGGCCTGTAGTTAGGGAAATAGTTTTCTCCCAGGTAGGGATAAGGCTCTGGTAGCCTTTCTCCCTTGAAAGCATAGATCTGTGTTATGGAGAGCACTTTGGGTGTATTTCACAATAGTTACTTTTACCCTCTTCCTGCCAAAGCTACAAGAGAATTTTTGTTGCTGCTTCACTGTGAAAGTATAATCAGATTCCTAGTGGTTAAAAAAAAAAAAAAAAAAAAGAATGTATGTATCCCTAAGACTGCAACCCTTAGGATATTCTCACTCTCAAGTTAGTTTCCTGGCTCCAGCAATTAATCAAAATTACCATTTAAATATTTCTACCAGTTCATTACTCCAGCAGCTCTTCCTCCAAGGCAGCAGGTATTGGCTGTAACTCTTTGGTTGAAGTTGTCTTGCCAGATTCGGTGTGGCAGTTTGCCTTTAGATTTCAGTTCTCTAACAGGTCTAAGAAAAGTCATCATTTTTCAGTATGTTCAACTTTTTTCTTGTTGAAAGGATGGGAGTAATGACTTCTATTATTTTTTGGTATTAGAGCTGGAAACAGAAGTTCACGTCAAATATATTTGTCTGCCATTTTCTTTCTTTCCTCTTTCTGGGACTCTCATTACATGTATGTTTATATCATGGGAAAGGAAAAAATGCTTTCATCTGCCTTGCTAGGCTCTGCCACCAGGCCTGAGAATTTGGCCTGAAAATGAAACAGACATAAGACAAATTAACAGGAGAAAAGCATATACATTTTATGTAATGTTTTTATATGTATTTGGCAGCCTTCATAGAAAAAATAAAGATGTGAAGAAGCAGTTAGGACTGAGAGCTTATAAATCTATTTACCAAAAAAATAATAATTTTGTGAAGAAGTGATAAGACAAAGGAAAAGGGATTTAAACTTCTGTGGTGGTAAATTGTGGGAAACTGACTATGAAATATATACATGAAAATAATAGAAAATAAGAATTATTTTAGTAGGTTTTATAGATACATTTTCATGTTGACTCCCAGTGTGCAGTGAGTAGAATATTCTTCTCTGTGTTAAAGGGAAAACGACTTTCTAATGGGAAATTTTATGACCTGCTTTTAGATAAGAGGAGGTCAGAAAGCCCCTCCTGCATTTGCTGTTTCTCAAGTGCCTTCAGTTCAAAACAATCAATACACCAAAGCGGAATATTTTGGGGTGGCACATTCTGAATCCCTTCAGTACGTGTATAATTTTCTGACAAGTCTCTGAGTCTCCGCTTATTTTTCTGTAACTATTTTCTTTCTAATCTTAAGGTAAATTAATTTCTATTTTTTTCGTCAAAATCATTGATGATTTTTTCTGCCATCACAAATTTGCTATTAAATCCATCTAGTAAATTTTTCATTTTTGTTATTACATTTTTCAACGTAAAGATTTCCATTTAGATATTTTTAGCTTTCTATTTCTTTACTGAGATCCCCTATTTGTTGAATCATTGTCCTCAAATCTTTTTTAATTCTATGCAATATATTCAGAATAGCTATAATGAAATTTTTGCTGCAAAATCCTACTTCTTAGTCTACTTACAGTTAGTTCTATTCAGTGGTTTTTTTTTTTTTTTTCTAAATCTGGTCTATACTTTCTCTAAATATGGTTTCACACTTAGTATTTTTTGTATACTCTAATCTTTGGCTGTACACTGGACATATGAGGTAATATAGTAATTTTGTGTTCTGATTTTACTTTTTCTTTCTTTTTTCTTTTTTGCAACTCACTTGAACTTTAACTGTGTAATTGATCTCCCCTGTAGCATATGGCCATTTGTATATATGCTAAGATTTTTTATTTTTGTTATTTAGCCTGGCTTCCTAGGGGTCATCCCAGTGTCTACATAGCTTAGTGGTCATCCAGTGATTTGGAATAGGCTATATTCAAATTCCATGCGCCCATAATTCTTCCTCCCTCTGCTGACTGGTCTTTGGGTGTGGGCACAAAGTTGTCAGTTTTCAAGTCTTCTGTGACTTTCACTTTAAACTCAAACTTTCTTGGTCTTGCCCCACACACATGTATAGCTTCCTAGTCAGCCAGGTGTTCATGAAGAGCTTCTCTCATCTCTTCTATGGCCCTCTTATTCCTAAGAGCTCTCCACTAAGTTTATGCCTGGTTTACCATTTGCCCCAACCAGTACCACAAATTTAGGCTAGTAGACTTGTCAGTCACCCATTTATTTTCTACTGACAATGCTGCCTGTTGTAGGTTTTTGTCCTATGCCTGAAATTGAGCCCACCTGGTCTGGCATCAAAGTTATAGGTTTCCTGGCCAGCTGCACAATAGCAATGCTGTCATTATTATTGACCAAGCTGGGATGGGTGGTGAATATTGGCTCCAGACAAGATTACAGACGCTATTGTTTGTAGCTGAAGGACTACCAGTTTTTCATAAATATGTATTTCTCAAATTGTTCTTTGCATTTAGTCAATTTTTAGAGTTCCAAGATGGTTGTTTTTGACAATTGTGTCCAGTTTTATCCTTTTCTTGTGGAGGTAAGAAGATTTGTTGGTCTCTCCACTCCTCTGTAGCTGTAAGGCTTCCTCCCTATTTTTCCCTTTTTTGTTTGTTTTAGTAGAAAATTATGCTTATAGATCATCATCTGGTTGCTAGGGAGAAGTCATTGCTACCAGTTTTGGTGCTTTTTAAATGTATATGATAAAATACATCGCAAATTCACCTGATAAAAAACTTCAGATTTAAATTTAGGATTACAAGGTTTTTTTTAAATGTAATCTCTTTGATCTTACATATGTATCTTTTTTTCTTATATGCCAAAACTCCTGGTTCTTAATAATATCAATGTAATTATTAATTTTGTCTAACAATATACATGCATCAGCCTCAGAATAATAGCGTCAACATTACCACAAATATAGTTACTTAAAATGATTTGATGGTTTTTGTGGGGGTGTGTGTGTGTTTTTACACTGCACTGTATGTTTTATAATATAATGGTGATGATCTCTTCTGCTGTAATATATTTATATATTTTCCACAGGTACGAGAGTATGTCTGCTTGTCCTGGGGAAAAAAAAATCTGTACATTCTCTCTTGCCAAATCCGTAAACATGCTGTGCTTTATATCCATGATCAATGATACAACACATTTCAATGAAATTCAAAGCTATTTCACTGTCCAGTTCTGCTGCATGTTTTTATTACACCATAATTCTGCTCACAACCTGATTCATTTTACATTCCAACTTTATCTCAGATGTACTAACGTGCTTTTAAAATAAGGAATATTAAAGATTTTCAAAAATAGTTGTAAAATTGAGTATTTTCTGCCATTTCACAGCTCCTTCCCATTTATGAGAGAGCCACATGACATCAGCCCATAGACTGTGGAGAGTATTCCAGATCTATCACATTCTGCGATTCTGCGATTCCCAGAAGGCTGGTCATGAAAAAATTCCCTCTTCAGTTTACATATATGGCAGTGGTAAGTGGAGGCACCTAGATAGAAAATTTTACTCTGGTGAATTATATCTTGTATATTCTTCAAATTCAAAAGAATAAAAACAAACTAAATGCTAGAAAACTAATGAACAAACAAAACCTTCCAAATACCCCTTCTCACCATTACATTTATTTGGAAAAATACATTTTTAAAGTATCATGAAATTTTTCAATCATATGCAGATGTAGAAATAATAATAAAGTAAAACTCCATGCACTCACTACCCAGTTTCAGAAATTATACAATCATGACAAATATTGTTTCATCAATACCTCCATTCACTTACACTCATTGAGTATTTTTTGAAGCAAGTCCCAGAAGTCAAATTATTTCCTTTGAAAACAATTTCAGAGTGTATTTCCAAAACATAATACTTTAAAAAAGAACTACAGTTGCAGTCACAAGTAAAAATAATAATTTAATATCATCAAATACCTAGCCATTATTCAAATTTCAAATTTTCTTACAAATACTATATTTTTGTAGCAATTTGTGTGAATCAAGTCCAAAAATTTTTAATTCTTTCCATTGTTGAAGGAACCAGGTTATTTATCCTGTAGAGTTTTCTGCCATCTGGATTTTGATAATTATATTACCATGGTGTTGCTTAACATCTTCCTATAGTCTCTGCTGTTCCTGTAAATTGAGCATTGGTGCTAGTGGTTTAATCAGATACAGGTAGGTTTATTTGTAGCAATTCTACTTGATAAAGGTTGCTGTGCTTTTCCTTATTAAGCATTTACTGTCTGGTTGCCTCTCTTTTAGCAGGTGATGATGATCAATAACTAGATACATCAGTTCATTAAAGGTTGCAAAAGGAGGCTGTTCTAACTCTATTATTCTTACTTTATACATCTATTACATGTATATATAGGTGTATCTATGGGTATATTTCTGAAATATGTTTACCAATAGAAATTTTATAAACCATGTAACACAGTTTGTATAGGAAAGGCAGGATAAATGCAAAATGTTACATCTCACAAATGAGCCATAAGCATAAAAGCATGTGGTTCAATGCCATAGGAGAAGGTAGTATCTCCAAAAGGTTTCTATCTTCCTCAGATTCTAAAAAGCCCTTTGCAGTTTTTCACTCAAAAGTTCTAATTACATATATTCCTAATATTTAAAAAATAATGTTTATAATTGTTTTCTGTCTAAAGAGTTATGCATGCTTATTTTAGAAAATATAGATCGATCTGAAGAAGAAGGGGAAATCTTCCCTAATTTCATTGCCTGGAGAAAACTACTGTCCAAGAGATTTCAAAGATGACTATTCCATAAGGGTCCCAGAACCTATTAAAGAATCAAGTCAGTAAACAGTGATAATACTTGAGCTGCAGAATGAAAACACAAATGATGTTAAAAAGTACTTCAGTGGGATTTTTTTCTGGAATTTTATATTGTGGTAAAATACACACAACATAAAATTTGCTACAGTAACCATTCTAAACAATTCAGTAGCACTAAGTACAGAACCCATGTTGTGAAACCACCACCAGTACTATTTAAACCCAGAACATTCTTATTTTCCCAATTGAAGATCTTGTGATAGGTCTACAATTCTATGAATATACTAAAAATAATTAAATTGTATATTTTAAGTTGTTGAATTTAATAATATAACAATTATATCTCAATAAATCTGCTTTTTTTAAAAAAAAAATAAGGGATAGCGGAGAATAAAATAGAAAAAAGTCCCTTGCCTTCAGGGAATTTGCCTTCTAGTGACAGCCATTACCATTATAATTCTCTAATACATTTAGCAGAAACACAAAGTGATAGCCATTACCATTATAATTGTCTAATACCTTTAACAAAAACACAACAAATGAGACAGATTGCCTGTAGAAGATAAAGACTGGATATGCTATTCTTATAGATACCCTTGGATTTCCTGAATATAACCTCAAGTTTACTGTATCTGACCCTAGTTCCCATGAACAGATGGCCAACCAAGGATGCAATGGGGCAACTAATCCTGTATTTTCCTAAACTCCTAAGTTAAAATTTGCAAGATACCTTATAGAAAGTTTAAAACAGTATCTTACAGAGTGATGCTGAGTGGACTTTTAGATCTGGAAGTAGCCTTAAGAGATGATTAATTTTAGCATAATTATTTTACAAGTAGGCAACTGACACCCATGTAGATGAAGGATTTAGCCACAACCAATCAAGCACGATCTGACTCTACAAAGCAGTTGTATCTGAGGGCAGTGCTGTTCTGTTCTGTTTTGTTTTATTTTCTCTGTGTGTTTTTCAGAAGCGTTATCTGCTTGACAGCTCACTGCTGTATTTGTAAAAATAGACTTTACTTTGCTATCCCAGAAAAGACGGAGGTTGGGTTAATACAGTGTATCAAATAAGCACTTTTAGTTTAGATTTTCTGATGTCAATTAATAATGGTGAACCGCAAAGCTGCAGAAGAATGAGAGGCAGAATTAGGAATAATACTGAATTTTTCCTGTCTCATGCATGACTGTCCTGGGGTATGGTGGGTTCCCACATGAGCCTGAAGAAAAAACTTAGTGTGAAAAGTCTTCATTTTGTCCAGTTGTCTCAGAAAAATGTGTACATACAGAGAAAGTGATGTCCCTGAGAGGTGAACCTCTTCCTTTTGTTCTTAGTTGGTGGCAGAGTCAAAACAGATCTTCAGGCACCCAGTTGTGTAGACTCTTTGGTTTTGATGCTTTGATAATTTCCAAATGACTAACACTCTCTCATGCCTCAATTAATCTAACCTAGTGAACACAAGTGAAGCTTTCCACAGCGCCCTGTTTCTGAGATTTTTGTTTTTGTTTGTTTGTTTGTTTTTGTTTTTTGAGATGGAGTCTCTCCCTGTCACCTAGGCTGGAGTGCAGTGGTGCGATCTTGGCTCCCTGCAACCTCTGCCTCCCAGGTTCCAGCAATTCTCGTGCCTCAGCCTCCTGAGTAGCTGGGATTACAGGCGTGTGCCACCATGCCCAGCTAATTTTTGTATTTTTAGTAGAGATGGGGTTTCACCATGTTGGCCAGGCTGGTCTCAAACTCCTGACTTTAGGTGATCCGCCTGCCTCAGCATCCCAAAGTGTTGGGATTACAGGCATGAGCCACCACACCAGGTCAGGACTCTGTTTCTAAATGTGAGTACTCATTCACCTTGTGAAGTGTGGATTGTGGATGGAGAGAAAAAAGGATAAGGAGATTAGACTGAAGCTATCAATACTTAAAGTGAGACTTTTCAAGCTCCAATGGGACCACTGGCATGACTTTCAATATGGCTTCCATATTGCTTTGGTGACAGGATGAGAAGAAGGCAATACTGAGCTTGGCCTGCTCCTCAGAGGTTGTGGGATCTCTTAATCAATTTTCTGTTGCTTACAACAGAATACCTGAAACTAGGTAATTTATAAAGAAAAGGAATTTCTTTCAGTCCTGGAGGCTGAGAAGTTCCAGGCTGAGGTGATACATCTGGTGAAAACCTTCTTGCTGGTAGGGGCTTTCTGCAGTCCCAGGGTGCTACAGGGCATCACATAGTGGGTGGCTGAGAGCACTGACATGCTAGCTCAGGTTTCTCTTCCTCTTCTTACAAAGCCACTAGTTAACCACATGATAATCATTAATCCATGAATGGATTAATCTATTCAAGAGGGCAGAGTCTTCATGAATGATCCAATCAACTATTAAAGGACCCATTTTTAATGCTGCCACATTGGGGATTGAGTTTTCAACACATGAAATTTGGGAGATACATTCAAACTATAGCATGAGGTAAAGGAAGCATGAGTATTTCCTTGGACTGAATGTGGAGCCCAGGAAAGGGTGGCACTGAGGCCTTTGTTTTTGAGGGGTGAGGAGATCTCAGCAGAAAGAGGCAGATGAACATGGCTAGCAGCCTACAGGCTAAGCACAGATTGGCAGTGCATCAATTAGAACAGAAAGGAACCTGCCAAAACTCATGTAGGATCTCAGATTTTAGTCCTCTAATGGGGTGGTGCGATAAAAATGTAAACTATACGTTGAAAAACAAAATTGCATTTTGTTTCCATTCACTGCAGAGCTTTTCAACATACAGTTTAATGTGAAGTTATGCTGCAAGCTTAGGAATGGGGAGGAAGAGGAAAAGTAGGGGTGGTAGTAAATGAAGGGTCCACAATTGTTGCTGAGAGCAGGCTTGCTCTTTCAATGGGTGCAGGCTGTGTGGTGTCTGAGTGGCTGGCATGATTTAATAGGAACAATTTGGAGTCATACATATATATTTCTATTTAAAAATTAAGCATCATAACAGCTATGATAGATAGATTAGGCACATATTATTACCTTCATTTTAGGTGAGGTGGTCCAAAAACAAGGTGATTAGCTGTCCCAAGATCATAGATTTGTTTATTTAGGGGTGTGAGTTAGTTGAAGTGGAGCAAGCAGTCAGATCTAAGGGTGAGCTAGGTGGCCTTCCTTCTACCATTTCTGTTTATCATTCTTCCTTTATCATGTCCATTACAGAACCATGTTTCTTCTAAGGACCCTCAGATTGCTAGGGCAGATCCTGTAATTCAAATATCTTGTTTTTGCCTGCTGCCTTAGCATCAGTCTGAGAATTTGCTTGAAGGCATCTATCATGCTGATGGTTAGAACATAAACCTGTTTTGGGGGAAAAGATTTGAATTGCCTACAACAATTTGTGGTTAATGAATTGTCCTAAAGGTTTTATGTGTCCCTCTCCCACTGTTTTGCATGGTAGTTGTCTCATCCCCATTAAAAGACTTTTCTCATTTGAACTGTTTTTATGAATAAAGGGCTCTTTCATTTTCCACAGCTGATTTCCTTTTATTGTCTTTATTGCATTTTAACAGGGAGACAAATGACACCACAAACAGACGCAAGGGAGACTGACTCCTCCCGCCTTGCCTTTATGTGTTTTTATTAACCTTTTTTCATCCCTTAGCTCAGGCTGTGGGATGTAGACCTTTAATGCAGGTCATAAATGAACAGCCAGATTTGAAACTTGATGGAAAAGCTCTCTAATGGGACAGAGGATTCACTGAAACAATATTTGTTTTTAAAAATTGTGTTTGAAGTTACAATGACAATGATAGAAATATCAATTATAGTAATAAACATTGTAACACTGAGTATTGAGGTATATAGGCAGAAAGAAATATTTAGTATCCTTTATATGCTAGGCATTCTATATATTTTTCTGCTATATAAATAATATATGAATACATTTATATGACACAAACTTTAAAAGATATGGGAGTATATGTGATAAATGATCAAAATTATCTTTCTTTTTTCCCTCAAATACCACTAGTTTCATCATATGTATCTATTAACAACTTCATCTGCATATACATATACACATTCATATCTTAATGTTTTGTTTTGTCATGCATGAGTTCAAAACCTCTGCATATTATTCAATGACATTCTAATTTGCTTAACAAAATCTACTCTGCATATTTTTCAATGACATTTTAATTTGCTTAATTTTAAAAGGCTTACTATTTGCACTTTATATAAATCTTCCTTACTCTTTGTTTTTTGTTGTTAGCAGCATTTCCCTCTTAGAGATTTAATTTTTTTGGTTGTTGTTAATACAGTGAAAGCTTCAGTAAACATCCTTGAACATACATATCTTCCCATAGGATACATTTCTAGAAATGGAATGCATGTGTGGAAGGATTTGTACATCTCATGGTTTGGTAGATAGTGACCAATTCCCTGTAGTGGCTATGCCACTTCAAGCATCCACCATATTGTATGAGTGTGACTCCCGCCTCTTTGTGTGTTCTTTTATTCCTCAGAATACCCTGACAAAGGAAAACTCTAATCCTTATTTTTATCAATAGAGAATAACAAGCTTCAGAAATGTTAAGTAAAATTGCCTGAGGTTACACAACTATCATGTGGAAGATGAGCTTTATTCCCCACAAAGGCCCATACTCTTTCTGCATTCAGGACATTTTTGGCATGAAGTCCATAATAGCTAGCTTTGCTACTAAGTTGGCTTTATGTGTTTGGGAAGTCACATCACCTCTCTGGTTCGATTTTCCTTTTCTGTAAAATGAAGTAGTTGGACTAGGTGCCTTAGACTCCTTTGACTTTGAATTGTAAACCTGTTTTGGGGAGTATTTTATAAATGCTAGTGCCAGTATAATTTTGGCTGGATTTTGAACATATTTCTTCTACTTGGGATTTCACTTTTCAAAAGGGAAAAGGACTTGAATTGGGATTAACATTAGGAATATTAATAAGGTTAATATTCATCATCATAAGTAAAATTGTTAAGCTTGGCCTGTGTGCTAAATACTGTTCGCTTTTCCAAGTGCTTTACATGCATTATTTTGTACCATCCTCCCTGCATTCTGGTGAGCCAGGTATGGTTATTGTCTTAATTTTACAGATGAGTAAAAGGATGAGGGAGGACAAAACTCTTGTCTAAGATCACACAGCATGTGATGAGCATTTGAACTCAGACTTTCAGAGACTGAGCTGAGAAGCAAATTTTTTTGTGAGTGTGGGAGGGGGAGGCATTTTGTGGAGGAAAAATACAGTAATTCTTCCTTGGACTATGATTAGGAAAGGAAGGGTCAAAAAACAATGAATTTTCTAGATAACTAAAACTTACCCTCTTTAGGTTCAAAAGTTAACTTTTAACAACTTGGGATAAAAATCCTTTTATAATGTGTTACATACTCTTCTGTTTACATTTAATTTGTTTAACCATTTCTTTTGGGGACAGCGTCATTGTATAGGTATTTGTTAGTTCCTTAATAGATTCCTGCTCTTGGGAATAATTAAACTGAATAAACCATTCTCCTTTTCTCTGAATGGTCTCGAATTGGCATGCATTTTGAGTGTTTCAGGTTCTTTTTTACAGTTATGCTTCTCTTGCCTCAGTGTCAAGGTGTCAGCTTTGAAGGCCACTCTTGTGTGGAGACGGTGCTACCAACTGACTGGAGACAGGATGTGCCCTTTGGATAGGGGACCGCATAACTCAACATCCAAACTGGGACACTGTTATTATTTAAGCAGGACAACAGGAATAAGATGAGACTGCTTATTCAAACTGGGATTTACAGTCACTTTACTTAGGGCCAGGTCCACATCCTGCCTTGCTTGCTTGTTAAGGAATCTTGTCACAAATTATTTAGTTTCTCTGAACCACAGTTTCCTCAGTTGTAAATTGGGCACAATAATGCCAACTTGTAAGAATTAGAGAGAATGTACATAGTAGGTGCCTTATGATAGAGCTGCCACATGGGTTGTTGAGAGGAATGAAAGTCAAGGGCATAACACAGTAACTACTTTTTGCCTGTTAACTTTGCTATTGTTTAGGCTATGATTATTTTGCTTTGTGTTGCTGTAATTGTGTCTACATCTGGTTGCTCCCTCCAGCATTCTCTTCTTAGCTACTTCCAATATGATGTGGGCTGGGAAACAAGATAACTGAAGTGTTAGTACTCCAGAAAATAACTCATCTCTGAGTTAGGTGCAAGTTTTTCGGTTTTGTTTGTGTTTTGTACAAGTTTTCACCTTAACTGCTTAAAGTATTAGTCTTTGACCTTGTCATTGGCCTAAACAATAAATGTTGTGTGATAATTCATCACTATATAGGTAATGCTTCTTGGTGATTTTCTGTATTTGAATATTATCGTTTGTCAGCATGGTACTGTTATAAAAATAGGCAGGTATAAAAATACAAATATGTTTTATTATGTAAAAATATAAATCAATAGAACAGAATAGAGAACCTAAAAATAAAGCCAAATTCTTACAGCCAACTGAACTTCAACAAAGCAAACAAAAACATAAAGTGGGGGAAATAACAGACACACTATTCAACAAATGGTGCTGAGATAACTGGCCAGCCATATGTAGAGGAATGAAACTGTATCCTTATCTCTCACCTTATACAAAAATCAACACAAAATGGATCAAAGACTTAAATCTAAGACCTGAAGCCATAAAAATTCTAGAAGATAACATCAGAAAAGCCCTCAAGACATTGGCTCAGGCAAAGACTTCATGACCAAGAACCCATAAGCAAATACAACAAAAACAAAGATAAATAAATAGGACTTAATAAACCTAAAAAGCTTCTGCATAGCAAAGACACAATCAGCAAAGTAAACAGACAACCCAGAGTGGGAGAAAACCTTTTCAATCTATACATCTGACAAAGGAATCCAGAATCTACAAGGAACTCAAATCAGAAAAAAACAAAACAAAACAAACGACAAACAAAAACACCAAACAGTCCCAACAAAAAGTGGGCTAAGGACATGAACAGACAATTCTTAAAAAAAGATATACAAATGGTAAAGAAACATATGAAAATATGCTCAACTTCACTAATGGTCAGGGAAATACAAATCAAAACCACAATGTGATACCACCTTACTCCTACAAGAATGGCTATAATCAAAAAATCAAAATATAATAGATGTTGGCGTGGATGTGGTGAAAAGAGAATACTTTTAAACTGCTGGTTGGTGGGGCTATAAACTAGTACAACCACTGTGGAAAACTAAAAGTAGAACTACAGTGTGATCCAGCAATCCCATCACTGGGTATCTGCCCAGAGGAAAAGAAGTCATTATACAAAAAAAGATACCTGCACATGCATGTTTATAGCAGCACAATTTGCAATTGGAAAAATATGGAACCAGTCCAAATGCCCATCAATCAACAAGGGATGAAGAAAATATGTTGTATATATACCATGGAATACTATTCAGCTATAAAAAGAAACAAAATAATGGCATTTGGAGCAACCTGGATGGAATTGGAGACCATTATTCTATGTGAAGTAACTCAGGAATGGAAAACCAAGCACTGTATGTTCTCACGCATAAGTGGGAGCTAAGCTATGAGGATGTGAAGCCATAAGAATGATACAATGGACTTTGGAGACTCAAGGGAAAGGTTCAGTGTCGGGTGAGGGATAAAAGACTATACGTTGGGTACAGTGTACACTGCTCGGGTGATGGGTGCACCAAAATCTCAGATTTTTGGGTTTGGCATGTGGTCAGACTGCACAGCCAGCCAGCCTCTCCTCTGCCTTCTCCCTCTCCCCGACCTTCCTTTCTCTCCTCCTGCCCCCACCTTTAATTCCCACTCTTTTAAATTTTTGATGATCCTTTTGTTGGTCATGTATTTAGCCACCATTTGCTGAGCCCCAGCTTGTGGTAACCACTGCGTCAGGGTCTATGGCTCTAAATGTGGTTTCTAAGCTTTAGAAAGCTAACAGTCCAGAGAGGAAGATAGATACAAAAATAAATAGCCATGTGAATATGTTTAATTAAACATTTGTGAGAAGAATTATGAAACCCCTGAGGAGGGGTTGATTGTGCCATCTAGGAAGTAGGAAATGGCTTCATAGAGGCAGTCAAGAGTGGACATCAGGGGCTATGTCATTTCCAGGACCAGTCTCAGGCCATGTGTTAGGATATTTAGGCTCATTTCAAGTATTCTAAAGAGTTGTGTGAGTTAAAGAAAATATGTTAACTTTTTGGTGCTTCAGTTTTCTTATCACTAGCAGTGGATCAGAATCTTCACTGCTGTGAAGACAGAGTAAAACAATGTTTGAGAAAGCTCTATGATAAGTTTTAGGCAATTCCAAATGTTATCTTCATTTTGCTGTTATAAGAAATAGCCTGGGCCATTGAACTGATGGTTCTTCCTAGCCAGTTCCTCTCTCTACATCTTTCTGGAAGAATCTATGCAAGACCAGGCTCCTTTCCTGAAAGATACAACAAAATGAGACATAAGGGCTTGAATTCTAGCCCTTCAAAAAGCTGGAAGTTTTAAAAATGATGGTAGTGATGGCATTGCCTTATTCTCTTGGAACGCTTAGAGCGTATCCCAGCACTTACCCAGCTAGGATCTCATATGTCATTTAGGTTAGAACAGGTGTCACCATCTTTGCTTTATAGACATGTTTACCATGGGACAAAAAACAAGGAGGATTGATTTGTGCTAACACCAGGGTAGAGTAATTGAGTGTCAGGATTCTAAAAGGCAAGAGATCTTGAAAATAGCAGTGTAACCACATATAAAGAAAACAATACAGGCATAGATTTAATAACATTTCCAGGGTCACATAATTAATTAGGGAATAGAAGCAGACCTCTAACCCCAGGCTCTTGTGACTGTTGTTGAAACATACTGGACCACATCTTCATCTTGAATTCATCTTCAGTGGTTGAGCTTTTCGACCTTTGCCTTTAAATTTGATGATGCACACTCTTGCTTCCTACTTCACAGCTTTCCTGTCAATTGACTGATAATCTTAAAAACTAGGACTTAGTTGTATTAAGGACACTTACTAGATGCAGTAATCCAACATTTTGCAGATGAAATAACACAATTATTTTACATTATAGGTCTTCCTCCATTTTACCAATTAGCTTATTTTGTAAAGTTGAATATTCTGCTCTGGAATTTACCTAAAGCACTCTCGGCATGTCAGGACTTGCTGCAGGCTCTGTGGACTTCAGACTGAGCCCTTGACTCCATCTTGTGCTCTGAAGGACATAAGGAGGGCAGTACATCTGCAGAGCTTCAAGTGTTAACTCTACCTGCATCCCTAAACCAATCTTGGCAAAATTGACCCTAGGCTCTATCTACCCTACCAGTAAATATGCCAGACAAAAATAGATTCAATTAATTTCCTCTCATTTAGATCACTGAACTGACACTTAAGAAGATACCAGTGTTGCTTTAGATGGCTTTTAGTCCTGTGTTCATGTTCTGAGATTCTTTGGCATAGATAGTAAATGGCTAGGTCTTGGGTAATCCTCATTTCTGGGGAAACAGATATTTCCCCTTACTTCCGTCTTTCTGCAACAACCGATCACAGAAAAGAGGGGACTAAAAACTATTTGTTAGATATTGATAAAGGATGTAATATCAATAAAATAGAGTGAAGACCATTAACATATTAGATAGAATGGCCCTGCAAGAGGGATGAAGTTTATCGTATAAGTTTACTGCAAAGGAAGAGCTCGTATTCCTCTTCCTCAAGTGCAAGCCCCTCTTAATGAAACTGACGGTATGGAATCTTCCAGTCATTGAGGACCTGCTGCAAGCCTGGCCCTGAATACAATATTAGAGGCTGAAGATTTTAAAGAAAAATAACATCCAAGTCCCAGCAACCAAGATGCCTATAGTGTAATTGGAAGAAAAAAGCAAAAGACAAAAAAGAGTTGAGGAAGTTTCTTGGAGGAGGTGACACTGGAATATAGCCCTGGAAAAGGCAGAAAGAAAGAGACATGAGGTGGAGGGGAAGAACTAATTGTGTTTGAGAAAACATTGATGAGATAGTCAATGATTAAGAACAAATTGTGGGATAAAACTTTCCAGGTAATCTGTGTGCATTTTAACTAAAACACTTTTTAGTGTAACTGCCTCCCTCATTATTTTTTTGGCTAACCAAATATATTTTAACATAAGAATTGTGAAAAGTTAATTTATAGAAGAGAATAAATAAATTATTAAGTATAAAAAATTAATTTACTAGTAATTAAAAATACAAAATAAAAAAGAGATAACTAGTTTTTGCCTATCAATTGGCATAGATTTAAATAACAATAAAATATACTGCTGGTGAAGATAAAGAAAGACAAGCAATCCCATACATGGCAGGTGAGAAATTTGGTACAATTATTGGGAAACAATTTGGCAATATGTGTCAAAGCCTTAAACACATTTATACCTTCCAAGACACTAATCATGTTTAAAGAAAGAGTGTTTTTATAGCAGTAAATAAAAACATATATTCAAGGAAATTCATTGCAATGTTCCTTTATTTAAAATAAGGAATATTAGAAAAAAATACCTACATTTGATAACAGATGGTTAAATGTGTTACATACTTAGGATATTATTCTCGCATTAAAATAATATTTTAGCAGTACTATGTAGCAATAGCTACCACGTATTGAGGATTTACTATATATTAGGCACTATGCTAGTAACATTGACTATAAATCTTAATCATTAATACAATAGATTGATTTCTCATTGAATTTTATTTACTTAGTATTTTTATAAATTTATGGGGTACAAGTATAATTTTATTACATGCATAGATTTCATAATGGTGAAGTCAGGACTTTTAGGGTATCCGTCACTCAGTTAATATGCATTGTACCCATTAAGCAATCTTTCATCATTCTCCTCCTCCCACCCCTTCACCCTTCCAAGTCTCCATTGTCTATCCTTCTATACGCTACATCTATGTGTACATATTCTTTAGCTCCCACTTATAAGTGAGAACATGCAGTATTTGTCTTTCTGTGTCTGACTTGTTTCACTTAAGATAATGACACCTAGTTTCATCTAGTTTTCATTTTTTATGGCTGAATAGTATTCCATTGTGCATGTAGATCACATTTTCTTTATCCAATCATCTGTTGGTAGACATTTAGTTTGTTTCCATATCTTTGCTATTGTAAATATTGTTGTGATAAACATACAGGTGCAGGTGTCTTTTTGATATAGAAAGTATTTTCCTTCCTCATTGAATTTTATTATTGTTTTAGAGGAAATGTTCAATGAGAGTTGAGCATTAAGATGTTTCTAAAACTGGCCCTGACCTACCTTGCTAAGCTCCAGATTTTCTTACTTTAGAGATGGGAACCATGAGGCCCAGAAAATTATTTAAAGTCAAAGAACAAGTCAGAGGCAAAGTCAAGAGTGAAACCTCCAGATATTGATGCCATGTCAATGAACTTTTCATTCTGTATGTTCTTCTGGAATAATTACATCTCACATTACAAACATTTATGGAAAATCTATCATGTGCCAGGCACTGGTCTAGGAATTAAGCACACAATAAACGTAAATCCTGTGCTCTCAGTTTACAACCCATGGGGAAGACAGACTCACTAAAATAAATAAAATAAATAAATAAATAAATAACTAAGCTGGCTAGGCGTGGTGGCTCACGCCTGTAATCCCAGCACTTTGGGAGGCCGAGGCAGGTGGATCATGAGGTCAAGAGATTGAGACCATCCTGGCTAGCAGGGTAAAACCCCCATCTCTACTAAAAATACAAAAATTCGCTGGGCGTGGTGGCGCGCACCTGTAGTCCCAGCTACTCGGGAGGCTGAAGCAGGAGAATCGCTTGAACTGGGAAGGAGGAGGTTGCAGTGAGCCGAGACTGCACCACTGCACTCCAGCCTGGTGACACAGTGAGACTCCATCTCAATAAATACAAGCAAGCTAGCGACTGAACCACAAATCAAGTCCTTTTTGGATGAAAACAGGGTATCAAATGACAAAAAACTCTCCAGTGTGACAGATGTGATAACAAATGGACATATTGAGCCCAGTGGTGGCAGAGAGCAGGAGCTTATTGACCTACCATGAGTGGGTTAGCAGAGACACCTCAGACTGATGACTAACATTTGTTCAGAACTTATCAAATCCCATGCACTCTTCCAAATGCGCTATGTAGGTTAACTTAGGTAACCCTCCCAGCAATCCTGTGAGGGTAATACTATGATTAGTATTATTTCCCACTTTGCAGAGGATTAAATCAAGGCAATGAGAGGCTGAGTGACTGGCCCAGCCAGTCAGTCAACAGGAGCCAGAGTTTGAGCTCCAGTCTCTATTGCCCGCTTGCCTCTCTCTACCCAGTATGATGCTTGGATTGGCAATCAAAGGATGTAGAGAAGAAGCTAATTCTAGGAAGAGAGAATGAGGTGTTTGCCGCAGGGTGCTGAATTTATTTAGAAAACTTTAGGAAATTCACTTTTGGGAGGTGGAGGTGATCTTTGCGCGGTGGGGGTGAGGTGTGCTCCGCCATGAGGCATGAGCCTTACCAGGCCTTACTGAGGAGCTTGGCTCTTCTCCATTAGGCAACTGGAAGCCATTGAAAGTTTAAGCAGGGAAGAAACACGATGCAGCTTGCCTCTTTGAACAACTTCGCATTCATCAGTCCACCAAGTGACTGAGATGGGTTCAGCCAGCTTCTAGATCCCTGATCCTGTGACCAGGGTTCGGCCACACTCTTCTTCCAGTAAAAAAGGAATGGCCTCAAATGGAAACCATTGCTACAGGGGGTTAATAAAATCTCCCAGGGCCAAGAAAGCTAAACCACAATTTAAAAACCTTCCTGCATAGCTGGCGGCTGCAGTGCGTGGCTTGTAGGGGTGGGTGATCTGTGTCATCTTCCTTGACAGTATATTGCTTTGCATCCTCCTCATAAACATTTCTGTTTATTTTGTGGGAGGGTAAAGTGCCGACAGAAGTTATCCAGGAGGAAAACAAAGAAACAGCAGGCCTTAAATCTTCATCAAGTTTCAGAAAGCTTCAAACCAACACAAGAAACTCTCAGATTTGGGACTTGGAAAACTGGGGGCTTTACCTGCCTCCTGCCTCCCTCCCATTCCTCGCTCCTGATTGCATGACACCCTTTCCCTTTCTCAAGTCTTATCTCTGAATTCCACCTCCTAACAGACCAATGTTCTCATAGTGCCAAAGCCTCATGCTGCAGTTCCCCAGGGCAAGCTTGCCCTTTCCAGAACTGCCCACCTTTCAAAATTACTTCCTTACATTTCTAGTTACAGCTATTACACTCCTCCTGGGGCTGAGCTCAATCAAATATGTGTTAGAAGCAGAGTAATTTAATTAAATTGCATCCCACTAAGGTATAAATAACGTATAGCCCCAAACCCATCCCTACAATCATCTCAGGTATGTGGAGGTCACATTTCAGGATCCCTTAGCACATGCCTCCTTTCTAGACGCCCTTGCCAGAAGCTGAGGCAGACTTGCTCCTTGTGTACTCTAGCCTCTATCCTGCAGTTTTTGAAACATTTGTATTCACCTACTTAGGACCAGCTGCTGTCCCTTCCCCCAAACTTGGGGTGCCCTGGCCTGTTCCCTACAAATCTGTGAATGTTTGTCTTTGCTGTGTGGATCATATTCAGTCTCAGAGCTTGGAAACAGGAAGGGTAGACAAATGATTAGGAGACAGGGGCCACGTGTGGTGGCTCACGCCTATAATCCCAACACTTTGAGAAGCCGAGGCAAGCAGATCACCTGAGGTCAGGAGTTTGATACCAGCCTGGCCAACATGGTGAAATCCTGTCTCTACTAAAAATACAAAAAAATCAGGCAGATGTGGTGGCAGATGCCTATAATCCCAGCTACTTGGGAAGCTGAGGCAGGAGAATCGCTTGAACCCAGGAGGTGGAGGTTGCCGTGAGCTGAGATTACACCACTGCACTAAAGCCTGGGCAGCAAGAGAGAGACTCTGTCTCAAAAAAAAAAAAAAAAAAAAAAAAGAGAAAAGGAGAGAGAGGTGTCGCTAAGGATGAATTATGTACATCTAAAAGAGAAATGCAGTTTTCTTGAAAAAACAAGTTTATCAGATGTGATTAGAGGAGTTTGCAGTGACAATCGAATGATGTGACAAAATATCCGGCAAGTTTATGGTTGGGTGATGAGTTTGGACTAGGAGATGGGGGACTCTCTAACTCCAACTTTGTTTAAGTTACCTACCATCTTTGGGTCTAAGTGTCATTATCTGTAAAATGAGTAGGTTGGGCCAGAGAGCTTCAGCTCCTTTTAGATCTAATTGTAATTATCAAGTATTGGATATCACATGAAGACTTTGGACCTGTGTGCTGTAACACTGACCTCCTGTTCTGTGGACTACTAATTTCTCTGCTATAGCGCATATGAAAGGCCACACTCACAGAGAGACATGGTAGAAAGGACACTGAACTTGGAACCAAAAGACCTGGGTTCCAGTCTGGGTTGGCCTAGTAATGTAAACAAGTGGTGTTTCAGTTTCTTTGTCTATAAACTAGGGTTAGCTATTCCTCTCCTGTTTTTTTTTTTTTCTCATATTGGAAACCACACAGCTACATGCTTGCTGACTCTTTTTATTGTTTTCAGAAATGTCTCTGAGCTGTGTGTGGTGTCTGACGTGTGTAATTCCAGTGCTTTGGGAGGCCAAGGTCAGAAGATCAAATGAGCTTAGGAGTTTGAGGCCAGCCTGGGCGACATATAGAGACCGTGTCAGAAGGATTGCTTGAGCCCAGGAGTTTGAGGCTGCAGTGAGCTATGATCATGCCACTACACACCAGCTTGGGTGATAGAACAAGACCCTACCTCTAAACATAATAAAAACAAATTAAAAATTGAAAAAAAAATAAAAAATTAAAAAGAAGCCACAGATATGTATTTAAAAAAAACATGGCTTTGGTTCTGAAAGTCATGTGTAAGTAGAATTTGTATTACCTCGTGGCTGCTGAAGGCAGGGAGAGGTGCAGGGGTGAAGATAGAGTTTCCTGACTTGTGTTTAATAGACCTTTGTGCCCCAGTTACATGTAACTGGATTACTCTTTTGTAAGCCACACAATGGAAAATCATCATTTACATTCCTGAAAATGAAGAACACTAATAATTAAATAACATGATAGCATAGAATAATGACATTTCAATTGTATGAGATAAACAATTTAAATGTTTTCTTGCCTTAAATCTCCAAGTGAAATACTGAGGAAAAACAAGAAGACAAAAGATCTCCCAACTCTAAAAGGGAACACTTTCAAAAGCAAGCTCAGGTCCTGGACTATCAACTCTGTCAACAAGAGGAGAATAGAGGTGAGGTTAATGGCATTTTTCTTAATTCCATCTGTTTCAGGCATGGATGATCTTTGATCTTTCTGAGTTTTATCTATCACTGAAAAGATTCTCTTGGACTACATGGGTTTTAGTGTCTTCTCTGATTGGAACACATGATTGACAAGCATATACTCCCCATCATAGCTAAAGGTGCTGGTTACAGGCAAGAATGAAAGGAGTTTCGACCTCAGCCTCCGTCAAGGGCAGGACCCCAAGGGAGGTCATGTTTGCTTTGCATGGTTGGGAATTGCTTACCAGAGCTTCTGCTTCCTTTGTGCTTCACATTACACAGTTGGAACGTCATCTTGATGTTATAAAAGTCACTCAGGTTAGGACTCTCGCTGCCCTCATTCACACTGTGTGCCCTCCCCCGTTTACTCATCTTGGCAGAAAATGATTTGTAATCTCATATTGTCATCTTTTCGTGTGGCTATGCCAAATATGCTGAAAGAAATTATAAGCTCTTTTGGATCTGGAGCTCTATTTTGTACCTCTTTATCCCTTAACTGTTGCATTTCTGAGTCAGAACATATACCTCTCCTGGGTTTAAATTTCTTCTTTCATCTTTGTACCCTCAGTACAGTTCAGTTGGACACAGTAGGCACTTTATAAATTCTTCTAGTGAAACAATATATATTTTTTAATTTAATGAAAGTCCTTTATCAGTAAGATTATGACTCAATGATAATTCAGTCAGCAGCAAATAGGGAACCTCTTTGATTTGAGAAGTGCAAAGAGATTGAGGATATCTTCAGAAGCTATGCCTCCCTAAAGTTAGCCTCCTAGTAAGATAAGACTGTATTTCTACATCTCTTGCAAGAACCCAGGAAGGACAGAGGAGGGAAGAAACCAAAAAGTCAGCTTGGTGGTACTGAAGATATCGGCTTGTGGCCAACCACTCATTTACTGCAGGGAACATTAAACTACAACAATCCCAGATCCCTGCAATTGGTGCTTCTTGGCAGATCCTTAGAAATGATCGAATTCAATTTTCTTATTTTACAAATAAGGACATTGAGGCCAAAGAACTTGGGAGATGACTAATTTAGAAAATATTGTTTTGGGAAGTAATTGTATTAAAAAAATAACTCCACAGCTTAACAAAAGTGGTTTCTATGTTCAAGTTCAGTGTTTGTGTGAAACCCTTGAAATTAAGTTATAACAGCAGAACACAACAATGTATTTCTGTGGCTGAGACCTCTAACTATCCTCCAAAGATTTCTTCTTTCCTTCCATGTCACAGGGTTGTTTCTAGGAAGTGGATGCTCAGCTAGGGACATTTTTTTTCTAGCTGTCTTCGCATTTACTTTGGACCTAGTATCTAGCCTGGACCATGAGATGCAGGTAAAATTCTTATATTTCACCTGCAGAATTCACCTCCAGGAAGTCACACCATCCTCCACAATCTCTTTCCTGCATGGTCTTACTTCATCATAAGTTACCATCATTGATAAACTGGGAGTTAAGACAATTAAGAAATAAAGATCTAACCTCAGCTGAAATTTGCATATCAGATTAAGTACCTGTAGGATAGTATTGCCTTGCCTGTATCCACATAAGCTCAGGGAATCTTTTTTTTCCCATCTGTCAGATTATCAAACTCAAAGTTTGAAATGTTCTTTGCTGGTGAAACTGTGGTGAAATAGGCTCTTTGATATATTGCTGATAAGAGTATGAACAGGTACAGCCCTTGTGGAGAGCAGGAAATATGTATCAAAATTAGTTATGGGGCCGGACATGGTTGCTCACGCCTATAATCCCAGCAGTTTGGGAGGCCAAGGCAGGAGAATTACCTGAGGTCAGGAGTTCGAGACCAGCCTGGCCAACATGGTGAAACCCTGTCTCTACTAAAAATACAAAAATTAGCTGGGCGTCGTGGCAGATGCCTGTAATCATAGCTACTTGAGAGGCTGAGGCAGGAGAATTGCTTGAACCTGGGAGGCAGAGGTTGCAGTGAGCTGAGATCACACCATTGCACTCCAGCCTGGGAGACAAGAGCGAAACTCCATCTTAAGAAAAAAAAAATTATACACTCATTTAACCTTTAACTTAGTAAACCCATATCTGGAATTTATTCTTTACACACACCTGCACATATTTTAAATGGCATGTGGGAAGAGTTATCCATTTTAGCATTATTTGTAATGTTAACCTGTGAGAAACAGTCCAAGTATCCATCATTAGAGGGCTGGTTACATAAACTGTGTGTATTAGTCTGTTTTCACGTTGCTGATAAAGACATACCCCAGACTGGGCAATTTAAAAAAGAAAGAGGTTTCATGGACATACAGTTCCACATGGCTGGGGAAACCTTGCAATCATGGTGGTAGGCAAGGAGGAGCAAGTCATGTCTTACGTGGATGACAGCAGGCAAAGAGAGAACTTGTGCAGGGAAACTCTGCTTTTTAAAACCATCAGATCTCATGAAACCCACTCGCTATCATGAGAACCGTATGGGAGAAACTGCCCCCATGATTCAATTATCTCCAACCAGGTCCCTCTCACAATATGTGGGAATTATGGGAGATACAAGATAACATTTGGGTGGGGACACAGAGCCAAACCGTATCACCATTGCACATCCACACAGTGCAATACGGCACAGCTGGATGAAAGAACAAGGAAGATTACTATTTATGGGTATGGAAAAGTCCCCAGGATATTCTGGGAAGTGTAAAAAGCAAAGTTCAGAACAGTGTATGTAGTATGCTACCATTTGTTTAAAAAAGGAGAAAAGGGATAAGATATATTTTCACATGTACTCTCAACTGCATGAAGAAATTCTGTGTTTGAGGAGAGCTGAAAAAGGAGAAGATAGGCACAGAAGTGAGAGGAGGGTTTCTTAACCTATACCTTATTATATCATTATTTTAATCTGTTAATTAATTGCTTATTAAAATACAATTAAATCAAAAATAAAATGGAAAAAACTACAGAGCCTATCCCCATTGGGTTTTACACAAAATGGCAGAGAAGCAGGAATTACTAGCTAAATCAATGTTAAAAAACTATTTGTTATTAAAGAAAAGACAAACTTCTCTTTGGAATGATTGCTGTAGAATTACAGCTATGCTTCTGTCTGTTCCAGCTGGGTCAGTTTATTGCATTCATTGACTTTTGTTTTCAACTCTAATCATTTACTTGATTGAATGTTGCTTTCCTGCCTTCCTTACATCACTGATGCGTTTCAATAAATAATAAATTTTGCTCCCATAACCTTATTTGTTTAAACTTCTTTCCCTTTGTAGTTCCTAAGAACTATAAAGTCTCCCACCTGTCAGATGCTATGTTTGGAGCTGGAGATACAAAGACAATAAGACATGGCCCTAAGAGATCATAATTACAGGAGAGTGAGAGATAAATATCTTTTTATGGGCGAAATTGTGTTCCCCCAAAATTGATATGTTGAAATCCTAACTCCTAGTAAATCAGAATGTGATTTACTGTATTTGGAGAGAGCATCTTTGAAAAGATAATTAAGGTTAAATGAGGTCATTAGGGTAGGCCCAATCCAATAGGACTGGTGTCTTTATAAGAAGAGACGATTAAGACACAGACATGCGGGGAGGAAAGACCATGTGAAGAAAAAGGGAGAAGACTATCTTTGAAAAAGCTGAGGACAGGTGCCTCAGGATGAAACAAATTCTGCTAACACCTTGATCTTGGATTTCCTGCTTCCAGAACTGTGATGAAATAAATTACTGTTGTTAAAATCACTCAACTTGTGGTACTTAGCAAACTAATAACATCTCTAATGCATTTCAGTTAGAGGTGTGATGAGGGATAAAGAAGCACAGAATGGGGACCACTACTTTAACAGTTCGGACAAGCAGAAAGTTGGCACCTGAACAGAATCTATGAGGCAACTCTGTTGCCATCCTACTTTACAGGCGAGGAAACTGAAGCACAGAACTGTTATGTAAATTGCCCAAGATTACAAGACTAAGAAGTAATAGGGCCTTCATTCGCATTAAGGCAAATTCCTCTGAATTCGTGCTATTATGGCTATACTATGCTGTGCCTGATAAAATAAGATATCAGGAAAAGTGATGAATGGAGGAGGGAGAGCACATAGAGTGTTCATGGAGTTACATGTATGTGGCTTGAATATAAAGCAAAAGGTTAAATGGCAGCAGGTATGTTGGGATGGGTCCTATGGGCCTTATATGTGATACTAATTCTGCATTTTTAAAAATCCCCAATGCATTAAATCTAGAAATCAGTGAAGCCCCATTTTTGCATTTCGAAGTAGAAATTTAAGCCCCTGTGCCCAAACCGTAACTATTCAACTCAGTGAATTTTCACAAACTGACACACCCATGTAACTGGCACCTAGATCAAAAAGCAAAGCATTATAAGCCCCTCCAAAGTTTTCTCCTGTTCCTTTCATTTACCTTCTCCAATTATAACTACTATACTGACTTCCATGTGCATGGATTCGTTCTCCCTCATTTTGATCTTTTATATAAGTGAAATCATCCAGAAGGTACTCTTTTGTATCTGGCTTCCTTTGTTCACTCTTATATTATGAGATTCATCCTGTTGCATATAGTTATAGTGATTTCATTCTCTTTGCTATATAGTATTCCAGGGTGTATTTGCCTCAGTTTACTTATCCATTCTATTGTTGGTTGACATTTAAGTGGTTTCCAGCTTGAGGCTATTTTGAATAATGCTGCTATAATCATTCTTATAAATATAGTGAACATATGCACCTAGGGGTGGAATCGCTGGTTGATAGGATATGCATATGTTCAGCTCTACTAGATACTGCTAAATAACACATATACCTAATTGTGAAATACTGAAAGCTTGCCATGTTGACTTTCTATTTACTGGCGACACATAGGAAACAAAATTTTTTAATGACACAATTATCCATAGCTTCTTAAAGCATCAATTAAGAATTAGTTGATTAAAAGATATGCATTATTTTTGTACTGAAAATTACAAAACATCATTAAGAAGAATCTATAGAAGAATATTCCATATTTCTGGGATAGAGGAGTCAATTCTATAAAGAGATCTATTTCAACTTCCATAAACTTCCATTTCTGTAAACTCATACCATGCAGACTCTACATGAATGAATGCACTTTCTTTTCTTTTGTGGAATGCTTGTGATGACAGCAACCACCAAATAACTTGATAGAATTTTAAAAAATTGACAAGAACAAATTTAGTTCAGTCACCTGAATTCTGTGCAGCGGTGCATTTTGAAAGGACTAGGAAGGTGCCATATTGGAAGCAGGTACGCCATTTCTTGATAAATCCAGTGCTGCTTATTTTTTTCTTCCAGCTTTGTAGCATACAGTTATTTCTATAGTTGAGTATTAGATGAAGTGGTCAGCTTGCACTTAGTGCATATTGTAAAAGCTGTGTCTGTTCTCATTAGGTTTTCACTTAAGGGAACTAGAACCAGACTTAGAAACAGCAGATTGATAGCTCCCACCTCAAGCGCACTCTGAGGCATATGCTCAGTGGAGGAGAATAGCTGGTTGGGTCGCCCACACTATTTAAATTGTTGGTTCTTTTTCTCACCCTTTTTTTTGGTTTGTTTGCCAAACATATGTGGGTAAATTGCAGACGTTAAATGCCTGTGTGCTGAGATTGCCTTATATCTGATTACATATTCTTTCTTCAACCCTTCCTACTTTATTATGATTGCTAGCACCTCAACATTCCCTGACTACAGGGGTTTATGATTCATTTTGGTTTACAATTTGCACGGGTAAGTGTCCCATTTTTGGATAACAATATAGTTATTTCTTTAAAATTGAAGAAAATAAGATGCTGGTAAAAAAAGGAAATAACTCACTATTTCTTTTCATGAAAATAACAGGTTGTTTCCTTGTTAAACACTTTTAGTAATTTGTCAAAAAAATTACAGTATTTTCCATCCTCATCTAACAGGTTTTTACATGCTACAGTTACAAAGGCTGAGATTCACCAACAGAAGCCCATGAAGTTGTTGGCATATCCTTAAGTGTGTTTCTCATTTTAGTGCTGGGATATTTGAAACAGGCCATCACATTTTCCATAAATCTCATCTTTTCTAATTCACGTCCACTAATTCTAATTCTATCTGAAACAATGAGGCTTCTAGGTTGCCTTGCATGTCTGAGCAGGACAAAAAAATTAAAGAGGAAACAGTTAATGGGGCTGAAAAAAACTGAAGGAAGTAAGAAAAGTAAAATCTTGTGTTGGAGAAAGAAGAAGTGAGTGAGAAAAAGATTAGATGCAGCTACCTTTGATAGCTTAAGACACAGAGGAATTATAGAACTTAATTACTGTATGAGAACTTCACCATCATTTACAATAGATAAATAGTTTGACTATTAACAATTAAAACCAAGTAAGCTTTGTAAGTTCCAAGTTTTTGAAATTTCTTGGTGCAGATGCACACAGTTTCTCCCCATGCTTTTGTTTGGTATTTTGTTAATGTTGTAGAGCAACGAAAGGACTTAATTCAAAGTACTGAAAATGTAATATCTTGCAATTTACTGTTGCTCAAATTAGGGATGATTCATTGATTTGGAGAAGCATCTTTGTGAACTTTCTCTACTTAATGCCAAACAATCCGTCGATTATTTAATTCCGAGGAACATGATTCACCAGAGTGGTTACATGTGTATTTTTGGAGGCTGGAAAAATGTGTTTTGTTTTTTATTTTAAATATTTATTTTAAGTTCAGGGGTACATGTGCAGGTTTCTTATATAGGTAAACTTGTGTCATGGAGGTTTGTTGCACAGATTATTTCGTCACCCAAGTGTTAAGCCTAGTATCCATTAATTATGTTTCCTGATCCTCTCCCTCCTCCCACCCTCCAACCTTGAATGGGCCCCAGTATGTGTTATTCCCCTCTATGTGTCCATGTGTTCTCATCATTTAGCTCCCAATTATAAGTGAGAACATGTGGTATTTGGTTTTCTGTTCCTGCACTAGTTTGCTAAGGATAATGGCCTCCAGCTCTGTCCATGTTCCTGCAAAGGACATAATCTCATCCTTTTTTTTTCCTTTTTTTTTTTTTAAGACAGAGCCTTGCATTGTCACTTGGGCTGGAGTGCAGTGTAACAATCTCAGCTTGCTGCAACCTCTGCCTCCTGGGTTCAAGTGATTCTCTTGTCTCAGCCTCCTAAGTAGCTGGGACTATAGGCATGTGTCACTACACCTGGCTATTTCTTTGTATTTTTGGTAGACACAGAGTTTCACCATATTCGCCAGGCTGGTCTGGAACTCCTGACCTCAAGTGATCTGCCCACCTTGGCCTCCCAAAGCACTGGAATTACAGGCGTGTGCCACCACACCCAGCCTCTTTTTTATGGCTGTTTATATTCCATGGTGTATATATATATCACATTTTCTTTATTCAATCTACCATTGATGGGCATTTAGGTTGATTTCATCACTTTTCTATTGTGAATAGTGCTGCAATGAACATAGGTGTGCATGTGTCTTTATGATAAAACAGTTTATATTCCTTTGGATGCAGATCCATTAATGGGACTGCTGGGTCAAATGGTAGCTCTGTTTTTAGGTCTTTGAGGAGCACAATGGTTGAACTAACTTATACTCTTACTAACAGAGCATAACTGTTCCTTTTTCTCTGCAACCTTACCAGCAGCTGTCATTTTTTACTTTTTAATAGTAGCCATTGTAACTGGTGTGAGATGGTATCTCATTGTGGTTTTGATTTGCATTTCTCTAATGATCACTGATGTTGAGCTTTTGTTTATATGCTTTTTGGCCACATACATGTGTTCTTTTGAAAAGTGTCTGTTCATGTCCTTTGCCCACTTTTTAATGGTGTTACTTGTTTTTTTCTTATAAATTTGTTTAAGTTCTTATAGATGCTGTATATTAGATCTTTGTCAGTTGCATAGTTTGTGAATATTTTCTCTCATTCTGTAGGTTGTCTGTTCACTTTGTTGATAGTTTTTTTTTTGTTGTGCAGAAGTTCTTTAGTTTAATTAGATCCTATGTGTTAATTTTTGCTTTTGTTGCAGTTGTTTTTAATGTCTTTGTCATAAAATCTTTGCTTGTTCCTACATCGAGAATGGTATTGCATAGGTTGTCTTCAGGGTTTTTTATAGTTTTGGGTTTTACATTTAAGTCTTTAATCTATCTTGAGTTAAAGGAAGGGATACAGTTTCAGTCTTCTGCATATGGCTAGCCAGATATCCCAGGACCATTTATTGAATAGGGAGTCTTTTCCCCATTGCTTGTTTTTGTCAGCTTTGTCAAAGATCAGATAGTTGAAGGAGTGTGGCATTATTTCTTGGTTCTCTATACTGTTCCATGGTCTATGTGACTGTTTTTGTACCAGTACCATGCTGTTTTGGTTACTATAGCCCTGCAGTATAGTTTGAAGTCAGATAGTGGGATGCCTCCAGCTTTGTTCTTTTTGCTTAGGATGACATTGGCTATTCAGGCTCTTTTTTGGTTTCATATGAATTTTAAAATAGCTTTTTCTAGTTCTATGAGGAGTGTCATTGGTAGTTTAAAAGAAATAATACTAAGTCTATAAATTGCTTTAGGCAGTATAGCCATTTTAACAATATTGATTCTTTCTATCCATGAGCATGGAATTTTTTTTTCCATTCCTTTGTGTCATCTCTGATTTCTTTGAGCAGTGTTTTGTAGTTCTCCTTGTAGAGATCTTTCACCTCTTTGGTTAGCTGCATTCCTAGGTATTTTATTCTTTTTGTGGCAATTGTGAATGAGATTGTGTTTCTGATTTGGCTCTCAGCTTGACTGTTGTTGGTGTAAAGGAATATTAGTGATTTTTTGCACATTGATTTCATATCCTGAGACTTTGCTGAAGTTGTTTAGTAGCTTAAGAAGCTTTCAGGCTGAGACTATGGGGTTTTCTAGATAGAGGATCATGTAATCTGCAAACAGGGATAGTTTGACCTCCTTTCTTTCTATTTGGATGCCTGTTATTTCTTTCTCTTGCCTGATTGCTCAGACTTCAAATACTATGTTGTTGAATAGGAGCAATGAGGGAGGGCACCCTTGTCTTGTGCAAGTTTTCAAGGGTAATGATTCCAGCTTCTGCCCAGTCAGCATGATATTGGCTTTGGGTTTGTCATAGATTACTCTTATTATTTTGAGTTATATTCATTCAACATATAATTTATTGAGAGCTGTTAACATGATGGGGTGTTGAATTTTATTAAAACCCCTTTCTGCATCTATTGAGATAATCATGTGTTTTTTATTTTGAGTTCTGTTTATGTGAAGAGTCACATGTATTTATTTGTGTATGTTGAACCAATCTTGCATCCCAGAAATAAAGCCTACATGATCATGGTGGATAAGCTTTTTCATGTGCTGCTGGATTCAGTTTATGACTATTATATTGAGGACTTTTACATAGATGTTCATCAAGGATATTGGCTTGAAGTATTTTGTTGTTGTTGTTGTTGTGTTTCTGCCAGGTTTTGGTATCTGGAGGATGCTGGCCTCATAGAGTGAATTAAGTATTCCCCCAATTTTTTGGAATACTTTTAGCAGGAATGGTACCAGCTCCTCTTTGTACTTCTGGTAGAATTCAGCTGTGAATCTGTCTGGTTTTGGTTCTGGGCTTTTTTTCTTTTCTTTCCCTTTTTTTTGTGGGGATGATGGTGATAGGCTATTTATTACTGCCTCAATTCAGAGCTTGTTATTGGTCTGTTCAGGAATTCAGTTTCCTCCTGGTTCAGTCTTGGGAGGGCGTATGTGTCTAGGAATTTATCCATTTCTTCTATATTTTCTAGTTTATGTGTACAGGGGTGTTCATAATATTCTGTGATGGTTATTTGTATTTCTGTCGAGGTCAGTGGTAATATCCCCTTTGTTTCTGATTGTGTTTATTTGGATCTTCTCTCTTCTTTATTAGTCTAGCTAGCACTCTATCTTATTATCATTTTTCAAAAACCAGTTCCTGGAATTGTTGATATTTTGAATGGTTTTTCATGTCCCAGTCTCCCTCAGGTCAGCTCTGATTTTGGTTATTTCTTGTCTTCTACTAGTTTTGAGGTCTGTTTGTTCTTGGTTCTCTAGTTCTTTTAGTTGAGATGTTACATTGTTAAATTGAGATCTTTGTAACTTTTTGATGTGGGCATTTAGTGCTATAATTTCTCTCTTAACACTGCCTTAGCTGTGTCCCAGGGATTCTGGTATGTGGTATCTTCTTTTTTTTCATTAGATTCAAACAAGTTGTTGATTTCTGCCTTAATCTCATTATTTACTTAAAAGTCATTCAGGAGCAGGCTATTTAATTCCCACATTTTTTTATGATTTAGAGTGAATTTCTTAGTCCTGATTTTTAATTTGATTGTGCTCTGGTCCAAGAGATTGGTTGTTACGATTTCAGTTCTTTTGCATTTGCTGAGTGTTTTATTTCTGATTGTGTGATTGGTTTTAGGGTTTGTGCCCTGTGGTGATGAGAAGAATGCATATGTATTAGTCAGGGTTCTCCAGAGGAACAGGAATAATTGGATAGATGTATACATAAAAAGGACTTTATTAAGAAGTATGTACATGTACGATCACACAGTGAAGTCCCACAATAGGCTGTCTGCAAGCCGAGGAGCAAGGAAGCCAGTCCAAGTCACAAAACCTCAAAAGTAGGGAAGCTGACAGTATAGCCTTCAGTCTGTGGTCAAAGGCCCAAAAGCCCCTGGCAAACTTCTGGGGTAAGCTCAAAAATCCAAAAGCTGAAGAACTTGGAGTTTGATGTTCAAGGGCAAGAAGCATCCAGCACAGGAGAAAGATGGAGGCTGGAAGACTCAGCCAGTCTAGTTCCTTCCATGTTCCTCTGCCTCCTTTCATTCTAGCTACGCTGGCAGCTGATTAGGTGGTACACACCCAGATTGAGGGTAGGTCTGGCTCTTTCAGTCCACTGACTCAAATGTTAATCTCCTTTGGCAGCACCCTCACAGACACACCCAGGAGCAATACTTTGCATCCTTCAGTCTAGTCAAGTTGACATTCAGTATTAACCATCACAGCATATTCTGTTGTTTTGGGGTGGAGAGTTCTGTGGATATCTGTCAGGCCCATTTGATCCAGTAATGAGTTCAGGTCTTGAATATCTTTGTTAATTTTCTGTCTCCATCATCTGTCTAATATTTTCAATGGGGTGTTAAAGTCTCCCACTGTTATTGTGTAGGAGTCTAAGTCTCTTTGAATGTCTCTAAGAACTTGTTTTATGAATTTGGGTGCTCCTGTGTTGGGTGCTTATATATTTAGGATGGTTAGGTTGAATTGAACCCATTATCATTATGTAATGCCCTTCTTTGTCTTTTGTGATCTTTGTTGGTTTAAAGTCTATTTTGTCTGAAACTAGGATTGCAACCCTCAATTTTTTTCCCTGTTTTCCATTTGTTTGGTAGATTTTTCTCCATTCTTTTATTTTGAGACTATATGTGCTATTGCATGTGAGATGGATCTCTTGAAAACAGCATGCCAGTGGATCTTGGTTCTTCATCCAGCTTGCCACTCTGTGTCTCTTAATTGGGGCATTTAGCCTATTTATATTCAATATTAGTATTGATACGTATGAATTTGATGCTGTTACTATGATGTTAGCTGGTTATGTTGCAGACTTGTTTATGTGGTTGCTTCATGGTGTCACTGGTCTGTGTACTACAGTGTGTTATTGTAGTGGCTGGTAACAGTCTTTCCTTTCCATATTTGATCCTTCTTTCAGGAGCTCTAGTAAAGCAGATTTGGTGACAACAAATTCCTTCAGCTTTCACTTGTCTGAAAAGGATCTTATTTATCCTTCTCTTATGAAGCTTAGTTTGGCTGGACATGAAATTCTGGGTTAGAATTTCTTTTCTTAAGAATGTTGAATATTGGCCCTCAATCTCTTCTGGCTTATAGGGTTTCTGTGGAGATGTCCACTGTTAGCCTCATGGGCTTCCCTTTGCAAGTAAACTGACCTTTCTCTAGTTGCCTTTAACATTTTTTCTTTCATTTCAACCTTGGAGAATCTGATAATTATGTGTTTTGGGGATGATTTTGTAAAGCATCTGACTGGGTTTCTCTGAATTTCCCAAATTTGAATGATGGCATGTCTAGCTAGGTTGGGGAAGTTTTCATGGATGATATCCTGAAATATGTTTTCCAAGTTGGTTCCACCCTCCCCATCTATTTCAGGGATACGAAAGAGTCATAGATTTGTTCTCTTTACGTAATCCCATATTTTTCAGAGGTTTTGTTTGTTCCTTTTCATTCTTTTTTCTCTATTCTCTCTTTTTTTGTTTTGTTTTTTTTTTTTGAGACAGAGTCTTGCTCTGTTGCCCAGGCTGGAGTGTAATGGCACAATCTCAGCTCTGCCTCCCGGGTTCAAGTGATTATCCTGCCTCAGCCTCCTGAGCAACTGGGATTACAGGCATGCACCATCATGCCCAGCTAATTTTTTTTGTATTTTTAATAGAGATGGAGTTTCACCATGTTGGTCAGGCTGGTCTCAAACTCCTGACCTCAAATGATCCACTGGCCTTGGCCTCCTAAAGTGCTGGGATTACAGGGGTGAGCCACCATGCCTGGCCTCTTTTTCTCTATACTTGTCTGACTGTCTTATTTCAGAAAGCCAGTCTTCAAGCTCTGAGATTATTTCCTCCACTTTGTCTACTATGCTATTAATATTTGTGATGGCATTATTAAATTCTTGTTGTATGTCTTTCAGCTCTGTCATGTTGGTTACATTCTTCTCTATACTGGCTATTTTGTCTCTCAGCTCCTGAATTGTTGTATTATGATTCTTAGCTTCCTTGAATTGGATTTCAGTGTACTCCTTAGCTCAATGATCTTCATTCCTTTCCATATTCTGAATTCTATGTCTGTCATTTCAGCCATCTTGGCCCAGTTCAGAGCCCTTGCTGGAGAGGTGATGTGGTCATTTGGAGTAAAGAATGCACTCCGGCTTTTTGAGTTGTCAGGGTTCTTGCACTGGTTCTTTTTCATCTTTGCAGGCCTATGTTCCTTCAGTCTTAGAGGTTGCTATCCTTTGGATGGGTTTTTTAAAATTTTATTTTATCTTACTTGATGACCTTGAGGGTTTGATTGTGGTATAAGGTGGATTTAGCTGAGGGGCTTCATTTCTAGAAGATTTTAAGGGGTCAATGCTCAGTTCCAGCTCCTGGGCTGTGTCCTCTAACTCTGGGGGACTTGTGTTGGACCCCAGCTTTGTTCTCTTGCTCCTCAACATTAGAAATCCACTGTGCTGGAGTGACAAATGTGCCCTCAAACCTCTGGTTCCTGCACTCTGATGAGTGGTATCAGCCAAAGTGTATTGTAGTGTGGTGTGGTGACCACAGGATTCATCCTCACTCACACCTGCCAGCAACCATGGTAACAGCAGTGCAGTGGGTTGCACATTTGTCAGCTGCAGCAAGGTGCTCATGGGTGCTGGGGTGCCTGCCTCTCTGCAGGTGTTCACCACAGTGACAGAGGCAATGCAGCTTTGCAGGGCAGGGGACTGTGGCAACTGTTTGAATGATCGTGCTGGTGGTGGTGATGGCTTGGGGGTGGGATGCTGTCTGGTGTAGGTCTCTGTGCCTTCTCTGTTTGCTGCAAGCAGGAGTGATTGCTCAGTGCAGGGGAGGATTCACTGTTCTCCGCACCTAGTTTCACTCCTGTGGCAGTGTTAGTGCAAGGTTGGGGCACTGGTGGGGGCAGGGCTGGCTGCCTCTGTGCTCATCAAGTCTCTATCTGCAATGACATTTAGGGAGTGATGGAAGTGGGCTGTACTTTCACTGCAGCAGTGGCAGAGTGGTGTGTGCACATACTCGCTCGCACACTGGTTGGACAAGGAAAGCAAAACCTGCCTGCACAGACATGTGTAACCAAAACAATGTGGGGAGTTGTCATGAATGCAGGGCGGGGTGAGTGGGAAGCTGCAGTGTGGGGAAGGAGCATGCAGGTGGGTGCATGGCCATGGGGACTGTCCCCTTGGCACTTTCAACCCATCAGGCACAGTCTGCCAGTGCAGATGCTATGATACATGCCCTCAGGGCACCCATGGCTGCCATGCTAGCAGGTGTGGTCAGGCTTGCCCCAGGAGAGGCCAGAAGACCAAAGAGCACTCAGGTCAGACTAGCCCTGTCTGATGGGCAAGACCACCCTGCAGAGTTCAGGCCTGACATTTCCCTAGGGCTAAAATCTTCTATGGGAGCAAGTCAAGCCTAGAAGGATGGCCATCCCTGGCCATGTTCTGCTGCAAATACTCCTGCACCAAACACTCTGGGCTCCACATCAGCTGACTTGCTCCCCCTATGACTTCTCTAAATAGCTAATTCTGCCAATTTGAGTGCCTGTGGTGATGGAGGGATCTCCTCCTGCTGGGGTTCCAGAGGCCTGTGGTGAGAGTGGGTTGCTCCTTGCCAGTTTGACTCAATCATTTCCCCAAAGCTGTTGGCGGGTCAGGAACAAGTCCAGGTGTGCAATAGCCCTGTGTAGGATTCCCAGCTTTCTCCCGCTTCTGCTCAGCTTCTGTGCCTTCCCTCTATTTGCTCTAGATACCTTCTCTCTGAAGATCTGTTAGGAGTATGCCAGTCACCTTAGTCCCTCCATGGCAGCTGTTCCACCTGGTTATGTCTAGTCGGTCATTTTGCCCTCCCTCTTCTCTGGATAAAGGTTTTTATTGAACTTAACTACTTGGTAATTAACATTGGTGGATATTTTATACTATCTTTTAGATAAATTGGCACATTTCAAAAAATTTAGAATACAGCAGAATTATCCCTGTCATAAAAGTGTTTTCACTCTGAGTAATAAGTCTATGTATCATCTTGACTTGTGAAATAGGTCTTCCTAATATATAGTCACACTGAATACAATGTATATATAAAACAGAACAAAAAATTCAAATTTTCAAAGGGAATTTCATTCAGAAATTTTTAATGGATTTTATCATACAATGGAAGAGAGTGTAATAATATAAGTGCATTAAATCTTTAAGTCTGCCATTTTAAAACTCAATAGGCATACCCACTTATTCTTCTATTCATTGATCAATTAAGCAAATATTTAATGAATGTCTCCTAAATGCCAGGCATCAAATTAAGTGAATAAAAACACTATCAGGAAGCCAATAAGAAAGAACTACATGTAATTACTACTTGATCCCAAAACTTGGGAGGGACAGAACGTGGTTCTTTGAGGTCAAGAACAAAAAACCTTGACATCACAGGACTAGGGTTGGGGTAGGGACATGTATGAATTGGAATTGGCAGTGGTCTGGGTCAGACAGTTGCAGAACCTTGCAGGCCATGTTAAGGATCGTGGCCTTTGCCTAACAGCTTCAGAAAGGGCTTACATGGTTTTATATGGATGGAGATATAATCTTATGTTCATTTAGCAGAACAAATAAGAGGGATCTAAGGAGATTTTTCTTAGAATCAGTTAGTAGTTTATTTTTGTGGTCCCAGTGAGTGATAAGGAAAAGTTTTCTTGGACCAGTGTTGTGGTCTTGGAGATGGAGAGAGAAAAAAGATATGTCCAGGGAGAAAATCAAGAGGACTTAGTAACAGAGTCTTGGGAAGGAGGAAGATGTCAAGGATCACTTGTAGGTTTCTGCCTTAATGATTCTGATTTACACTATCAAGACAGATTTGCATGTTATTATAGGGAGCTGGATGATCAACATCACTTTATCCTGCATAGGTTTTGTGGCTCAATGAATTATTAGCATAAATTCATAGATCATTGCACAATATTAACAAAACCTGAGTCATAAGTTTTACTTGACCCCTAAACAATTTAGTTAACTTTACCGTCTTGCTTGACCACAAAGTCTATTCCTCATTACCACTTTCTTGAAAAGCATGTTGATCACAAATGGCCCTGGGAGGAAACATGAAGCTGTTTCATTACAAATGTGTCTTTAAAAACAACTGAAAGTGTTTGTTCTACTGATACAGATAATGAGTTCCTTCAGGAAACTCTCAGCACAGAAGGAATTAGTACATCCTGACTAGCCTAAGGGGAGGGGGTGGCAGATGAATGTATGTTATAGATTTGTCTCTCTGAGCCTACAAACCCTTAATAAAGTATCTCAAGTGCGAGGTAATAATGGAACTCAGTAACACAACCAGAAAAAGGGAGGAAAAAATCTGGGTCATGAGATGTTCATGGGGATTAGAAAATGACTTGGTTGACTGTCCTCCAGGGGCAAAACCCATTAGTAGAAAGCAGCCTGTTCTCTGATCCTGTGGAGCCATTGTAATTACTGAGGAAAACATCATTCTCAGGACTTACATCAGGACTTTAAGCTTAGTGATTGATGTGGTTTGGATCTGTGTCCCCATGCAAATCTCATGTCAAATTGTAATCCCCAATGTTGGAGGTGGGGCTGTGTGGGAGGTGATTGGATCATAGGGGCAGAGTTACCATCGGTGCTACTCTTGTGATACTGAGTGAATGCTTGTGAGATCTAGTTGTTTAAAAGTGTGTAGCACCTCCCCTACCTCTCTCTTCCTCATGCTTGGCCATGTAAGATATTATCTGCTTCCCCTTTGTCTTCTGCCATGATTGTAAGTTTCTTGAGGCCTCCCCAGAATCTGTATAGCCTGCAGAACTGTGAGCCAATTAAGCCTCTTTTCTTTATAAATTATCCAGTTTCAGGTGTTTCTTTATAGCAGTGTGAGAATGGGCTAATACAGTGATGGAAAGAACCAACTTCATCCTGCTCACACTCAAATCCCCAAAGCACAGCCAAGTGCCTATCTTATGGTTTATGTGTAATAAATATTTTATGAGTGATTGAATGAAAATATTCCCAACCACAGTACCCAAGAGAAAGTAGAGCTCAGTCATTGATTACTGCTTGTGCTCTTACCTGCTGACGAGCAGCTACAAATTTAACTAGCAAACCATATTGTAGAAGCTGGAGTCAGTTTGGGCAGTCTTTTTCTCAAGTTGTAGGGGCCCTACCAGCATCAAGGTATAAAGATAATAGCCTAGACACACAGGTAAAGGGCTAGAAGGACCTAGATTAGCTATCAGGATATAGACTAGGTAGTCCATAGAGGCATGTCTTTCCAAACTTTAAACAAAAATGACTCTTGGGTTGACTTTTTTAAGAATTTCAAGGCTGGATGTGGTGTCTCACATCTGTAATCCCAGCACTTTGGGAGGCTGAGGTGAGAGGATCTAGAAGTTCGAGGCAAGCCTCAGCAACATAGTGAGACCTTGTCTCTGCAAAAAATAAAAATAAAAAAAACTACCTTGGTATGGTGGTACATGCCTCTAGTCACAGCTACTAGGGAGACTGAGATGAAAGGATGACTTGAGCCTGGGAGGTCAAGGCTGCAGTGAATCGTGATTGATTGAGCCACTGCACTCAGCCTGGGCAAGAGTGAGACCCTGTCTCAAGAAAACAACAACAATAAAAAAAGAATTTCAAAATATAGTTTCTTTTTGTAGAAAGAAATGTACAGAGAAGACATACAAACAAGAAGCTTATAAAAGTCATATAAAACCCAGCTTCTCAGAGACAATCATTGCAAATATCTTGGTGAATACTCTTCTAGATATCTTTCCATATGTATATACACAGAGATACATTCATATAATTTTACTAAAAAAAGAATCATACCAGTATGCTGTTTTTTCTGAAAGCTGCTTTTGTCAACATCATCAATTTTTAATGGTAATAACTAGAGATATATATCATAATTTTAAATTACTGCAAAGTTACCCATCTCCTGTATATCATTATTTATTTACTGATTCCCTAATGATAGATAACTGATTTGTTTCTTAGTATTTGCTTTTATAAACAACATGCCAATGAAAATAACAATGGTAGTTCATGCATCATTTTACATTTAACAAAAGTTAAAACTTAACTCAGACAAATAAAGACTAAATCCATGTCAAATATTTATTTAACTCAATTATGAAAAAACCATCAGGATAGTAAAGCTGGTTCATTAGGCATTTGTGCAACACATATTTACACATTTAGAAAGAAAAGGCATGCTTAAGTTTGCTAAGTTGAAAATACAATTTCAGGGCAACACAACTCTAATTTTGAGTTTATCTTATCTACTAGACAGAAATCATTTGTGCCCTCTACGAGACAGGAATCTACAAATTAACATGTAACTTAAGAATATCTGGAATGTAACAATAATACCTTCTATATCAAAATAGACCCGTTATCTTAGAGAGTTAAATAATCTTGGGGGAGACCTATTACATGGTGCTCCAGTATAAGATTGTAAGGGCTTGACTTTTTTTCCCTATGTTTCCAAATTTTATATAATATTTCTTAGGACATGTATGTTGTCTAACTTGACTCCATTTTGAAAGATGTGGATTTTGAAATATGAGAAAGATGAGATTAGGCAGACCAAGTAGACAGGGGTGGGAAAGGCTGAGGATACCTAGAAGGGTGACAGAGATTTCCTCAGGCAACCTGTGAAAAAGGATCTGATTAACTTTATTGCAAATTTATTAATCTTTGATTACCAACTAGATTGTAAGTTCCTCAAGGGTGGGGACTGTGTCTTAATTTCTCCTGTATTCTTCAGACAACTTAGATGGGCTCGTTAGAGAGAAGCAAATTCAAAGCTATCTCAGAATGTGCATTTTAATGGAGATGAGTGAAGAGTTTCCTTTCTATACAAATTTATAAAATAAAGTTTAAGTGGCCTTTGGGCATTACTGGAATGGTGGAAGAGGAAAAACTTTCTTTTTAGAATGTCTTAGTCCTAAAAGATTGATTGGTCTGGCAAATAAGGGAGTAAATCTTGGACTCTGACATCACAAGAGGTAAGTCCTACTTTGCTACTGGCTTCACCATCAATTCTTAACCTGGACTTTTCCCCAGTTCCTGGGCTGGAATATGGAGGCCAGTTGTCAGCTTTCAACCTTTGAGTTTCTCCTTCGAATTTTGGCTTAAGTTTGGTTTCCAAAAGAGTATCTACCCAGACAGCTAGAGGGAATTAAGATGGCTGTTTTGAATTGCTAAGCTCCTCTTGACTAGAACAAGAAGAGTTTCTATGTGATGGCTGTTTTTCACTTCACAGCTTGATCTGATTAACTCTGATCTCTGGTGATGGCTAGTAAGTCATTGCATGTCTAGTGATAGTATCCCTTCTACTGCATTAAACAGGATGAGTTTTTTCTTAGTGCTTTTAGTTTGTCCAATTGGGTGAATATTAACAAGGAAGTTTTTTGCTTTTAGGAGCATTAGTGTTGCTCATTCAGGTGATTTTCTTTTTGAGTTAAGCCATTTAGAAAATGAGTCAGTGAATACGACTGGGGACTGAGGTAGAAGATTCCAGCTAAGTTATCTGCCTCTGTCTCCTGCTGAAAGCTTCAGCAGAGGGTTTACAGAAAGTTTTCAATAGGTACAATAGTATCTTTGCTTAGAGTCAGTGATAGCATCATTGGTTTTCTTTTAACATTAAACATTTTATTGGATAATTTTCACATCCCTTAGGGAGGATGTGTGACTCCTTTTAAAATAAAGTAAGAAAAAAATCACATGATGAAATTGACTTGCCTCATAGAGCCATTCTCCCTGAAACCACCTTGAAGAAGAAGAGTAAATGCTTTAAAGTTTATTTTAGGGCTTTATTAAAAAGGAAAACATGCTTTCTGGGTATGCGTTGGATGTCAATATAGATTCAGGCCAATCTGCAATTCTGTCTCTAGCCGCAATGGAAAAGCCCATCTAGGCAGGCCACTGTGTGGGAGGATCAATGAGCAAGGAAAATGTCTTGTTTTGGACTGACCAAGACAGGAAACTGTGCTTAGATATTTTAATACTACAAATAGAGAAGTAATATAATATTAAGGATCAAAGAATGTGGCGGTTTGGGTCAAGCCATACGACTTTGGGAAAATAAAATCTCAGAACCTTGGTGTTCTATTGTAAAAAGTAAGAATGAGGATTGTGTGATCTCAGAGGAAAAAAAAAACGAGTTGCCTTTGTGTTGTGTTTTAAGAGTCCTGGAAAACTTCCTGGTTCAGAGTCCCTCCCCACACTACTATTTGGACTTCTAATATTAATAATTCATTTCCTGGAAATCCACTGCCCTCTCCTACCTCTCTTGTAAATTTGAATACCCTGCAAAGGGTATAGAATGCAGTTGTTTTACCTCAGTCTCAACAGCCTTATCAGTTCATTTATGCCAAAGGGGAAAAAAGAAACCTTTTCAACAAAAGAAATTTGGGTATCCTGGGGTGGGTTTGGGGTGGGTGTGAAATCTGCAATAATGCAAAAGTGATGGAAAGAGGAGCACAGAAGTCAACATTTTTCTACTTTACAGTTTTGTATGAGTTTAAGAGGCATGCCCTGTCTGAAAGCATGTGTGTCTTTTAAAATCTGCTTTGGAATTATCCCATTTTCCCCTGCTCTTATGCACTCAGATTTTCCCTCCTATTGCTTCTGTTTGGTTTTCTAACAGTATTGTTTAATTTTGTAGAGTACTTAAAATGCTGAATTTTGCTCTCAAAGACACATTACAAAATAAAGCCACAGGATATTGCGTTATAAGTGAAAATGATAGGGAACCACTCAGATTGAATCTGTAATGTTCTCAAGTGAGAGTCATGGGAGTTTTCAGATGCACTGTGCAAAGTGGAAGATGTGCTAGTAAATCTGCCTTCACAAGGTAATATTCCCAGGTAACTTGCAATGAGAATCTCCACTCCTGCTATCAGATCACAGGGCAGAGCCAAGACCTGCTGAAGAACATGCAGTACTCTGGCTGCTATTATATCGCACACTTGAGGGGAGATAGAAAGACGTTTCCAGAGAAATGTTATTAGAAATAAACTCAGGATGAAAAAAAAATGGAAATAGCATTTTTTTCTGGCAAGTACTTGATTGATGTTTAATATTTTCAGTGTTAGCATAACAGCTGTATTTCAATTGGAAAGGCAACCAGGGAATTTGATTAATGAAATGCAGAAAAGTCAAACCACCTCACAAGCTTGTTTGTTACTCATAAAAATGATGACAAAATCGTGTGCATGCAAAAGTGATTGGAACAATGAATAATTATGTCCATGAAGAAATGGAATCACTTCTCTCAAAATTTACCAGTAAATGTTAAGACCTTAGAGCTAGGCATTTTTTGTTTGCTTGCTTGTGTGTTTTACTGTTTTTTGCCTTGCATTTTGAGAACTTTAATATTTCCAAATGTTCAGTGGCCAAAGAACATTTGGAATATTGACTTTTGTTTCCTTTGAGGGCAGTCATTTCTGTGCGGGAAGAGGTGAAGAAAAAAGGGAGATAGAGGAGAAAGAAGAAGACAGACAATCTGGAATTATCCTCCTTTTACTGATACTAGCAGTTTTCCAAAAACTCGCATCTATGCTGGCTGCCCTGCTCACAATCTTTTGTTTATGCTGGAGATAAGCAAGCCTAATACAATATTAAAATATCACAGATACATACTAATTGGCTTCTCTTCAGTATAGTTCAACTCAGTTTGGTTCATCAGTTGAGTGCTCAATCTTTGCCAGGTATGGAGGATTAAAAAATGAACAGGAGAAGGTGTCTGTGAAGAGTGTGTGGATCAGACACATGCACAGAGAACTGCCATATAAGGTACCAAGTACATGGGGCCAGAGAAAACAGGCAAGTCAGTTCTGCCTGAAAGGGAGGGAGAAGGCTTTGTGGAGGAGGTCACAGCAGACTTACATTTATTTATTTATAATTTATTATTTACAGATTTATTGGTTTATTTAGAGATGAAGTCTGACTCTGTTGCCCAGGTTGGAGTGCAGTAGCATGATCATAGCTCACTGAAGCCCTGAACTCCTGGGCTCAAGCAATCCTCCCACCTTAGCCTTTTAATAGCTGGCATTACAGATGCATGCCACTATGCCCAGCAAGAGTTATGTTTTGAAAGGTAAGAAGCATGACATGATGAAACAAATCCAAGGTATGTAAACACCTAGAGGTGAACAGAACTTGCTAGTATTGCAGAAGGGCTGTCCTGGAATGAGTGACACAGAGCAGGATCCTGACTCCATAGCAGTGCTGAGTGCACAGTTAAGGCTTGAATCTTGCCTGTGACTATAGCATTGGTTCCACCAGCAGCAAATAAGAATTTTTTTTTCCCCAGGAAAAGTACTTGTGAATAAAGCAGATAAAATTATTCTAATGCAGGTGGACCAAGAGATACAAAAACAAAATGTAATCGACTGAGAGAAGAGAAAAATATAAACAATGTAGGAACATGTAGTATTATTGGAATAGAAGTTTACAGGTTTTTGTTAAGTCTGTAAGCAATCACTGAGTACTTACTGCATACCTACGTGGTACCTGTGCCTGGGCTGGGCACTGTGAGGACCATAAATGAAAAAGTTCTGTCCCCTGCCCTTAAGGAGTTATCTGGTTAAACTACAAAGTGCCTGGGTGGGAGAGGCGTACACATTATAAGAAAGGGTCTATCAGTCTGCTTTTAGTAGGCTCCACAACTCAATGAAGTTATACTTAGCAATCTTTTCAACTGGCCCTGGCTACAACGAAGTTCTTCCCCACTCTCTTCTTTCGGGGTGTCCTAAGGAACACCCTTCTCAACAGAAGATAAGAGAAAATATTTTTTTCAAAAGCTAATTCCTTGTTTAAAAGTACATAATTTAAAACAAATATGTTTAGTTTCCATACCACACTCTTCATCCCTGCCCCAACTGGATAGGAAGCTTTGTGGAAGCAGGAATTTTGTCTATCCTGTTTGCCACTGACTATATGGATTTTAAATTTGTTGGTTTTTCTCAAAGCCCACCAGTTCATACACTAATGCTTTATTATCAAAATTTTTATCATTGCCCATATAATTGATGAAACATATCTTACTGCTTTTTTATTATTTGTGTTTCTTAGTGTGAGCACCTTTAATTATAGAGCAATTTTCCCTGTGTATCTGTTAAAAATCATATATATTATTATCCTGTGTGTCTTTTTTTTTATTATTATACTTTAAGTTTTAGGGTACGTGTGCACATTGTGCAGGTTACATATGTATACATGTGCCATGATGGTGCGCTGCACCCACTAACTCATCATCTAGCATTAGGTATATCTCCCAATGCTATCCCTCCCCCCTCCCCCACCACACAACAGTCCCCAGAGTGTGATGTTCCCCTTCCTGTGTCCATGTGTTCTCATCGTTCAATTCCCACCTATGAGTGAGAATATGCGGTGTTTGGTTTTTTGTTCTTGCGATAGTTTACTGAGAATGATGATTTCCAATTTCATCCATGTCCCTACAAAGGACATGAACTCATCATTTTTTATGGCTGCATAGTATTCCATGGTGTATATGTGCCACATTTTCTTAATCCAGTCTATCATTGTTGGACATTTGGGTTGGTTCCAAGTCTTTGCTATTGTGAATAATGCCTCAATAAACATACGTGTGCATGTGTCTTTATAGCAGCATGATTTATAGTCCGTTGGGTATATACCCAGTAATGGGATGGCTGGGTCAAATGGTATTTCTAGTTCTAGATCCCTGAGGAATTGCCACACTGACTTCCACAATGGTTGAACTAGTTTACAGTCCCACCAACAGTGTAAAAGTATTCCTATTTCTCCACATCCTCTCCAGCACCTGTTGTTTCCTGACTTTTTAATGATTGCCATTCTAACTGGTGTGAGGTGGTATCTCATTGTGGTTTTGATTTGCATTTCTCTGATGGCCAGTGATGATGAGCATTTTTTCGTGTGTTTTTTGGCTGCATAAATGTCTTCTTTTGAGAAGTGTCTGTTCATGTCCTTCGCCCACTTTTTGATGGGGTTGTTTGTTTTTTTCTTGTATCCTGTGTGTCTTTATAAAGTCAGCATATAGGGCATTCATTCTTCAGTCAGCTCTGTGCCTGGAGGGGATACCATTGAATACTGTCTCACTGACGTGAGATCAATCCAACCATAGATACCTTAGAAGGCATAGAAGCATAGATACTTCTCATCACCGTACACAATTCTGCTGCTTTAATTTGTCTGTCCCATTTTTGAGTGCTGGGGCTGCTTTCTAGAGACATGGGTCTGCTGTTCTGCCAGCTTCTCTATACTGCTGGGCCACTTAACTTCTTTCTTATTCTCACCTTGGAAGGGATGGAGGGAAAGAAGTGAAAGGCGGGTCTTAGCCTTTTACTTCTGCATTTCCCCTAGCCAAACAGCTTGACAGACTGTTTAGCCACCATGAGGAAGCTTTATCCAGCAAGGTTTAGCCCTTCTTGACACTAAAGTCTAGGGACAGATAAATGCAGGTGATTTCACTGAGATGCAGGACACCCGACCAAGCTGATTTATTCCAACACCAGAAAGCTGCCTGTGCCTCCATATCATCTGGTCTTCCAATACCAGAGCAATCCTTCCTCATTGACCCTCACACTGCTCAAGCCATTGTCCTCTGAGCTTTGAAGGGCACATGAAGATTGCTTGAATGGATTTAATCATGCTGCTGCTTCTCCATATGCAAGCCTTCTTTAGCAAGATAGGCAGCTCTTCTAGAACTAGAATACAAAATTTCTTCTGAAAACTCTGAGATATTCTAGACTCTTAGTTGTATATTCAGAGAAACAACCATGTAAGAAAGCATAAAATGAGTCCAAGATTGCATGAGCTCATGTTTCTTTTGCAATTAATAATAATAGTGATGATAAAGAATAAGTAACTTGCTGAGATCTAAGTGCTAGAGGTGTGCCAACATTATTATAGACATTATCTCCTTTAATGCTTCCAGTGACCTCATGTATTAATATTATTTCTGTGAGGAAAGTAAGACTTAAAATAGAGAACTAGAACCCAAATCCCTCTGATTCTAAAGCTGTACCTTTTCACCTCAAAAACAAAATAGGTCCAAACATTTTCCCCAACCATCACCTGGTAAAATTCATCCACTAAAACTTCACAGGTGTCTTAGTTTCATCTGTCATTTTCACCTCTGAAAAGGACTCACCAAATTATTCCCAGAGACAATTTGACTGGCAAATGAAGTGGCATGAACTGGAAGTTAGGAAAGGTGTTCTTTAGGAAAAGGGACTTGAGCTGTACCTGGGTGTGGAAGAGAGATCAGGATTTGTGTGGAAAATAGGAGACGGGAAAGTGTTTCTGATGGAAGTAGAAGAAAGCATAGATTTAGGGAGATAAGGATGAGTGGGAACAAAGCAGACATGCCATTTTTTAAGATTTTTTTTTTTCTCTTGCATCTTGCAGTGATAAAAAAGTTATTTAGAGTCATCCTGGAATGAGTATAAAGATAAGTGGTTCATGTCTCATTCACTTAAAAACAAAGAAAACAGTTCTAATGAAAACTCAAAAATGAAGCATCAGCAGGAAGAAGAGTTAAAAAAAAAGATGCAATTTTCTTCTGTGAAGCCTCTCATCTACTTTAAATGTAGCTCTTTTAATTATTTCCTTTAGGCAAAAATACCCAATTAGGTAAAATCATGAATTAGCCAATGTTTGAAAATATTTTGAAGAGGAAGAAAACAACAGCTCACCAATGAATGACATTATTATTTCTATTTCCCCATTTTTTGTTTTGCAACTAGAAATTCAGGAATTAATTTATGTCACCAATTCAAAATTTCATCTCCAGTAGAAATGATTTAAGGGGAAACAAAGAATCCATTTGAAGTAGCCTCATCATTTGTGTTCACTTTTTGAATTAGCCTTTGTATGTTTACAGTCTCTTTGGATGATTGGTGACTAATACGTAAAAAATGGCTAAACAATGATGTTTCTTCAGAAAAGGACATTAAGGAGTTTTGTGAGACAAAAAGACACAAATATTGGCCGGGCGCAGTGGCTCCAGCCTGGGCGACAGACTGGGACTCCGTTTCAAAAAAGAAAAAAAAAAAAAAACGACACAAATATCACTGGATGATGACTTAGGTCTTAGTGAATACCTGTACTATAGATAACATCTGATCTGAAGTCTTTCTCTCTCTCTTTAATTCTAAGTGAAGTGTGACGGAAGAGGGCACATTTTAGTAGCCATTTATGGAGAGGCATCCAGTAAAAAAGTATCATCTAGAGGAAAGATGGAATTTTAGCTGTTTAGCCTAGAAAATGTAAGACAGATGAAGACAGAACTGATAGCCATCATCCAACCTTTGACAAATTATTATGTTAGTGAGAGTCAGATGTGTGGTTTTGAAAACCAAAGGTTGGAAGTTACTGAAGAATATCCTGACAATTAGAGCTGTCCGACAGTGGGACTGCTGCTTGATGAAGTAGGAAGTTCCTCTTCGATGAAGTGTTCAGACACAGGCTGGAAGACCATCTGGCAGGCTGTCATTTGCTGGGTCTGTCTCCACCACCAATTACAGTGTGTGGAAAGGGCAGGGCTGCGCGCTTCACTCTAACTGCAGGCTCTCAAATTTTGCATTTGAAATGGAACTTCATCTAGGATGGGGATGGTAAGGGCCTGATACAATGAACTCTCACGGTTTCTTTTCATCACTAAGATTTTTCTCTTTCCAAGGATATTGGGAAAGGATAAAATCAGAGAGTTCTAAAAGAAATTTTAAAATCTTTGGAAAATAATTTAGTAGAGAGAAAATAATTATCGCACCTTAATTTTCAGAGACACAATACTTTTAGGAACACACAAAGCTGGTTAACATTGTCTTTGTTTTTTTCTGAGTTGAGTTTCTCTCTCTCTCTCCCAATTTTACCTTTTGTCACACCCATAGATTCCTGCCTAAAGACCATCTCACCAGGTCTGTCCAAGAACCAGATGACTCCAAATTCTGCTTTCCTTAAAGTAGAATTCCTTAAAGATAGAACCCCAAGATTTTAATTCATGGTTATTAAATTAAACATGAATCTAGGTACCACTGTGAAAAAACAGTGCCTGTAGTCCTTATAATTAGTAAATTGTGTTTAACCTTTCAGGATTTTTTTTTTCTCAAAAAGAGGACCCAGGCTGGGCTTGGTGGCTCACGCCTGTAATCCCAGCACTTTGGGAAGTCGAGGTGGGCGGATCATGAGGTCAGAGATAGAGACCATCCTGTCTAACACGGTGAAACCACATCTTTACTAAAAATACAAAAAAAATTAGCTGGGCATGGTGGCACGTGCCTGTAGTCCCAGCTACTCGGGAGGCTGAGGCAGGAGAATCGCTTGAACCCCAGAGGCGGAGGTTGCAGTGAGCCGAGATGGTGCCTCTGCATTCCATCTTGGGCCCGTTAGGCTAGTCTGCCATAAAAAGGAATAAAATAATGTATTTTGCAGCTACTTGGATGGATCTTGGAGCTGGAGGCCATTATTCTTAGTGAAGTAACTCAGGAATGAAAAATCAAATATTATATGTTCACACTTATAACTGGGAGCTAAGCTATGAGGATACGAAGGCATAAGAATAATGTAATGGACTTTGGGGACTTGGGGGGAAAGGGTGGGAGGGGGATGAGGGATAAAAGACTACATATTGGGTACAGTGTACACTGCTTGGGTGACAGGTACACCAAAATTCCAGAAATCACTACTAAATAACTTATCCATGTAATAAAAACCACCTGCACCCCAAAAACTATTGAAAAAAAAATAAGTAATTTTTTAAAAAGAGAATCCAGTAGGCAAAATGATGTTTCTATTGATGGAGGGCACAGGGCTGATATTTTGAGAGGTGGAAACTTCCTGGCACTTCTTGCTTACTCAAGTTTCCATGGATCCAAGGCCACACCTTGGCATCCCTCACAAGCTCACATACCATCCTCACCTCTGCCACGTGGGTACATGGGCACACACAAACACAAGCACATTACGAAAAAGCAAAGCTTCTGGACACCATACTCTCAAAGCCTACTGAGGACCTAGTTTGATAAAGTAAATAGACTTATGTACATAATGGTTCCCTGTGTAAGTCTATAGCCATACCACCTTCAATGCACTTCACCTCATCAGATCTTGGAAGCTAAGCAGAATCAGGCCTAGTTAGTAATTGAATGGCAGATTAAAATAGTCAAATAAATACCACATGGAGATAGCCTCAAATGAACTTACATTCTTATTTTATAAAAATAAGCCACCGTGACTTTTCATTATGTTTCTTCTTTATCCAATTTAAAGACTTGATGTGAAATCTTAATAGAATTTGACAGCTCCAACATTTTAATCAAAATTAGTAGCAAACAATAAATGTTTATAGATTTCTATATATTGTATTTATTCGGTGAAGGAAGAGGACACTTTTGGGTACAGGCCACAATTCTACTCTCTTAAGATTTTTAGTATACTGATGTAGGTGATGCTATATTTTATGGAACATGAAATAATCATACTTTATTAAAATGTTTGTCAAAAATTGATCATTTCAAAAAAAAAAAAACTGGCAGAGTAAAATGTAAATCCTGTTAACCTAGTGCCTTATGGTAGTAATACTTCATTGGGTAACTTTCCACTATTCTTGGTCAAGATGAATAGTAAATTCAGCAAGTTTGGTTTTTAACAAGGTTTTTGGGAATGCAGGCCTTTGCTTGTTAAAAGATAGTCACAATCCAAGGCAGGATTAAGTGCCCTTAGGTGCACAGACAATAAGAACCTGGAAGAACATTGATGGAATACATTAATATGAATAAGAATAAAGTTCCCTGAGGAGTTTATGTCCAGAAAGACATTGGAGAGTCAGTGAAGAATCCAAGTCATTCCAGTGGCATAAGGAAAGAGGAGAGACATTGAATGTGTACATGAGTTGGGAGAACATTAGGAGACTAGCCTGGTCAGAGTAATGTTTGCAGGTTGGTGGATCTCCTGTATAGCCTGAATCATTTTCTATGTTCAAGAGGCTGTGTCCTGTGTGGTAGCACTGCCCATCTATCTCTAGACTCCTCTGTCCCATGCTAATCCTGAATATCACTGCTAATATGTATACACAGATGAGATCTGATTAAAATAAACTAGAGAAGCCTCAAAGGAGAGATGCAGTCACAAAAGAGCTATCACATCAGGGGTTATGTGAAGAGGAAGAGGGAAAGGGAGTGTTCTTGCTAACCCCTGGCTTGCAGGAGTGTTTCTGATGATGGTGCAGCTACGTTTGAGCCTTTGACTCACTGTATATACAGAACACTTCACTTAGGCTGCAACGTCTGTGTCCTTTTTACCTGAAATACTGCAACCCACCCAACCGTAACACTAATAGCTGTGAAATATGGTGACAACATCAGAGTGATTCCTGCCTCATACCACAGGCAAGTTGACCTTAAGCAGGGGGGCAAAGGTTTCTGCCCACAGAATAGGAATAGTCGAAAGGCCAGATTAAGCCGTAAACATTGAACATTTCTGTCACAAGAAACTAGGATGATCTCTTGCAGCTTCCTATTCTACCTGAGGTGCCATCGTTGGTATTAAACAATAAGAGATTAGGCTCTTGTCAGGCAAACTAATGAATTTTAGATTGATTTCTGTCTTCTGCAATGCTAGCGACATTTTTGACAGCTGTGATTTATAGGGCTTTCATTGGGTCTATTCATGAAAGGAGTTGTTTATTTTGGTTGATGGGAAAGCTTCTAATGTTCCCAGTGGGAAATGCTGAGGGCCAAGATGATGGCCATCTTGAAGGAGCTCTCTGACTATCTAGGGCAGGCCTCTTATAAATTTGTAATCAAGAGCTCAGAGAACTAATGAGGGCAGGTTGGCTTGGAAATTGTTTTGGCGACATTTGACCAGTGAAATGCTCCTGGAAAATATATGTCTGCTGCTCAGCTGCAGAGCCGTAAGGGTAAAAATTCTACTTTGTGTGTCATTTTACTTGCTTTTTTTCTTTTTTTGAAATGCCATAGCTGGTATTTGCAGAATGCAACAGGAATTTTAGTTCCACAAAGTGGTGGTGGAGAAACAATGTAATTCAAAGATTTAAACTGGGGTCTTTTGTTTGTTTGTTTTTTGTAAGCCTTCTGTAGCTCATTGTAGAATATTTTTCTATCAGGAATAATTTGAAACTTTGCAAGTGTGATGGATATTGTGGTGGACCTCCCAGAGTTCCCTTCAGGACCAAGACACTCATTTCTATAAAGAGCTAGTGGGAATGATAACTCTTGCTAGCTCACAGATAGGTCTCTTTCTCGAAATTGCCCTCTGCTGAAGGGAACTGACTTGCCAAATATTACATCCCCCTCTACGTCAGTTTGCATTCAATGACGGGTCGAGACTAGGTTGAAAGGCTCCTTTTCTCACTTCAGGATTTTTCTGTTGGGTCATTCCAACACCAAGCTCCCTATAGGGTGAGCTGGAGCCTCTGTTGCAAGTGTATCATGGTGCAACTGCTTTCTCTCCCCAGCTTTTTTTTCTCTCACTCCTTCATGGATGTTGTTTTTAAGAGCACTTGTCAATCAACTTCCATAATGCAAATCTCAAAGTAGAATCTGTTTCCCAGGAACCCAGCCTGCAACCAGGAGGTAAGGTTGAGAGAGGTGGCCATGATTGAAGAAAAGTGAGCAGGGGTTGACCACAAATAGGATTTCAGGGATGAGAAAGGAGAATATTGAGGATGTAGCAGAGCTTCCAAAGCTGGAGACCTTGGGGGATGAGAGGAACCCTACTTTTGTTTGCCTTTTGAGGCTTATAGCTCAAGCAGGTTGCAGGGAAAAAACAGCCCCATATCACCTTTCCCAGGGGAGAAATATCAGGGAACACCTGACATTTAAGAGGTAGACTGTGCCTATAATATAAAATAGGGAAGAGAATGAGGTCACGGTTGATAATAAGGGAAGAAGCAGAATACACATAACGAATCTTATATATCAAATCTTTTGATAATATTTCTGAACAGTGGAGAAATTTGGAAAGATAGAATGTATGATTAGGGTGGGATCACTTAAAAATATATACAGCATCTACCAGGACATATACATGACAAGAAAAGATATGACATGCTCCGAAGTCACCAGAACCAGCTCTGATGGTTAATACTGAGTGTCCACTTGATTGGAATGAAGGATACAAAGTATTGATCCTGGGTGTGTCTGTGAGGGTGTTGCTCATGGGGATTAACATTTAAGTCAGTGGGATGGGAAAGGCAGACCCACACTTAACCTGGGTGGACACCATCGAATCAGCTGCCAGCACAGCAAGAATATAAGCAGACAGAAAAATGTGAAAGGAGAAACTGGTCTAGCCTCCCAGTCTAGATCTTTCTGCCATGCTGGATGCTTCCTGCCCCCGAACATTGGACTCCAAGTTCTTCAGTTTTGGAGCTCGGACTGGCTGTCCTTGCTCCTAAGCTTGCAGATGGCCTATTGTGGAACCTTATGATTATGTGAATTAGTACTTAATAAACTCCCCCTTGTATACATATATATATATATATATTCCGTTAGTTCTGTCCCTCTAGAGGACCCTGACTAATACACCAGCAATAAAACTAACAGGTTGACTGCATGCATTTTTGTATGTATTCTGGCAGTGATCACCAGCTAGTGCAGGCAATGGCAGCTCTCATGAACCAGGAGCCAGCCTTCTTTAAGACCAAAGGGACATTTTTCATGTCTTTTGTATACATTAAAGAAGTGGCAATTTGTATTAGGACCCTTCTCCCCAAGGAATTCCTGGAAATTCCACATTTGTTACTTTTTCCCTCTAAATATGATAGGTCTTGATTTTATTTCTTCTATCTGCCTGAGCTCAGCATAATGTAGCTATTTTATTTTCATTTCTCTTTCTCCCTGTAATATTAAAAAGATCATAATTACAAGATGTCAACAAAAAACTCAGCAGCAGGAAAAATCTCAGGAGTATAGAACAACAATCTATTGAAATGCCTTCTCCCAAAACAAGTAGCCAACAAAAATAGTGGCTATCATTTATTTAATAGTTGGAAAGTAATTTTCTTTATAACAAAGTGTTGGACTTTCATTTGTAAAGGGATAGGGAGTACATATGTTTATCCAGGCTAGGTCTCACAGATGAACCAACTAGGGTGACCCCTGGTGGGTAAGTTGAAGACCTCTGAAGAGGTTGCTTGTCTGCCAAGTCAGAAATCAAGCAACCTCCATAAGTTAGAATAATAAGACCCAGACTTCTCTCCTTCTGATGTGTCTGATGGGGGCCCACAGTAGGATGAACTTGCTTTTGTCACTAAGTGGCTCCCTGGAATACTCTGGTAAGTAACTTTTTCACTGAGGCAGTCAGGAACAGCAAGATTTTAATGAGCAACTTGGCCAAGGCTTCTCAAACTGTAATGTACATATGAATCACCTGAGGGGCTTGTTAAAATGTAGGCTCTGATGAGGTCAGCCTAAGCCTGAGAGTCTGTAGTTCTAACAAGTTCCCGGGTAATACCAATGCTACTGGTCCACAAGAGATACTTTGCTAGGCCACAAGCAAAATAAGTGAGTAAGCAATAAAGGGCTGCTTGTTCTGTGACAGACATCTTAGAAATAATTGGCTCACTTTATCACATTTCAGTAGATTGGTTTATTAGATTACTCAGCTGTAATCTAAGGGCGATATGTAATTATAATCTAAGTATGTAACGTGTAATCTCAGGAAAATGTGTAATGTAAGGACAATGGTGGAGAGTGGGTAATTTGAAATTCCTTTCTGTGTCTTCCTGATTCACAGGAGATTTTCTGTAAGATGGGCACCCTGTGCAGGCCAGGCTGGGCACAGCAGGAGGCATGATCAATGAATGCATTCAGGTTTCTACACCCCTCTTTAGGGAAGAGGCAGAAAGACAAATGCAGCTTATTTTCTCCAGCTCAGTATCTCTTTGTGTAACATGCAGGAGGGAGAATGTGAAGGATAGAAAATATTAAGTGGGGCAGAATATGCTAAAGTAGGTCAAGGGAGAAAATGAAATAGAGTATTTTTTCTATTCTCAGAAAATGCTGTTAAAATTAGAACTGCCACAGATCACAAGATCAGTGTTGTAAACATTTTTTTTCCAGGCAAAAAAACTCTCAGCTACCAAAACTTCGATTATTAGGTAAGGATTTGAACAAAGATGTGTGTCATGTACTGTGCAAGATGTGTGTGGTGTTGGTTTGGGAGCAGAGGGTGCCTATGTCTTTGGCCAGGCCATGTCCTTGGTAAAATGTACATGTAGTCAAACTGTGTCCAGCAGCTGCACTTTCTCTAACTCCTCTCTTTCTTCACACTCTTTCACACATGTCTGTTTCTCTTTGTTTAAATTAATTCACACTAAGATGTTAATGACATTACATATTACCTTTCATAAGAGTGTTTATATTTATCTTACTTTCTAAAATTAGAAAGCAATTTACGTTTGCTGTGGTATTGTTAGTATTCTGAGGTAATACTTATTCCAAAGTACTAGATTAGATTAGATTTTATGGCATGTTGATTCTGCTGGTCTGAAAATCCTTTCTTCCTAGCACTATAAAATCATTACTTGTGCCCTTCCACATGAAGGGCTTTCTTGCCTACACACACACACACACACGTGCGCGCACACACACACACACACAAAGCCCCACCTTGTTTCTTAATGGATCATAAAAAAAGATTCTATAAAATTCTGGGCTGGCCCTTCCTTCCTTCCTTCCTTCCTTCCTTCCTTCCTTCCTTCCGTCCTTCCTTCCTCTCTCTCTTTCTCTCTTTTCCTTCCTTCCTCTCTCTCTCTTTCTCTCTCTCTCTCTCCTTTTCTTTCTCTGACAGCATCTTGCTCTGTCATCCAGAATGAAGTGCAGTGGCATCGTGATCATAGCTTACTGCAGCCTCCAACTTCTGGCCTCATATGATCTTCCCACCTCAGCCTCCCAACGTGCTAGGATTATAAGCATCAGCCACCACACCCAGCTCTGGAATCCATATTTTAAAAGGCAGTTTTATTATATCAGGTCTGACTCTGCCCATTTGCTTTCCTCTTATTGTCCTGTGGGTTCCTCCCACGCCTTTCAGGAAGCCTGACAGCCGGACAGGTGGGACATGTCTCATTAGACTCAGAGTTTGCATTTCAATGAGGAGAGGATATAGTAAAGTTCAGTATACAATACACCAACAACAATAATTCCTGCAAATGAGATGGTCAGGGAGCAGTATATCCACCATCAGGTTCTCTGTCTAATCTGTTTTTATGTTTAGTCTTTGTCTCATTTCCTTATAAATGAATACAGGTGATATCACCATGATTTTTTCATACTGAATCTGGAGACTGAAATCTCGAGTGGGTCTGACTGAACTTTAAATCTTCCTGATGAAGCTTGGGGAGGGATAGCAGGACTGGAAGATCAACTGGGGCTGAGGAACCCTGTTAGGCTTAGAAATTGAGAATATGTTGTTTGTGGGACCAGGTTCCAGGTTCCTAGATGAGTAAGCAAAAATTAAATCATCAGCAGTAACAACACAAGAGATTTACTGTGGAATCAGGTACGTTCTGATGGGCCCTCTATTGCTCAGAAGATAGATACACCCCAGTAATTGGATAGCTCAGCTGGAAACATCTTAAGAGAAAAGTGCTCCTTGTCTCATGCAGTTCTGAGTAGCAGAAGGATGGTCCCAGTAGGAAAATGCATCTCTTGACTACACTTTGCACAGGTGTGAACATTACCCACTGGTGAGTAATGTCAGGTGAAAATGGCTCTGTTGTCACTGAGCGTCCCAGATGGAAGTCTTGAGCCCCTTTCACACTCTGGCTTTTGAAAAATATTTTTCTCTGAAAGACATTTTATTTTTTAATAAATGAAGAGCTATGAGTCATCCTGCTTTAGAACTGGAAGAGAAAATTTACTTCTGCTATAATTAAACAATAATTATTATTCTTTCCTCTGAGGGAGAACTCTGGGAGATAAACAACTCCCAGATAAATAAGGCTTAGAGAACATGGGCCAAGGCTTCTGTTGATTCACAATATATTTATCTCTCTCTTCCTCCCAAATAAAAAATAATGATAGTAATTATTTTTAAAAATGTTTCCCTTTTTTAATCATTTAAAATTGCTGTTTTCCAGTCTACTCAAGCAGTAATTGCTTTTGTGGCCCTGGTGTAACTTGTGGAGAGGATAGGGATAGAATGAGCAGTTGAGAAAATCTACTCCCTAGGCAGCAACTCCAAGGCACCAATTAGTATGAGCTGACCTTTAACTTGGTGAATAGTAGGAGGCAAGAGGACTTGACCAGGGTATGAAAACCTGGGTTTTGCCACTTCTTACCTGTGCATAGATTTGGTGGCAAGTCATTTAATTTCTTGGAGGATTGTTACTCTTTTAACAAATGGTTATAATTCTTAATTTATCTACCTCACTCTGTTTATCTTAAATGACTATATATATATATACATAAAAATTACTGTAAAGTATACAAATTAGGGTGGTCATGGAACTTTGAGATTAAAAGCATTCTACAGGCCAGGCGCCGTGGCTCATGCCTGTAATCCCAGCACTTTGGGAGGCTGAGGCGGGCGGATCACAAGGTCAGGAGATGGAGATCAACCTGGCTAACATGGTGAAACCCTGTCTCTAATAAAAATACAAAAAATTAGCCGGGCGTAGTGGCGGGCGCTTGTAGTCCCGGCTACTCCGGAGGCTGAGGCAGGAGAATGGCGTGAACTCGGGAGGCGGAGCTTGTGGTGAGCTGAGATAGTAGCGCCACTGCACTCCAGCCTGGGGGACAGAGTGAGACTCCATCTCAAAAAAAAAAAAAAGCATTTTACAAAGAGAATGCTGGCCCTAAGTATTTTCGCATTTTCCAGTTTCCTTAAGTTGGAAGCAAAGCAAACCAGCCCTGGAATTCCTTCCTGAAGAAATTTGGAAGTGACATTTGTGGGGATACATAGATAAGGAGTCATCTAAAATTAAAAAGGATTCTTGAAGTTTTCATGGCACATACAGTGCTGTCAGCTCTTTCTCAAGGGTGGGGACTGAAAGGAGCTACATCACATTTGGGTAAAAAATGGAGTAAACTGCCAAGGCCTTCATTAGAGCATAAGGTAGTATATTGTAGTTATTAAGCAGGTGCCTGGAGGGGTCAGTCAATCCACGGCTTACTCATTACCTGGGGATAATATTAAAATATCTACCTAATATCCTATGAATAAAATGAGATCGTCCAAGTAAAGTACATAGGAAATTGCCAGGCACATAAAATATACTTAATAAATGGTTTATAGGGATGGCTCTATTAATTTTACAGAGAGTACATTTCTGACTTCATAGTATAATTTGAGGAGCATTGAAAAACCTGTTGATCCAAGTATTTCCCTTTTCAATATTTCTCAGTGCTTTCCCCTACTCTTTTCATATTCGAAATCTTCTCATTCCATGAGAACTAGCTATGATTTAACTTCCTAAGGTCAGGTACTGTGCTTCTTTTGCTTACCACTGTGCACCCAAGCCCTTCAAGGTGCACTTGACAAATATTCCTGCTGAGTAGATGTATGTTAGTAACTTCATGGAAGCTGTAATCCATGTGTTCCAATCTCTGAGTGATGCCAGAGTTAAAGAAGGGTCTAATTCCAAAATAATGGCAAAATAATAATATATTTATTTGCATTTCTTCAACAAATGGAAAAGGATACTGCTATGGACTGAATGTTTATGTCCCCCCAAAATGTATATGTTAAAGCCCTAAGTGATGGTTTGGGGAGATGGGTCCTGTGGGAGGTAATTAGGTCACGAGGGTGAACCCTCCTGAAGGGATTAGTGTCCCTATAAGAAAAGGAAGAGAGCAAACCCCCTCTCCCTGCTCTCTGCCATTTGAGAAACAAAAAGATGGTCATCTGTTTGCAGCAGGCCTTCACCAGACATTGCATCTGCCAGCACATTGATTTTGGAATTTCCAGCCTCCAGAAGTCTGAGAAATTAACGTTTGTTTTGTAAGCTACTCAGTCTACGGTATTCTATAGTAGTAACCTGAACTGGTTAAGATGGATACAAAGTTTACAAAATACTTCTTAAAACGTTACTTTTTTTTTTTTTTTTCCTCAATTAGCTTCTCTCACAAAAGACAGCAACTCTTATATCTTTTGCGGATTTTTCAAATCAGGCTTTCTTCATTCCTAATCCAATGTATCTTTATCTATGTCTCTTTCTTTCCCATTCTGTACCATAAACCCTGGAAGAGCTTGCCTGGTAAGACAGAACCCTCATTATAGGTCATGAGAGGTTAAAAAAAAAAAAAAGAAAGAAAAAGAAAAATCTCAGTGCAAAGCCAAATCTTCCTTAATCTTCCTTTAGTTGACAGTGAGGGAAAGCTGGAGACATTTATATGACAATGTATTGTTGTTGATTTTGTTAACTGAACAGTTTTTTAATTAAAAATTAATTTTTAATTGAAAAAAACACTTAACTCTTTTCTTATACCCAGAAGCAATTGACATATGTGAAAAGTCCTTGAAAATTAATCATTCACTGCTTTTTGACAGATCTATTTTTGTCTTTACATGTTACTTAGATTTTTTATTTTACTTAACATTTGTCCATTATGTCTTTTCTGCCCAATTAATAGATTTTTAAGAAAATTTATGTATAATACCTAGCATGATATTTTATACATAACAAGTGTTTAGAAATATTTGTGGAGATACTTTGAAAGACCTAGTTATAAAACAAATTTTATCTAAGAGGGATTTTATTCTGAGCCATTACTAGCCATTATACTGATAAATTATTTTATTATATAAATGCAAGGTGTTTAAGAAGGGATGCTTGAGGCTGAGGACATGGGGTAATAAAAACAAAACAGGGTGAGGCAAGTTAGGGAGTGTGGCTGGGAGTTGAGAGATCACTGGGTTAGAACTTGCCAGAAAGAAGGAAGATAATGCCAGTAAAGAAAAGAGAGAGGCCCATTAGAGTAATATAAAGTCTTTTAGATTGTATTACTGTTCCATACAATTTTCTCCTTCCCTCTTCTTGGTGAGCAGATTATAATTTCCCACTCCACTGGCTTTTTCATATGGCTTACTTTGGCCAATGAAATGTGAATAAAAAGGATATGTTTTGCTTCCAGGCAAATCTTCAAGAGACATTAAGGGATTCCTCTATTGGTCTTTTCTCTTTGCTATGAGACTGGGCTGATCCATATGGGGCCTGTTCCTTCAGGTTTGTCTCAGGAGAAGATGTAGGGAGAGCTGAAGCTACCCAGCAAGTACTTAATAATGTTACATTTAAAAAATAATGTTTTCTAGAGAGATATTTGTGCATGGATCACTCCCTTGGTTTAAGCAAATTTGTTTTACAAAAATGGAACCAAAGATAGGCATAGCATTCTCCAACTTCCGGAGATAATCTGCAATTACCTGTATTAAAAATATGTAAATAAAAAGATATAATGAAAATGTTGATTGTGTATCTATAAAGAAAACAATGATAAATTATGAAAATTTCTTTTGAAGATATTCTACTTCAAGTTATAGAGTATATGGAAAGAACTGTAAATCATTATCTAGGATTCTGGAATGTAAAGTATTCAAAGCAGTCAATATTTTTTAAGGTAATGATGTATTCCCTCTCATTCCTGAACAATTTTGATTTTTAAGAATAATCAGGAAAACCTCCTGTTTTTGAACCTGTACAGAGTTGCATAGATGTTGGCCATTTTGAGGAAAACATCTTTTGTCCTTTGCAAGCAGCCTGCACTTGCAAATCATTCACCAGAAATCAGAATAGTAGCTGAGACTGTTGAACTTCCTCTGATGCAATTAGTGGACAGAGAGTCATTAGTGTAGCTCTAGACATAGGCAATTGCCCAGACTTTAAACTGTTTTGGAGGCAGCTTTTTGGTCAGTAGAAGGAACAGTATCACTCAAGCTAGCCCAAGTGGTCTCTAGCTGTGTCTCCATGAGTGCAGAATTATTTTTTTCCCCTCTGTAGTAATTATTATTAGATTCTACCAAGAAATGTTGTTTTCCCTAGTTTATAATAGTTAATATTTATGAAAAATTTTCCATAGGTCAGCATATCAACTATGATTCCTTTGGTTACAAGTGATAGAAATCCCAACCCAAGTTACTCAGGTACAGAGAGAAATTTATTGCATCATGTAATCAAACTTGAGCGTAACGGAGGACTAGCTGGCTTTGAGGATGATTCAGACCAAAGATCAGCACTCTCTTCTTCTCCCACCTCCACCTCTTTCTGTATATTGTCATCATTTTTCTTACTGTGATCTGGCTTCTTCCATAGGCTGTTTGGAGCTCATATCTTTCCAGCTGTGACCAGTAATTCCCAGTTTGCCTGAGACTTTCCTAGTTTCACTGCTGAAAATCCTGCATTCTGAGAAACCCCTCAGTCCTGGGACAACCTGGACAGGTGGTCATCAGAGAGGACAGGGGCTTTTTCCTTATTATGTAGTTCAAATATGGTCTAATTTTGTCTCAATTTGTTCCTCTGTGGCTAGAAAGTCACTGTGGCTAGAAAGTGAGGTACTATGGTTAAACCAGCTTAGATCAGGTGCCTCCTGGAGGCTCTAATGAATCATTTATCCATTTTCAAATTTCTCAAGCCTGTTTCAAAGCACTTGCCTCCTGGAAGTAAGGGAAGCAGGGTGTGTAACATGATGGCATCTTCCATTCTAACACTTGTCAAATGACAAGTGTGGGGCAAACCTAACATTCACTGTTGACTAGAGTTTGACACAAAGCTAAGTGCTGCATCCAATATAGTCTTTAGCAACCCTGTGCAGAAAGTACTCTCATTATCTCACTTTTACAGATGAGGGAGCTGAGATTTCTTCAAGAGGCAATGAGACAACAAATGAAACCCTTAACACCCTTATAATTCTTTCTGGCTAGCTGGTTCAGTACTAACTCCTAGTTTGTTGTTGTTTATTTTGTTTTGTTTTTAAGATTTTCTCTCATCATGCACTCATCTCTTTCTCCCTTGAACTTCCATGGCACTGATTTAGATTTTTAAATTATAGTTTTACTACTCATATGCCTTTTTGCTTAAAAATAGTGTCTCCTCAAGAAGCTTCTATTCTACGTTCTTTGAGAGCAGATTCTACATGACCCATCTCTTTGATCATTCTGTTTGTTTGTGAGTGTTCATCTTATGTCCTACATGATAATTCTGTGTTTTTTTTTAACCTTGCACCTAGTTTTTTTCCAGTTGTGTGTGTGTGTGCATTTATTATACTTAGAATCTTGTTGGAATTTAGATATTTGTAAATTAAAATGACTTTTATTTTTAGCATCTTTTTTTATTGCTTGGCCTTAGGCATGGTGACCATTAAATGTGCAACCTAAATGTGTGCAACAATTGCAGAAAAAGCCTGACATGATAATTAAAATAGAATCAGCACCACTTACTCTGAAGTTAAGTAAATGGGAGGCATAATGTAGACCAGGCGGGGATAAAAAACAGTGCAACTTCAGAAAGATATTTAAAGGCTACTTATAAATGCTTAAGCAAAATGAGAAATCTGGGAAAAGTTTTTATGCTAAATGTTTGCAGAAATTAGAATATTAAAGGAATATTCATTAAAAAGTCACTTGGAAAAATGCTGATTTCCAACCTGCTTACATTTTTTAGTGTCCTATAATTTATTTTTAGATGACATGTTTTGTTTTTAAATCTAAAAAGCAAGTGTTTTAAAATAGATGTGTGAAATTTGAAGATGAATAAAAAAATAGTAAGGATTGTCAATTATAAGTTGTTACTTGAGGCCAGTTACTTCACTTCTCTGAGGCTCAACTTTGTTCTCTGTAAAGTGGTGGTGATAAAGTTGGGCCCAAACAACCTAGTGTTGTATCTTCCCACTCTAACAGTTTTTGTTTTTTTATTTTATTTCTATTGTTGGATTCTTACATTCATTATAACTGGACCAAAACCTTTATAAGAATATTAAGCACTGTTTACTGAAGACAAGACATGATAAAAATAGTTGGCATTTTAGGCCTTGACTAGATGAAGTTTATTAATTTTATCAAATATGAATTTTAGATAGCCATACGTATAATTCAATTAAAAAGTGATATTAATATTCTCATACAGATGAAGTCTAAAATAGAGGCAAAAATAACAGAAACATTCTATGGTTAAGGATAATTTGATGGACTTTTAGGTTTCATGATTCATACTTCCCGCCCATAATTTAAAATTATGGGAATAATTATTATCTTAAAATATGAAACCAGATACCTTGTTTTGTTCTGTTAAGAGAAGTCTACCTATATGCAAGGTGCTAGCTTACCTTCTTGGTTTTCTTTTAACCAGGATCTTTCTAAATTTGACATAGGTTTAGTTAAGTAGGTTAGATAGAGGAATTTCATTGTTTCTGGAAAGGTAACTCATGAAATTCAGTACCTTTCATGAGATATAATTTTAAGCCCTGCATAGAACCTAGTGTAGTTCTGGGGTCGTGATATATACTTCAATATGGTTGACTCAAAGACAATCCTTTATCCTAATATGTCATACCTGCTCCCAATGTTTGCGGCATCCAGGGAAGAATAAAAATGGAAGCTTACATTCCATATGTCTAAATATTTAAGAGTTATACATCAAGATAGTGAATTGTTGAATCTAATGCATTCTGTTTTCTCCTTCCTTGGCTAATATATCTTTATAATAACCTGGAATGACAGGTTTGAGTTTAGATACCTGAACACACCCCTCTGGCCTAAGACCACATCTTTGGCTTCCCACCCATGTCTCTGTTCTGCACTCTGAGGTACCTTATATGGGCATCAGTAAATGCCCCAGATTAAGCTTTACCTATACCCTTCCCACAGCCTTCCTGGAGCAATCCCTTTGGCCCAAGGGCATCTACACCAGTCACTCAATCTACCCTGAATCGAATAGTACAGAGAAGGGGTTCTTGAATAGGATTCTGGGGAATGTGGGCTCCAGGTAGACACATCCCCTTGGGTTTCTGTGGAGGGCATGGCTGGAGAAATGCTCCAGTATGACTGGAGAGGCATCTTTTGCTTGATTCAGACGCTTTCAGTTATGATAAAAACTCAGGGAACCATATTAGAGGAATCCACAAGGATAATTTATTTCAAGTTTACCGGGAAGACTCAAGGGCAGGAATGTGTTAGGTGTTGGGACCAAGGACAGAATCTCCCTTTTCTCTTGATGCTGTGCCTCTGTGCTTTAGTCTGTCTCCCTGCAGGTAGTTTTTCTAGGTCACATGGCTGGAAATCTGAGCACAGGCTTTTCCTAGCTGTACCTGTTTTAGTCTGAGCAACCAAAAATATGCTTTTATTTCTCGTTCTAAAATTCTATGGCAATGAGTTTGCTCTTCTTGGGCCAGGTTGCTTATCCTCAACAAATCGGTGGCTCATGCCTGTAACCCCAACACTTTGGGAGGCCGAGGTGGGTGGATCACCTGAGGTTAGGAGATTGAGACCATCCTGGCCAACATGGTGAAACCCCTTCTCTACTAAAAATACAAAAATTAGCTGGGCATGGTGGTGCCTGCCTGTAATCCCAGCTACTTGGGAGGCTGAGGCAGGAGAATCGCTTGAATGAGGGAGTCGGAGGTTGCAGTGAGCTGAGATTGTGCCACTGCACTCCAACCTGGTGACAGAACGAGACTCCATCTAAAAAAAAAAGAAAAGAAAAAAAATCACTATGAACAAAGAAATGGAGTACTGTGATTGGCAGAGAGTTTCATGGCAAATAACACAAAAAAAAATTTCATGAGAAAAAACAAACTCTTGAAAAATAAAATATAAAAATATGAAAAGTTGATTTTATATTGTAATTGGAACTCTGAGCTAATTCTTGTAAGAAAAATAAAGAATATGCAACAACTTAACCATCCTTTGCTTTACATTTGGCTTTTCCAGCACCCTCATGGAGAAAGTCCTTTCTGTTTAAGTATTTGAGGGCTTCATAAGATATATCAAAAAGCCACCTTAATTCTTTGTTATTTAAATCTTTCTTTTCTGAAGCACTTATTCTGTCTCTCTGTTTTTTTTTTTTCTCATTTTTGTTGTTAACTAGTTTAACTCTATACTGATTTTTCAAGGGCTTTTGTGTGTTCTAAGTGGTTTTCTATGATCATTTTCATAGACCTCAGGAAATCTTGAATCTTCTGCAAAATGTATGATTTCACTTTGCAGTCATTTTGCATTCCATATTCATATATGAATGCAGTGCAAATAAACAAGAGACACCTACCAGAGTGGTAGAGCAGGAAGGATGGGTAGGCTAGGTTTAAGAACTGTGGGGAGGTAAAAGGATATACTTGTGTAGATAGTTGGCTTATTAGTAAATCTTTTCATGTTTTAAATAATTTTTTCCTCCCTAAAATGTCATTACTGTGGGAATCAGATAATAAATTTTCAGCAAATGAGGACCCCTGAATAAACACGTGACTAAGAGTCGGATTTTTTGGTGGGGGAGGAATTCTAACAGTTTTGGGTATGGCTCTACCAATCATTTGTGGTTTCCTTCCATGCAAGGAACTTCTCTCCAGTCTGTAGTTTCCTCCTCTATAAAATGGGGTGAAAAGCCTCCTTCTCACTGTGGAGTTGGAAAAATTAAAAGGGAAAATTATCTGGCACTAGTGTTTTCTCAGTAAATGGAAGCTATTTGATTGAGACACATTTCTGGTCCTCCTAGGAGCTTAGTTAGTTTAGAGGGGATAAAAACATGTACAGTTAATTACAACATACCGTGAAAAATGCAATAACAGAGATTTACAATGGCCATTCAACAAACCTTTAGGAATGATAAGTCATCCAGGAGAGGGGTGTCAGAGACGGCTTCCTGCTGGGGTGATACCTGAGCTGATATCTAAGGCACAGAAAGAGTTATCCGGATGAAAGAGGGTGGGGAGGCACTGCTAAGAGAAGGGGTCCAGACCAAGGCCCACTAGGAGCAAAGGCACAGGAGTGACACGGAACCCACATTCAGACAACTGCTAGCAGGTCTTTGAGGCTGGAGTCAGATGAAAAGGCAAGATGCAACAATAATTCTTTGTAATTTTATTTGTGGGGAGAAATGAATTTCAAGTTACAAATATCTATTCACAATCAACAAACTTGCAACTAACTACCTTATAAGTTATATTACCTTATGATCATGTGAACATCTTACCTCCCCAAACACCAAAAAATATAATATAATTCCTAATTTAATACACTCTGGTATTGGTATGGTTAAATAGAAATATTTATATACATTTATAGAGAACTTTATAGGTTTGGTTTTTTTGTTGTTGTTTAGATGGAGTCTGGCTGTGTTACCCAGGCTGGAGTGTAGTAGCATGATCTCAGCTCACTGCAACCTTCTCCTCCTGGGTTCAAGTGATTCTCCTGCCTCAGCCTCCTGAGTAGTTGAGACTACAGGCGCCCGCCACCACACCTGGCTAATTTTTGTATTTTTGTAGAGATGGTGTTTTGCCACATTGGTCAGGCTGGTCTCGAACTCCTGACCTCAGGTGATCCACCCACCTCAGCCTCCCAAAGTGCTGGGATTACGGGTGTGAGCCACAGCACCCAGCCAGACCTTTATAGTTTTTAATGTACACTTACATTTTCAGATATGAGCTTCACCATAACCTTGTCAGGCAGGTGAGTTAACCATTAGTTTCATATTACAGATTAGAAAACCTAGACTTACCAATATTAAGTGATTTCCCCAAGGACACAATAAGCATAGTGCTAAGACAGGATCAGGTTCTTCTGAGAACTGGTTGAGTGCTGTTGCTTTTTCCTCTGTAACAATGGTGAACAGGCCTTTTCTGTAAAAGGCCAGATTGTACACATTTTAGGCTTTGTGGGCCATATGGTCTGTGTCACAACTATTCACCTCTGCTGTTGTAGCATGAAAGCAATAATACACAATGTAAAAATAAAATAAAAGCAAACAGGCATCACTGTGGTCCAATAAGCTTTTTTTTTTTTTTTACAAAACGAGGATGTGGGCCAGATTTAGCCCACAGGTTACAGTTTGCCAACCCCTGCCCTATTAACATTCTACAATTTTTTTTGCTATATTAAGTAGTGGAGAATTTTAGGTATGTGGCTCCAATACATTTTTAATGTTTATTCATCCCTAGTGTCTTCTATCTGGATAGCACTTATTGTGTTAGTATCACAATCTCCCCTTTGTTCTCTCCTCCATAAAGATCACCTATCTCTGGAATAAGCAGGATTTTTTTTCCCATTAGTTCCTGGGTCAGTTCCTACAGAAACAGGATCTTCTTTTCTCACTAGTGTTTTCACAATCTCTTTCAGCTGCCCCTTCGTGTTCTCTACCTTGCTTCTGATTATTGCCTGGAATTTGAAGGTGTCCATTCTCCCTATGGCTATTGTTATATTGGCTTCCACGGAAAGAACATAGAGAGGAGTTTCTGTACACAAGCCTCAGTTTCCCAAAGCGCCATTGCCACAGGCTGTCATGGATAACAGATTTTACTGAAGGAGCCTCACTTCCATCCCTTATGACAAACTATCATGTAGGGAAATCCCACTTTTCCTTTAGGAAACTCCCTCACAGGGGCTGTTCTCTCACCACTGGGCCTGTTCTCACCACTGGGCCTAGCCTCCTTCTGCTTCCAGGACAGGTTGCAGCATACACACTGCAGAGCCTGTGCTATTCAGCCTGGAGTAATACACACCTGGCCACATGCATCCAGGCTCCTCTCTCTCCCTTGCCCTCAATGTCTCACCAGCCAGTGAATTCTCTTGCTGTCACTGACTTAATTAGCCCTCATTCTCTCTCATCTGGAATACTGTCTCCTTCTCACCAGCCTACAGGCCATTTTTCATTATTCTCTCATTGGTCTGGTCTTCCCACCCCTCACAACCTGAGTCATAGTTCCTAGAAGCAAATCTGATCACATCACATCCCTACTCAAAATTCTATACATCGTCACTTTTACCCACAGCATACAATGCACATTTGTTAGCTTCACTCAAGGCCTTTCAAAATCTGGCTCTATTCTTACTTTCTTTCTTCTCCCACCCCTAACTGAAATAGGCCTTCTCTTTCTACCATATATCTAATAACTCCCCATTCAGGAGAGGCCTTTCCTCAAACTCATGCCTTTAAAAACCCTTTTCCTAAGCTAGAAACATGGGTGGACAATCTGCTTTCTTCTCTACTACAATTAAAATATGGTAAATATCACTATTTAGCAGCAGTAGGCCTGGATAGGATGGTAAGGTATTGATGCTGTCTCTTCCAAACACCTATCCTAAACACCACACACACACACACACACGCACACACACACACGCGCGCACACACACACACACACACACTACGTAGACATCAGTTTGGCCTAAAATATGCTAACCACGCCACATGATGTTTAGAAGAAGAAATGGCTTACATACATGATTTGTACAGATTGACTATTACCTATGATTACCCTCATTAGATAATTCCTCAACTCCATTGTAACTGCCTAGAAACACATTATCTGCTATTAGAAAAGTATTGTCTGGCCAGGCGCAGTGGCTCATGCCTGTAATCCCGGCACTTTGGGAGGCCAAGGCGGGTGGATCACGAGGTCAGGAGATCAAGACCATTCTGGCTAACACCGTGAAACCCCGTCTCTACTAAAAATACAAAAAAAAAAAAAATTAGCCGGGTGTGGTGGCGGGCACCTATAGTCCCAGCTACTCGGGAGGCTGAGGCCAGAGAATGGTGTGAACCTGGGAGGCGGAACTTGTAGTGAGCCAACATCGCACCACTGCACTCCAGCCTGGGTGACAGAGGGAGACTGTCTCAAAACCAAAAAAAAAAAAAAAAAAAAAAAAAAGCATTGTTTAATTGCTGAGTCTATGAAATTCATCACAAAATAAGATTGTGTTGACTTGGTGGTTTTCCCTCCCTCCCCTCATCACTCCTTTCCTTGTTTTCTTACTGTTTTCTTCCCTCTGTCTTCTTTCTTCCCCAATTTCACCAGTTTTGAGTTTCTCCTAGATGCACATTGTTCTTTTGGTTGTGAAAAATTCGAAGAAGTAGATGTGGTCCTGGTTGATGGATGAACATTGAGGCCCTCAAGTGCATAAAGGTAAGGAAAAGATGATAAAAGAAGCTATGTACTTGATAGAATAAGGGTTGGAGAGGGTCGGAGGAGAGAGAGAATGCTTCTGAGAAGCAATTATGGGCTTAAAGCAGAAGCCTAGAGAATAAATAGCATTTCAGTCAACAGAGGGCAGAGAAGTGCAGCTTCACACAGGAGGGGCACTGCGTGTCATCGGGGGCAGTAATGTGATGTGTGTTTGGGATATCAGTTTAGTGATGTTTAGGGAGAGATGTAAATTTGAATCAATCTGGAATTTGTATTGTAAAGAGTAGGTATGTGATATTCAATTTTTCTATACATAAGCATATCAGGAGAGATATTTTCTTTGTTTTTGAAATTGTACTTGAGCTCATTCCTTAATCCAGGAGAGATGAGTAAAAATCTTCCTCTGGTTTTCATTTATTCATCAAGAACTATTGATTGAGTGCCCATGTTTATCAAATACTGTTCCTGGCTCTGTTTACTTAAGATTGTGCATCAGACTTAAGTATGAATAATATGTGAGATTATGGATTAAATCTGCAAACCTGTATTTAACTCTGTTTTCACATTTCCACATACTACTTAAATGAGAGCTTTCCAGGCCATCCATTATTGAGGTTACCACTGCCTTGACTAAAGATAAAGAAGAAACATTCAAAACTTGGTTTTATTATATGAGCTTTACTAATCGAATGGATTTGTGAAGTTATCTACCATCTATTTTAATCATGAAGGATAATAGCTGTCACACGCGTCAATGTCACATTTATTTTGTTATGGCAGAGTACAGAAGTAAACTGACTTATTTTCCCTAGAGTTTTTGCACAAAAGGGACATGGTTAGCTGCTCCTAACTGAACTGCATTAATGGATCATTCCTTATATGTATCCTAGCAACACTGAAAACAACCTAATAACTGCCCAATTCTCCTCATCAGCAGACTGTGCAGTTTTCCCTGTGTTCACAGACACAAGGTCATTGCCAAATCTCCAGTTGACTATATACTATTTGAAATGATTCAATTACATTTTCCCAATTAAACAAAGGTAAAAAAATGATCAGGAAGTAATCATGTGTCCTAGGAAATAGTGTGTGTGGGAGATTGTGAGGAATATTTGTTTCAATTATTATCTTGTGATGAAGAGGTTTGATCCAAGGTTAATCATCTTCTGCTTAGCTTCATCCTTCCACTTGGCTAGGTGCCTGCCTGGTTCCAGGAGAGCTGAGCGAGACTGGGGGACAGATGAGACTGGGGATGGTTGAGTATGGGTCTTCTCTTTCTACTGTTTTCCATTTATTTGTGGAATGGCACCTGGCACTTTAAATAGCATCTTTAATCAGCGTGACTTAAAGTGCTTTCCAAATAGATGCATTATCCTTATTTTATAAACAGAAAAAGACAGAGAGACAGTTACGTGACTTGCCCAAGGTCATAGAAATGACAGAAGAGCTGGAAATAGTCCTCAGAGTATTGCCACACAATATCAAATCAAGGGTGTCCTGATGAGATGCAGTGGAGGCCAGGGAGTCACAGGACTGGTTTGCTGCTAGCTAGTTATGTGTGACGGAGCACAGTACTCATGCTCTCTGGCTTTGGTTTTTCTTATTTTTAGAACTAATAGGGGAAAGGTTTTCTCTGAGATTCATGCTAGCAATAAATTTCGATGTCATGGTTTCAGAAATATCTACCTCTTCACTTTTGAGATAATGGTAATTTGGCAGAGCTCAATTGACATTTACCTCTGTGTTTTTTTTTTTTTTTGAAAGAAGAGTTTTCAAGTAAATGACAGTTTTAATTAAAGAAAAAAAAAGCCCCCTTGTTTTGCACCCTTGGTGTCACTAATTAGAGGCAAGTGAGTTTATTCAGTAACATTGTCTCGGGAGGTCTAGCTGGTGTTCTATTGTCCGTACATTTTTATTTATTTGGCACATTTTGTATTGAATACTATATTCAAAGCCTATGTTAGGTGCTTCTGGAATGCAGAAGTGAGTAAAATACAATCCTTGCTCTCTATGTCCTTAGAACCAGTAGGAAAGGATTATTTTTTTAAAAAACAACTCATTAGAACCCAAGGAATAATTCAATAGCAGTGAAATAAGTTAAAACTAGAGGATTGAGGCAATGCCCTGATAAAAATGGAATTTTGGAGTCAGGAAAGTTGGATTTGAATTTCAACTCTACCATTTATTTGGGCAGTATATAGCAGCTCATATAGATTCCATAAACTTTGGTTTTTATCATCTGTAAAGTAAAACTAATAATAATGCCTACCTCATGCAATTAAATGACATAATTGATGTGAAAATTTTATGCTAGATAAATTTATGTATAAAAAAGAATTAAGGACTGGGAACTAGAAGAAAATCTAAGAGGGATGGTATTTGAATGACAACTTGAAATCTCAGATAAATGTCAATAACTGAGAAAGGATCAATGAAAATTAACACAGTAAAAAGCCACACAAATGAGCAAAGGCCTAGGGACATTCAAGAATCTACAGTTGGTAAAGATGTTCACTTCTACAGTTGGTGAGGTTACATGCTTTTAAAAACAATCACTCTTATTTTCAAGCATTTCATTATAATGACTTTTTACTAATTCAGTTTGACCTCTAAGAGTAAAAACCTATGACGTTTTATTATATGTGGTATGACTATAAAGCTATAAAACTAATTTTCATGTGCAGCCTAACACCCCACAGATAACTTTAAAGTCACATTCAAAATAAACTATTTGTTATTCTTGTGTAGTTATTTACTTTCTGGAGTACCCATTTCAATACTTTCTTACTTTTCTTTTTGTATTTCCCTAGACCCATTGGGAAAATCACGTTGAGGGTGTTGGCTTATTATTTCTTTGCCTCCTCTTTGCCCTATGTAAACTGAAAAATGATACATGTATTCTTGGAGTGCTTTTTGATGAATAGAATTTTGACAGGGTATTCCAAAAAGTATCTTTCTCAAAATAATTTGGTTTTGAGGAATTTAAAATCTGTCTAGGGACTCCCGTGCATTACTGATGGAAATGTAACATGGTGCAGCCACTTTGGATAACAGTTTGGGAGTTTCTTAAAGTGTTAAATGTAAGTTTATCATATGATCCAGCAATTCCACTCTTAGGTATCTATGAGAAATAAAAGCATATGGCCACACAAGATCTCTACATGAATGTTCATGGCAGCATTGTTCAGAACAGTCAAAAAGTGAAAACAACTCAAACGTTTATCTATTGGTGAATGCATAAACAAAATAAGGTATATCCATAAAAAGGAATATTACTCAGCAATCAAAAAGGGTACCAATGCATGCTACAAGGTGGATGAACCTCAAAAACACTGTGGCAAGTGAAATAAACCAAACACAAAATACCGCATATTGTATGATTTCATTCATATAAAATTACCAGGGAAGGCAAATTTATAGAGATAGAAAGCAAACATAGAGTTGCTTACAGATAGGAGTATGAAGGGGAGTGAGTGCACATGAGCATAGTTTCTGTTTTGAAGTGATGAAAATTTTGAATTATGTTATATAAAAGTTGCACAACTCTACTAAAAATTAAAATGGGCAAATTTATGGTATGTAAATTTTACCTCAATAAAACTAATAAAAAGCTATCTGGAAAAATAAGATACATTTGAGGCAAAATATAAGGGAGCATGAACATTTACTGATACATGTGTAGTGTGCCTTAATTCTTAAGAGATTAGAAAAGAAAGAAAATCACTTTTGGTTGAGTGTTAGATAATTCTTTATGGAAAAAGTAGCCTTCTGAAGTGACTATAAAGGAGTTTGCATTTGAATTGGGCATTGGAAGATAAATAGAATTCATTCAAGAGGCTTTAATAATTTGACCCAAACTAAACTCCTTAAACTCATATATCTATTTTTTTTAGGACTCTAGTTTTGATTAGAATTCCCCACTCACTGTTTGTTAAATACTAGTTGACATGCATCACTCTATCCCAGAGTTTTACTTTGCCTTTTAGAAGTACCTTTATAATAACAATAATAGCTTATTTCTTTGTATTCACCAATAAGGAATCTATCAGATTACATAGTTTAGTTAGTGCCCAATAAAAAATACCTTTGGTTGCTTAAGTGACCAACTGATACCATGCCAGGCGGGTAGATCAAAATGACAGGAGTAGGGGGTGATAAGCCTTGTGCTTGATAGAGGGTTGATAATTCATTGGGGCCCAATTAGGAGGCTCTTGAATGCCAGGTAGAGGAGTTTGGCAATTGGGTAGCAAAAGAGTGGCTAATACACATGGTATAATGAAAAACAAACCTGCCAGCAGCGTGAGGGTCAGCTTGTGGGAGGAAGGCTTGGCATCAATTAAGACATGATTTTTTTTGTGTGTGATCATACATTTTAAAGCTCAGTTCACCTTATTGAGCATCTGGTGATTGTTCACCTTACTTTAAATTCTACGTCCTGGAAATCATTTTTTTTTTTTTTTTTGGTTCTCCTTTGACAGTAACTTGAGGAGGCTGAGTTTGTTTGAAAAGTTCCTCCAGCAGCATTCTTTGGAACAAGGCAACTATTTTTTTCCCATACATTTTACTCCTGTTCTGCTATCATTGTTTTGAGAGGCAGCTATACAAAATAAAATTTCTTTAAAAATATTGACCCAGACTAGATATTGTATTGTATTTTGTTAAATAAGATATGTTTGAGTTGAAAGCCCCTTTGTGCTACAAAACTTGTTCACACATGAGACTTTAATATCATGTCCATAATACTTTATTTCTTGCTGGATAAAGGAGAAGATTCCTTGGCATAGCAGCAGCCCACAAAATCCCACTGTTAAGAGCAGCACTGTGATTTAGTTATTTCCAGTCTGACCTGCAACATATCTGACTTCCCCAAATGAATGCCCTGAGCTCCACAGGGCCCAAGGACCAGAAGGAAGTGTGATCTTGAAGTCAGTATCAATAACCATAGCACATAAGCTCACATCCAGTTGTACATTTTCCTTCATTCTCCTTATGAAATGGTGAGTTCAATACTCTTCTATTTTGAAGGGAATTGAAGTTCATGGAACAAAAGGGCTATTAATGCTACACAAATCATACTGATGTTGCAGTGGACAGCTTCTACAACTCCAGCTGGAGCTCATAAAACTGTGAAGTCTTGTGCTCCTTAATACCAAAAGGTGGAAAGATGTACATTAACTTCTTTTAAAGTGAAGGGAAGAAATGCTTCAAATAAAAAAGCATACAAAACAGCTTCCATACACATATTCCCCATCATTCAGTGAGAGCAGAATTTGGGATGGACTCAAATAGCCTCTTGTGGAATTAGACGATTAAAATGCGCAGCAATGACAAAGATACATGAGCAGACTTTCAAGGAGTGAAGGCACTTACATTGGCTGGACTTTTTGCAGGTCATTTGAGCTGGTGTATTTTTTCAAACAAGTTGATCATCACTTTATCCTCCCAGTTAAGTTTGGCAGAACCATAGAAATCAAGGTTGGTTTATTAAACTAAACTGTCCATATAGAAAGTTTTAGATAGATTAGTTTGACCCACAGTAGAATTGTTCTTGAAACATGCAAATACCACTCACTGAACACCTCATTGATTTAGTCAGAAAAAATTCTAGTGGTTTCAAATCATGTTGAAACCAGTTGTCACTGTTAAAAAATATTTTATCTAGTTGCAGTGCCAAACTAAAATGATGTCTACCCTTTTGCATCAAAAGCAACAATTGTATGGTGAATTTTTGGTGTGTAGACCTCAAATACAGAAATAGGGTCCAGAGAAATTAGGTCTATGATACTATGATTCATGTTAAAATTTTCCTCAAGGAACTCCAGCTACCAAAATATCACATGGATATTACTGGAAGATTATATAGAGGGAAGGCTCCACAGGCTCAGCTGAGGAAGGGAAGAAATTGAAACTATGGAAACAAATGAGGTGTGTGGGGGTGTGAGAGATTTGGTGACCAGGTACAGGAGTCTGTTGTTCCAGAAAGAGCAGTGCTCCATTCATCAAGCCTTAAGCAGCCAGGAAGATCCATAAGGGAGATCCATAAGGGAGTGGCCACACGGAGTGATCACTCACTAGCAAAAATGTAGTGGGAAGGGGGCTAACCCCCAACCTCCAATCATCTATTTCACTGAGGCCTGAAGATTTACCACAAATAATTCCTTTCCTTGTTGTAAGCTTTGCCGTGCAATACCTTTTTTTTTTTTTTTTTTTTTTTTTGAGATGGAATCTCACTCTGTTGCCTAGGGTGGAGTGTGGTGGCATGACCTTGGTTCACTGAAACCGCCTCCACCTCCCAGGTTCAAGTGATTCTCCTGCCTTTGCCTCCTGAGTAGCTGGGATTACAGGCATGTGCCACCACATCCAGCTGATTTTGTTGTTTTTAGTAGAGACAGAGTTTTGCCATGTTGGCCAGGCTGGTCTCAAACTCCTGACCTCAGGTGATCTGCCCATCTTGGCCTCCCAAAGTGCTGGGATTACAGGGATGAGCTACCGTGCCCACCCCTGTAGTACTTTTATATAGATAAAAATACTTCTGGGAAGGGTAACACTAGAAGTTAAAACTCCAAGAGACTTTGGATATGATTTAGTGCCATGTTTCACTCTACAAAAGAGGAAACTGAGGCCCAGAGAGTTCAAGTGGCTATCTTATAGCAAATTCACAATGAGTCCAGTACTAAAACTCACTTTCAGACTTTTTTGCTATATTGAATCACCACATATGACACTGTGTATTCATTAACATTAAAGCAATTTGACTTCATGTGCCCTTCCTGCGCAGCTGTGGTTCTGATTTAAATATCATTTCTTGAGAGCCACATAGGAGGTTATTGACTCATGTTTCTAGCTATTGCCAAAACAACCACAGTCATTTGGAAAAAAAAAAAAAGCAACAAAAGTTTTGCAGAGATACTTGCTATTAGGTTAATTTGCAAAGCATATCCTGGATGCTTTCCCCTTACCTTAGAACTTTTTGTAAAAGATTCAGGAAGTTTCTGGCATTTTCTCCCTTTTTAACTTTTTCTTCTTTTATCCTGGAAAAGAGTAGAGAGAAGACTGGTGTATAATGAATGTTGAATGATGAGTAAGAATGATTTTCCTTCAAAGTCAGGGTTGGCAGCTGGTCACTCACTGAGTGATAATAGCAATAAAAACAAAAGCTAACACTGATGGACTGCTTACCATGTGCCACACATATTGTTCAAAATGCCTTCATTATTTGATTCAACTTATTTTATCCTTATTATAATGCTACAAGAGGTTGAGCAATTTTCCCAGCTCTTAAGGGCCAGATCCAGGATTCCAACTCCAGCATCTTCCTTTCAGAACCTAGGACAGTAACCACTCAACCACACAGCATTTTGTTATAGAATGTAGCTGATTTCCCTGAACTTTCTTCTTGGTGATCATTGTTACAGTTGCTCCTGTCCTCAATGTTGAAGAATACATATGTAATCTGGATCTCTAAAATTTTATGTGATATTAATTGCTTTACTCTGATGTACAGAGATATTCAGATAAAGGATGTCCTGGGATTATGAGATTGACTAAGATATGGCGATAGAAAAGAGTCCAGGACTTCTCAAGATTGGTGATCCCAGTGTCAAAAACTTTCCAATGGCTAGAAGCACCTCTCTATTTTGTGACAAAGGAACAGTTTATTGTGAGAAATGTTGTCTAAGAGACCAGAGACTCCCCTGTGCCACTTGTGTGCTATGAGACCCTGGGCAAATTACTTTTCTTCCAGAGATCTCAGTTTGGTCCACTTTACAATCATCTTTGTGTTTTCTTCTTGCTTCAATCATTTAGGAATTTAAACATTGTTTTTCCACATGACTCTTCTTGGAGAGTAGAATAGCTAACCCTACATATAGATAAGAGCCAGGGCAGGCTTGGACTTTCACCTCCATGTCCCAAGTGAGCCCTCCTCTTTTGTCTTTATGGTGGGTCAGTGCTGAATGGCAAAGCAGACAGAGCTGCCTCCAAGACAGCTCATCACTGGCAGGAAATCATTCTAGTTCCTGGCATTACACCTACACATTCTCTTTCATTGCCCATTTCTCCACTCCCAGTCATAACAGATGGGGGGCAGGGGGGCGGGTCCTTGTCCTATAGGCCTATTCAACTAGGAAGGTCTGGGGAGTGGAGACAGAGATGTGGAAAGAACTGTAAGAATGGTCCTCAGAGCTGCTTCACAGCTAGTGAGGCTGGATGAAGAGGTGGTCCGTGGTATTAAAGAAAATACGATCATCATCAGCTCAACAACCATCACTTACCCCCAGGTCTCATCACCAAATACAAAAATAGCACCTGTTTCTGTACCTTGCACTCTTTGTTGACACTTCTTCCTCGATTTATTTTCCTGTTAATTTTTCTGTACATGTTAAATACATTTAAATAAGTTCCACTAGCATAAGCATTAAAGCAAGATAAACTTCACTATTCAATTTGCTTTGGGCTATCAGAGATGTCAGTCAAGATTGTGCAAGTAGATGAAGAATGTGGAGATGGGCTTGGGTGGGTGTCACCTGAGGACTGGAAGAGGAAAGGGCAGGAGGAGAAATCAACACCCAGATCATCAATCAAACCCCCCATCTTTTAGGTCACAAGAGTCTCTCTTTCCCATTTTCTAAGAAGGATTTAGTGTGGAAGAGGCCATAAAAGTGTGTTTCTTTGGCATTCTTAAGTCTAAATAACCCGGTTGGGCTGAAAACCTCTGTCCAACACAGTTTCACTGTTAAGATGTGTGAGTGTCAAACCCACCACGGTGGCATGTGCCTGCAGTTTAGCTGCTTGATGCTGAGGTGGGAGGATGGCTTGAGGCTGGAGTTTGAGACAACACTATGCAACAAAGGAAGACTACATCTCAAAAAAAAAAAAAAAGTACGAGAGTCAAAACTACAGAGCCTCAGGTTTCCAGTTAATATGGAATGTGAGAATGAGACTTCCGCCCAATTCCCCAATTCCTCCCTCCTCAGTCTCTGTCGTTTGATTCTTTGGGTATGACAACTTAGCACGTAGAATAAGCTCACTTAATGTTAGTTAAATGGACTTATAAAATTCACAACATTGAGAATTTCGAGAAAATAGGGGCAACAAAAAGAGTAGGAAGGTAACCATGCAAAAAGCCTCCCCACCCTAACCAGCTCATGCACATACATAAAACACAAGAAAGTTAAACAAAATTTCATGATGTAGTTTGTAGTTTGTCTTGGTGAAAGAAATTAAATGATTTGCAATGAATTTCAACCCTTTGGCAGAATTAATGGACCTATTGCTGTGCAGACACTGCTGCTTGAAGGCAATGGAATTGGAAATTTCCATGCACCAGGGCTCCCTGGCCAGCAGATGGCGATGTTTCTTAGTTTTACAGGAAGATGCCAGGCCAGAGGCCGTTAGTTATGCAGGGCGTGTTTATCAGATGGCTGTTAAATCGGTTCAAAATCTGTAAAGGATGGCAGATCAGCTCTTATTTATTTATTTTTACTTAGAGTTGATGAATTCAGTAAAATTTCATGATGGGAGAATGAACGCTGTGCCTTTGTGTTGGGGATGGGAGCAGAGGACGACCAGTATCCAAAATGGTTGGGTAGCTGCGTTTTATCTCTCTCAGTTGCTTTTTAAAATGAGATTCTTCTCGCGCTGCCTTCTAGCAGCCTGGATTTAGTCAATGTGGGACCAAAGGGCACATTGGCAGCAGTTTTGTTCATTTTCTTTTACGTTTCTTTGTAAGTGGGCTTGTCTTCCCGGGTCAACCACTTGGCTCGCAGATCCTGGGGCAGAGGCAAAATCTGGGTGAGGCTGGGTCGGGAGCCAGGGCAGGGCTGCTCAGAGTTGAGGAATGGGAGGGAGGAGAGCTGCTTCTAGGCTCTTTCTCAGCCACGTGGGAGAATTGGAGATGGATCCACTTTCTCCTCCCTGAGCCCAGCAGCTATTGCACTGAGAGCCAGCATCCCTCTGGAAAGAGGCCGAACCATTTTAAGCAGAGGGAAAGAAATTTGTGGAGTAAATTGGTCTTAAAATACTGCCTGCTCTGTGTGCTGACCCATTAAGGGATATGGCACCACTTGGGATCCAGGATATTCAGTTTCTTGATTTGGAAGTGTCACTAGCCTACTGTGTGATGTTGGACTTGTTTTTTCATCTGTAATGTGAACACTTTGATAGAAATCTTACACCCATAGTTAAATTTGTATTCTTCTGAACTAGCAACTCTGGTGATACAGGAGAATTTTTAGATGACCAATTAAGACAGAATATTTAGGGGTGGGACCTTGGCGTGCACCTTTTTTAAACAAGCTGTCCAGTTGATGTAAATGTTCAGGTGGGCTTGAGAACTGTTGCTCTAACCAGGGGATCTCAAAGGGAAGTCTCAGGACAGCAGCATCAGCCTCACCTGAAACCTTTATTATTATGATTATTTTTGATGCAGAGCCTCGATCTGTCACCCAGGATGGAATGCAGTGGCGTGATCTTGGCTCACTGTAACCTCGGCCTCCCAGGTTCAAGCGACTCTCCTTCCTCAGCCTCCCAAGTAGCTGGGATTTCAGGCGCCCGCCACCACACCCGGCTAATTTTTGTATTTTCAGTAGAGACAGGGTTTCACCATGTTGGCCAGGCTGGTCTGGAACGCCTGACCTCAAGTGATCCGCCCCTCTCGGCCTCCCAAAGCGCTGGGATTACAGGTGTAAGCCACCACGTCTGGCCCAAAAGCTTTTCAGAAAAGCAAATTATTAGTTGCCCTAATCAGAATCAGAAATTCTGAGGGTGAGACCCCAAAATCTGTTTTAACAAGCACTCAAGGTGATTTGGATGCAAGCTAAAGCTTGAAACCTACTGTCGTGTTTGGAAGGATGAAACTTCCCCGTACCTTTTGCATAAATGGGGCTGGGGATTACTTCTGGGAATGGGATGTAAACCCGGTGTTATATGTCATTTCCTGGGCTAAACGTTTAGTTGTTCGTGTATGACCTTTCATTTTCTCATCTAGGTAAGTTGTGTGATTTTAAATAGAGAGAAATGCAGCATGCTGGAGCTTCTGCTAGTTTGGACCCCAGAGTTGCTACATTAACATCTTGTAAATGAAACAAAACAAAACAAAAATTTTTATGTTAAATGACTGAAATTTTGTGGCTGTTTGTTCTTGTATTATAGCTTATCCTATCCTGATGAATACAAGTATTAATGCTGTAGTTCTGATGATTTGGTTTGATTAGTGCTGATAAGAAGAGGAGGGACTTCCCCATCCCTCCTCAGTCACCAAACATCCATTTCACAGTTCTTCTAAGAATATATATTTAGGTTTAACATACTGGGATAATTTGAGAAAAGCTTCTATATCTGGTTGTGGGTTGCACGTGCCAAAAATGGGAATGGAATTGAAAAAATATTCAGTCTCATGTCCTGATGTATTCAAATATCTATATTTGGTATTATAGTGTTCAAATATTGGGGTCTGAGTTTGCATCCTTAAAAGTTCTTTCTATAGCTCTGGATTATTATGCTGATACTAAGAATTTGATATTGCTTCTTCCCATTGTAAGAGCTCAAATCTGGGAAGGCATTCTCCTTCTCTTTAGACCTTTCCTAAGTAGACTACTTTGTCTTTCTATGACAGAAACTGCACGTTTTGTGCTCCTTTACTGAGGCGAGTGTCCCTGGACTTGTCCTTTCCCCACCATTGCTTTTTCCTTTGTATATTTATAGCCATCACTCTATTAAGACTGCTTCACAGGGTGGCTACCTTTACTTCCTGTTTTATACTCATTAATAGAAACTTTCTCAGACCTCTGTTTTCATCATTTCTACCATTAATCTTTCTTGACTGTTATTGTTTTGTTTGTCAGACCCCATTACTGTTGTCATCAAAATAATCACCACCACCATCATTAATATTGTCAACATAGTCAACATTTATTGAAATTTTGCTACATCGTTAAGAGTCTGAACTATTGATCATTGATCAAGATATCATATATTTGACCGTCCTTTTGCCCCATCAGTTTGCTCTTCTGCTCTGCTTTGTAACTGTCTGTTACCTTTTCATACTTCTGCAACATGGAATTACTGCCCTGATCCAAGATCCTTTATGTATAGTTTTCTTATTCCTACCTTAGTTCATTTATTCAAAATTATAATGCTCTCTTTTGCTTCATTAAGATATGGCCCTTAGAATCCTGATTTATAAACAGCAAATGCCCAATTCTCATTCCTCTAGGGATCTCTTTGTGACTTATTCCATTTTTAAATTAGGAGAACTCAACAAAAGCTGCTGTTATATCTGCATGAGTTTTTCCCTCTGGAGTTGGTGTTGACGATCTCCCCAGAGCTGATTTGACTAGGTCATTAAGATGGATGAAATAACCATATTGACTGTTTAGTGAGCTGGTTATTTCAGTAATCTTAATGAGAGAATTAGATCGATCCCAAGGTACTCCAAATCCTTATTTGATGATTGACCTAGAAGCAATCAATTGCCCATGTTGCTCTATATGAATTCTCTGCTTCCGTCAACCAGTCTCACTCCCCACACACCCCCTAAACATGAACTCTACAATACACACACACAGGTACATACATAAGAAAACCCATGGGCAGATGCCTTATTGGAGATCAGGCTGGAACACACAAGTAAAAACGTGCAAGGGGATTTCATTTGTGTTTCCAAATGTTACTAGGACTCAGTGCAGGGAAGGCAAGAAGGGGGACTGGTGGCAGAGTCTAACCTTATCACATGATGCATGTGGTCACCGGGGCAGGGTGCTCAAAGCCTGTTTATGTGGATATTGAAGCAGAAGGGAAATATGAAGCTTTAAAATTTACAACACACTCTAATGTTTGTGCTGCTATAACAAAATATCACAGATGGGTAATTTATGAAGAACAGGGATTTATCTTTCACAGTCCGGAGGCTGGGGAGTCCAAGATCAAGGGGCCGGCCTTGGGGTCTGGTGAGGGACTGTTCCATCGATGGTAACTTCTCACTGTGGCGACCTCTCTTAGAGGAAGCTAGAAGAGAAACAAGGGGCAAACTCTCTCTGAAGCCTCTTTTATAAGGACCTTACATCTTAATACCACCACAGTGGGGATTAAGTTTCAACATTAATTTCGGAAGGGACATTACATTCAAACTCTCCATCCAACTCTTGTCTTTGGGAAGTTCATCTATAAGCTGGGAATTGTGACCCTAACCCTACCAACCATACAGGACTTTGTGCTTACTAAATAAGACCCAGATGGAAAGAAACTTTGAAAAGTATAAAGCATTGTAGGAATGAAGCATGATATACTCAAGACCTAATATCGGTCATCAAAAGGAATTCAAATGTGGGAGATAATTTGTCAGTATTGACTAACTTAAAAAATAATTGTTTTCTCTAATTTTTTTAGTAACTTTCTTGACTTCACTTACCCAGATAATAACCTCATATCTCACCCAAACATTTACTTTGCCTGTGTGCTTGCACTTTGAATTTCCCTCTAAATATAAGAAAAAAGAATTTGTGTGTCTGTGTGCACACATATGTGTCTCTGGTGGGCAGAATTTGGGAGTGTGTAGAATCTTGGAAGGGCCCAGGGGCTTCAACTGAATGATCCAATCTGGCTTTGAAGCCACTTATAGGACTCAAAGCTCTAGACTGTCCTGCTGAGACTCACACAGAGCAAGAAGGAGGGGTGAGAAATGTCCATAAGTATTTTCACTCAAACCATGATGCAGGAAAGAAATGCCACAGACTATCAAAGAAACAACTATTGATGTCTCCTGTTTCTGAAGCGCTACAGATTTTAACGTACTAAAATGTAAGTTTGGTGTTTTTTCATTATCTTATGTAGTTGTCTTGCTTATAAGTGGGTTTGTCCTGTTTCTCCAACTCTGTTTTAATGTTTTGTTGTTGTTTTTGTTTTTTTTTTTTAACCAAAAATGCTATCCTGTGTTCCCTAGAACCTGTCATTTAGGACACCCATCATGTCTTTTTTTTTTTCTCCCAAAAACAAACTTGTCCCTAAATAATTCAGTTAATCTTAATGCATTTGCTTTTACACAACTGAGCTCTACCATGGTTTAATTAAACTACCTCATGGTGTAACACTAGACAGATCTGTGAATTAAGATGACAGAACAGAAGGAAACCTTGGGGGTTATCAAATGTAAAACCTTTATTTCACTCATGAGGAAGCTGCAATCTAGAAATCTGGACTCCTCAAAATTTATACATATTTCTACCTTGACAGAGCTTAGAAAAGAATCAGGTCCCTTGATCCCAGCCCAGGGCTCCCTCCACTATACCATTTACTCTCAGCTCTCATTCTGACATAAACCTGCTGTGTGGCCTCAGGCATTTCATGTGACCTCTCTTTGCCTTAGCTTTCTTGTTTTAAAAAAATGAGGCTAATATAAATGTCAGTCTTTCTGTCTCAGATGTGCTTTGTGTATCAGAGGAGACGAGACATGTGAATTCACATTTATGTGACTAGACCTAAAATCACTTTGAAATAAGAAATTCTATCCAAAAGTAATAAAGTATATTGTTCTATTGAGATAGTCATGGACCAGGCTTATGTGGAATCAATACTAGTTTATGATAATAATATTGATAATGTGCACAGATGTCAGAGTGTATGTGATACTGGTACTAGCAAAGTGAGGAATACAGCTTTAAAACTGGAATGTGAGGACAGAGGAAAAAAAACTGAATACAAACCTAAACACCTCAAAATGACTCTCCATAGACCCAAGGAATATGAGAGTTAAGGAGATTCCATTACAAGGAAGTAGAGGGGCTTGTAAAACAATAGCCAATATGTGGTAGATTAAACATCTGCTGCAGACATAAATCGAATCCCACTCGGAAACAGCCGTATCCTCTCTAGAAATAACACTGTTCATAGGAACATTATATACGGTACAACCATGGTAAGGAGAAGACACATTAACCCGTTATCTTAAAGGTTTCAATCTCATTTTTTGAATTTATATTTCAGCTTTTAATCCAACAATAGTCATTACAAGTATTTAATGACTGACTTGCTAATTGTGTATCCCAGGATGAAGCTGAGAGAAGTTAACACACAAACTGGTCATTAACTATGTTAATGATCACGTTCTTTGGGATTATGACTATTATAAGCTATAATTAACAGTTTTTAACCATTTTTTTTCTTTTTAGTAAAAAAAAAAAAGAAATATTCTTGAGGCTCAGACAGAAATGATGAATGCTGGCCTCACTGTTATTTCTTGTATCATAAAGAACAGCTTCTGGGACAAGTTTTTGTTTTCTTAATCATTACTAGAGCTCTTCAAAGTAAATGATGGTTCTGGTCAACTGAGCAAATAGGCTCTGTCCTGTCCTCACTAGAACATCATGGAGGGCTTATGCCTGGACCATACAACCTCTCGGCATCTAGAAAGGTTTCCATCAATTCTCGTGTGGTAAAAATAAAAGAATTTAAAATGGTGCTGCAAACTGCAAGCTTGGGGCGCAATTTGTCCCATGGAAAAACTCCTGGGCCTGATGAAGGCTTGCAAAACTTGAGCTGTGTTCATGACATTTATCTTTTCCACACTATGCCCTTTCTTCCCCACATGAAGTATCTTATGGCCTCTCATTCTCTCTCTCATCAAAAACATTCTTTCCAGAATGAAACTAATGAACATCAGAGGATATAAATGACTGATCAATAAAGCTTTTAAACCACAGGCGAAGTCACCTAGTAGAAAGACTGGCTCTATCTCCTTGGCGTTGGAGGACAGAGCTCTAAGGAATAAGGGCAGAGTCGATCTCTACTAAAAATACAAAAATTAGCCAGATGTGGCATGTGCCTGTAATCCCAGCTACTGGGGAGTCTGAGGCAGGAGAATTGCTTGAACCCTGGAGGTGGAGGTTGCAGTGAGCCAAGATTGCGCCATTGCACTCCAGCCTGGGTGAAGAAGTGAGACTCCATCTCAAAAAAAAAAAAAAAAAAGAAATCTTTATTGGAAAACAAATATTAACATTAACAACTATTTTGTGTTTTTAAGTTACTCTAGAGAAAAATATTTCAGATAAAAAATAAATATTTCCAAGACAAAAATTTGATTAGAAACTTCCCACGAGAACAAAAATTAAAAAATAGAGGCTACTATGATAAGTGATATATTTTATTTGATGTTCAGCAAACATACGCTGCTGTGTTCCAGGTGTAGCTGGATGGTGATGGTTACAACAGGAACTGGATGCTGTCACCTCTTTCGTGGTACAGTACGAGGGACTAGTGTTGACAAGCTATGATGAACGTGACAGCTTTGGGTCTTGTGGGAGTCTCTATGGGTGGGGGAGGGTGGAGTCTAGCCTAGTCCAGGGTTCAGGGAAAAGTTTGTGGGGAAATGAAGTTTTGTCAAGAGGCAGACCAACTGTCTCTTTTAATGAGATCTCCTGGAACCCTGGAAGAAGGCAGGGCTTCTGCTAAGCGTCATGTCAACAGCTTACACAAAAGCTTACAACAGCTTAGAACAGCTTACACAAAAGAAACAGAGGGTCATAGGATGATCAGGTGCTAGGAACAAGCCTAAAAGTGGCTGCCTACAATGGAGGAGTGGTGAGAATACACAAAAAGGAAGAAATGATGTATTTGAGTCACAAAACTTCTGTATTTCTATGGTCTGAAAACTGGGGCACAATTTTTAAATATTTGAAATCAGAATAAAATGTTTTCATAAAAAAATGCTTTCTACTAGAAGAGTGGAGGTTTTTGCTGCTAGCCTTCTCTTAATGACATCAGAGAAGCGGGGTCTGATTAACATTGTGTTGCATCATTCATGGAGATGAGCTCATGGTACGTAATGGAGGCCCTGCTGAACTTCACACATTGTAAGAAAGATAATGGTTCATAGAAAATGGCCAAGCCCTTTTTATATGAGTCATGTTACCAGAAGCTCTCCTTTCTGGCAATTCACTTCTTTTAATTCATTGGTTAAAATAATAACTTTCACAAAAGTTTTTACTAACACATTTATGAAGCATGCACTACATGCTTCATAAAACCTTCTAGAAATTTCCTTTTCCTAAAGTTTTTCTCTCATGCACTTGAACAGATATTGCATCTTTTGACAACTAATTATCTGACTTTTGAATATAGCTTTTATTTACTGGGCAGTAAAACAGTGAAAAGTTAAATTATGGCACCTAATTAAGCAAATATTTTGCTTGGTCAGCTAAAGGGAATGGAAAATTTATTTTTTTCTCTACTATAACTTCTTTTTATCAGTAACTTGACAAGTGGTGTCACTAAGATGATGATTTTTTTGTATTGAGATAATAAGACTGAATTTTAGAAACTGTTAACTTTTAAAAAGTGTACATAATTGGATTCTTTTTATTTCTCTAGTTTTAGTCTCATATATTCTGTATTTCATGGCTTTGCTTTTTATTGCCTTCATTCTGAGTTAAATATACAGTCAGCTTTGTGTGGAATTAATATCTAAGATGTTGGGATAATGTAAGCTGCTCCTAACAATGGATCACAATTCATTTTAAATTAGTGAGTTCATTTAAATGAAATAATTGGGTCATTATTTACATATACACAGTTGTTTCCAAATTTTATTGAGAATAAAATAATAAAAGAGTTGGCACTGACAATTTTGGCATCTCTATAACTTAGGACAAGAGATGACCCATTTTCTCTCTCTTCGTATTATATTCCCATAATTTCCCCAATTACTACTGCATAGAAACGTCAAGTTGGTGTTGAGTTGTTGGCAAATAAATGAGAGTGCTTGAATTGTAGCATTGTTCAGCTCAGAGATAACTGCATTTTATCATGTGGAAAGGATCTGTGTTGCTAAAGTGAGGGTAACACAGAAATATCAACCAAACCACAATAGAAGAGAAATCCACACTCTTTTAACAAGACTCATGCTCTCCCCTGACTTGACATTCATCAGCCTCCTTGATCACTCCAACCTTTGCTCCTTGGCTCTGTATTCATAAGACATTTACTGTGTTAGTTTTTATTTAGCTGATGTGAGTTGGTCTTTGCTTTTCCCCAAATAAAGTCTTTAAGAATAAATACCATTTAAAATTATTTTCTTATATCTCTCCCAGTCAGACTCAGCTAAATGTAGGCAAATGTAATGGCCAAATAATCTAATAACCAGCATGTTATGGGAATACAGGAACTGACTCTGTATACTTTAAGCCTGCAATGAAACAGGCTCTGGAGCCCCCCACTGTGCCTGGTACTCACCCTTTAGTTGCTGGATTGTGGGAACATCCAGTAAGTGCTTAAGAAGGGGCTGGAGTAGCCAAAGACAGTGGCTGTTTCCTAATTAGTTTGGAAATATTTCAACATTTTGGGTGGACTGTCAACCCTAGCTATGGGAAAGCATTATGGTTGCTACAACTCAGATGTTATGGCCTTCAGCAGATTGTGACTAAAGCTAAGTTTCTTTTTGGCATCCAAATCATCATGTTGCGAGCCTGTGAAAGGTCACACTTTTTCTGTTTTTCTTCTCAGATATCTCTGGACATGTCTAGGATGGTGATAAGTTTGGTTCCAAAGATCCCTCCGGGTAGTGGTTGCCTACTGCTGCCAGGCACCAGCTGCGGGCCATTGTACCATTCTTCTGAAGTGCCGCAGGTTAAGCACCTTTCCTCAGGCACCTGTTACTCCCTCTGCACCTCTTTATTTAATGTGTGGGTCAAGCCTTGCCCATAATTCCACACAGTGATGGCTAAGGACAGCTTCTAGTGCTTAGACTTTATAAAAAGTTAAAGAAAAAATGTAGAAAATCAAACCTGGAAAGTGATACGACTCTTCTAAAAGTCCATTGGCTGTGGTCCCTCCTCAGGGAAATTTCCAATGGGTCCCTTAGCTCTGGCCTATTGCAGGAACCAACTGCACCTAGTAGGTAGCTTTTGATCAAGTCTCTTCTCAAAGCCTAAGACTCAGTTTTCTGAAATCCAGAGGGAGAAAAGTCTTTTAAAAAATTCCCCTCCAGAGCTGACTCTTCTATCTGCTTTACTTATCTCTTCCCACAACTCTAAGGCCATTCCCAGCTTCTAAAATTTTCTAAGTTAGGGCCACTGTATTAGTCCATTTTCATGCTGCTGATAAAGACATACCTGCGACTGGGCAATTTACAAAAGACAGAGGTTTAATGGATTTACAGTTCCATGTGGCTGGGGAAGCCTCACAATCATAGCAGAAGGCAAGGAGGAGTAAGTCATGTCTTACATGGATGGCAGCAGGCAAAGAGAGAGAGCCTGTGCAGGGAAACTCGTATTTTTTAAAGCCATCAGATCTCATGAGATTTATTCACCATCATGAGAATAACATGGGAAAGGCTCACCCCCATGATTCAGTTACCTCCCACCAAGTTCCTCCCATGACACATGAAAATTATGGGAATTACAATTCAAGATGAGATTTGGGTGGGGACACAACCAAACCATATCAGCCACTTAGTCCTGGATCACTTTAAAAATGGAGGGCTAGAACTCTACTCCAGATTTCCCTAAACCCAACTCTGTTCTACCCTCATATTGTCTTCATTTCAGCCTAGAGAAAAGGACTGAATGTACCTCATATTCTTATTTTTTCCCAACTTCCTGATTGCAGCTATTGAGCAATAGCCCATGTGCATGCATTTCAAAAAAGTAACTTTCCGTTAAGGGGGGGTTTAAACCCTGATTTAGGGGAAAATGTAATAAGCAGATTTGCATAATTTTGCAAAAGCTAATACCTATTTTATAGCACCCAAATAAAGAGAGCATGATATCTGAGTTTGAAGTGCCTGTGTTCAGATTCCTTCATAACTTTCAGTTCTCCCCCCAAATAGTGGAAGAATAGTAATCATAAATAGGAATAAATAGGACCATCCATCAGAGTGACCACTCCCAGAAAAAATGCTATTTCTATTAGCAAAAATGACTTTCTCAGCTTCCAAATCACTCCTCCAACAAAAACAGAAGTTCCATTCTTTACCAGGTATTTTGATGAATTTGATGTATTATTTAAGTTATAACTGTAGAGAGAATTAGTAATAGAATTATTGTCTCTTTGAGTACATGTGACTGTGGAATGGTGGGGTCTATAAGTTATTGATGGCCTCTAAGAGTGAAAACATCAGAGCCATGGGGCTTTATAATGAAAAGAGAGGATGGTGGGGTGGAGAGTTGTGAATAGGTAGATTTGGGATGGAGAGTTGTGAATAGGTAATGTGCATGTAGAGAGTGTGACAAGCCTGTGCTGCTTTACTGCCTGAGGTATATTTCATCACATAAATTAGGATGAAATTTTCAGATATTAACAGGGATTCCTATTACTGAACTTCTTTAATTCTTTCTCATCTCTTGGGGAACAGGGGGAGCTTTTTGTAGGTGCTGCCCTCAGGGGAATAGCAGATTTGGTGAGTATGAGGAATCTTTGGTCAACTTTGAGGTTGTAAAGCCCACACCAGAAACAGCAGTTTAGAAATCTAAGCTTTCCATGTACAAGACACAGGATTTTTGAAATTTTTATAATGGTTTCTATATATAGGTTTCAAAGAGTCAGATCTTGGAGGACTAAGTACAGTTTTACTTATTCGGTTTACTAAAAGCTAAAGCAAAGGGCAAAGGCAGCCTGGTAAACTACGCATTGGCACTCAGTCTGCCCAGCAGTGACCTACAGACACTTCCACTCACATCCCAGTGGCCAAAGTGAGTCATGTGGTCCTGCCAAGTTCAACCACGGAATGGTGTCTAATCCTCCTACAGGTAGGGCACCACAGAAGAGGATGCTAAATATGGGTGTCTAGACACACAGTCTGCCACACAGACAAATGTACATTTCAGCAATGCCCTGTGGAGAACAGAGTGGGCACACCTCTGTGGACTGCTCAATCCCTGCATGCTTGACACCCCTGGAATTCAGATCGGTACTGTGTGTCTGACTAGACCTGGGAGGGCTGAGGAAACCACGGCTTATATAACTCCTTCTACAGAGAAATTTTAGTCTAGAAATATTTCCAGTGAGCTTTGCTTTTTTTCCCACTTTTGTCAAGAAGAAAACAACCTGACAATAATGGCAAGGAGCCCAGGGGAGAATCACAAAGTCAAAATGACAGGCATGGAATGAAAGAATCAGGCCAGTAGTGATGTAGGAAATGTCCTACTTTTGATTTTTCATGTAGGAAACACTTAAAATTGATTTTCAATATCCCCATCAATATTCTTAGCCCCTATTGTCTATTTCTTGTGACAGGGTAGATATCCTCTCTCCCTCCAGTCTTCCACCTCCCTATTTTCCCTCCCCACTTTCCCATGTAGTTAACACTGGCCATCCTTTAAATGTGGTATAAAACATAGCCTATTTGCATATTAATCCAGCAACCACAGAGGACATCAGAACACCTAAGGATGGCTGCATTTAGGGCTCAATGTAACAAGGGCCTTTGAGTCTTAGACTGTGATAAAATGTGAAGTGACATTTCGCAGAAGGAGAAAGCTTCTATTTTTACCTTAGTGTTAAGAAATGGCCCCTGGGAGGAATTGTTGCTCCATCTCAGTGCTTCCCAGATGTGTCAGATTAGAGACCCACCCACTGGAAACATTTCAGGAAGTCAGTCAGCCACTCCCTGGGGCTTTCCTAATGACTGGCCGCCTTGTCTGAGTTGGTTAACTCAGTTGGATGCAGCGTGTGGTGTTAATTCAGTAGGGCTAATTAGACCAAGATCATGGATTTGATATTCTTGGTTTTTTTTTGTTTTGTCTTTTTTTTTCCTCAGAGAAAAAACATTTCTAACCTCTTATTGGCTAACTTAAAAATATACATTATTGGCCTAAGGAAAGCAAATTAACATAGTGGGGATATAGCTGTACAAACTACAACTCACCCCTCCCTTCTAGAATACAAAGAGTATTTCAGTATGTGTGGTGTGCTATCAATAAGCATTAGCTTCAGTTTAGTAGGATGGGCACAGGTAAAGAGTTTGCAACACGCTTTGGCTCATTTCAGCTGCTGCTGTGCAGTGCCAACAGTGGCTACGTTACTGAGCTGTGCACTGCAGTTCAGTAGTCATGATCATTGAATGTAATTGGTAATGGTCGATGAGATTTCTCACTGGATGATGCCAGTCACACCACAAACTCCTCTAGATGGCATTGGTTGGGGCATCTGCTTCAGCGTGCCTGGAGACTGGTGTGTGGCTTCCCTTATTTCATTAGCAGGATGTTGTTTCCTGTGTGTCTGGCCTTTCTAGCTCTTCCAAGGCATGATCTTGACTCTGCACCAACTTCTAGAGTCTAACTCACTGAAACACTCCTCTGAAAACCTTAGGCCTTGAGAAGTGGCACAATCTATACATTAATATTACCCCCCCCTTTAATGACTGTAATATCACATTTCTCCATGTTGTTTTGAAATTGTCACCTGTGCCATGAATAATTTGATTGTTAACCTACAGTAGGCACAACCCAAAATAATTTGCCAAATTCCCCCCAACACTTAGTATGAAACCCTTATGACAGGAGATATTTATTGAGTACTAATCTACATTGTCAAGAAGGGCTTTGCCATCTCAAGTTTCTTCTCTTTCATGTTGCATTCCCTTCTGAGAATCATCACCATTGTATTTATGATCTGGACTTATGTTAGAGAGAATTATTGCCATGACTTATATCTCATGTAGTGAGTTCATTTCTCTAGAATCCAAGATTACTTCTGAGAGGTCTTTACCAATCTGTTGGCTTTAGAAACCAGGAGAAACCCCTCTGTTTTGTAATCATAAAACCTATGAACACAGCCAAGTCACTTAATGATATTTTCAATTAGCCTTTAAGAGAATCAGCCCAGGGAGCACTAATGCCTTGTCCTGTGCAAGGGTGAGTGAAGCTGGTGAGTGAAGCTAGTGAGTGAAAGGTTGAAGAGAGTAACCTAGGAATCAGGAACTCTAGGATTTGCTCAATCTGGCACAAATCTCTTTGTGCCTCATTTGGCAAAGTGACTGATGCATGTAATAGTTAAAAAATTCGATCTTTTCCTTAAAAAGATTCAGAGAATAGTCAGTCCTTCTTATGCATGGATTCAGCACTTGTGGATTCAACCAACTGTAGATTAAAAATATTATGACAAAAGCAATAGAAATTACAATACAATAATTAAAAAAATACAAATAAAAATACAGATAGCATTTACATTGTATTAGTTATTACAAGCAGAGATGATTTAAAGTATATAAGAGGATTTTGGTATCCTTAGTAGTCCTGGAAGCAATCTCCTGTGGATATTGAGTGAGACTGTACTGAGTAACCATAATATTTAATATGCTTTTATTTTGCCTTGTTAATAGACCCACCACAAAAGCCTATATGATATTGTTGATGCTAGGCCCTCAGCAAATACTATTCTGCAAGGGCAGTGAATTACCATGCTCCACTGCTGTGTTACTCTGTTTCCACTCTGCTGATAAAGACATACCCAAAACTGGGTAATTGACAAAAGAAAGAGGTTTAATGGACTTACAGTTCCACGTGGCTAGGGAGGCCTCACAACCATAGTATATGGTGAAAGGCACATCTCACATGGCAGCAGACAAAAGAAGAGAGTTGTGGAGGGAAACTCCTCCTTAAAATAACCATCAGATCTCATGAGACTTATTCACTATCATGAGAACAGCATGGGAAAGACCTGCCCCCATGATCCGATTACCTCCCACTGGGTACTTCCCACAACACCTGGAAATTCAAGATAAGATTTGGGTGGGGACACAGCCAAACCATATCAATTTCCCTTTTGAGAAGACACCTATAGATGCTAGAAACACCAGTCCAACTTTCTCATTCTGCCATCCCTTCGCTAAAGGAAACAAGAGTGTCAAAAGAAAGTCTTTTACATATAGCTATTAGGTTATCTGTTTGATCAATTTAGTAATTTATTTGATGTTTAGTTTAACCTGATTTCATCTGCTTGAATAATGTTGTGGAGGGGTTGAAATAAGGTATAAAAAAGTATGAAATTGGAATGTGGAAGTCATAAGAAAATGAAAGAATAGAAGATTGTAGGTTGCAGCACTGATTTATCAAATCTTCCAAAACTCCTGGAAAGCCTATCACATTTTTCAGTGGATACTGAATTCAGTAGCATTTTAATGCTTTGAAAAAGCTAGTCAGCTCTACAGGGGACCAGTCTCTATAACCGTGCTGCCCAATCGAATAGCTGCTAACCACATGTGACTATTTACACTTAAATAAAATTTAAAAATTAGTTATTCAGTGGCATTAGCGACATTGCAAGTGCTCAGTAGACAGATGTGTTAAGTGGCTAGAGACTTGGACAGTGCACATACAGAACATTTTCATCATTGTTTGGAAAGTTCCACAGGACAGTATTCTAGAGAATTTGAGAATCAGAACATTCACTCAGATGATAAGTGCACATTAGATAAATATGCAACACTTTTTCAGGAAAGGTTTTTTTACTTGCTGTTGGAGTAAGCAACTGCTGCTCAGGTATTATGATAGACTGCATGACAAAGAAATGTTTTCTCATCATATTGATAAGAGATGTTGGAAAGGGAAGATTGTTAATGTTATTGAAATACATTGTATGTGTTCTAGACATTTTGCTGGGTGTATTAAATATCACCTCACTTATGACACAGCCGACCTGAGTGAAGTTTTACAATTAGCTCCATTTTTACAAATGGGGAGAAGACCCAGGTTCTACAATTAGTAAATGGAGAAAAAGCAGTTCGTCTGACACTAAAATTAGTCCCTCTAACCATCACACACACACACACACACACACACACACATACACAGAATTACTGTGTGTTAAAACCAATGTTACCCTCATTAGAATTTGCCAGATCCTAAGCATAAAGTTACTTTTACATGACTTGTATGGACCTAAGAACTGGATTAAAAAGAATTGCTATCAAAGCATGAATTGAACAATTTGCCATGATTAAAACTCATTTTTCCATTTGGAAAATCTTCCCTTCAGGACAAGATGAGAAACATTCAGAATAAAATGCATGTAGATTAATATAATCTTCAGAGACTGAGGCAAGAAAATGTAAAAGAGAAAACAGTAAAAAAAAAAAAAAAAAAGAAAAAAAATCAGCCATTTGCTGTAATTTTCTGGTAGTGAGGAGCTTTCCTGTACTTGTTATGCATAGCTTGAGAAATTCATTTCTCAAATAGACCAGCTGGGATACATGGGGAACAAAGACCAGCACATCTCAGATGTGTATACAGGCTCAGTTAATTTCAAATGACTAAATTACTGACATGCAAAGATCATAAAGAAGCACGTAGCTAGTCAACTCTTGTATTAAAAACAAGGTAATGAAAGATTCTTTCACCATAAGATGTCAGGCATGTGAAGAAATAATACTTATTTCTGCAGTAATGAAGTGTTTTTACAGAGTCCAGATGCAGCCTGTTTGATTGTTGAGAAGCTCTACTATGGCCCTGAAGTCAGACAGACTTGAGTTTGAATCTGGACATGACTCCTTAATTGTGTGGGGTTAGGCAAATGACTCAATTTCTTTAAGATTTGGTTTTCCCATTTCTAAAGATGGAGATACTACAGTTTATTCTACACAGAATTGTGACAGAAACCAACTGAGAGAATGCCTGTAAAGCTTTTTGCACTATGACTGGCTACCAAAAATACTTAGGTTAAGCTATTATTATTAGAATTATTAGCAAGTCCTTTTTATTAAGACTAAACTGCCTCATTTAGCTAAAACCTATTAATCTTATTGGGCCCTCAGAATTCACAAAGGACAAACTGACTCTACTGTATGGCAACAAAGTCTAACACACTAATCAGGTCTAGGTCTCTCAACAATTCCTCATATGACAAAGTTTTCTAATATAATATTATTCATGGTACCCTACTCTTCTGTGCATTAATGGCTATTGTCATTTTTTAAAATGTGATTCTGTAAATAAAATTCAGCACTTTTGATAAGGTGCAACAATGCCAGAGTACAGTGGAACTATCAATTTGTAGGATTCATATGCCATATCTTTGTTACTGACAAATAAGTTTACTTTAAAAGTTAGCCATGAGAGATCTATTGCATCTGGGAAGATGGAGTAGATATATTTCCAAATTCCTCCCACTATATGTACTAAGTACAATTAACGACCCTGGACATTATGCATATAAGAAACAAAAATACTGAAAAGTAGAGGGAAGTCAGATCAACTAAGGAACCATGGAGCCACAGATTTATAAAGTGGTGAGTTCTCTGGGTTTTTCTGCAGAAGAAAAGTTTTATATATCCCAGATGGGTTGCTAGAGAAGCTGACAACCTAGAAATCTTAATGGGTGCACAGCATAAAGGTCAGAATAAAAGTCTACTCTCTCTAGATAAAGAACCAGGAAAACAATAAAAAACCTCTCCCCCATCTTGCTGAGATAGCATTAGATAAAGCCTAGTGGAGAGTCAAAACTTTTACCATGCCCCATTAATAATGGGGCTACCTTCCCTTCTGCCCTCTGGTTTTAGTGAAGGCAGAATGGAAACTACAAATGAAGCACTTCCACTCCTCCCAGCCAAAAAGGTATCTGTAAAGGTGTAACAGAGAGCTAGAATTATCACTTCCACCCAGTGGTATCGAGGAGCTTCTCCCCATTTAGGTGTCAACAGAGGTTGAGTGGAAACCTGAACTTCTGCCCCTACCTGGCAGTGATGAGAGTAAGGAGCTGCTACCTTGTTCCCTTCCCCTGACAAAGTGTTGTCAGGACAAGGCAGTTGAATAAAACAATATTTAAATAAGATCTACAACCTCATAACATAATATCTAAAATGTCAAGGCTTTAATTGAAAATCACTCATCTTACTAAGACCCATGAGGAACTCACACTAAATAAAACAAGATAATCAATGAATGTCAACACTGAGATGGCAGAGCTGTAAGGATTATCTGAGGGGAAAAAAGTAAAGAAGTCATACTAAAAATGCCTCAACAGCAATTACAAACAAACACTAAACAAAAAATAACCTCCAAAAAGATATATGAAGTCTCAACAAGAAATGGAAGATATAAAAAAGAACCAAATAAAAATATTAGAACTGGAAGATAACCAAAATAAAAAGCTTAGTGGATAAACTTTACACCAGAATGAAGGGGGGAAAGAGAAAATATGAAGATAGAACAATAAAATTGTATAATCTGAACATCAAAGAGTAAATAGACTAAATTTATGAAAAGAACAAAGCCTCAGAAACCTGTGGGAAAATAACAAGAGATATAACATTTCTGTCAATAAAGTCCCGAAAAGAGGACAGAGACAAAAAGTACTCAAACAACTAATGACTGAAAACTCAAATTTGGCAAAAGATATAAATGTATAGATTGAAGAAGCTGAGTGAACATTAAACAGAATATACCCAGTGAAATCCAACCAGGAAAATTTATAATCAACCTTCTAAAAACTAAAAGAAAAGGTTTTAAAAAAAGTGATAAACAACAGCTTATCTATGGGGGAAAAACAATGTAGATAACATTGCATTTATCATCAGAAATTGTGGTGGCCAGAAATAAAGAGGCACAATATTTTTCAAGTGCTGAGAAAAAAATGGCTTGCAACCCAGAATTTATACTCAGTAAGAAATATCCTTCAAGGAAGATGGAAAAATCAAAACATCAAAATATTCTCAGATAAAGGATTACTAAGAGATTTTTTTACCAGGACACCTACCTTACAAAACATGACTGAAGGAAGTTCTTTAAACCCAAAGCAAATGATAAAAGAAGAAGTCTCTGGAACATCAATTAAGAAGAAAAAAAACAATTAAACAAAGGACTAAATACAATAGATTTTTCTTCTCTTGAGTTTGCTATACGATGTTTGATAGTTAAAGCAAAAATTATAACAATGTCTCTGCTTCTAAATGTATGTAGAAGAAATATTATGGAAAATGAGGCAGAAGAGATCTAAAGGGAATAAGATTTCTGTTCTTCACTCTAACAGGGATGATGATGACACCAATAGACTCTGATAAGTTATGTATGTATAATGTAATCATAGCACAACCACTAAAAAAGTCATCTACCAAAACGCACTCAAAGCACTATTAATACATCAAAACAAAATTTGAAAAATATTTTGTAACCCACAGGAAGACAGTAAAAGGAAACAAAAGCTCAGTGAGAACAAAGAGAAAACACAAAACAAAAAGGCACACTAAAACTCTAACATATCAATAATTACACTATGTGTAAATAATATAAGGGCATTAATGAAAAGACAGAAATACACATTAAACAAATATGATCCAACTGCATGCTGTCTACAGAAAATTCACTTCAGATACAGAATGCAGGGAGGTTGAAAGCACAAAGACAGGGAAAAAAAAATCATGCAAGCATTAATTAAAATAAAGTAGAATTTACTAAGAAGATATAGCAATCCTAAATGCCCACAACCCAAAAAACAGAGCCTCAAAATATGTGAAATAAAAATGAAAAGAGGAAATGGGCACATCCACAATTTTAGTAGTTGCATTTCAGCACTCTTCTATCAAGAACTGATAGAACTACTAGATAGGAAATCAGCAAAAATATCGAAAAACTCAACAGCACCATCAAACAACAAAATCTCAACATAACACTCCACCTCCAAAAAGCAGATAACTATTATTTCAAGTGCTCAAAGAATATATACCAAGGTAGATCACATGCTGGACCATAAAACATACCTACTACATTTCGAAGCATCATACAATGTGTTCTCTGATCACAATGGAATCAAACTAAAGATCAGTACAGAAAGACAACAGATAAATCTCCAAACCCTTTGGAAATATATAATTTATTTCTCAATAGTTCATGGGTCAAGGAGGAAGTCTCCAGGTAAATAATAAAAGGATATTGAATAGAATAAAAATGAATTATCAAAATTTGTAAGATACAGCTAAAGTAGTACTGAGAAAAATATTTTGGACCCTAAATGTTTACACTAGAGAAGAGGGAAAAAAGCTCAGATCATTAATTTAAGCACCCACTGCAAGTACCTAAAATAAGAAAAACAAAATAAATCTAAAGTAAGAAGAAGGAAAAAAAGTAAAGAAAAGAACAGGAATCAATAAAACTAAAAACAAAAACGTAGAGAAAATTAGTAAAACAAAGAGCTGGTTTTTTAAAATCTCAATAAATCAACAAATCTCTAGCAAGACAGGCAAAAAAAAAAAAAAAAACAGAGAAGACACAAATCATCAATATCAAGAATGAAATAGAGGATATCACTACAAACCCTGAGTACATCAAAAGGATAATTAGAGATTGGTATGACCATCTCTACAAACATGCATTTGACAACTTAGATGAAATCTATCATTTCCTCAAGATACACAAACTACTTCAACTCACTCAACATAAAATAGATGATTTGAATATCCCTGACAATTAGAGGAATTAAATTTATACTTAACAACCTCCCTCTCAAAATATCTCAGATCCACGTGGTTTTATTGGTAAATTTTATCAAAAATTTAATGCAGAATGCAATGTGAACTTTCCATAAAAATAGAAGAGGAAATAATTCGTTTTTTGAGGCTAAAATTAAAGTAAAAAAGAAAACTGCATGTAAAGAAAAGAGATCAACATCTCTCATGATGTTAGACACAAAAATTATCAACCAAATGTAAAAGATTGAATTCAATGATAAGGTGGTATTTATTGCAGGTATGCCTGAATCCTTCCTTCACCAGTTCAGATATGTAGTGCCTACATGATTCTCTCACTCCTTTTTTAAAAAATCCATCCCTCAGCAAAGGGTGACACCAATCACGTACTTTGGAGGATACTTTTAGTCTCTTTTGCTTATGGTCCACAGCTCAATTGCCATTTCAGTTTTATCACATTCTTGGTGCCCCCTGCCCCCTGCCCCCTGCCCCATCAGGACCTTGGATAATTCTCCTTCTCCTGCTGATCTAGAAGAGAAGAGGCCCTCTCCAGAATACCATGTCCTCTCTCTTCCAAATTTGGGGTCAGTCCTGTTTATACTTCAGTATACTGAAGCTGAGTTGCCATTTCAGCCTTGTCTTTAATTCACAAAGAAATGGCTTGGCTACCTTGACAAAGTGAACTCAGGCATATGTGAACCAAGAGGAAGCTGACTTTCGAGCAAGGGACCTTCCTTTCCAGAAACTCTGGAATTGGGTGTTCTAGATGATTGGACCTACTTAAAGAGTCAACAATATGGAATGTCCATATTGGCATCTAAAAGATTCTGGCAGTCATGCTTTGCACCTTTTAATTGCTGAGCCTATGATACTTAAATTTACTTTTATTGCACTTTGGGATCCATCCTGAATACTCATTCTATTTCGTCAACTCCACAGCCAGCCTAGGCTTCATAACTTGCTTGCATTTCGTGCATGGTAGCTTATTAGAATGACACATATAATGATAGAGACTGAGGGAAATTCTCCCACTTCTTCAGTCTGCCTTATCACTTTTGCAGGCAACATCACTTTATGAGCACTTCAGCCTTAAGTCAGTGGCATCTCCTAGATTTAAAAAATCAGACATCATTCAATTGCCTTGCTATTTGAAGAGAAAACAATAACTTCAGCGTAATGACGTTTCTTCCAAGATGGCTGTTACCTCAGGCTGCCAAGAATCCTCTCATTAAGAAAAAGTGACAGCAGCTGAGTATCTCCATTTAAGTCTTGAAGCACATGCCTGTTCATTTTTCCCAACTACCAAATCCAGCACCTTGTTTCTCGCCTCTGATATACTGCATGGTAAGGTAGCTGGAAATCTGCTGTCATCTCCTGTTCCTCTGAGAAGACAGACATTTCCCAGACAGTGGCTTCGGATCTTTACTAAGCCTGACTTGAAACTAACAGGGTTGTGGTGCACTTCTGGCTTATCGGAAGAAACTTACAGTAAAATCATTGTTTCTCCCAAATTTCTGTGTTTAAAATGTCTTAAAAAACAAAAAGAACACTACAAAATAAGCAAAATAAGACAAACCATAAAAAGGTAGATAAAATCAAATTTCTGTCATAGATTTGTGCTTAATATATATAAATCTCAGGGAAGTGGGGTATACCAAAGTATAATCAAGAATGATTCCAAGTTTGGAAGAGAGAACATGGTGTTCTGGGGAGGTCTTTTCTCTAGAACAGCAGGAGAAGGAGAATTCTCCAAGGTACTGATGGGGCAGGGGGGCACCATGAATGTGATGTCACTCAAGGAACTTTCTTTGACCCTTGAATATACCTTTGCCAAAGCAAAACAAAGGAGATGCACCACTCCTCACTTTTGAAAACATTTGTGTTAGGATTTCAAAGCACAAGTGAAACTGCCATTGCAAAGTTTACTACTGAGACAGTGAAAGTGATCTGACCTGACCAGCTCCATCTTGCTTCTAACCTCCAAGCTGTCCTTGTTCATTCCCCAGCGTTAGCTGAACTAACTTTGGGAGAAACTTAGTTTATAGTTCATAGTTTAAAACAGACAATAACAGCCCTCTCCCAAAATAAAACCCCTTCTTGCCTGGGGACTAGACAGCCTTTGGAAGACTAACAAATTAGCAACAAGATTAGAAATTATGGTTTAGGAATCATGCAGCTGGAGACTGAGATTCTGACCTTCCCCAAATTGCTCCTGGGGATAATATCACTATTGTAAAACCTAAGATCAGTGCTTGAGATATTTTGCAGACCCTGCACTTGATGGATCCGCTGGCACCACTCAGATTGATAAACTGGCTCATCTGAATTGTGGACCCCACCCAGGAACTGATTCAGTGCAAGAGGAAAGCTTTGACTTCCTATGATTTCATCTCTGACCCAACCAATCAGCACTCCCAACTCACTGGCCCCCCCACCCACCAAATTATCCTTAAAATCTCTGATCCCCGAATGCTCACAAGACTGACTTGAGTAATAATAAAACTCAGGTCTCCCACACAGCGTGAATTATTGTTTCTCTATTGCAATTCCCCTGTCTTAATAACTTGGCTCTGTCTAGACAGAGGGCAAGGTGAACCTGTTGGGCAGTAACACTAGTTAAGTTTTTATTTTATTTATATTTTCATTTACAGCTTTCTTAGTATAGAGAGTTTTTCCTTGAGAGTACCTAAATACCAAAAGCACGAGGCAGATGGATACTTCTTTAGAAAATGTTTATTTCTGGCAGGACATGGTGGCTCATGCCTGTAATTCCAGCACTCTGGAAGGCGGAGGAGAGATGACTTCTTGATGCCAGGAGTTCAAGACCAGCCTAAGCAACAGAGCAAGACCCTTTCTCTAAAAAAAAAAAAAAAAGGCTAGAATGGTGGGGCATGCCTGTAAATTCCAGCTATTTAGGCGGCTGAGGCAGGAGAATGCTTGAGCTCAGGAGTTCAAGATGACAATGAGCTATGAGGATACCTCAGCACCCCCAGCTTGGGCAACAGAGCAACACCCTCTCTACAAACAAATTAAAAAATTAGCCTGGTGTGGTGACATGCACCTGTAGTCCTAGCTACTTGGGTGGGATAATTGCTTGAGTTCAGGAGTTTGAGATGACAGTGAGCTTCAATCACACCACTACATGCCAGCCTGGGCGACAGAGAGACCCTGTCTGCAGGACAAAACAAAACAAAAAAACAAATAACAACAACAACAACAACAAAAGGAAAATGTGTGTTTCTGCTCCTTTACCTAGAAAAGAGCAACAGAGGTTGGGGGAGGAGGTAGTGGCAGGTCACATGTTATTCTAATTCTCGAATTGAAAGATGAAGTCTTCCTTGTGGAATCTCTCATTTTAGATGATGTAACAGGCATATCTGAGCAGGTTCTTTGGGACTCACTCTCAAGGGGAGAAGCTGTCTCTTGTGGAGTTCTGTGTAGGGGGTTACTGGAAAATTTTATCCCTTCAGCTAAGTGTTGAATGCTGTAAAAGAGATAACTAGGAGCTGGAATGATAACTCCCAGTTGTCAAACCCTTACCAAAGGTATTTCTTTCCTATATCTGCAGCCTCTTCATCCTTATTAAGGATGTGTCCTTCGATTTGACAGGTTGTTTATATATTTGATCTCATAGACAATTTTGTTTTTTGGTCTTATCTCAGTTTAACATTTTATTTAACACCTTCCTGTGTCATTATCTTGTTAGTTTATAGAGGGAACCTTTATTTCAGACACATACACACCCATACTCATATATAATAAACAGATTCTATTAATACAAGTTATTTTCCACCTAACAATTTACACACATTACTCCATACTCAAAAATGTTATTTCTACTGCATACCTCACCCAGCAGTGGTGTCCTTAAAATATGCAATGATTGAAAAAGTGGAAGTCTAAACAATTTGAAGATTTTTCTACAAAGTCTCCAAACTGTTGTAAAAATACATTAAAATAATTTATTTATTTGTTTGTTTATTTTTTGAGACAGAATATCACTGTCTCACCCAGGCTGGAGTGCAGTGGTACAATCTTGGCTCACTGCAACCTCTGCTTTGTGGGCTGAAGTGATCCTTGCAACTTAGCCTCTTAAGTAGCTGGGATCACAAATATGTGCCACCACACCCGGCTATTTTTTTGTATTTATGTAGAGTCGGGGTTTTGCCATGTTGTCCAGGCTAGTCTCGAGCTCCCTAGCTCAAAGCGATCCACTCACCTCGGCCGCCCAAATTGCTGGGATTACAGGTGTGAGCCACCATGCAGGCCAAAAGTAATTTATATTTTGATATGCTCTTTTGTAGTTTACATGCATTACTTATGTGTGTGTTATATTGACTGTTTTCTCTGAAAAATCAGTGTGAGAGGCAGGAATAAGGAAATTGAGTTTTGGAGAAATTGAATAGCTGGTCTATGTTCTCATAATTTGAAATTGACTAGTATCCCCAGCTTCTGATTCTCAGTCCATCTATTTATCCTATCACATCTCCTCTACACTCTTTCAGGTATGTACTGTCAATATGTAATCAAAGTCAGTTTGGGGACATAACGTAAAGGCCAGGAAAGAAACCATGTAGACCCCTATTACTATCTTTTTTCAATATCTGCTTATATACCAGTGTACTCTTTTATTTTCCTTTAAAAAAAGTTCAGTATCTTATGACTCTTATGCTTGACACATACAAAACAATAAAGATTTTAATGAATAAATATATGAATTACAAATTAGACTTCTTAGAAGAGGTGACAGGTGAATGGAGAGATTAGAGTAACTATTAGACCAGTAAAAAAGCAGTATTGTCCCCCATGTGTTATCTCTTGATACCCAATCTATTCGTTCTCTGCCAGATAACAAGCTCAAGAAAGCACTGCCAGACCTCCTAAGGGAATGACTCTTATACACACATCCCTGTGTTCAAGTTATAACACATCTGCCCCAGAAAACTTATGTGACCTGCAGATCCTGGGAGAGCTAAATTTTTTGACATGTGGATCTAAAAAAGCCCTTTACAATTTATTCCACCATGAAACGAACAGTAGATATGAATTCAGAATTTGGACTCTGGCCCAGTTTGTCACATTAAAATATTTTAAAAATTGCCTGGGCATGCTGGCTCATGCCTGTAATCCCAGAACTTTGGGAGGCCAAGACAGGCAGATCACTTGAGCCCAGGAGTAAAAGACCAGCCTAGACAACATGGAGAAACCCCATTAGCCAGGCATGGTGCTGTGTGCCTGTAGTTCCAGCTACTCCAGAGGCTGAAGAGGGAGGATCGCTTGAGCCGGGGAGGCAGAGGTTGCAGTGAGCTGTGACTGCACAACTGCACTCCAGCCTGGGTGACAGAATGAGACCCTGTCTCAAAAAAATAAAAAAAATAAATAAATAAAAGCTAAACAATTAAATTAATATATAAGTAGATATTCATTGTAAAATGTTTCAAGCTATAGATAGATACACACAATAAAATAGTAAAAGGCTTCTCCCTGTTTAAGAAATACCTTATAATATTTCATAGTATAGATGAAATATGACCTACACCATTGTACTTGCCATCATTTTTCTTATGTGGCAAACAATGGAGTAATAGACATTCTTATATATTTGTCTTTGTGTACATTCATAATTATTTTTATAGGACGGATTTCTAGAAGCAGAAGTTCAGGGTCAAAGAATATGTCTGTGAGTAATTTTGATAAAGAATACTAAATTTCCTCCTAAAAAAACTGTATCCCTTTAAAATGTCACTCATTTCTCACACTCTTTTCAACACTGGATTTTGTCTTTAAAATCTTTAAAATTTCTATCAATGTAGCCTAGTCTTCCACAGTAATTTTTCCCAAGACCTTAAACAATCTTTTTGTTTTATCTTGTTAAAAGATTCTGTAAAATGGGCTCATAAATTCTACTTCAGGAGAGTTGTGAAGCTCCAAAAGGGAATCACTGTGTCCTGTCATTGTTGCATATTCTCATGAAAACCCTGGGAAAAATTGCATTTACCAATGCAGCCTAAAGCACTGTTTTTAAACATTAAGAGATAAAATTCTTCCTCATCCAAAACTGTTCATGGGGAATAAATTGCATAGTTTTTCAGAAGTACAAAGGTGTAAACCAAAAATGAAATTCTAGGGCCACCCCCACAAACAATTGAATGGACTGCTTTCCTCAGCCAATGGCATTCCAAAGTTAACCTGAAACACAAGTTCAGGCCATGGTGGGAATGGGTGGTCAGACATGCCTCATTATGCCCTGCACCTTTTGAATTCAGAAACAACTCGTCAGCATTAACATTAAAACAGACCTTAAGATTATCTATTCTCTCTGAAGCTTGTTACCTGGAGGCGTCATCCACATAATAAAAACTTCGGTCGCTACAACCCCTTAGCTTAACGCAGGCACTCCTTTCTATTAATTCGAGGTCTTTATATAAACTCTTTCAACCAACTCCTAATCAGATTTTTTTTTTTTTTTTTTGAGACAGAGTCTTGCTCTGTCGCCCAGGCTGGAGTGTAGTGGAATGATCTCAGTTCACTGCAACCTTCACCCCTCTGGGTTAAAGCTATTCTTGTGCTTCAGCCTCCCAGAAAATTTTTGAATCCACCTATGACCTGGAACCCTCCCACTGACTCCTTGCCTGGCTTCAAGTTGTTCCTTTATTCTGGATGGAACCAATGTACATATTACATATACTGATTGATGTCATATGTCTCCCTAAAATATATAAAACCAAGCTATCACTTGAACACCCTGAGCACATGAACTCAGGACCTTCTATGACTGTGACAGGGGCATGTCCTAAACTTTGGCAAAATGAACTAAATTGATTGAGATCTGTCTTGGATACTTTTGGTTTACAGACCGCTTACATGACTCCATACATGCAATCATCAAATATGGCATAGTGGAGCATGAGGCGGGGCTACAGAACCCATTCAAATTTACTCAGGTTTCTTGGGTGTCCTGCGAATGGGCTCACATTTTCCCTCTGGATTTTTTCAAAGCACTAATGCTGTGAGAGTTCTTCATAGGACCATACGGTCCTCTTTGCAGAATGTAAGAGTAGACTAAAAATACTGATGCTAGATAAATGTTTCCACTTCTTATCTGAAAATATTGACATTATATGACCATAGTCAAAAGCAGGGCACCATTACTTGCTCTAAAATTTAATTTAGGAGACTGTAACCGCCCAATGGGTTTACCTTGCCCACTGCCTAGACAGAGCTGGTTTATCAAGACAGAGAAATTGCAATAGAGAGAGAGCTCATGCAGAGCTGCCTATATGAGAGATCAGAGTTATATTATTACTCAAATCAGTCTCCTTGAAAACTCTAGGATTGGGGGTTTTCAGGATAATTTGGCAGATAGGGGCCGATGAGTCGAGAGTACTGATTGGTCGAGTGGGATATAAAATCACAGGGAACCAAAGCTGTCCTCCTGCTCTGAGTGAATTCCTGGGTCGGGGGCATGAGACCAGATGAGCCAATTTATCAACCTGGGTGGTGCCAGCTGATCCATCAAGTGCAGGGTCTGCGAAATATCTCAAGCACTGATCTTAGGTTTTGTAATAGTGATGTTATTCCCACGAGCAATTTGGGGAAGGTCATAATCTCATAACCCCCAGCTGCATGACTCCTACACCATAATTTCTACTGTTGTGGCTAATTTGTTAGTCCTACAAAGGCAGTATAGTCCCCAGGCAAGAAGGAGGTTTGTTTTGGGAAAGGGTTGTTATTGTCTTTGTTTTAAACTATGAACTATAAACTAAGTTCCTCCCAAAGTTAGTTAGGCCTACACCCAGGAATGAGCAAGGACAGCTTGGAGGTGAGAAGAAAGATAGAGTTAGTTAGGTCAGATCTCTTTCAGTGTCATAATTTTCTCAGTTATAATTTTGCAATGGCAGTTTCAAGACTCCCATGCTACAAAGAATCCTGGCATTCTGCCTCCTCATAGCAAAGGAAGCAGGAAAATAGCTGTTGAAGTACATTTTTAGACTGAATGTGCCAATATTTTAGAGTTTCCGCAGAGGAAATTTTCTAGCAGTGACCTTTGATGTGACACCATGACTCTGACTCTAGCCCATTCTTTGACTGGAATGGACCCAAGGAATACCCTCCCTTTTTGCCTATTGAAGAGGCTAAGCAGGAGATGGGTGCTTTTCATGTTAGCCAGTCAAGAGATATTTATAGAGGTCTGCTTTGTGACCAATCCTGTGCTACATGGGGTTGCGGAGAATAGTCTCTGTCCCAGACTATTTTGCACAAAACAATTGGCAAACAGTTTAACATTTTGCTAGAATGGCTGATAGGTCAGAGTTGTTTTTTGCATCTCCGCCTGACATTCCCATTGCTACCACTCTGGTTTAGGTGTTGTATTTTCTTAAGTCCGTGGACATCATTTGCTGTTTTCTTTTACTTAAAAATATATATTGCTACAATTTTAGTCTTTATGTAACTTCTGTTCAAAAGCCTTCGAAGGCTACCCATTTGCCCAGAGTTTAAATCCAAATGTTTAATACTTTTTATTTAAGGTGTGAAGGGAAAATGTGGGGGCCCCAAAATTACTAAGCTAAAGGGAAAAGTCAAGCTGGGAACTGCTCAGGACAAACTTGCCTCCCATTTTCTTCAAAGTCATCCCTGAGATAGATGCATCTCTGATTGCCTCCTTGGAAGGACTTAGCAGAAACTCAAAGGAAGGCAACCACTTGTCTCTCACCTACCTGTGACCTGGAAGTCCCCTTCTTGCTTTGAGTTGTTCCCACCTTTCTGGATGGAACCAATGTACTTCTTACATATACTGATTGATGTCTCATTTCTCCCTAAAATGTATTAAACCAAGCTGAGCCCCGACCACCTTGGGCACATGTCATCAGGACTGCCTGAGGCTGTGTCATGGGTGTGCATCCTCAACCTTGGCAAAATAAACTCTAAATTAACTGAGACTGTCTCAGATGTTCAGGGTTCACAAAGGGTATACCTTACCTGATTCTCACCATGCTTTCTAGCCTTCACTACCTTTGTCCTCAAGTTTGCTCAGTCTACCTATTTTGTTTACTCACAGTTCTGCCAACATGCCACCAACTTCCCTCAGTAGCATTGCTCATTTTTGTGAAGAGTCCTCACGTCAAGGCTTGTCAAAACTATTGTCACCTCCAGGAAGTCTTTCTTGATTATTTACAACAGCAATTCTACCTCCTATTTCTAAATTCCTATGGCCTTTGGTTTGCAAGTCTCATGATACTTAACATCCTTTTTCCTTGGGTAGGTGTTACAGGCTCTGGAATGGGGTAAATACCCGAAGGGCAGAGATAAAGTGTTCTTTGTATCTTCTTTCTCATAGCAGAGATTGGTAAATAAATTTATTAATGATATAAAAATATAGAAATTCAGAGAAGAAGGCTATCAGTGTAAGCTGAGGTAATTAGCGGAGCAGTAAACATGAACATAAATTTTTCAGGATTCCCCACAGGGTCAGCCACCAGTCTCTGTAGGGCTTCTCTGAAGGCATCTGAAGTCTTTCCTAAGTATTTTTGGAGACAAGTGTAGCCAAAATACTACAGCCACCTAAACTCAGCAGTTGATATTACAGGATACTGCATGAGATCTATTTGCAATTTGTTTGAGGCCACAGCACAGCTGCATAACATTTTATGGGCCCATTTTATACAGTGGGGTTTCTCATTTTCAAATAGACCCATTAAAACTCTTATTAAGCTATTAAGTGTCTACAGGGTGATTTCGTGGCTGTAATTACAAATGCTCTCTTCATGGCAGACACTTAGGCAGAAGACCACTCACTCCCACCTTCACAGAGCACATTTTGCTTTTACCTTCTTCCCAAATGTAGCTGCCTGTTTCAATTTTGCCTTTTTCAGGGGGAAAAAATTTCAAAATGTTTACTATTTTTAAAGAAGAAAGTCAACTTGCTCAAAGGAAACTTGGAACTCATATGAACTCTTGAAACATTTCTCTTCTTTAGCACACCAGTTTCAGAGGGGTGACTGTGGACTTCCTTTGTACTCGAAGGCAGGCATTTTTCCAGAATATCACAATGCTACTACAACAGGTTCCTCTCTGTATTGACCCAATAGCAGGAGCAGAGGGCAAGTCAAGGACCATGGCAGTTTCCAGATGAGCCTCTGGATGCTGTCCATTCCAAGTCATGTGGGGACAGATTGCTAGTACATTTCAAGCCCACTCCTGCCTCAGAGACTTTGTACTTATTTGTCTTTCTACCTAGAGTACTCTTTGCCTAGTATCTGTGTAATATACTTCCTATTTTGTTCTCTTCTCTGAGGTGAAATGACTTTACAGCAAGGGCTTTACTGACTACCCAAAATAGATTAGCATTCTACTTCCTATCCCGTTGCTACTTCCAGAATTCCATACCAGATTCCATTTATTCTGCTTAATTTATCTTCACAGCACTTTCTACAATCTAACTTGATACATATTTACTTATTTACTTTTATACTGTCTTTCTCCATCCATTAGAAGTTAAGCTCCTGGAGGGCACGTTCTTTGTTTTAAATTGAAGTATTCCTAGGGTTTAGAACAATGCCTGACACGTTAGGCACTAAATAAATGTGCATTGAATTTTTAAAAATTATTCTTTAAAGCTCAAGAAAATAATTTAATTCTAGTGACCAAAAACATCTTAGAAATGATTGAGGGCAACCCTCTCCCTTTACAGAGGGAGAAACTGAAGACCATATTGGTGTAATGACCTGCAGGGTGACTTGGTGATCAGTTGTAAAGCTGGGACCCAGCTTAGCTTGTCTGATTTCCAGACCATGCCCTTCAAGCACAGGGCCATCTCAACTCCAAATGAGGTGATTTCTCACATTTTAAATGTTTCAGCAAGAAAAAGAAAGAAAAGAAAAAAGACTAGACTTCTTTTGAAAGAACAGAATCAAGTTGGGTCTCAGGGGATTTGGTCATTTGCCAGGGCAAGGAGCAAGTCCCACATGATTGAGAACCCAAAGATAAACCTTCTGTATCTACTCTGCGTATTTAACATATACATTGTCGTTGTTGTAACCAAAGCAATTGAGCAAGTAAGAAACATACTGAGAAATCAATATCCCTTGCCACTTAATAACAACATATCATTTTGTAAAGTAGCATGCCACAGCATGGTGGCAGCTGATGCCATTTGTTCTTCATGGTGACATTCTGTAAGGTATAAGAACTCATTATGCCTAGTTAGCAGATGTTCTCAGAGTTGCTTCAAACTGGTTAATAGAAGAGTTTGCCAAGAAACACCCTGTTTTGGAAAGATTATTGGGATCTACTCAAATAAAGACATTGTGATGTTTTACTGTAATTATCATGTGACTCATTTTCTTTGGCGCTGGCATCAAATTCACCCAGACCCCATCAGCCCTGACAATGCTGTGTCTCTGTGATGCTTGTGACCATGGGAATGCCTGCAGACATCTCCTCCTTCTTTGTGGTTCTGGGAGCCATTCTGTGCCTCTAAGGTCCTCTTTCTTTTTTCTCACCAATACACATATTTTCTGTCCTTCGCAATTCTATTAAACCTCACATTTGATGGTTGTTTTCTTAAAATTCCTTTACTTGGTTCCTGCATTCCTCATTCCTTCCCAGCACAATCCATAGTAATGGCATTCCTATTACATTCCTCTCCATGCTTAGTCATGAATGTTCTTTTGCCATATCAGCATCTACCGTACATTGAGAGGAAAGAAAGAGAAAAAAGTGTCCTTGTCTTCAAAGGAGTTTGGAAATTTCTTGAGAGGGAAGTCTAACCTCATGAATCAATGAAAGGGCAATTAATGGCAAATTGTGTAGCACTGACAAGATGCCATGCATAGGGGGGCCTGCAGTATAGTGGAGAAGAAAAAACATTTTGGCATCTAAATCTGAATTTAAACTTTTTTTCTCTTACTTACTAGCTGTACAACGTTGGACAAGTAACTTAATCCAAGATATTAATTTAAGAAAAAGCACAATTTCTACTTTACCTGATTGCTGTGGAGTCTAAGGAGGCAAAATATGGGATGTATGTGGCACAGTGCAAGGCCCAGAGATCTTTGCTGCTATTGTGCCTGTAGTTAAATCGCAGGTCCCCCCAAAACAGGAGCCCCCAAATTTTGTCCAATTCTTGTTACGATTGGATATGACATGGGGAATCTGATTAAAAAGAAAATGGCTGCTGATCAAGAAAAATTTAAAAGGCACTGGTGGAACAGGAATAATACAGGGTGGTTGCAGGAGAATAGAGAATTCCTGACTGGATTCAGTGGTTTGTGCCTGTAATCCCAGCACTTTGGGAGACTGAGGCAGGCAGTTCATTTGAGCTCAGGAATTTGAGACTAGCCTGGACAACAATGGAAAACTCCATCTCTACAAAGTACAAAACTTAGCCGGGTGTAGTGGCATGTACCTGTAGTCCCAGATACTCAGGATGCTGAGGTGGGAGGATGACTTAAGTCTGGGAGTTCAAGGCTGCATTGAGGTGTGGACCTACCTGGGTTAAGACTGACTGAACCCAACATGGCACTGGATTTGAGCTAGGTTTCACCTAGGATCTCATTAGATGTTCATTAACATACTAAATCACACACATACCAGCACCATGACAGTTCCAGGAACATCCATATTTGGTGTAAAAATGGGTGGCACCACAGTTCCAGGAAACCTCCACCTTCTTCAAGGAATTTTCATCAATATTCCACCCCTTGGTAAAAGAAACCCATAAAGGTAGCAGCTCCAAAGCCTCTTGGGCGTGACTCTCTCTTGAGTATGCCCACACTCCACTTTATTGAGTATGTACTTTTCCCTTCGCAATAAATCTCTATAGTTTCACTGTTTTTCAACTGGTCCTTGAATTCATTCTTGCAACGGTATCAAGAGCCTGGACAGCAGCTGGGGTTGAGGTCCCACTGGTGTTTGGGGACCTCCAAGTGATACCCAGGTAGTGATACCTGCCCACTGGTGTCACTGAGACATCTCATGTGCCTACCAAAGTTTTCTGCCATGTGACTTCTGAAAACACACCTTAGTTATTGACTCCTTTGATCTAAGCGCTTGCCTCTTTTTGAGGGTCTTCTCTTCAAATGTGCATGAATGAGAGACTCTTCTAATAACAATATAGTTGGATCTGTTCACAGCTTGAGGCTTGTTCCTGCAAAGTATTGGAAGAGGAAGATGGGAGTAGGAGGATTCAGAAAAGCAAGGAAAAGAAAGTCACCCCTGGTTAAAACAGTCCCTCTCTTCTTAATTCACAGTTTTGTTCAAAACTCTCCCAGCATATATGAATTTTTTGGAGAGCCACATGTCCTGCTTTATGCCTTTTTAGTAGGGTGAGCAAGAAAAGAAATACTTAAGTACATTTGGGGGTGTGAATGCTTTAATACAGGAACACTTATTGTTTAAAGTAATTTGTTTCCTTAGAAAAGGTTTAGTAGTTTTTCTGAGTTTCAGAAATGTCAGCCTTGCTCAAATGGAATCTGTAATTGAGACAAGACACAATCACTCCCAAATATTTACTGGGAGTTTGCCTCAGAAAATAACTGCCTAATATCACTGCAAGATGTGCAAACAATACAAAGCAAATTGGATTTCCTCCCGATGAAGGTGTGGATGTAATGCAGCATGAAGAATGATGGGGCTCAATCTAGTGTAAAACCAGCACCAGCAAAAGGGCCTGGTGATTTGTTACCAGGCAAAAATCCTGTCTATCCTGATGATTAAATTAAAATGAGGTCCTACATTGTCACTGTTGGTGAAATGACTTATCTGCCTGCTCCTATCATTCTCTGCACAGTGCTTGTATGTGGGATGGACATGGAATGAAGTGTTTGAAAAGAAAGACATGAGCACATTTTTCTCCCAGCATTGAAGTTTCATTGCGAATCTCTCAACAACGTGGAATGCTCCTGTTGGAACCAAAAGCCCGATTATCATCTCTAGAAAACTGGAATAAAAGAAGAGTTCAAATCACAAGGCCCTTCCAAACATCCCCTCTCTCCCTTGCTTGTGCTCTCTTCTTTCCAATTTTTTATCTTCATCAACACTTAATACTGGGGGCAAGAAGGTTCTTGGCTGGGCACACAATGCTATGGGAACTTAAAAACAAATGGACTAGCTGCAGGTTTAAATAATGCTACAGTCCTTAGACACTGTATATTATTCATAGCTCGTTGAACTCTATTATCTCATGTGTTCCTCTCAGTGGCTCTGTGAATTACCCAGGACAGGAAAGAAATGATAGAGTGTGAAGATAGAAGAGTCAGTAGAGGTCAGAACCCTTCCCCAGCCCCTCAGCTTTTTTTTTTTTTTTTTTTTTTTTTGAGATGAAGTCTGGCTATGTCACTCTGAAGTGTCGTGGTGCGATCTGGGCTCACTGCAACCTCCGCCCCCTGGGTTACAGCGATTCTCCTGCCTCAGCCTCCCGAGTAGCTGGGACTACAGGTGCACATCACTACGCCCAGCTAAATTTTGTATTTTTTAGTAAAGATGGGGTTTTACCATACTGGCCAGGCTGGTCTCAAACTCCTGAACTCGTGATCTGCCTGCCTCAGCCTCCTAAAGTGCTGGGATTACAGGTGTGAGCCACCATGCCCAGCCCCACTCTGCCCTTCTTATTGAGGAACCTGAGACAGAGAAGGAAAGTAACCTGCCAGAGTCACAGACGGGACCAGAAATCACATTGCCCAACCCTCAGCGCAGGTTTTTATAACTGAAAACTGATGAAAAGGCAAGCAAGAAAACAGGCAGACAACATATGTATGTAAATAAATTATGTTGATTCGTGGTTAATTAGGCAGGGAGAAAGGGGCCTTCAGAATCTCAGGCAAGGAAGATAAAAGAAGCTTTATATTTTGAAAAAATTAACAGGGGATGTTAATCCACACAGCCCTCCCACTCCCCTGCTGTAGAGGGGAAAAAATAGCATTTCATCCTTCTGCATTTTTAAATGTCTATCCCAAATTGTGGAAAGGAAAAAAATGCATAGGAAATGTGGGAGGAAGTGGGAGAAGGGCTTACTAAATGCCCAGTGACCAGGCATCCACAAAGTTACTGGGTAACTGAGGACTGACATGATGCTCTGAGAACTGTATTTGAGGTAGGTGAAGGCTTGGCTTTCTGGCTCTCCTAAGAGTTTTTCTGAGACTCTCTGATTTCTCCTGTCTATGATCACTTTTCAGTGCAGCTTCCAGGAACTCATGGGAGACAGCACATATTACATGGAAAACTATGAAGTTTGCAGTACAAAGAATTGGATTCTAATCTTACTGGACATTTACTAGCCCTATAATCTTGAGCAAGTTATGGTCCCATTTTGCCTCACTTTTGTCATCTGTAAATTTTGGAGGGTAATACCTTCCTCACTGGGTAGCTTTGAGGAATGCATGAGCTAGATCTGTGTAGTGGGTGTTGTATTTTCAGCTTGCCTAGAACTTTTAAACACCCTCACTATGCATGGGGAATGTGTCGCCTTAATAATCCCTTCTCTCATAGGAGCTAGGAATTCATATCCTAGTTTTCATGCAAGCAATAACACAAGCTTTATCAGTGATGTGCATTTTGTGGGCCATCAGTGGTTGTAAAATCCTGTTTCTGGTCTAGAATTGGTATCACTGCTAACAACATTTGTGGTTCCTGGTGGTTATTCTTATTATCCAACATACTGGTTGCCTGATTGACTTAATCTAGTGTCTTTTTTAAGGCTAAGTTAAGTTTTTCAGTCTTTTTGTTTCCTGAGTAAATGTATGTAAGTATATATGAGTGTGTTTGTGTATATATGTATGTTTTATTCTTGAGCCTAGGGCTCAGTCCATTTAGGTTTCTATCAAAAACAGTAGGAGATAAGGTGATTCTTTTGTTAGAATTTTTCCTAAAGGATCCTTGAGGGGCCTTGACTTAAACTGAGTGACTATGTGGACTTGCCAATTTAGGTTTACATATTACTGATCACTGAACATTAGATTTTGGTCTTCTTCCCCATCCTGGTTTTTGAGGTTTTAATTTTTCTTTTCTTTTCCTTTTTTTTTTTTTCTTGGATGATTACTTAGTTCCTGCATTCTAATTTGGATTCTTGAACCCATCATTTCACTCTCATTTCTTTTCATGTTTTACAGCTCCAGTGCCATGACAGTTTTAATCTTCTGGTTCCATCTGCATAGATTTCAGTCTCTAATTGAGGAAAATCATCTGTTTTTCTCAGGAGCCCCTTGATTCAAGTTTACACAAAATGTGCCTTTGGAGACTATCCTGTTAATTTAAACAGTTCAGATCCCACTTGTATGTGAGACAGATGCTTCTCTGGCCATCAGCCAGGTACCACTAAAGGAGGTACAGGTAACAGATCATTTAATTTTATTACATTTTCACATGTCAGAGACAGGAGGTATGAGATAATATTGCACAGCCCCTGCCTGCCTGCCTTCAAAGAGCCTGTGGTTTAAAGGAGTTACACGTAACTAAACTAATGTGGCTGTGACAAGTATGCACAGAGGAGGGGCATTTTGTTCAGCTTCAGTGTGTGGGGCTAGGGTGATGTCAGTAAAGGCTTTCTGGAGATAATTCCTGAAAGGAGGCTGAAAAAGTAAATCAGCACTTTCCCAGGGAAGATGGGAGGCAAAGATATGCCGGAGTGGTAGAGCTGGGGACACCACTGTGACTCAAGATGCAGAAGCATGAAGCAGACTGGCTGGCTAGGATACTACAAGCAGTACTAAGAGGTAAAGAAGAAGGAAGAGAGTGGCCATATGGGCTGAGCAGTTGTTGAGAAATATGAAACAGGGGTCTTCTTTCTGATCGTGGGCACTGATGCTTTGCTATGACACGAGGCAGACATGGATGAGGACAGGGTTAAGTGGAGGCAGGCATAGCTTACTTCTTGCCCTTGAACTAAGGGCCAGTGTGTTAGTCTGTTCTCACAAAGCTATAAAGATACTATCTGAGACTGGGTAATTTATAAACAAAAGAAGTTTAATTGACTCACAGTTCTGCATGGCTGGGGAGGCATCAGGAAACTTACATCATGATGGAAGGCAAAGGGGAGGCATGGCATGTCTTAGATGGCAGCAGGAGGGAGAAGGAGCACAGGGGAAGCTGCCACTTTTAAAACAATCAGATCTTGTGAGAACTTCCTTACTATCATGAGAACAGCATGGGGGATCCACCCCCATGATCGATTTACCTTTTACGAGGTCCCTCCCTTGACATAACAGGAATACAATTTGTGATGATATTTGGGTGGGGACACAGCCAAATCATGTCATTCTAACTCCAGCCCCTCCCAGATCTCATGTCCTCACATTTCAAAACCAATCATGCCTTCCCAAGAGTCCCTCAAACTCTTAACTCATTCCAGCATTATCTCAAAAGTCCAAGTCCAAAGTCTCATCTGAGATAAGGCAAGTGCCTTCTGCCTATGAGCCTGTAAAATAAAAAAAGCAAGTTAGTTACTTTCAAGACACAATGAGGGTACAGACATTAGGTAAATGTTCCCATTTCAAATGGGAGAAATTGGCCAAAACAAAGGGGCCACAGGCCTCATGCATGTCCTAAACCTGGCCAGGCAGTCATCAAATCTCAAAGCTCCAAAATCTCCTTTGACTCCGTGTCTCACATCAAGGACACACTGATGCAGGGGGTGGACTCCCACAGCCTTGGGCAGCTCTGCGCCTGTGGCTCTGCAGGGTACAGCCCCTACGGCTGTTTTCGCAGGCTTGTGTTAAGTGCCTATGGCTTTTCCAGGTACATGATGCAAGCTATCGGTAGATCTACCTTTCTGCAGGGCCCTCTTCTCACATCTCCACTAGGCAGTGCCTCAGCAGGGTCTCCGTGTGGGGACTCCAACCCCACATTTCCCTTTTGCGATGCCCTAGTAGAGGTTCTCCAGGGGGGCTCTGACCCCAAAGCAGACTTTTGCCTGGACATCCAGGCATTTCCATACACCCTCTGAAATCTAGGTGGAGGCTCCCAAAGCTCAACTCTTGTCTTCTGCATACCTGCAGGCCCAACACCACATAGAAGCCACCAAGGCCTGGGGCTTGCACCCACTGAAGCCATGGGCTAAGCTGTACCTTGGCTCCTTTTAGCCAGGGCTGAAGCTGGAGTGGCTGGAACATGAAGCTCCATGTCCAAAGGGTGCACAGAGCCATCTGGGCCCTAGGCCTTGCCCATTAAACCATTTTTCCTTCCTAGGCCTCTGGGCCAGTGATGGGAGGGGCTGCCTTGAAGATGTCTGAAATGCCCTGGAGACATCATCCCCATCATCTTGGTGATTAACATTCAGCTCCTCTTTACTTATGGAAATGTATTCAGCCACCTTGAGTTGCTCCCCAGACAATGAGTTTTTGTTTTCTATCACATGTTCAGGCTGTGGATTTTCCAAACTTTTATGCTCTGCCTCCCCTTTAAACATAAGTTCCAAATTCAAACCAACTCTTTGTGAGCAAATATAGTAGTATACATTCAGGAAAAGCCAGGTCACCTCTTGAATGCTTTGCTGCTTAGAAATTTCTTCTGCCAGACTCTCTCAAGTTCAAAGTCCCACAGATCTCTAGGGCAGGGGCAAAATGTCACCGGTCTCTTTGCTAAAGCCTAGCAAGAGTGACCTTTGCTCCAGTTCCCAGTAGGTTCCTCATCTCCATCTGAGGCCACCTCAGCCTGGACTTCATTGTCCATATCACTGTCAGCATTTTGATCAAAACCATGCCGCAATTCTCCAGGAAGTTCCAAACTTTTGCACATCTTCCTGTCTTGTTCTGAGCCCTCCAAACTCTGCCTGTTGCCTGTTCAAACCTCTGCCTGTTGCCCAGTTCCAAAGTTGCTTCCACATTTTCAGGTTATCCTTATAGCAATGCCTCTCTCTACCAGTACCAATTCTCTATATTAGTCCATTTTCACACTGCTATAATGAAGATACCTGAGCCTGGGTAATTTATAAACAAAAGAACTGACTCCCAGTTCCACATGGCTGGGGAGGCATCAGGAAGCTTACAATCATGGTGGAAGGCAAAGGGGAATCAAGGCACATCTTACAAGGCAGTAGGAGAGAGAGGGAGCACAGGGGAAATGGCCATTTTTAAAACAATCAGACCTCGTGAGAACTCCCTCAGTTTCACAAGAACATCATGGGGGAACCACTTCCATGATGTAATAACCTCTCACCAGGCTTCTCCCTTGACATGGGGGTATTAAAATTTGTGATGAAATTTGGGTGGGGACACAGAGCCAAACCATATTAGCCAGCCTCTTGGGAGGAACTTATTTCTTATTGCAGGTGCCTCTCCATTCCTAGCTTACTCAGCATGCCCTCCTTCCTCAAGCAGGTGTGACTTAGGTCATCTGCATCATGATTTCTCTCGTCACTAAGATGAGAAACCTCCAGAGATTACCCACACCAAGGCTGCAACCTGTTGATGTGACTACCTTTCTCTGCCATGGGTAGTTTATCTCCTCTATTCATTTACTCTGAGGATACAAATCTTTCTTGTCATCTTTGGGGTGGAGGGATAGGGTAATTCTACCTTTTACCATCAGCCACTTTCTGCCTAATCAATACTTCAATCTCCTCCCCAGAAAGAGTCATTGATTTTTTTTCCAGATTCTCCTCTGACTTGTTTGAGGGTCCCCTATCATGTTATATATCACATCCCATCTAGGGCACCCTCTACAATTCATGAAACATTCTAGACTTCTACATTTTAGTAGGGTCTAGGGAATCAAATTTAAACCTTGGATGTTTCAAGCCTACCAGGGTAAAACATTAACTTTACAATTAGAACCACGCTTTGACACTTGAATGAGTTCTCACTGCAGGAATGCCTTTGAAAAGAGATCTGGCTTATTATGATGGATAGATGGGGTGGAGCTTCTTAGCAAACTACTTGCTTTAGAAGTTAATGGAAGAACATCTATGTTCAGGAAATCACTGTTTGCTGGTAATTGAGGCAATCAGATGTTTCAAAGTAGGTGAACTGTGAACAAATGAACTCCTGAATGACAGCAGGGGATAGCGTGTGGCCTCAATATTTATACTGTGTAACCATGATCACCAAAGCACTCTCATCTATTTTAAAACAGAAGAAACTATCATCAGTGGATAAAACTGGATTTAAAAGCAAGCCACCAAAAGCTCATAATTTTTTGAACTGAGCATTTTTCAAGGATGATAACATAAATACAGTCAAGCTATTTCTATAGATTTTTTAACTTTGATACCTTTTTGGAAAACAGATCCCACAGAACAATCTTAGTAAAATGGATTATTTTTATAGGGGAAAATACCACCAAAAACCCTTAACCCTAGAATCTCCATTCTTGGCTTAATATTTATCAATTCTTTTTGATTATTTCTTTTATATTTTCCAGATTATTTAGATTTTAGAGCTAGAAAGATTATTTAGTAATGACATTTTAGTGGCATTTTAAATAATGGGTTCACAGTTCAGGTCAGTGTATTAGGTAACAGTTGTAAGTTGGAAGCAGGCAAAGGCAAACATCAGCGCTAACTCATGTGATAGCTGGGTTAAGAGAATCTTTGTGTATAAATAGCCTTTCTATGAAGTAGGTATAATAGCATGAGTCACCCTTTTTTTCTTTCTGGGACTCTGAATGATTTTATATAAATGTTAATGAGTCCCCAACAATTCAAGTTTTCTTTAAACTCCTTCGTAAGTATTCCTAACTTCAGACTCTCCTTTTTTCAACTATTTTGCATATTAATAGCAATTATCCCACACGGGGAGAGGAAACAGCATGCCAAGCCCTGCTTTAGAATCATTAGCTCATCGTAATATTAATCCTGAACACAACCACAGTTACTACGTCAACCTCATAAAAAAAAAAAAATGAGTCTCAGCGATGCTAAATAACTTGCTAAAGTTTGGACAGTGATTTTGAGGCTAAGTTAGGATTCTTTTCTTTTTTCTTTTTTTAAGGCAGTGTCTCACTCCATTGCTCAGGCTGAAGGGCAGTTGCTCAATCATGGCTCACTGCAGCCTCGAACCCCCAGGCTCAGGTGATTCTCCCAACTTAGCCTCCTGAGTAGCTTGGACTACAGGTGTGCACAACCAAGTCCAGCTAATTTTTGTATTCTTTGTAGAGATGGGGTTTTGCCATGTTGCCTAGGCTGTTCAACTTCTGGGCTCAAGTGATCAGCCTACCTTGGCCTGCCAAGTTGCTGGAATTACAGACGTGGGCAACTGCACCTGGTCCCTGAGTTGGGATTCAGAAATAAATTCTGATGAATACACTGCTGTTCTACAGTATTTTTCCTTCTGTTATGGTGAGTTTGCCTGATTTTTCTTAATTCATTTAGGGTGGTTCCCAATGATTGCCTTTAAAATCTACCTGTTTAATAGCCAGCCTTGTAATTTTGCCAGTGAGGAATGTTAAGCTCCCTGAAGGTAACTGGATATTGTTTTCATGTTTTCTGTCCTGGGCTTCTTATCCTTTAATAGATGTCCTGCACATTCTTGTAAAAGATTTTTTTTTTTTTTTTTTTTTTAGAAAAGAACAGCTGCAAAATAGGGTTGAGTCCTGCCTGTTCTCTGTAACCTGCCAATATTACCTGACTTTGAGTTGCTGCCAACATCTGTGACTGTAGCATTCCCAGTTCTCTCCCCACGCACATTACAGGGATTTCTCCATCATTGTCCTGTTGACATTTGACTTTGCAAATCTGTTCAAGTTCTCATTTAGGTTGAGCATGTAGAGTAAATATGTGTAGGGGCCAAAGGAAAAGCTTCCCTTTGTCCTCTAAAGGTTTGCTGAAAAATCAACTGATAAAGGGCAGATTAATAGGAGAAATGACGTACAAATTTTTTAGTATGCATGAGCGGAAATTGCACAGTCATTGCTCCATCTCCCAATAGGGTACAGATACTCATATACTTTACTTCTAAGGGGAAAGGGAGATGGGGAAGTGGGGATAATTTTAAGGGGTGGTAAATAATTTTTAGGAGAATTCAATGGGCTTGAAGAACATACATTGGCCTGGGACAAAATCTGTTGAGCCTGCAGAGCAGACAATGGCTTTTGACAAAAGTCCGTTGACAGTCTTTAGCCTTTCTTCCTGCAATATGAGTTCAATTACTGAAAACTCAGGGAAGGAATCAGAGATAATTGTTTTCTTCTTTGGCAGGTCCAGATGTTAGGCAGATAAGGGAACTTCAGATAACAATTTCATACTGTCCTTTGGGAGAGACAGGATTAAGAGATAGTGGGAGCTGTGGTCAGGGGTCGGGGAGTGGAGATGAGAGAGACCTTGAGGCTTCTTCTTCAGTTGAGCATGTCAACATGCCATTTTTGGGGGGTATTAGTTTCTGAACCCCAACACATGGAAGTAGCACAGTTGATAACTTGTGTCAGATTAATGTATTTAAAGACAATCCTAAATAGGGATTCCATTCTCTCCTTGGAGGAACCTTTCTTGAAATAAGACAAATTTATTTATCTTCTAAGCATATTTATGTTAGCAAGAGACTGAATGTAATATTCAGGGGAATATACTTAGTTTCATTATTTTTTCTTCCTGTATAAAACACAGGTTGGAAAGGACATTTGTCATAAGAGGACTTTTTCCCCCAAGTCATTGTCTGTGCATTAATCTTCGGAATGTGATGGACCATGTGAAACATTGTAATTTGTCTATGGGATAAAGTCCAATGGGAATCCAGAAAGCCATTCATGCAGAAACACTCTGGGAGGCCTGTGTAGGCCAACTTTGAATACATATTTAGTCCTTTCATCTTTGGCAACAGCCAACTACTCTTTTATGAAACCCTGCCTTGTTATTTTCAAAGAGTTTATTATTAAAATTGAGCTAAGCACAGTTCTGTATTCACCATCTGGTAGAAGGTGGATCGCTGCTGGTATGTTTACAAACTACCTTACTTACTCTTTATCACTGGCTTATACCTAGAAAATATATACATATATATATATATATATTTATTGTTTTTATGTAAACATACTGGGTGACAATATGGTATTCAGCTTGGTCAATATTTGGTGTAATGAATCAATAGAAGAAATATTTACATTTTTCCCAGTGGCTAATGTATAGGCATTTTTACAACTTCTGACTAAGTCAAACCAATTGATTGTCCTTGTATACACAACAGTATTTACGTGGTGTCTGGGTTCCAGGGACCTTTTCCTATCTACCCATATGGTGCCCAGATATCAGTTTGAATGAAAAGCCTAGCCAACATTAGGGCTCAGGAAAAAATACTGGAAAGTATTGTGCTTTGGCATGCTGAGCACTTTGAATTAAAATAAATGGGAAACGTTAGGGGCTGCCTCAGAACCAAAAACTTTCTGTCCTTCTCTTGTTTGTCCTCTCTCAAACTTGGGCAGGTATTCTGTCTGGAATTTCCTTATCTGACTGAGGAAACTTCTTTCTAAAAGAAGCGCCATTGTCCTAAACCTGGTTCCCTCAGAATCCCATTGCAAAAGCAGGAAAGATTAATCACAAAAGAAAAGAAGATACTAAAAATCCTCAACACACCCAGTCAGAGTTTTCATCCATTCTTCTAAGGGCATCTTCCAGAGATTACCTAAGAGACTTTATCTATATAATAAGGCAACATTTGTTCACAGGACACTTCCACCCCTCAACTTCCTGTAACTTGCCATTCCCATTCAGTTTCCAAAGGAACCATTTAAAAATTATTGTCTGTATTTTGGGCCCATTAAACTCTACTAAAAAATCATTGACTATCTGGGAAAATTGTCTACATACTCCCATCTCCCCCTCACCTATGAAGAGGGTGCATTTAAACCTCAGCTCTCTGGCCCTTCTTTGAGTCTCATAGTTTTTATGGTTCCTGGGCTCATGTACATTAATATATGTGTATGCCTTTTTTGCCTGTTAATGTTTCTATTGTCAGTTTCTTTCAACAGAGTTGAACTTTCAGAGGGAAAGGAAAATTTCTCTTCACTCCTATGAAAGGAAAATTTCTCTTCACTCCTATACCAATCAGCTATATATTTTGTTGATACAGTAAAAATAGTAAATAGTAAATAATAAACTTTCATATTTTCAGGAATTTGTTTAGGAAGAATATTTGAATAAACTGGATATTTTGCTTAATTAGCAATTATCACACTATAAATATTATATGCATCACACAGATGATTATTTTCCAGATAAATAGGGTACAATGGAATTAATGTATCACTAAAATTCTGTTAAAAATCATTGACAACCTGATTAAAAATTCGAAGACCTTTCAAAGCTTTAGGTTCACCATTCTAAATATATATTTAATTACCAAGAATCTTAGATAGAAGCAGGGATTATGTGGTGGTAGAATTTTATTTGCAAATTCTGGAATATATCCTGGAAGTTGCTTTGTTTCTCTAATAAATTCCACAGGTCAGGTTTGTGACTTGATTATAAGAGCCAAGTTATGCAAGAACAAAATCAAATCAGATATTTGAATTCTAGGTCAAGAGAGAGAATGATATGAGAATAATTTAGCTTTATTTTAAGATATAGATGATTTGGACTATAATCAGAGTTCCCACAATAGGATGTGAGGTGAGGTGTTTTTTTTGCTGGTCGTAAGTGCTTATGAAAGGTAATAAACCCTAAGCTTTTCAAGGACAGTCACCAAGATGTAAACAATTGTTGCTGTTTTATGTATTATCCATGAGGATAAATGAGATGCATTACAATAGGAAAAGCTACTGCCTTCGCCTTCCAGACTGCGTCTTACAAGACCATTCAATCAAAATTCTCAGGGAATAGCACCTCTTCCAATGTTCAACTTAAATATATGTCTGTGAAATGCATTTGAAAGCTTAATGTGTGTCTTTTGGAGTGACCATTCTTTGAAGTTTCATTGTCCATTTCATTTCCAGGAATGGTAATACTTCACTTTATCTTTATAAGCACTGCCCCATCCTTGATCTTATTTGGTTTGCATAACTATGTACTGTGGGGATAAAGTTATAATTCCTATGCACTAGTAAAACAAAAAAAAAAAAAAAAGAAAGAAAAAAGAAAATGTCTCTGAATCCAGTACAGGCAGGAAAGTTGTGTTTGGGAATCTACCAGGTAAGAAAGAGGCAGGTTAGCCAGCAAGAGAGAGAAATAATCACTTACGATTTCCTTAATGACTCACAAAAATGGCATTGGTCATTAAAATGCATTATACAGGTGTAGTTTTATTTAAGCCACATGTCAGTTTATCTTCTTTTTGTTATTTATTTTTCAACATTTTATTAACCAAGTATTACAGGCTAAGCATGGTTCTCATCACTGGAATAGCTACCGCCTGTGCTGCTGTTCCAACTAGAGGAGAACCATGATCAGTCACTCCAACCATGAGTACCAGCATAGAAACTCCTCTCCACCATTGTATCCAGATGCAGGGGTCCCTGTGGTTTGTAAGAATAAATAAGAATAAAAAATAAGAGGCTCAATTCTCCTCGTCAAATATAAGGGAGGAGACTTCTCTCTGCCTCCTTTTGTTAGGTGATTTACTATAGAAAACTTGTAAATTCTTTCTCTATCTCTTTAAAATGTATGTTTAGCTTCTTAGAAATTAAATAAGGCTCCTGCCAGCGTTATGACCCAGGAATGTCTTTTTCAAGAACCTGGGAGCCCTCTTTTTGAAATGGAAACATCAAGGGAGACAGTACCCTGTAGCCCGATTTCTGTGGGAGGGTAGGAGCCTAACTTCAGTGGGTGCCTGGCTCCAAGCTGCAAAACTACCTTCTGTCAAGAAGATATGGAAAGTTTATTTTTCTTTTGTATAAAACCAATTAACTAACACAGATGGTCACCCCAATTAACAGGTAAATTTAGGATAAACTATATGTAATAAATGGCACTGTCAAATCCTCTTACTGGAGGACTAATTATTGTCTATTTAGAGATTCTGTAGATAATGAGTTTTATCTGGTCGGCTTTATAAAAGGGTTAGATTTCTTTCTGTCTTTGCAATCTCTTAGTAGATTGCCTGTGATGTGTATCACATTCTGGTTTAATGCTTATTCAATAATAAAACTGTTTTCTTTACTATCTTTATGGAGAGGTTTTCTGGGTTGGGGGCAGATTTTGTTTTTAATTATATTTATCCAACAATCTTATATGCAACTTTAAGGCCTTGTGGGAAAACATCCTAATTAGGAGGTCAAATGAGGTAGAAAGAAACAATTCCAGGTCAGAGCAGGCATTGTTGTTACTCAGACTGAAGTGTGAGTCTTGGCTGACTGGTGGAGGCTCTGGGTAAAGGCACTAGTTACCACTTACATGAAAATGACAAAGCTATCCAGCAAGTTCTCCTTAGCGTGATCCCTTCCTTGGGCATTTAAAACATGTCCCTTATACATGCTCTCTCTTTAGTCTCCTTTTTCAAGCACTTCTCAGACTATTGAATCTGTTCCACAAAAACTCTTCAGGACTGGGTTCCAGACTTTTCTTGGCCTCTCCATTCAAGACTTTAGCACCTACTCTACCCTGTAGTTAAATTAACTTTTTCTTTCATTCCTCAATGCATTTCCTTCTTATTTCCACAATTGTTCTCAAATGATCTTTCAAAGAGAGTTAAGAGCCAAATACTTCTTCTGACATCTGTTGAGTTGATCATATGGTTTTTATTTTGTTGATGTGGTATAAATTAAAACAGAAGTCAAACCATTAGCAGCACAGGACTCATTTGAGGCTTTGATTTTCAAAAACCAAAGGACTTGACAAAGATACGGTGGTGGTACTGGTGATGTTGGGGACAATAGGGCGATTTCTCCGGTACAGGTAAATAATAAACAAAATTAAACATTAAAGTGTTATGTTTTTTAAAAAGTTGAATTTTCCAAGCCTTTTCCAAGTGCATTTAGATAATTGCTTTGCATTGCCTGAATCCACATGGGACTTTTTGGAACAGGATTTGTGTGCCTTGTAATTCACCCAGTCAAGACACATCTTCCCTTCTGTAACAGTGTTAAAAGAAAACCTTAGATAAATTAAAGGTAATAGAGTTTAATTGGGCAAAGAACAATTTGCATGAATCAAGGAGCCTCTCAAGCCAGTGTAAGCTCAGGGAGCCTCCAGTGCATCCATGTGGCAGAAGATTTATGGACAGAAAAGAGAAAGTGACATACAGAAAATGGAAGTGAAGTGCAGAAACAGCCAGATTGGTTACAGCTTGGCGTTTGCCTTATTTGAACACAATTTGAACAGTTGGCTACCTTTAATTGTCCAAAGCTTGGTGATTGGCACAAGAGTAAGTTAGTCTGCTTACACGTTTAGTTAGGTTTACTATGTACAGAGGAACCTTTAGGCTGAACTTAAAATATGAAATGAGGCAGCTTTAGGCTAAACTTGATTTTACAATAATTCAAGGCAATCTTCACAAATTTGGGCATTTCCTTACCTTGATGCTGTATTACATCTCAATAAAATTATACCTAAACATTCAAAAGCAATAAATTATGCAAGCAATATTTGTGCCATTTGGGTAAAGTATCATTTTATTATGTTTCTCAGTGTGACTTTTTATTACTTCATTTGTCTCCAATGCATTTCATACATAACAGACAAGGAGATTTTCTCTCTTAGTATCCACCTCCAAGCTACTTCATGGCTTCCAGATTTTGCTTTGGTGTTTTCCCAGACATAGAATGACACATTCTTCTCAATAACTTCCATATTAGGAGCTAGCACTGGATAGCCTTTAATAATGCCATTGTTTAATATTCACATTGACCATTTAGGTATAGTGTTTCCACCTTTTTTCTACATGCTATAACGTATACCAGTTTATAATAACAATAATGATAACGATAGTATATTTTGTCATTTTTTGAGCTTTTATAAAGTATAATAAATTTCATGGTCATTTTATATACATGAGTTTATTTGAATTCTAAAACCGTATGAAATAGGTATGATTTATATCTCTACTATCCAGAAAGCAAAACTGAGGGTTAGTAAGTTGAAGTAACTTGCCCATGCTCACACAGTGAAGTACCCTATTTTGGGTACTTAGCCCCACTGTTAGATCCTTTAGTCATGCTGCCATACTACTGTAAAGTAGGTAGAGTTTTTGTTTAGTTACTAACCTTCCTTCAAAAGGGATTCAAGATAGCACTGTTATTCTTTTATTAAACAGAGAACTGGATCTGTATTTCATAATAATTAAGGATGTAGCTTCTCTGTCTGAAGGCCTGTGTTAGTTGTTTCTATTACTGTTATGCTATTATTAAAAATAAGAAAAAAAATTTAAATTATACTTTAAGTTCTAGGGTACATGTGCATAACGTGCAGGTTTGTTACATATGTGTACATGTGCCATGTTGGTGTGCTGCACCTATTAACTCGTCATTTATATTATACCTAATGTTATACCTCCCCCCAAGAATAAGAAAATTAAAAATACTCCTTAAGTTTGGTAAGAGAACATTTCTAGTCAGGAGTGGGTCTTTTAACCCAACAGATACCTTTTCTCTAGACTGTTGCAATAGAAGGAACAATTTTGTTCTTTGGAGGCTGTTATCCACAGAGCCATCCCAAATCACCAGCTTCATCCATTAACTCAAAATCAGTAATCTGAGAAGCAAAATGGGTTTGGTTTGTCTACTAAAGGGACAAACTTGTGATAAAAATATGAAATGAGTTCAAAATAGTACCAGTGCAGACATAGACCTATTATTTTTTGACATTTGGCAATCTGGTAAAATCCAAATATTGTGTCATTTCAGTTAATACTTTTTTTTTTTTTTTTGAGACCAAGTTTCACTCTTCTTGCCCAGGCTGGCGTGCAACAGTGCAATCTTGGCTCACTTCAACCTCTGCCTCCCAGGTTCAAGCGATTCTCCTGCCTCAGCCTCCAGAGTAGCTGGGATTCTAGGCATGCACCACTACGCCCGGCTAATTTTGTATTTTTAGTAGAGACGGGGTTTCTCCACGTTGCTCAGGCTGGTCTTGAACTCCCAACCTCAGGTGATCCACCCACCTCGGCTTCCCAAAGTGCTGGGATTACAGGCATGAGCCACTGCACCCAGTCTGGTTAATTCTTTTGGTTTCCTAATTTTAGACCTTCAGAACTCATTACAGGGATATCATATGGCATTTAAAGATAATAACCTCCAAGAATAAAATATTTAACTTAATCAGAATATTGAACAATACTGAGTAATAATCTTTAATGGGCTACTACCTGAATCTGAAAAAGGAGGAATATCAGTCAAAGATACAAGAATAAAAGAAAATTGATACAGTCCATGAAAGCAAGAAATTGTCTTCTAACACTCAGGACTTAACATACAACCAATTAGCCCTATGAAAAGAAAACTCTGTCTTATCTGCCTAATATTGATAGAGGCAGGAGGCAGAGAAATTCTAGGCAGACAGGGGGAGGTCCCTGGTGAAACTCCACCTTCAAGCCAAAGTAGCTTGAGACCTGCACCCAAAAGTGAGGACCTCTATCCCTGTTTGCCCACTCTCTCCTGATTGGTTCTTTCTGAATAATATCTTTTTTACCAATTGAATGTTGCCTTTTCCAAAACCACCTCTGGCTTGCCCCACCCCCATCCTGTGTCTATAAAGACCCCAGGCTCAGTTGGTAGAGGAGAGATGGCTTGACTTTGGAGAGAAGACGGCTGGACTTCAGGGAAGAAGAGATGGCTTGACTTTGGGGGAAAGATGGCAGGACTTCAGGGAAGACTACCTGCTGGTCCCATACTCTTTCCAGCTCCCCTCTCTGCTGAGAGCCATTCCCACCTCTCAGTAAAATTCTTCACCTTCACCATCCTTCAAGTGTCCGCAGGATAATGCCCAAGCAACCAGCATGCATAGCAAGGAGGACTCTGGCAGAGATGGAGAGCTCAGGATGTTAACTAGAAGCCTAATTCTTCTTGGATGCCAGACAAGAGCTCAGGACCCACCGAGTGCAGGTACTCATAAAAAGGTTGTCACAATGGCCCTTTGCCCTCACTGGTGGACAGCTGCCCGACATGATGAGGCAAGGGGCCAACTGAGCTGTTAACACGTAGCTGTCTGTGGACGGCAGAACTCAAGGATCATTGTAATACCCCCTGTGGGGCCTTGGGGGTCACAGGTACCCCCCTAAACACACAGTTGGGCACTGCCCCATGGAGCTTGCTCTTGCTGGCACCCAGAGTGGCTTGCTGGGTCCTGCAGTATCTCACTGGTGCCTGGTCTGGCCATGGGTACTGTATGGAGCTTGCTCCTGCCAGCGCGAAGAGAGACCCTGGGCAGATCCAAATTCACTTGCTCATGTGCTCCCTCCCACAAGGGGTTGAGCATGGAGAGCTGAGTAAATGGAGCCCCCCTGTCACAAGTCTGATGAAGACGCTGAGAAAAATCCTGCATCAATTTGATGACCACCCCTTAGCAAAATACATCCTGGTTTTCAATAGCAAATTATCTTTAATGCCTTACATGGGTTTTGCTACACTTCATTTTTAAACATAAAACAACAAACATACTATCCTGGAGAAAAGTTCATTTTTAGCAAAGCCGCCTTTTAATTCAGGTATAACACAGTGCCCCAAGACTCTTCTAAATTTGTCCTGGTAGATATTTGCAGATCTACTTATCACAGTCACAGCATGAAGTAGTTTCTGATTTATGTGGTGAGCTTTAGACTTTTAGTATTTTCTCTCATGGCCTCAATCCATGAGAAAGCGGGCCTGCATCACATTTAACACCAACATAGCAGTGTCGATAATGCCCAAGCAACCAACATGCATAGCAAGGAGGACTCTGGTGGAGATGGAGAGCTCAGGATGTTAGCTAGAAGCCTAAGCAGCATAAACTGAAAGATTTTTCAAATCTAGAGGATTTTTATATATTTGGAGGGGAATAATGTATGCTGCTGAATTAGAAACCCAGATAAGATTTCACTTATAAGTGGAGAATTACAGTTAAACTCTATGTATTTGGTATGATTTCAGCAAAAGGCTTTCAGAAGTTTTCCATGAGAGAGAAAATGGGTTTCTCAGAGGTCTGGGTCAACCAGACCATAAAACTCAGCATCATTACTTTCCCACTATCTAGTACAGAACCTGCCATAGTAAAGGTGATGATTACGACAATTTAGGTGTAACTCAAAGTCAGATCATGCTGTAGCTGCTTGTAAACTCTAGATTCCTAACTTCCACCATATCATCACTTCACACCTATGTTTTGCTTTGGATGGCACCCAAAATATTTCAAGCTGCTTTCCTATCCAATTTCTCATTTCTGGCTAGGGAGCCATGTTATGTCCAAATCCTAGTAGAGGTTATTTTGGCTGAAGAGAGCCATGAAACAAGTTGTATATTTGTAATAGAGCATAAATACACTTTCTGAAGCCTAGGCAAATGCTTGTCATGCTATTACATTGTATTTCTGCACATGCTAGATACTAGGTGCTCAGTAAATTTGCTGACAACTTTAGACAAATGAAATGGAAAAAGAATGAGGCTGTCATGTGGATGCTAGAGTGTTTATAACAAACCTTGGCCAGAAAACATTTATTTCTTCAGCAAATATTTACTGAGTATATACTATGTGGCAGACACTCGACTTAACGCTTAGATGTAGTCTTGGCACTGGGAGCTGAGAGTCTAATGTAGATAACACCCACATTAACAAAATAATTATGTTCTGGAGTGGTGGAAGCTGTACCAGAATGTGAGAAAACTCAGAGGACAACAAAGAAATGGCGTGGGGGTTTGGAAAGAGATTAATATAAGAGAGCAAAACCAGTCTCACAGAATTGTTTACCTTTTCTTCCTTTTCTTGTAACCTTTTTTTTTTTTTTTGGTGGTAGTTGTGAAATATAACATGCTTAAACAAAAGTGTGTAGAACAAAGATATACCACATAGTGATTTATCATAAATTGAACATTTATGTTAAAAAGTGCTTTTCAAACTATCTGTAATGACAGACCAGATTTTGTTTTTGTTTTGTTTTTTCTAATCCATCAGTTAAAAAATACAATTAAAATGAAACACTAAAAAAGGAAAAGGAAAACACATGTTTTTATAAAGATATAAACTTTTGAATAAACCAGTAGAAAAGAATTACCAGGAAAATAGAAGAGAAGGAACAAAGATAAACAAAATCCAGGTCAAAATTTTAAATTATTATATCCAACAGGCATAAAATTACTTGGTAAAATAAAGTTTCTGAATATTTATTGTGAATTCCTGTACTTATGTGAACCCATGGACTAATCATGGCAATTAAACAAGGTTCAATTGCTAAAGAAATTGACAGGACCCAAACTGACAAAGCTTACAAAAATGCAATCTGTTCCAGAAGAACATACAATATGGCAGTAGCACTGAAGTAAGGCTACACATCAGGGCCAGGCTGCCTCCCAGCAAGATGTCCAGAGAGACCAGATGCAGGTTCCAATTGTCTTACCTCTGTAGCATCATATTGGATACACTTTCTTTCGGACCATTAACATACACATTGAATATTTAGGCTCTGGGATCCCCAGATGGAATTTTGCTGGTGCTTCTTGTGCCCAGCTGGTCACATAGGCATATTCTTGCTATGTAACCAGTCCCAGTGACAGAGCTCTTCAGTGGTCATACTGGAACCAACTCTAAATCATTAATCTCAATGTTAACAATGAACAGTGCCGACAAGCTGGTACAAACCACCCTAAACTCCTTAGACTCATGTTAACAAAAACACACTACAATCAGTACCTTGGTCAGCATCTTGCAGGTAATTTAGCAAAACAGCGCAGGCCAATTCCAGGCCTATTGGAATTAACTTCACAGTGTTGGAGCCAAAGGAAGACTTTCCTTTCATCCTCTGAAGGTTCACTGAAAATCACTGACAAGAGGCAGATTAATAGGAGAAAAAAGATGTAAATTTATTTGATTCTAGTTTTATGTGACACAGAAGTCTTCAGAATGAAGACCCAAAGATACAGGGGAAATTATCCATTTTATGCTTAGGTTCAACAAAGTATGGGCAGCTGTTTTTAAATATGATTGGACAAAAAGAGTCTGATCTTATCTTAACAGACTGAGCAGGGAAACCTAGCAAGGCCTGTGCTTCTAGTTTTTCTTGGCCTCTCTGAGCATGTATTTCTTCCTTCTGTGCATGGGGCAGGAATCTCTTTGGAATGAGGGTCTTATGACCTACAGTCAAACAAGGCAGGTCAGATAATTTCTTTTTGGCCAGTTTTTTTTGTTTTTTTTTTTTTATTTTTTTTTTATACTTTAAGTTCTAGGGTACATGTGCACAACGTGCAGGTTTGTTACATAGGTATACACGTGCCATGTTGGTTTGCTGCACCTATTAACTCATCATTTACATTAGGTATTTCTCCCAGTGCTATTCCTCCCCCAGCCCCCCACCCCATGACAGGCCCCAGGGTGTGATGTTCCCTGCCCTGGGTCCAAGTGTTCTCATTGTTCAATTTCCACCTATGACTGAGAACATGCAGTGTTTGGTTTTCTGTCCTTGTGATAGTTTGCTCAGAATGATGGTTTCCAGCTGCATCCATGTCCCTGCAAAGGACATGAACTCATCCTTTTTTTTACAGCTGCATATTATTCCATGGTGTATATGTGCCACATTTTCTTAATCCAGTCTATCACTGATGGACGTTTGGGTTTGTTCCAAGTTGCGATTGTGAATAGTGTCGCAATAAACATACATGTGCATGTGTCTTTATAGTAGCATGATTTATAATCCTTTGCGTATATACACAGTAATGGGATGGCAAATGGCCAGATTTTACCTGAAAGGTGGTGGGTGGGGGGGAAGTTAGAGTAAGATTTTTAGGTTTTATGGTGACCTTTGGGGAGAAAGCATTCTGGTTTTTATGACCCATCTTGGGGAAGAGAACTTCTATGGTTAACCTTCAAGGAGAAAGAGACTCAAAGACAGGAGGGTGGGAGAAGGTCAGAGAAAAACTTTTGCTTCTGAGGCTGTTTCTGAGGCCTTCATTTTGGTGTATGGTTTTCTGAGTCCCCAAAACAGCATAACTCATAGCAGTTTATGGATGGGTACTGGGTTATAGACCACACTTTGAGTAACAGTGATCTATGGAACATTAGAATGGAACTAAAAATAGAATGGAACAAAAACCAGAATATGACCAGTACCCCAGAAATCTTTATTATGCCCTCACAATTATTAATCTCTCCTTTCCTCAAAGGTAAACAAACTATCCTGAATCCATGATGATTACTTTCTTTTCTTTATAGTTTTTCACATCTCTCTTTTTACATTTTATATAAATAGAATCATAAAGCATATATTACTTTTTGTATGGATTCTTTTGCTCAAAATCATATTTATAATATTCCTTCAATCTCTTAGGTAGTGTTGTGGTTTGTTCGTTTTCAATGCAGTAATGAATTCCATTTGTGGTGTACTATGATGTATCCATTTGAATATTGATGAACGTTTGGGTGGTTTTAAATTTTTGACTATCATGAATAATGATGCTGTGACCATTTGCGTTCGTGTACATTTTGTAATTCTCTTGCACGTATAACTAAAGTGGAACGGTAAAGTCACAGGTTATATATGTTTAGCTGTTGTGCTTGCCGCCATGTAGTGTATTAAAAGAGTTGTACCAATTTACTCTTCCACTAGAAATATAAAATTTCCTTTTGCTTCACATTGTTGATAATAACAGTATTATTAATTTTTAAATTTTTGCCACTTTAGAGAATGTAGAGGATAATTTTACTGTGGTTTTCATTATATTGCCCTGATTATGGAAAAGAAAAGGTTGAACATTTATTGGCTATTAAAATAGAGGCTTTACTTATACAGGTCTTTTGCCCATTTTTCTATTGATTTTTATTTTTTAGTGACTTGTAGCAGTTATTCTTCTTCTTCTTTTTTTTTTTTTTTTTGAGACGGAGTTTTGCTCTTGTTGCCCAGGCTAGTGTGCAATGGCACAGTCTTGGCTCACTGCAACCTCCACCTCCCAGGTTCAAGCAATTCTCCTGTCTCAGCCTCCTGATTGGCTGGGATTACAGGCGCCTGCCACCATGCCCAGCAAATTTTTTGTATTTCTAGTAGAGACGAGGTTTCACTATGTTGGCCAGGCTGGTCTTGAACTCCTGACCTCAGGTGATCCACCCACCTTGACTTCTCAAAGTGCTGGGATTACAGGCGTGAGTCACCGCGCCTGGCCAGCTGTTCTTTTTATATTGTGGATATAACTCTTTCTTCAGATATATGTGTTGTAAATATAATCTCTTATAGTGTGGATACCTTTTAAAGGCATCTTTTGATGATAAACATTTAGTGTACACAGTAGTAGCACACTGTTTAAGTACTTTCCCTTTATAATATAAAAATGATATTATGCCATATTCACCTTTTACCATCCCAAGATCATTAAGATTTTACAGAAGCTTCGTTGCTTTGCATATCACACATAGATATGTTTTTTATTGTGTGAGGTTAGAGTCAAGTTTTATTATATTTTTCACTTTGATATTCAGTTAATCCAGAACCATTTATTGAAAGGAATGTTCTTTTCCCATTGGTCTACAGTAGCAATTTTGTCATTAATCAATTACTTATTTTTGTGTGGGTCTCTTTCTGGGCTCTTTCCTCTGTTTCATTAATGTAATTTTCTATCTTTGTACCCCTGTTACACAGTCTCAGTGATGAGTTTTATGGTAATTCTTGCTACCTGGTAGAGTAAATCCTTCTACTCTGTTTTCCTTCAGTAGTGTCTTAGCTATTCTTGACCCTTCACATTACCATGTAAATTTTAGAATCAGTTTGACAAGTTTCACATAAAAACTTTGTCAGATTTGGGGATCACTGACTATCCCTCCATTTATGCCTGCTTTCATGTGTTTTACTTAATAGTATTTTATTGTTGTGAGGGCTTGCACACATTTAATAGATTTATTCCTATGTATGTGTTGCTGTTCTGGTACCTGTTCTAAAATTTCATTTGAAAATGCAACCAATATTTGTATTTTGATTTCTGTATCCACAAACCTTGTTAAACTCACTTATTAATTGTAATAATTCATCTATCTTTTGAGTTTTCCATATCTACAGTCATATCAACTATGAATAATTATAGATTTATTCATCTTGTCTATTGAAGGTTAGATTCCCCATACATAGCCCTGAGACAAACATTCAGGTGTAAATGGTTTATATGGAAGTGGATCTCAGGAAACGTTGGAATGGGAGTAAAGAAGTGAAAGAAGATAGCTGATACAGGGTTCACTCTCAGGAAAGTTACCTTGAAAGCTTAATCCAACTGGGGAATTAATGAATCAATGTAAAAAATTGCATCCGAGTTTTCACATTAAAGGGGTAAGCAATCTAAAGTACTTATTGTAAATGTTCTGTGGACCTGCGGTTGAGGGATGTTCCCAGGAGTGAGTTAATTCTCTGGGGTGAGCAATTTCTAGCCTGCTGGTAGGACAGATGAAGTGACTCCAACAATGAAAGAAAGACTTCAGCAAAGAAATGAAGGTGCTAGTAGTTGGCTGGTGTACACTGAAGTGCTAAAGTCAAGGTGGTATAGATGCAGTACCAATAGCACCTACTACATTGTCCAATTCTTACAGAATTTCTTTCTTTCTCTTACATTGCTGTACTGGCTAAAACCCCTAGTCCATATTGATTAAAAGAAATGATAAAGGTCATCCTTGCATGCTGTCTGATTGCAAAGGAAAAGCTTCACCATAGGTTTACTATAAATACCTTTATCAAATTATGGAAGTTTCTTCTATCCATATATATTTTTAAATTATGAATGAGTGTTAAATTATATCAAACATTTTTATTTATCTAAAGAGACAATAGTGTTACTTTTCTCATTTATTCTGTAAATGGGCTAAATTTCATTGATTATTATTATTATTTTTGAAACCTGGCCTCACTCTGTCACCCAGGCTGGGGTACAGTGGTGCCATATGGCTCACTGCAGCTTGGAACTCCTGGGCTCCAGTGATCCTCCTGCCTCAGCCTCCTGAGCAGTTAGGACCACAGGTATGAGCCACTGCACACATCCTGATGTTTGAATACTTAATTAATATTGCATTTCTGGAATAAACCCACCTTGTTTGTTTTGGTTATTATATTACCAAAACTTTTTTTAATATTTAGGTTTTTGCATTTATATTCCTATATGAGATTGGCTGGTATTTTTGTTTTCTTTTTCTTGATTTGCTCATTAAATTTTCCTAGGAAGTTTATCCTGGTTTACTGAAATGATTGAGAAGTATTTTTTCTTTTGCTATACTCTTGGAGATTTTGTATATTATTGAAATTATCCTTTCCTTAAATTATTGGGAGTATTTGCTGAAGACATCTGGACCTACAGTTGTTCTATATGGAAATATTTAAAATTATAGATTTAATTTCTTTAATAGTTATATAAATATTTATACTTTTGATTTCTTCTTGTTTCAGTTTCATTACATTGTATTTTTAAAGAAATTTTTTTCATTTTATTAAAATTTTAAAATTTATTGACAAAGCATTTAATAAGAAATTTTTAGTTTGTTTATAATAAAAAAGACTTCTTCTATGCTCCTAACATTGGTTATTTGTATCTTTTAACTTTTTTTTCCTTGATCAGTGTCACCAGGGATTTATTAAATTTATTGGTCCTTCCAAAGAACCATATATGGCTTCGTTGACCCTCACTGTTTTATGGTTGTTTTCTATTTCATTGATTTATATATGTTATTTGCTTACTTTTCGTGTTTTGATTAACTTTACTATATACAACCTTCTGTCACCCTCAGGAAGAAAGTATTTCTAAAAGTCAGTCTCTGCATTTTGGCCTGATAATTATTTACTATCATGTTAGCACTTCAATATTTTCGAGCAAATGTTTTAAATTTTTGTCTCTAGCATTTCCAGTTGTACCTGTGAGAAAGTATTGGCCCAATTTAGCTAATCCACTATTACCCAAGGGGGAATGTCTCCACTGGTTTATTTTTTGACTTTTTTTTTTGGACAAAGTGCCATCTTATGTTTTTATCTGAAAGCCTTTCCAGCAGTCTTTGGATAGAATTGAATTCTCTAATTAAAACTGCATTAATCGGTAAAATAAAATGTTTTACAGGGAATGCAGAGTAGGGAAGGGGAATAAAGGCCTGAGACAGTAAGGCTGTTACCTCCTGTAATTGGCTTGCATCTGCTCTTAAGCTCACCTTTAGGTTCAGGACCTCATCTAAAGTGTGATGGGAGCTATTACATGTGAGGAGGAATAACATTCTAAGTGTTCCCATACCTTCTATCCCTTTCCTTTAATGTTTCTTGCAGCTCTTTTTTATGTGCCAGAACAAACTGATAAACATGAGCCACCCACTATAAACTATAAACAAGAGTTGTAAATATTGGTACCTGAAACAAACGTATGGCTTAAATGTAACAAGAAAAACTTCAGATGCATACTTGCTGGGACTAGATAAAAAGACAGTGGCTGAAGTGAGGACAAAGGAGTGTAATCTTGTGGATAGCAGAGGGTGGGACTGAGGAACCATGAGATACACTGTGGTAAAAACCATTAGAACTGGGAAGCTTCATGAAAGCTGGATCAGTATAAGTGGTGTCTTTCATCGATGTCTGGTGAGACCAATTGCTGATAACGGTTAGTGTGTTGTTTGTTTCAGTTGAAATAGTCTAACCTGCATTGTATGATTCTACCTTACCCTGGTGCAATGTATGCCTTGTGAACAGCCTTCCTTTTTTTTTTTTTTTTTTTTTTTTCTGTTGTTGTTGTTGTTGGATTGGGCATTTATTTCTCAGCATTTCCCCGACAGCAGAAGAGAGAGGTCTTGAATTTTTCAAGGGATGTTGGTGACATTAAGGTAAAGCCTCACTCCTGACCAAATTGTGCCACCAGAACTAATTTGTAGCAATTGTGTCGTGATAACAACAAAGCATATCACCTTCCCTCTATATGTATAAAATGTATACTTAAATGCACACTCATATATTTGTAACTCATAGTTTTTACCCTTGCAGAATTTATAGTATAGTTCAGGAGGAAAGACACACACACACACAAACACACAAAGACACACACACACACACACACACGCATGTGCGCGGGCACACAAAGAAAGGCCATTGGGTTAAATATCCATCAATGGCACAGAAGTTCAAGGCAGAGAGTTGTAAAGAGGTGTTTATGCAAGATATGAGATCATCTAGGTCTTAGAGGTTATAAAAAGATGAAGGACAGGAGATTAATAGATTAAACAAGATCAACATCTTGACCTATACCCTATGAACAATGGCCTTTTACTCGAAATAGCATATGTCCTTTAGCTTTCTACAGATTTGACTCTCACTGCTACACTATTTGAAATAGGATGAACTCATGCATCTCAGTTTAGATCTTTCTTCTTTGATTTCTCTACATTCTTTTTTTAGAGTTATTTTAGGTCTAGAATATAATAAATACTTAATTTAGATGTGAGATTTTGAGCCAGCACAAAGGATATTGTCTTAGAATAACACATTTTCCATAGAACATTAACGGAATAGGTTGCCAAGACCTAAATACCTGTAGTCAGGTGAGTTGTCAGATTGACTTCTCAGTGAGTCATTTTTGGTTGGTTGATGAACCATGACTGCCTTCTGTAGGTGGTTTATAGGGCTATAACTTCAGATGTTCTCAATTTTATCCTAGGTCAAGAAAGATAAGTCAATGGTAGACATATAGACATAAGTCTCTTTTCTTTTCTTTTTTTTTTTTAAGATGGAGTCTCATTCTGTCTCCCAGGGTGGAGTGCAGTCGTGTGATCTCGGCTCACTGCAACCTCTGCTTCCTGGATTCAAGTGACCCTCATGTCTCAGCCTCGCAAGTAGCTGGGATTACAGGCACAAGCCACCACAACCACCTAATTTTTGTGTTTTTAGTAGAGATGGGGTTTCACCATATTGGCCAGGCTGGTCTTGAACTCCTGACTTCAAGTGATCTGCCCGTCTCGGCCTCCCAAAAGTTCTGGGATTACAGGCATGAGCCATCGTGCCCAGATGACATAAGTCTATTTTCTTCTCCTGGCTCAACCATACCTCTTGTTCCAGCAAGATTATTAACACCCTCAAGGTCTTTCTCGACAAGATCACTGAGGCATTTCTATCAATCCATTAAAACTACAGTGGATTTTGTCTTTAGGATGGCAAGCTTAAAGCCATAGCAAACAATAAATTTATAATTCTGGGGGCTTCAATCAGTAGATAGTAGTAGCAAGAACCTATGTTTAGGCTTTCTGTGAGCAAGGAAAACAGAGAATATAATGGAGGTGATTAAGTTTTTGTTCTATAATATACTCAGTGATAATAATTTGGAGTGATTTTTTTAAAAAACATAAATATCTGGGATAATATCAAGTAGTTTTCTTAATGAAGTTTCTATTATTATTTCATGTAATCTCAATAAATATCACAAGGTAGATATTTTTAGTATCAGTATAATTTTTACTAGTTTGGAATAAGTTTGGTTGTTTGAAATAAAAACTCCACTGAAAGTGGCCTCAATAACAGAGTTCAATTAACAAAATCTCTCATTATAAGAAGTTCCAAAAAGGTGGCTCCCAGACTGGTTAATTCAGCAGTTCAACTCCATCAGGTCTCATTTCTCTTTTTTGCAGTTCTTTTATCTTTGTTTTCATGATTCATGGTTGGAGAATATTGGATTCAAACATGACCTCCTCACACAATAATATTCAATGCAGGTAGGAAGTGGGGAGTGTCTGGGGATGGTCTTCATATGCTTCACTCTGTATTTATCAGGGAGGCATATATTTCTAAGAAATCTTCAGCAGTATTTCTCTTTGGTTTTATTTGGTTTTGTACTTTCATCTTGCTGTTGGGCTGAGAGACTGCCTGCCAGTATTTGAGTGGATTTGGGCATTTCCAACCAGAATAAAAAGGCAAGGGGAATTGTGATCAACAGTATAACTGCCATATTTACCAAGACTGACAGACATACTATGGTCTTTTAATATTCTTGTAGGCTTTATTTTGAAGGTGTCTTGTCATGGTAATAGAGAAGTAGAGAGGAATTGTTTTGATATTAATGACAATATAAATTACAATATTAATTGCTCTCACTTATCAGCACCTACCTTCTCCTAGGAACTGTGCTACTTGGTATTCTTTGCATAGATTATTTCATTTAATCTTTTCCCCATGAGACAGTAAATATAATTCATCTCAACTTATAGATGAGAAAACAAAGACTTAGAAAGGTGAAATAATTTGCTCAATATCTCTCACGTGGAAAAGAAAAAACTGAGTTCAAACCCAGGCAATCAGTTTTTAGATTATGAGTTCCTAATGACTTACCATTCTACTTACCTGTGAAATAATTGTGTTTCTCCAGGAAGTCATTGGTTTTCTCCTCTCTGAAAGGATTGGAGTGTTCAGAAAAAAGTTCAGGGCCCACACTGACTGCTTGAAGACTTGTGTTTCCATAAGCTGTGGCTGAATCTATCTCTCAGGGTCAGATCCTGGCAGAGAGAACAGAAATGACCATGTGCAAATCAATTGCTGAGATATGAAGGGCTCCTGAAAGTCTGTAAGATTGTCAAAGAAATAAATCTTGCCTCTTTTGTTCAGAATAGTATTCCCAGTCCTAGCATACCACCTGCTAGGCTTCTAAACAATATTTATTTATTTATTGTTTTTACTAGCTATTATTGCTTCTCTGACATCTCACTGCATGAAATGATAGATGCAAGCATTTGATTTAAAGCTTTTCTTTTTTACTATATTTTAAAAATACTAACAATTTAAAACAATTCTCTGAAACACAATAAATAAGCCATTTTTAGATATAAATTCATTAGATCCTTCTATCTCTTTTCTTTAGGATATTTAATTGAGACTTAAGACTTAATCAGGATAACAAGAAAGGTAGTTATGGAATAGAAGTAGAGGGGAAGTATGAGGATGTTTAGAGGTTGAATATTACCCAACAGGGATGAGTGTGGATAAAGCACTAAACAAGGTGGCTTAGTAACATTGAAGCCTTGGATTGTTGGGATATGTGTCACCAAGAGAGGAGAGAAGACCACTGTTATTTTGATCAGTGTTATTTCTACCTGAACTATGAAACTACCAAAACTTACTGAGATGTAATAGAAAGAATCTCAGATAGAAAGTTAAAGACCCTTAATTTTAGACCTGATTCTATCAGAAACTTCTTCAGTGACTTTTATACATTTCTCCACTGAAATGGAATTAAAAGTTTTTTTCTGGGATACAAGAAGCAAAACTGATATTCTGTGATTCTGAGAGAATGGCCTAATTTACCCATTCTAACTAATCAGACGTGGCAAATGTGTGACTAACACACAGGTCAACACTCCTAGCCCTACTCCTATTGTGAGCATCACTAATCAAGTGCTGCATTATTTCCTGCTTAATTGGGATTTAGCCTCAGAAATCAACACAGAACATCAAGAGGCCTCTGCTTTTCAATCTAAGCTGGCCACATAGAGCAAAAATAAAAAAAAAAAAACTCACTTTTTGGCCGGGCGCAGTGGCTCACGCCTGTAATCCCAGCACTTCGGGAGGTCAAGGTGGTGGATCACCTAAGGTCAGGAGCTCAAGACCAGCCTGGCCAACATGGTGAAACCCCATCTCTACTAAAAATACAAAAAATCACCTGGGTGTCGTGGTGGGTGCCTGTACTTCCAGCTACTCGGGAGGCTGAGGTAGGAGAACTCCTTGAACCCAGGAGGTGGAGGTTGCAGTGAGCTGAGATCGTACCATTGCACTCCAGCCTGGGCAACAAGAGGGAAACTCTGTCTAAAAAAAAAAAAAAGAAGAAGAAGAAGAAGAAGAAAACTCACTGCTATATTACTTTTGTAGGTAATAAATTTATTTTAATGCTGATATCACTTATTTAAAATAATTTATTTTTTTCTTTAGAAATAGAATCTCGCTATTTTTCCTGGGCTGGTATTAAACTCCTGGCCTCAAGCAATCCTCCTGACTCAGCCTCCCAAAGTACTGAGTGTATAGGTGTGAGCCATCACGCCTGGCCCTCTTTAAAATATTTTTGTTGTTATTTTAATTTTCTTTTGCTGCTGTAAGAAATTACCACAATTTTTGTGGATGGAAACAAAACAAATTTATTACTCTACAGTTCTAAGGTCAGAAGTCAAAAATGTAGGTATCAGCAGGCAGGGCTGTGTTCCTTCTGGAGGCTCTAGAGGCAAATCTATTTCTTTGAGTTTTCCAGCTTCTAAAGATCACCTCTGCTCTTTGGTAGTGGATCCTTCTTTCATTTTCAGAGCGAGCAGTGTAGTATCTTCAAATCCCTGTGACTTCTGCTTTCATATCTTATTTTCTGACTCTGCCTCTCCGTTATGAGGACTCTTGTAATTACACTTGGCCTGCTAAGATAATGCAGAATAATCAGCCCCTCCCAAAACTCTTAATCACATCTACGAAGTCCTCTTTTTCATATCAGGTTCTGAGGATTAGAACAGGAGCTTTTTGTTCTGTTTTGTTTTGAGGCAGAGTCTTGCTCTCTTGCCCAGCCTGGAGTTCAGTGGTGTGATCTCAGGTCACTGCAACATTTGCCACCCGGGTTCAAGTTATTCTCATGTCTCAGCCTCCTGAGCAGCTGGGATTACAGGTGACCACCCCCACACCTGGCTAATTTTTGTATTTTTAGTAGAGATTGAGTTTTCCCATGTTGGCCAGGATGGTCTCGAACACTTGACCTCAAGTGATTTGCCTACCTTGGACTCCCACAATGCTGGGATTACAGGCCTAAGCCACTGTGCCCGGCCTGAACAGGGACGTCTTTCAGAGGGCATTCTTCTGCCTACCACAGTGATTAAAGTCTTTCCAGAGGCCCTCTTTTATATGTTATTTACTGCCTCTAGCATATTGTGTTAAATATTCTCAATTATAGAAATCTATGTCATGTAACAAAATATCTTTCAGAATCAAGTTTGATCATCAAACTAGGCAAAACTATTTTAGGTCGAAAATGAGATTTACCTACAAAGTAATGAGACATTTTCTTTTGGAGCTATGAGTCTGGTTCTGAAAACATTTCCTAAGGGGGTTACCCAGCAATATAAGAAAGAGCACTGCTGTTAAAATAAGTGTAAATGTCCCAAACTGAGTGTTTCAAAAGGCATAGTCATGCAGATGGTATATTATAGCACCAAGGAGAATGACTGAGTTTAGAGAGGTTGAACTGCTCTTCCCTGTAACATCAGCACCTATCACAGTGCCTCACTCATACATAACACCAAATGGTTGAATTAGTAAAATAATGGTATAGACACCCAATACACGTGGAAGTGAGTTGACAGTTCTAAAACCTTATAAAAATGGGAAACATCTTTATGAGCATCCCCAAATATTAAGGATGACCATGATATTAATATTCAAGCAGATAAAATCTATTTAAAACATTTCCTAACTATCTTGTCTCCTTAAAGGTGTTGCAATTTAAATGAAGAGAGAATAACAGGGATTGGCTCACTTCTATTGTCTGCTTTTCTGTCTTAATCAGATTTCACAGTAAAAAAAACATAGCATCCTTTAAAGGAGGAAAAATAAGTGCAGTCCTTGGTGATTTTAATCACTTCTTAGCTGCTTTCCTGAGAAAGCCCCATCTGCCCTTCTAGTCCATCTGCTGGTTGTTAACACTTAGTCAGTCACTTGACAAATCCAAAATCTGAACTGAGAGGGGGGAGGGGGATGTGAGATCATGGTTTCTGATGATTACATGTTGTGATTGACACACACACACACAAATCAAGATGCCTTTGTTCAGGCTCAGCTTGAGCAGGACCTGGAGCCAATTTTGCCCAGGAATGTAATGTCAGTGTGGCTAAGGGAAGATGTACCATGGCAAATGTTCATGGTTTTGCTGGACATTCCTTTGTTCAAGAGTTAATTTTTCTTGTCATGAAGGCTGGTGATCAAATTATTTGATCATTTAATCACCAGTACAATAAAAAAAGAGATGAAATTTGATCCAGTTTCTTGATAGAAAACGTGGCTGTTGGACTCCTTAGACTGATTTATTTAACACCAATATCTGTCAACATTCAGAACAGATTCTTGAACAGATGGCTTGAATGTACTTAGAAAAGGAAAGGCTGTAGACTCTTCTATTTGAAAAGGGGCATAGTAACTATCCAGGTGGGTCTTACTCTACAGCCAGGAAAACCAAAGTTTAGCAAAGTTAAGGGAGCTACCACGGGCCATTTCTAATGCTTATCAAACACTATTTACACAGTAGCCTTTTGTCTGGTGGAGTAGAGCACATTCTTCCATATAACCCTTGAACCTTCTTCTTGCAGTCCACATTTCTGAGCTGTGGAAACTCCACATGGGACCTCCAGCTGATGTCCCACTTCACCTGACATATTTTCACTTTAGCTTGAAGCTTTTAGCAATGAGATAGCTGTCAATTTCAGCTTGAACAAAATCAGTTTATGTGATCATCTCTTTGGGGCAATACATTTTATTGGATAAGTTCAAGATGCAAACACCTGACTAAATAGTAACTTGTGTGGAAAATACTTGTGGACATTTCTTTAATTTGAGCCAAAATTATAAGTGATATTAAAATATCACATTATATAATATGATAACATAAACTTAGAGTTTATTACTAGCAATATAATGCCATGATTAAGAAAACTAGCTATTCCACTCAAATATGCATTGGTGGTATGACATTTAGAGTATTGTGCTTTGATCTGATGATCACATTCAAGAGAAACTTTGATAAAATTCTTAGAGTCCAGAAGAAGGTCAAATGAATGATCAGGTTGGCTAAAAACCATGTTATATGAAGAACAATACATAGAATGAGAAATGTTTGACTAGGAACAAAAACATGTGAAGAGAAAGACATGGTATCTGCCTTCAAGTAAATGCAGTACTATCAGTTAAAATAAGTTGGAGTTGGTTTGTGTCACTTCAGAGAACATAACTAAGACTTGGTTGGAAGGTGCTGCAAAGCAGATTTTGTCTTAGTACAAATAAGAAAGAATTTCTTGAAAAGTAAATCTGCCAACAGCATAATGTTTAACTGCCTCAAATAAAGGCCAGAATGCCTGGCATGAGTAGAGATGTCTTTTGAGGAAGGAGTTTCTTTAAGTTTCACCCAATTTAGATGCTAAGATAAGGAATTTCCGAGGATCTACTATGTAAAATGCACTGTTAGATTGTATGGAGTTTCAAAAAGAAGTATACAACAAAGTTTCTTTTTTAAGATGCTTATACTCTAGTATGAGAATTAAAATATGAAAACATGAGCATCTACCGTAGCCTTCTGGAGAATATGTGTTATCTAATTAAGAGAATGGGATAATCACAATAGACAGGGAAAGTCAGAAAAGAATTCATGGGAGAGGCCTTAAAAAAAAAAAAAAAGAATGGTAATAGAAAGAGTGATGGGAATTGTGAGGCAGATAAGTTGTGAAAGTGTGACTATATATGCTGTGATCAGAGAAACTTAGTCCAGGTTATTGGGTTGTTTTGGGAGAGTTGAGACCATAACAATAGAGAGATGATTGTGAATAGATTTCAGTATAACTTGAAAGGCATATTTAGGAATTTAAACTTTTATTTTTATGCAGTTGGTAACCATTTTGTGCCTTTGCATGGATAGGAAATGGTAGGATGAAAATGGTATTGAAAGAAAAAGACCTGGATGTGCTTGAATAAGGAGAAGCTGAAAGCAGCAAGCACAATGAAACAGGCTGCATCCTTGGAGAAACACAGACAGCATTCTCGGAATGGTAAATATGCTGTGGGTTGCTTCAACCACTTCAGGCATCAACAATTGCCTTGACACTCATTTAGCAACTTGTCTATGTCAAATAATGAGAGTTACCTCTTTGGAGCCTTTAGCAACCTAGCAACTACAGAGCCATAACAATGTTGTTTATCATCTCCTTGTCCAGCCTAATGATGCATGATTCTGTTGCTTCTTAGAGTGAATTGGAAAAAAAAAAAGTCTGTTGGAACACACAGGAATTTTACATTTTTCAAAATAGACAAGGCTATTAGCCTCCTAAGTCTGAGAACTCATTTTCATTTCTAATTAGTTTCTAGAATCGTCAGAGAACACACGTCTTGCCACTTTACTATATTCTGGGGCTGAGTAAATGTAACAGGGGCATGGAAAAAACTCTCTTTCTGCTCATCATAATTTCTGAGCATAGGTAAATAAGTAGGATCTTTACATTGATATTAGCTGTGGAGATATAAATGTCAGTAACAGTCACATAGTATTCCAGCTCGGTCAAATCATACTGTAACCATCATATAAATCTTTCTTGCTTCAGAAATGGTTTTCTACTTGTTTAATTTCATATTAAATTTCCAAGATTCCTCTGCTTTGCAAAATCCTTTCTCGTTTTATCTTCACAATAATTCCCTAATGAATTCAGATAGAAACAGCAAAAGAAAATTGGATTTTGAATCAGGAATCCAGAATTTTAGTCTTCTCTCTGCTGCAAACTTGCTATAATGCCTTGGTATAGTCATCTAAGTTTTCTTCTTCAGTTTTCTCTCTTTTTACATTAAAAACAGTGGCATTCCTTTTTTTACATAAAAGTATACAAAAACTTTTTACATTAAAAATTTCAATATGCAAACACCTGAATAAATAATAATTTGGAAAATACTTGTAAATATTTCTTTAATGAGAGCCAAAATTATAATGCCCAAGCAAACAAATAATGCTGCTTTATCTATTTCAAATAAAAAACCCCACATAAGCAAATTCTGTTGCTCTACCTATTTCAAATGTGGTTGTGAGCATCCAAAGAGACAGAAAAAGATAAGAGAGCATTTTGATAAATATTACACCTGTGCTTATGACTGTCATTATTTTCAGAATTAACACCAGTGTAGGAGGAGAGATTATAAGTATGAGAAGGAATTGTGAAGGTTATCCTGAACTCTGTTTTATTCCTCACCTACTGCACTGAAAATAGCTAAGCAAGTCATTGAAGTTCTTGGAAACTTCACATTTTAAAATCAAAGATAACAGAGTGGAAGAAATAGACCTATGCACATGTATAAATTGAGAGGGGACATAAAACTGGGATGAACTCATCAAAGGAAATATTTTAATTATATTTCTTTTATTAAAATCACAAAGCCCAAGCTGTATGAGTTATATTAAAACATGAAAAAAAGAATAAAAAAAAAAGAAAAGCAGATAAATAAATTAAATAAAGAAAGATAAAAAACCAAACAGGCCTATGAGGATTTATCTGGTGACCAGGAGCATTGCCAGCAGCTAGTGTAGAGTATTTGAGCATGTAAATCTCATAACTATGCCCCTTTTATGTATATAGAGGGATCCAATTTGAAGAAAGATACTTGCATCAGTTTTCTATGCTGTATCACATATTACCACAAAATTAGTGGCTTAAAATCGTACATATTTATTATGTTGCAATGTGTGTGAGGCAGGAGTCTGGACATAGCTGAGTCTTCTAATTAGGGTCTTCAATACCAGCTGGGCTGTGTTCTTATCAGGAGGTTTGACTGAAGAAGAATCTGCTTTCAAATTCACTTAGTACATTTACAGAATCCATTTCCTTGAGGCTGTGTGACTGAGAGCCTGGCTCCTTATTGGCTGTTGGCTACCTTCAGGTCTTAAAGCTTTTGGCTGTTCACTGCCACATGATTCTCTCCATATGCAGTTAACGGCATGGTTGTTTGCATTTCAGGGTCAGCAGGAGAATGTCTCTCTCCAGTTTGTTAGGACATTCTTACACAGCATAAATAAATAAATCATGGGGGCAAGATCCTACCACATTTGCCATATTTACTGGGTAGAAGCAAGTCACAGGTCCTACTTGCATTTAAAGAGGGGTTATACAGGTACCTGCACCAGAGGATGGAGAGCATGAAAGCATCTTAGAATTTTGCTTACCATGGCACTAAGCCAAACCTAAGTAGCTTTGATTCCCATTGAAATAAGTTTTAATTTCTTTAAAATTGCATTTATGGTTTATATATTATATATTATATTATAAATGGCATAAAAATCCTGATCACATTGGAGTACACACTGCCAGTCCAAAATTTGTCATAGTGAAGTATTTCCAGGTTTTCGCACCTCTAATGGTCAAGATATTATACAGCTACAAAATACCAAAATGAGAGAGAGACAGAGAGAGAGAGAGAGAGAGAGAGAGAGACTACATAAGGGGTAAAAAATGCTGTTAAGAACAACTCTGTTTGCCAAAGTTTCCCACTGAAGTTGCCCACTTCAGCTTTCTAACTTGATCTCCTCTCTCTTCAAGAATACAACTTTCTTTCCTCAATAACTTTCAAGCCAATTTAATATAGCTGTGTCAAGCTGTATACAACAAAGTTGCTGATTTAAGAGAATTAATCCTCTAATTTGGAGAATTAAGAGCTTCTTAACTATCTCAATATGAATTTGTTTTTATTAAGTTAGGTTCATTTCGTAACTCTGCCACTGATATATACATGAGCAATACCTACCTCTCTTATCCCTCAAAACTCCAAACAGTCTTTACTTATATTAACCCCAATTAAAATCTGAGTAGTGCAATTTCAGGAAAATATGAAGGAAAGTTAAAGATGGGCTAACCAGGTCAGCAAAAAGGGAGACAAAGATTCATCAGGCAGGGCTCTTCTTGACCCATGTGGTTCCCCAAGTCACTCTCTCACTCTGTCCTGCTCAGCTGGAGTCAGGTACTATTTTTTTAAAAACTTATTTATTCCGTAAGAATTAATTTCCAGTACAGGTAAAATTATACTAGGCTGTGTAATAAGAAAAAAGGAAATTCTCTTTCCTTTTCAATAAGTTTTTCTAAGAGTGTTCAGAGGAAAAAAAGTGAATTTCTGTCTAAAAAATTTTCCACTTTTATAATTCCAGAAAATTTATTTATTAATTATATAATTAATTTAGAAATACAGCTATATTTATAATTTAAAATTATATTGATATTTTCCTTTCATAGATTGGGTGAAGATAAACCTGAAATATGATACATTATAATATTTTTAGACTCCTCAGCCCCATTTTTTTTTACATGACCTGCTAGCAATATTAACACCTGATTAACCACCTTCCAGGAAGTATTCTGCGTAGTCCAAGTTAATTTAGTTGTAATATTTGTTTAATTACAGCACTTAAATTTTATAGTTGGTTATGCAAAATGCATGCTTGTTTGATTTTAATTCAAAAGGAAAGAGAATATTTATCATGTAATTGACTTCTCTTGTAGTCATTGTGATTTTACAACAAGGAAACTGTGATGCAATTTTCCAGAAGGCTCAGTGGCTTAACTAGAAATTCTCTCCCATATTGCTTCTTAGAATAACTGAAATAAGGACTGTAGAAACATAAATTACCAATTGTAATAGAATGCAATTAGTTATGTAATAGAGTTATATGAAGAAGACAATGGTAGTGTAGAGGAAGAATCAGCTCCCTCTGCCTGGGGGAAATAGAAAGGCTTTTTTGAGAAGGCCAGGTTGTCCTTGTAAATTTTCTTGGAGGATACTACCAAGGCACAGGCACGTGGATGTGGCAGAATCAGGCATATTCCATGAGTAGGAAATGGTTCTGTGTGGAGGTAGAAATTGTAGGGGCAAAGTGAGGACCTCCCTTTTGCCCTCTGAAGGTTTGCCAAAAAATCAACTGACAAAAGGCAGATTAATCGAAGAAAAGGCATACAAATTTATCAACGTGCACATGGTGGAGAAACACAGAGTGATTATCCCAAACTCTCACTGGGGTTCAGAGCTTATACACCATCTTGAGGTTACAGAAAGACTGGGGGCTTGGATCATGGTAAAACAGGTTTTGATGGCAAGACAGGTTATAGGGAGGGAAGAAGAAGGGGTCTGGCTAGCAAAGGCAGTCTTGTTATGTAGATGCAACTTCACAGAAAGCAGCCCTCAGAGAGAAGACATGGTAAATGTTTCTTTCAAACCTTTAAAGGTGTCAGACTCTCAGTTAATCTTTCTTAGATCTGGACAAGGGAAGGCCTCAGAGAAAACCTGGCTGCATTAATGCAAATTTTCTCATCAGTGCAAATCTTCCCCACAAAAGTAGCTTTGCAGGGCTAATTCTGTTTTGTAGGCCCTCTGAACAACCACCTCAAAATAGGTCAGATAAGAATATTCTGAGGTGAAATATTTTTATTTCCTTCAAAACCAAGGGAGGTAGGGAACTTGCCAGGTTTGATACAGGTTGAGTCCAGCTTGTGGAAATCTTGAGTATCGTAGTACCATGAGTTTGTTTTTTAGCTGAAAGAGAAGGATGCCTTGAGGAACAAATGGAGGAATCAATAGGATAAGGTTAATTGAAGAACAAAATGTTTGAAGAGGTGTTATAGAGTCCTGGTTGTAAGAATGGAGGAGGTGAGGCATGAAGGAAACAAGAATGAATAGATAAAGATGAATTTTGAGCTGGAAAGGTGAGAGCTAGAATAAGATTATAATTTGGAAATTTGTTTATGTGCTCTATAGTAGCCCCTTATTAAAATGCAGATCCTTTTTAGGTGTAACAGAGAGCTCTTTTTGATTAATATGTTAGTAGGGAATTCACTTAGCCACTGAGGGTGAGGCCCTTTGAGAATAGGGGATGGAACAGTAACTGGCCATCATCAGGGATGATAGAGAATGGGAGCCAAGGATGTGGCATGGGGATGAGAGAGGGACCTGGGCCTAAAATCTGGAGGTCTGGAAAAGCCAAACGAAATCTCTTAAAAATGCTTTCAAGGGCTGGTTCTGTTAGATTGGTGCAAAAGTAACTGCAGCTTTTGCCCTTACTTTCAAATGCAAAAATCACAATTACTTTTGCACCAAACTATTAGTTCTTAAGATATAGCATTGCTTATGATACCAAGGGCTTAGACATCTCTAGACTAGTGTGTGGGTCCTTGTCTGCTCCTCTGAAGCATCAATGGCCCATTAAGCCCTGCTGAACCATAGGACGACAGTCAAGATGTTTGGGTACTGAGAGAGTTCAACTTGTCTGGTGATATGAGAAAATAATTTTTTTCTGAGGATTGTCAGTCCTTTTAAGTCACCAGACCAAGAGAGGATTTAAAATGAGGTAGCAATCATGTCCTACTCCCTTGCTTTTAAGCTGTAGAATCATCTCTGGAAACTGCTTGCTATTGCCACAAGTGGTTATAAATTTAAATTTTTAAAATTTGTATTTTAATAGTTTTTGGGAAACAGGTGGTTTTTTGGTTACATGGATAAGTTCTTTAGTGGTGATTTCTAAGATTTTGGTACCCCCATCATCTGAGCAGTTTACACTGTACCTAATGTGTAGTCTTTAGGCTGTCACCTCTCTCCCACCCCTGAGTTCCCAAAGTTCATTATATCGTTTTTATGCCTTTGTGTTCTCATAGCTTAGCTTCCACTTATAAGTGAGAATATATGATATTTGGTTTTCCATTCCTGAATTACTTCACTCAGAATAATGGTCTCCAACTCCATCCAGGTTGCTGCAAATGCCATCATTTCATTCTTTTTATGGCTGATTAGTGTTCCATGGTGTTATACATATATACCACATTTTCTTTATCCACAAGTGGTTATAAATTAACCTAATAAGGCCACATTAGACATTCTAACTCACACCCTATAGCTTAACAATGTATAGTCAATCAGTAGTTTATGTTATATTAATGTGAATTATTGGTAAACAACTTAGGAACTGCCTCTTCTTTCCCTTTAAAAGTCCACTTGTAATTGTTACTAATTGCAGTGTATATTCAGGGAAACTTGAATCTATATATCCACATTGCAATCCTCAAGCTAGGCCCAAATAAACTCTCTACTTACATTAGTTTTGCCTCGACTTCTTCCTTTTAGATCTGCACCAGCTTGCCTTAACTGTGATTTCCACTGATACTGGGCCTTTGCAGGGTTATACTGTGATTGGGAAAGCTGTTATACACATATTTTGGGGGTTTTAATACAGCTTGCGTCATGACAGAACTATGAGCAAACGGGACTTAAATGACTCCAAATGCCCTCTACATCATATTGTGAATTCCTGGGATTTCATAAAAAAATAGAAAAATACTCATCAACTAAACTCTAGGTGTTGCTTGGTGTTGAGGGAGGAGGGTACAAGTTAGTACCAATAGAGTAAGTGTGATTAATTTTCAAGTGCTCTACTTTTGCCAGAAGGTCTGACTTGGTATTCTAGTTTTGTCAGTTGCTGCTTTCTAATTTTTTTTTTGAAGTAGTGAGAACTGAATAAGATATTGTTTCTGAAAAACCTTTGTAAACATCAAAGAGTTGTACATGCATAATACTGCTTTTGTTTGAGACACTCAAATATCACGTGCCACATATAACACATGTGTGTGAGAAATTGTCAGTCTCAGACTTAAATACAAACAATTCATATTCCACATATTCCATATTTTAAAAATCAAGGTTATTTTTATTATAAAAGTAATGCCTGCTTATTATAGAGTTTACCACATAAAAAGTAGAGAAAAAAGTTGATTGTCTATCACTCAAAGCTAGCACATTTGAATGTTTTTCTTGAGAGATTTCCTGTGAAAATGTGTAGTTTGTTTTATGTAGTTGTAATTATACTTTATAAGTTTTGAGTCCTGACTTTTTCATTTGACAGTGTAATATAAGGATATTCTCATGTTATTTTAACCTTAAGGAAATATTATTTTTAGTGATTTCATAAATTTCAACCATTGGATATGTCATAGTTTGCTCATGAGTCTTATAAGAAATTTAACAGTCTGTGATTTTTGCCATTATAATTCGCTCCTATGGTAGCATATCTTAAGTTATTCTTATGTTAGGTTATATCTGACTTTACAAGTACAAAACTCCAGAATGAGGTGGGTAACTATGGGAAGGGTAAAAAAAATGAGGCTAAATACAAATACTTTCGTTCTTGTTGTCTTGACAACAGAAGAGAAGACTTTCTTTTATTAAATGGAATTATCGAGATCAAAGGTGGACAAACTAGGCCTGTAAAGAGGCAGATAGTAAACATTTTAGGCTTTGTAGGCCATGTAACCCATTTCTCAATTACTTACCTTTGCTTATAGTGTGGAAGCAAACAATATGTAAATGAACGAGTGTGACTGTGATCCAATACAATTTTATTTACAAAAATACAGATTGGGCTGAATTTGGTCCCTGGGCAGTGGTGTGCTGACCCCTGCTTGAAATTATGATTTCAATTATGTACATTTTGAGTGTGCTATATACTTTAAAATGTGAATTTCAAGCTGAAAAATGTATTGTTTAAAGCATAACTAGAGTAAGGTCCTTGGAGTGATGGGGCTTGTCAGGTATTCTCCCTAGAGGAGTGCACATTCAGGTAGGGACAGTCTTCACATATTTATTCCATGTAACAAATACGTAGCTCTTTGTATATGCCAGGTACAGTTCTCGGTGCTTGTATTAGTCTGTTTTTGCACTGCTCCAAAGAAATACCTAGGACTGAGTAATTTATAAGGAAAAGAGGCTTAATTGGCTCATGTTTTCGCAGGCTGTACAGGAAGCATGGCAGCATCAGCTCGGCTTCTGGGGAGGCCTCAGGAAACTTATAATCATGAGGGAAGAAGGAAAAGCGGGAGTCAGTACTTCACATGGCAAGAGCAGAAAGAACAGAAAGAGGGGCAGGCACTACACACATACTTTTAAACAACCAGATCTTGTGAGAAGTCTACCATGAGAACAGCATGAGGGGAATGATGTTAAAACATGAGAAACTGCTCCCATGATCCAAGCACCTCCCACCAGACCCCACTTCCAGCACTGTGGATTACATTTCAACAAGAGATTTGGGTAGGGACACAGATCCAAATCATATCAGTACTTTAAGTATATTTATTCAATGAAGCTTGCGTAACACTGCTGAATTTGGTTAGTATCAGGTTACTTATTTACTCTTTTTGATTCCTTGAAGATCTTTCCTCCTCTGCTTCAATACTCCAGTGAATTTGAGTTCTGATTATCCAAACTTACTATTAGGAAAGAACCACATATGTCATTTACACTAGATGTTGTGGTAATGAACATCAGGAAATAGTATCTCTTGGCATGCTTTCTCACTAATGAGATTTGAAACAATCTCTCTTTGTCCCTAATTCTAATTTACAAAATGGGGACTGTGGTTAGACGGATGGTTTTTACAGCTCACTGTAGATCAGAATTGAAAAAGCATTTAAAAATATCTCTATTTAAAAAAATCTCTTACTAAGTGATTACTAAGTGCTTGGTAAGCTTAGTGCTTACTATGCTTGTTAGATTCTTATGAAGCCAGCCCAGTGGTCCTCAATCTTGCTGTACATTACACTCACCTGAGAAGTTTTACAGACACTGATACTTCAGTCAAACCCTTAGAGATTCTAATTTCATTGGTCTAAGATATAGTCTGGGCATCAGGATTTTTATAAAGTTACACATGATTCTATTGTGCGGCTGCTGAACTAGTCTGAACTTAATCATCTGATTTGTGTTTGCGAATGGGTTTGGAAGAATTTCAACATATTTTCTTTTCCCCATTATGAAGAGTCCAGGACTTTATATTATTAACCCAATATAATATAAAAGAATATGGTACTTGGGTTATTATAACCATGTTTATCCAAGGTTATGTTCAAGTTACTGTTTCTTTGGAGTATACCAAACTTATCTAAATGATTTTGAGAGTGCTGTATTACTGCTCAAGGCCTTAATAAATTGTTTGTAGAATATTTGAAGTGTAACACAAACTATAATTTAAGTCAAGATGTCCTCATGGAAATCAAAATGTACATGTAGCATGTTGAATAACTGTATTTTTAGATCACTTCAAGTAAAGTCCTGAGACCATGTTGAAGAGCAGAGTCTGTTGCTAGTTGTTTAAAATTAAATTCAATTAGAAGACCTGGATTTCGCATTGGAGGCTGGAAGATTCAATGATCAATCCATCAAAAAACTAATTTATATCTTACATTGATGTATAAAAGGTACCATACTCTTGGCTTTGGAGGATACCAAACTGAGGAAAATATAATCTCTGATTTTGAGTAATTTGTAATCTTAATAATAAAACTTAAACAGAGAACAGGATAATAACTGCCAATTTGTAACTGCTATATGAATTCAGAACAGCAAAGCTGGTAGGTGGACAAAGGGTAATTAGAGTGGCTTTCAAAGTGAGACCTGTAGGCTACTTGCATAAGAATACTTTATACATGGTAGCATGAATATATATTCATGGATTCCTGGCATTCTCATCCAGGACTACTCAATTAGTCTCTGGGACAGGGAATGAAAATCTGCCCTTTAAACAGATTCTTCAAGTATTTATTATATATACTCAGCTTGAGTACAATAGATATAGTGGGTACAATATGAGCCAGGCCTTAAAAGATGGTTTGGAGCTATGTAATTATTATAGCAGTTAACATTTGTTAAATCCTAGACACTTTCTAATATTATACATGTATTATGTCATTTAATCCCCATAAAAATGTTAGGCACTTTATTTTTTATTATAGACTCAGAGGGTACATATGCGGATTTTGCAGGTTTGTTACCTGGGTGTAATGTGTGATGCTGGGGTTTGGGTTTCTGGTGAACCCATCACCCAAATAGTGAACACAGTATGCAATAGATAGATAGTTTTTCAACCCTCACTCCACTCTCTCCCTCCCTACTTTTGGAATCTCCAGTACTTATTCCCATCTTTATGTCCATATGTATCCATTGTTTAGCTCCCACTTATAAATGAGAACATGCAGTATTTGATCTTCTGTATCTAAGTTATTTAACTTAGGATAATGGCCTCCAACTCCATCCATGTAGCTGCAAAAGATACGATTTCCTTCATTTTTATGGATGTGTAGTATTCCATGGTGTATATATACCACATATTCTTTGCCTAATTCACTGCTGATGGGCACCTAGGTTGATACCATGTCTCTGCTGTTGTGAATAGTTCTACAATAAACATATGAGTGCAGGAGTCTTTTTGATGACAATCATTTCTTTTCCTTTAGGTAGATACCCAGTAGTGGGATTGCTGGGTTGAATAGTTGTTCTATTCTAAGTTCTTTGAGAAACCTCCATGCTGTTTTCCATAGGGATTGAACTATAAATAGTTTACATTCCCATCCACAGTGTATAAGTGTTTCTTTTTACATGCATCCTCGCCAACATCTGTTGTGTTTTTTACTTTTTGCTAGTAGCCATTCTGACTGGTGTGAGGTGGTATCTCACTGTGGTTTTAATTTCCATTTCTCTGATGATTAGTAATTATGAGCCCTTTTTCATATGTTTGTTGGTGTTTGTAAGTCTTCTTTTGAGAAGTGTCTGTTCACATCTTTTGCCCACTTTTTAGTGGGGTTATTTGGTTTTTGCTTATTTATTTGTTTAAATTTCTTAGAGATTCTGTATGAGTCCTTTGTCAGATGCATAGTTTGTGAACATTTTCTTCCATTATATAGGTTGTCTCTTTATTGATTGTTTCTTTTGTTGCATACCAGCTCTTTAATTAAATCCTATTTGTCTATTTTGGTTTTTCTTGCATTTGCTTTTGAGGCCTTAGTCACAAATTATTTGCGTAGGCCAATGTCCAGAAGAGTTTTTCCTAGATTTTCTTCTAGAATTTTTATAGTTTGAGGCCTTACTTTTAAGTCTTTAATCCATCTTGAGTCAATTTTTGTATATGGTTAGAGGTAGATAGGGGCTCAGTTTCATTCTTAGGCATATGGCCAGCCAGTTTTCCCAGCAACATTTATTGAATAAGGTGTCTTTTCCCCTTGGTCTATTCGTGTAGACATTGTTGAAGACCAGTTGGTTTTAGATGCATGGCTTTGTTTCTCAGTTCTCTATTCTGTTCCATTGATCTGTATGTCCATTTTTGTACCAGTACTATGCTGTTTTGGTTACTATAGCCTTGCAGTGTAGTTTGAAGTTGAGCAATATGATGTCTTTGGCTGTATTCTTTTTGTTTAAGATTGCTGTATTAGTCCATTCTCATATTGCTATAAAGAAATACCAGAGACTGGATAATTTACAAAGAACAGAGGTTTAATTGACTCAGAGTTCTACATGGCTGGGGAGGCCTCAGGAAAGTTATAATCATGGTGGAAGGTGCCTCTTCACAGGGCAGCAGAAGAGAGGATGAGTACCAACAGGGGAAATGCAGAACACTTATAAAACCATCAGATCTGGTGAGAACTCATTCACTATCACAAGAACAGCATGGGGGAAACTGCCCCCATGATTTAATTACCTCCCACTGGGTCCTTCCCACAACATGTGGGGATTATGGGCATTATAATTCAAGATGAGATTTGGGTGTGGACACAGCCAAACCATATTAATTGCTTTGGCTATTCAGGTTCTCTTTTGGTGCCATATGAATTTTAGAATAGCGTTTTCTAATTGTGTGAAAAATGACATTGCTAATTTGATAGGAATTGCATGAATCTTAGATTGCTTTGGGCAGTATAGTCATTTTAATGACATTGATTCTTTCTATCTATAAGCATAGGATATTTTTTTCTTTTGTTTGTATCATTTACAATTTCTGTCATCAATGTTTTGTAGTTCTTCTTATAGAAGTCTTTCATATCCTTGGTTAGATATATTCCTAAGTATTTTTTTGGGAGGGGATTGAGTTCTTGATTTGGTTCTCAGCTGTAGTTGTTGGTGTATAAAAATGCAACTTGTTTTTTGCACTGATTTTGTATCTTGAAACTTCATTAAAGCCATTTATCAGGGTAGGTGTCTTTTGTGAGAATCTTTAGGATTTTCTAGGCATAGGATCATGTCATCAGTGAGCAAAGATCATTTGACTTCCTCTTTTCCTTTCTGGAAGGATTTATTTCTTTCTTTTGCCTGATTTCTCTGGCTAGGACTTCCAGTACTATGTTTCATAGGAGTGGTGAGAGTGGACATCCCTTGTCTTGTTCCATTTCTTAGGGGGAATGCTTTCAACTTTTCCCCTTTCAATATGATATTGGCTGTGAGTTTGTCATAAATAGCTCTTATTATTTTGAGATACGTTCCATCAATACCTAGTTTATTGAGAGTTTTTAGCATGAAGTGCTATTGAATTTTGATGAAGGCTTTTTCTCTATCTATTGAGTTAATCATGTGTTTTTTGTCATTGGTTCTGTTTATGTGATGGATTGTGTTTATTGATTTGCATATGTTGAACCAGCCTTGCATCCTAGGCATGAAGCCAACTCGATCGTGGTGGATAAGCTTTTTGATGTGCTGCTGGATTCGGTTTGCCAGTATTTTATTGAGGATTTTCGCATCAACGTTTGTCAGGGATATTGGTCTAAAATTCTCTTTTTTTGTGTGTCTCTGCCAGGCTTTGGTATCAGGATGATGCTGGCCTCATAAAATGAGTTAGGGAAGATTCCTTCTTTTTCTATTGATTGGAATAGTTTCAGAAGGAATGGTACCAGCTCTTCCTTGTACCTCTGGTAGAATTCGGCTGTGAATCCATCTGGTCCTGGAATTTATTTGGTTGGTAAGCTATTAATTATTGCCTCAATTTCAGAGCCTGTTATTGGTCTATTCAGAGATTCAACTTCTTCCTGGTTTAGTCTTGGGAGGGTGTATGTGTCGAGGAATTTATCCATTTCTTCTAGATTTTCTAGTTTATTTGCATAGAGGTGTTTATAGTATTCTCTGATGGTAGTTTGTATTTCTGTGGGATCGGTGGTGATATCCCCTTTATCATTTTTTATTACGTCTATTTGATTCTTCTCTCTTTTCTTCTTTATTAGTTTTGCTAATGGTCTATCAATTTTGTTGATCCTTTCAAAAAAACCAGCTGCTGGATTCATTGAGTTTTTAAAGGGGTTTTTATGTCTCTATCTCCTTCAGTTCTGCTCTGATTTTAGTTATTTCTTGCCTTCTGCTAGCTTTTGAATTTGTTTGCTCTTGCCTCTCTGGTTCTTTTAATTGTGATCTTAGGGTGTCGATTTTAGATCTTCCCTGCTTTCTCTTGTGGGCATTTAGGCTGTAAATTTCCTTCTACACACTGCTTTAAACATGTCCCAGAGATTCTGGTACAGTGTGTCTTTGTTCTCATTGGTTTCAAAGAACATCTTTATTTTGGCTTTCATTTCATTATTTACCCAGCAGTCATTCAGGAGCAGGTTGTTCAGTTTCCATGTAGTTGTACAGTTTTGAATGAGTTCTATTTTGATTGCACTGTGGTCTGAAAGACAATTTGTTGTGATTTCTGTTCTTTTATATTTGCTGAGGGGTGCTTTACTTCCAAGTATGTGGTCAATTTTAGAATAAGTGCAATGTAGTGCTAAGAAGAATGTATATTCTGTTCATGTGGGGTGGAAAGTTCTGTAGATGACTATCAGTCTGCTTGGTGCAGAGCTGAGTTCAATTCCTGGGTATCCTTGTTAACCTTCTGCCTTGTTGATCTGTCTAATATTGACAGTAGGGTATTAAAAATCTCCCATTATCATTGTGTGGGAGTCTAAGTCTCTTTGTAGGTCTCTAAGGACTTTCTTTAGGAATCTGGGTGCTCATGTATTAGGTGCATATATATTTGGGATAGTTAACTCTTCTTGTTGAATTGATCCCTTGTCTTTCTTGATCTTTGTTGGTTTAAAGTCTGTTTTATCAGAGACTAGGATTGCAACCCCTGCTTTTTTTTGCTTCCCATTTGCTTGGTAGATCTTCCTCCATCCCTTTATTTTGAGCCTATGTGTGTCTCTGCATATGAGATGAGTCTCCTGAATACAGCACAATGATGGGTCTTGACACTTTATCCAATTTGCCAGTCTGTGTCTTTTAATTAGGGCATTTAGCCCATTTACATTTAAGGTTAATATTGTTATGTGTGAATTTGATCCTGTCATTATGATGCTAGCTAGTTATTTTGCCCATTAATTGATGCAGTTTCTTCATATCATTGATGGTCTTTACAGTTTGGGATGTTTTTGCAGTGGCTGGTACCAGTTGTTTCTTTCCATGTTTAGTGCTTCCTTCAGGATCTCTTGTAAGGCAGGCCCGGTGGTGACAAAATCTCTTGGCATTTGCTTGTCTGTAAAGGATTTTATTTCTTCTTCATTTATAAAGCTTGGTTTGGCTGGATATGAAATTCTGCATTGAAAATTCTTTTCTTTAAGAATGTTGAATATTGGTCCCCACTCTCTTCTGGATTGTAGGATTTCTGTCAACAGATCCGCTGTTAGTCTGATGGGCTTCCCTTTGTGGGTAACCTGACCTTTCTCTCTGGCTGCCCTTAACATTTTTTCTTTCATTTCAACCTTGGTGAATCTGACAATTATGTGTCTTGGGATTGCTCTTCTCAAGGAGTATCTTTGTGGTGTTTTCTGTATTTCCTGAATTTGAATGTTGGCCTGCCTTGCTAGGTTGGGGAAGTTCTCCTGGATGATATCTTGCAGAGTGTTTTCCAATTTGGTTCCATTCTCCCCATCACTTTCAGGTACACTAATCAAATGTAGATTTGGTCTTTTCACATAGTCTCATATTTATTGGAGGCTTTGTTTGTTTGTTTTTACTCTTTTTTCTCTAAACTTGTCTTCTCACTTTATTTCATTAATTTGATCTTCAATCACTGATACCCTTTCTTCCACTTGATTGATTCAGCTACTGAAGCTTGTGCATGCATCACGAAGGTCTCGTGTCATGGTTTTCAGCTCCTTCAGGTCATTTAAGGTCTTCTCTACACTGTTTATTCTAGTTAGCCATTCGTCTAACCTTTTTTCAAGGTTTTTAGCTTCCTTGTGATGGGTGAGAATATGCTCCTTTAGCTCGGAGGAGTTTGTTATTCCCGACCTTCTGAAGCCTACTTCTGTCAACTCGTCAAAGTCATTCTCCATCCTTTGCTGGTGAGGAGCTGCAATCCTTTGGAGGAGAAGAGGCGCTCTAGTTTTTAGAATTTTCAGCTTTTCTGCTCTGGTTTTTCCCCATCTTTGTGGTTTTATCTACCTTTGGTGTTTGATGTCAGTGACCTACAGATGGGGTTTTGGTGTAGATATCCTGATGCTATTCCTTTCCATTTGTTAGTTTTCCTTCTAACAGTCAGGTCCCTCAGCTGCAGGTCTGTTGGAGTTTGCTGGAGGTCCATTCCAGACCCTGTTTGTGTGGGTATCACCAGCTGAGGCTGCAGAACAGCCAATATTGTAGAACAGCAAACATTGCTGCCTGATCCTTCCTCTGGAAGCTTCATCCCAGAGCATCACCTGCCTGTGTGAGGTGTCTACTGGCCCCTACTTGGAGGTGTCTCCCAGTTAGGCTATACAGGGGTCAGGGACCCACTTTAGGAGGCAGTCTGTCCGTTCTCAGAGCTCAAACGCTGTGCTAGGAGAACCACTACTCTCTTCAGAGCTGTCAGACATGGACTTTTAAGTCTGCAGAAGTTGCTTGTTGCCTTTTGTTCAGCTATATCCTGCCCACAGAGGTGGAGTCTAAAGAGGCAGTAGGCCTTGCTGAGCTGCAGTGGGCTCAGCCCAGTTTGAGCTTCCTGGCCCTTTGTCTACCTACTCAAGCCTCAGCAATGGTGGACGCCCCTCCCCCAGCCAGGCTGCCACCTCGCAGTTCAATCTCAGACTGCTGCGCTAGCAGTGAGCAAGGCTCTGTGGGTGTGGGACCCACCGAGCCAGGCATGGGAGAGAATTTCCTTGTCTGCCAGTTGCTAAGACCTTGGGAAAAGCACGGTATTTGGGCAGACGTGACCCGTTTTTCCAGGTACAGTCTGTTACAGCTTCCCTTGGCTAGGAAAGGGAAATCCCCTGACCCCTTATGCTTCCCAGGTGAGGTGACATCCTGCCCTGCTTTGGCTTGTCCTCTGTGGGCTGCACCCACTGTCCAACCAGTCCCATTGAGATGAACCAGGTACCTCAGTTGGAAATGCAGAAATCACCCGTCTTCTGCATTGATCACGCTGGGAGCTGCAGACCGGAGCTGTTCCTATTCAGCCATCTTGGAACCCAACTTGAGGATGATGTTCTTGAGGAATGCATTCAAGCCTTCCTCCACTGCTATTTGTAATATGCTGACACATGCTTCTCCCCAGAGCTATTCTATGTGCATGTAGTTTCTCTGTAGGTCCTGGTATACTTGCTTCAGTCATGTTGTGAGTTGGAGTCCATCTGTCTTGCTTCATGCACAAGCATGGGTACCCATGGGTGGGATGGCCTTTGGGCTCTAGGTTTGGGTCTTCATTTCAATAAGTGTAACTTCTACTCATGCATCATGGTCTGACAAATGAAGGTGAGCAGTAAGCTCAGGATATGATAATTGAGTCCATTTTTTAAAAAGTTGAATGTGATAAGTATACAGAAAATGTCATAACCTTCTGAGTGTAGGCTACGCTGGCTTCTCTTATCAGATGCACTGTTTTGGAAACATAAATCCCAGGCTCGCAGCTGAACTAACAATACCAAAAAAGACTTTTGATCTCTGCCACTTTACACGTCCACAGTTGTTAATAAAACTTCTCTACCTCTTTCAGCTTCACTTATAAAAATGGACATTGTGAACTATTTGAACTCTAAAATTTCTGTTTTGCATGTTTAATATTCTAAAACAAAGAGGTTGGAATCTGCACAGTTACCTGGTAAAATTAGAATAAATCTCTATCCAACAACTTCATCACTATGGTGATCATATACCCTGATTTGCCAAGGCGGTTCTGATGGATGTCTCTTGTGCTGGTATGGTTATTAGCACTGTAACAGTAAAGGGGTATAGTAACCCCTTTACTCTCCAAGAGGTCTTCAGTTTAAATGATAATTTACATGGTCATCCTATAGATAACACCTATTGTCCCTAGTCAGACTCTTTGTATTCCTCATGAATGTTTTCTAAATAAGGGCAAGTTTTGGATTCACTGCTGTGTCCTGTGTCCTATTAGGTTCCCTTTTCCTTCTGGCCCTGACAGGTGATAAATAAATAAAACAAATGGCCTCTTGGGAGCTGTTGTCAACTTTGCTCCTATCCAGCCCCAATTTGGGGTGTTTTTTGTTCCTGTTCCCATCACTCAGGCCTTGAAGGCTGATAGATTTCTGATTTCTTCCTTGAAACATGACATGATGAATAAGGCTGCATGCTTTACTGCACAGTCCAAGAAAGAGAACTATAAAAAGTGATTGTCCTATACAATGGGAAATTATTTAACAGGGTTGGCCTTTTGCATGGGGAAAAGTAGGGGCATGATTTCAGAGCTCAGAAAAATGTTCTTCTCCAACAACAGCTCTGGGGAATGAACAGTCTTAAAATTTTCTTGAACTAATGTCAAAACATTTATCTGCAATGAGAGAACTGGTTTAAATTGTATACAATTTTGGGAGAGTAAATTTCATGACATTCAAACTGTTATTTTACCCCCAGCAACCTGGGTCCCATAAAGAGAAATAGAGTGTTCATATCTCAGGAAGTGAGATGCCAGTTCTTCTGTGCTCTGCATTTGTTTGGCACACAATATCTAAAGTAGTGTGATCAATTTTAGGTGTCTCATTATCTACAAATACTAAAAATGTCCAGCACCATTTTTTTTTTTTACTTTTTACAATATCATCCCTGTGTCTAGGTGTGTTTATTTTTGTTTTCTAATTTTTATTAATCAGATTGCTTTTCTGTCATCACCTGATGTATATCAGCATAATGAGGACCAGGAAGTTGGAGTTCTGGAGAGGCAGTGTGGGAGATCAGAGAAAGGACAAGGATATTAGTTTGAAACTTGAAACCTTCAAAGAGAGTTGCCTTAGTTAAAATGCTCTAGTGATATAATTGAGTGGCCTGGGGACAACAAGAGCTACTGCCCAGAATTTCTTACTGCCTCATCTGTGCTTTAGTGTCTGTCCACTTTCCTCTCTATTGCCGCTACCTCAGTGATAAATTTATTGAGCATTTTACATGTAATAACTTATTTAATTCTCATAAAAACCCTGGGAGGGAAATTCTATTAATATTGCTATTTTATAAATTGTGAACTTGAAGCTTGGACAGGTGAAGCAACTTGCCCAAGATCTATGTTACAGCTTGTATGCAGGAGAGTCAGGATTCCAGCTCACACATACATTCCAAGCCCACACTCATTTTGTTTTGTTTTGTCTTTTGTTATTTTATTTTTTCTTTTACCTTTTTATTTTTACCTAATTTCAGACTTAAAAAGAAGTTGCAAGAAAAAAATCCTGTATACTCTTTTCACCCAGATTTCCCAAATGTTAACATATCACCATATTTGCTTTATCAATTTTGTTCTCTCTCTATTTTGTAGTTGTGAGATACCTCTTTGCCCCTAAATACTTCAGTGTATTTTCTAAGAATAAGGTTTTCACTTACATAACTATCATATAATTAAAATCACGGTATTAATATTGTTGCAATAGCTAATCTAATCCACAGACTTTATTGAGATTTATATATTCAATAATTCTCTTTATAGTCCAAGAAAATCCTGCATCACACATCACATTTAATACTCATGTTTTCTTAGTCTCTTTTAATTTGGAACAGTTCCACAGTCTTTTTAATTACATGATATTAACTTAAAAACTACTGGCCAGTTATTTTGTAGAAAGTTCCTTATTTTGGATTTGTTTGCTGTATCCTCAGGCTATGCATTTTGGCCGAGAATACCAGAGAAGTGACCTTGTATTCTTCCCAGTGCATCACACTGGGAGGCATGTGATTTGGCTCTGTCCAATTACTGCTAATGTTAGCTTCGGTCACTCAGTCAAAGTGGTATCTTCTAAGTGATTCCGTTGTAAAAAGTTACATTTTTTTTCCCTTTATGATTAAGACGTATCTTGTCAGGAGATACTTCGAGACTATATAAATGTCCAGCTACTAAAAAAAGTTTCACCCACTACATTTAGCATCCACTGGTGATTCTTACCTAAGTCAATTATTATTATAGTGGTTGTCAAGAATTACTTTATTAATTCCAATATTGGTTCTACATCTAGTTAGTCATTCTACTATAAAGAAGAACTTTCCTCCCTTCCCTCCTTCTGGCCTTTCTTCCTTCCATTTTTTCTTTCCTTCCCTTCTTCCTTTCTTTCTTCTGTCCAGAATCTACAAACCTAACACTCAAATATAGGTTTGGAATACATTATCCACCAGGAAGAACTGTCCCTTCCTTCCTTCCTACCTTCCTTCCTTCCTTCCTTCCTCTTTCTTCCCTCCATCCCTCCCTCCCTTCATCTTTTGTTCTATCATTATTTCTTCATATTAATAATAGACTCACAGGCCAGGTGCGGTGGCTCACGCCTGTAATCCCAGCACTTTAGGAGGCAGAGGTGGGTAGATCACAAGGTAAGGAGCTCAAGACCAGCCTGACCAACATGGTGAAATCCCGTCTCTACTAAAATTACAAAAATTAGCTGGGTGTGATGGCATGGAACTGTAATCCCAGCTACTCAGGAGGTGGAGGCAGGAGAATCGCTTGTACCCAGGAAGCAGAGGTTGCAGTGAGCTGAGACCATGCCACTGAACTATAGCCTGGGCGACAGCATGAGACTCCATCTCAAAAAAAAAAAAAAAAAAAAAAGACTCATAAAACATTATTTAAAGGATTATAATCCATTGCTATTGTTTTAAAGAAATCGATGCTCACTTGTCCTAGATTTGGACAGAGGGTACCCATTTAAGCTAATGCCTACATATGAGGTGTTTGTCAATACTCCATCATTCTTCAAGCACATTCTTACTTTGAAGGTGTTCTAGGCTTGTCTTGTATTTCTCCAGCCTTGGAATCAATAGTTCTTGTTCTTTTTGGTGGATAATGCATTCCAAACCTACATTTGAGCATAGGTTTGTAGAGTCTGGACTCCTAACCCCTGTGATCATTGTGTCTCCTAAGTTCTCGTTTCTTCTCTGGACTCTGTGACAGCACGCTGATGATGTCCCTGAAGCCATCTTGATCCACTCCAGTTTGTTTTCCACACTGTAGCATGATGTTCTTTTCAAAATGCCTCCATGATCTTGTAAACTTTCTGCTTACAAGACCTCTTCATGATGTCTCTTTGTAATGAACTAAAAACGTGTTTAATCTGCTTCCTGAGACTACTCCTGGTCTCTGAGACCACTCCAGCCTCTTCTCACTCTGTTCTCTTCCTTACTATCTTCCCTCCAGGCTCCCTGGTCTTTCTTTTGGTTTCCCGAAACTCCTATGTTCCTCCCAGTTCAGGGTTCTGCCTGTGTTCACTCCTCGTCGAACGCTCTCACATGCGATGCTCCACCCAGCACAGCTCCTCAGATCTCAGCTCAAATGTCACTTCATTAGACATCAGTCTAGATTAGAGTCTCTCACTGGGCCCTGTTTCTTTATCTCTGTTTGAGATTATACACTCAATACTGTGATATTTTGATTAAATTATCTTCCCTACTGTTCACTCTAAGCTCCATTCTCAACACTGCTTCCTTAAAACCTGGACGAGGTTTGGCACATAGTAAGAGTTTTATACAAATTTGGTGAATAAAGTATATACTGCCCATATAGAAGCAAGGAGTGATTGAAATACTACTACATTGGAAATGCCCAGACTTAGCCTCTTTTTGTTGTTTTTTATAATTGTCTTGAAGTAATTATTCTGTTGCTATAATGAGGTTGCAGAAATATTAAAAAGCAATGTAATTTTAGAAATCAATATATAGAGGGGAAATCTGATGCTTTGAGTTTTCGATAATAAGACTGTGCATTTGGCTGAAACAGGCTTTTGATTTGAAAGAGATATCAACATTTTAAGTGACAGTTCTTTGAGAAAACAATTAGTCATTCTAAGATGAGATTTAACATGGAAATACCTTTATTTTCAACCTACTTAAAGACAATACTTTGGCTGTCATTGGTATTAGATTCCCAGCATTGTTGTTAGAAATGCCATAGTATTAATTTGAATCAATAGCACCTTAATTACAGTACAATTTTCTAAGTAACATCATTGTCCCCCAAGTCATTGTGATCTCTCTAGTTAAATGTGTTTTTCCATGATAAAATAATCATCAAGCTATGTCCATCCCCTAAGACTCAGAATGTTATTCAGTCTGCACCTTATTCAGCATTAAACCACTGTTACTGTCAATTAAGTTTCACTTTTAAATGGTAGAAGGGGAAGTAGTAAGTTCCTTCGACACTTACAAAGCCTTTTTTTTAAAAAAAAAAATCTTATTCCAGCACCATGCTTCCTAAGGATTTTTAATTTTCTTCTATACCAATTTTTAATAAACTAGCAACCCACAGATGAGAAATAAAAACCCTTATAAGAGGTGATTAAAACATAATGGAACATTATTCATTCTCACAAGTATCCTGAATTCCCATGGCAAATTACCAAATTTTACAGTTTTAAAATAGGGAAATGGATATGCAGTTAGTAGAAAAATTTGCATTGGTGATGAAAATTATACATATGCATAATACTCATAAGAAAGACAATTACTGCAGCTTTACTCATTGGCCAGAGGGCATTTGCCTGATATACAGTTAAGTTCTGTGGAAGAACCTGGCTTATTTAGCCAAATGCCGTCTGATGAGAATAAGGATCAAGAGTTTACTGAGGCATTTGTTTCCAAGCATTGTGTAGAGTCTTTGTCTTTAAGAGTGTTTTTTTCTTTCTTTCTTTCTTTTTTTTTTTTTGAGACAGAGTCTTGCACTGTCACCTGGACTGGAGTGCAGTGGCACAATCTCGGCTCACTGCAACCTCTGCCTCCCAGGTTCAAGTGATTCTCCTGCCTCAGCCTGCCCAGTAGCTGGGACAATGGGACTACAGGTGTCCGCCACCACACCTGACTGATTTTTTTTTTTTTTTGTATTTTTAGTAGAGACGGGGTTTCAATATGTTGGCCAGGCTGGTCTCGAATGCCTGACCTTGTGATCCATCTACCTCAGCCTCCCAAAGTGCTGGGATTATGTCCGTGAGCCACCACGCCTGGCTATCTTTAAGAGTCTTGAAGCTGTTCTCCCTAATTGAGACTTGGGTCTTCAAAGGAAGCCCTTAAGCAAAGATGGGAGGTGAACGTGAATTCTATTCAGTTCCCGTGTTTAGAATTATTGTTACCTTTTGACACTTTAAAAAATTGATATAACACTATGTGGTTAGCATATGTTGTGCACATAGCAAATTACATAAGGTACACTAATATTATGAATAAAGCTCAATGAGTATGGACATACGTACACACTCATGTATCTACTACCTGGAAGAAAATATGGGACGTTTCTAGTGCCCCAGAAGGCTCTCTCATGCTTCTTTCCTGTTGGTGGCCCCCTTCCAGCCCATAACTACTACTCTAATTTCCTTAATGAAGTCATACATTCTACATCTTTTGCATCTAGCTTCTTTCATTCAACTTAGTATCTATAAAAGTTACCCATATTGTTGCATGCATTAGTTACGTTTTTAAAATTCTTATATATAATATTCCATTTCATGGAAATACTACCTTTTATTTGTCCATTTTCTTGTTGATTGACATTTAGATGATTTTCTTATTTTGATCATTACAAATAAAGCTATTATGAACATTATTGTACACATCTTTTGGTGGCCATGTGTACTCATTTCTCTTGGATATATGTCTAGGAGTAGAACTTCCATTTAATGGGTAAGTGTATTAGTTTGTCTTCATGCTTCTGATAAAGACATACCCAAGACTGGGTAATTTATAAAGGAAAAGAGGTTTCATGGACTCACAGTTCCATGTGGCTGGGGAGGCCTCACGATTATGGTGGAAGGCAATGGAAGAGCAAAGGGATGTCTTACATGGCGGCCAGCAAAAAGAGAATGAGAGCGAAGCAAAAGGGGAAACCCCTTATAACAGCATCACATCTCATGAGGCTCATTCACTACCACAAGAACAGTATGGGGGGAATCGCCCCCATGATTAATTTATCTCCTACTGAGTCCCTCCTACAACAGGTGGGAATTATGGGATCTGCATCGCAAGATGAGATTTGGGTGGGGACACAGCCAACCTGTATGAGTAAGTATTAAAAATTTTCCATTTAAACGTATTGCCTTTTCCATGATAAAGGCAATGATTATTTTCCATGATAAACTAATCATCAAGCTATGTCCATCCCCTAAGACTCAGTCTTCCAACTTGGTTATACTATTTTACATTCTTGCAAACAATGTGTGACACTTCCAGTTTCCTCAATTCTTGCTGATGTTTGGTATTGACAATCATTTTAGTTTTAGCCATTTTGATGATGTGCATATATATATTTTGGTAACTTCTGGCTTTAGATTTTTATATGGTTTTTAGCTTTCCAGTTTCATTCTCAGATTTAGCACCTCAGATTTAGTCCATCTTTGTATCTAGTCCTGGTGTTACAGGCCAAGTTCTTCTAACTGTGTGTTCCAAGACAGATCTCTCTGGCAGAGTTGACAGTCAATCTGCAGACCAAAGCATACTGCCATGGAAATTTCATCTCTAGGGAATTGTCTCAGAACTTCCATCCTCCCTGGGTCACCTCTGAACTCACACTCACTAGAAGGGCTTACGTAAAGCATGCCCACCTGGCCACTATTATGACTTACTTCTGCCCAGGAAAGCACCAACTCAAAATCCTGTAGGTAAAAGGTAGTAGGGGACCCCTGCCCTTGCTCCTTTCTTTCCCTACCTTATAAAAATGTCTGCTTTCTGCTCCAAAGGTGAAGTAGCACCTTTAAAGGCAGGATGCTTTGTGTCATCTTCCTCTTTCTGAATAAATTCACTGTTTTGTGTGTGTCAGGCTTTACTCTCATTAATTGAACTCTACATACAGGGAGCAACTAACCTGCTTTTCAGTTACACCAGTCACCTTCTCTGATGTTACTTTTCCCAATTTCCTCCGGTGTACTTTTGTGTAGAATCTCATTCTAGCTACAACACTACCCCAGTTTTATTTTTATTATTACCTAGGCATTAAAAGGTAGTAGTCATTTGGATATACCTGGAAAATAAGGTAGACAACTTAGATAACTGCTTGCTTGTTTAATTAAAAGGTCAGGTAATACATACAGACAAATATATAGAGAAAACAAATGTGCTACTTCACACTAGCACCATCTGCTTTCCACACAGCCAATCTGAGATCACTGGAAAGAATTAGGCTGACATTATTTATATAGAATTGAGTAGAATAGAAACTGGTCCTTAAATGATGGTTAGGCTTTGTATAACTGATCCAAAGGCTCATCCCAATGGATAGAGATGGAAATACTTCAGTGTTTTTGTTTCTGATAGCAGAGCTGGAAAAAAAATAGAAATGACCATAAAGATTCAGTTAACCAGCACATGCAAGGTGTAGGAAATTTGGTCAATAATATCTCATGAGGAATCGAATATCTAAACCAGATTAACACATTTTTGTCAAACTTTCTGGTGGGCATTGTCTTAGTGTCCACATTTGTTTTACGTCTCAGTAAGGAGAGGCTATTGAACGTGATTGATTTTGTCTCTGCAGACTGGGGATCTTAAAGAGCCTTGGCGACATCTTAATGGCCCTGAATTCTCAGTGTGCTGTATTAAACAGAGACAGAGAATGAGTTCACACCGAATCCATAATGACCTTAGGATTTGCACTGTATTTTTGAAGTAAAATGCTCCATTTTGGTTTTCTTGTCTACTGCTTCTTTCTCTTAATCCATTGAACTGAGAAAAATATTACATTTGCCAACTGGTTACTTCAGTTCCAATTAATTGAGGCTGCACCATCATTTGCTAATAAATATACTTTCCTAAGGTGGGAAGTCTACTAGAAAAGACACATGGAAATCAAAAAGTCACACAAGAACACCCAAAGTAAATATTGTGTTATGACTCAGTGAAGTCCACTTTATTAGGTAAAAGCAACAAGTTCTGAACTTACCTTGGGACTGAAATAATTAACTTGATCAAGTAGGTATATTTTCTTTTTCTTTCTTTCTTTCTTTCTTTTTTTTTTTTTTTTTTTGAGATGGAGTCTCGCTCTGTAACCAGGCTGGAGTTCATTGGTGCGATCTCAGCTCACTGCAACTTCCACCTCCCGGGTTCAAGCAATTCTCCTGCCTCAGCCTCCAAAGTAGCTGGGACTACAGGTGCACACCACCATGCCCAGCTAATTTTTGTATTTCTAGTAGAGATAGGGTTTCACCATGTTGGCCAGGATGGTCTCGATCTCTTGAACTCATGATCTGCCTGCCTCGGCCTCCCAAAGTGCTAGGATTACAGACATGAGCCACCGTGCCCAGCCAAGTAGGTATATTTTCTTGAAAATAACATGAGATTTTGAAGTCCAATGGTCAGGGTCCAAGTTCTGGATTTAGTGTGACATTTGGCATGATGTTAACTTTTTTGTGAACCAGTTTTGCCAGCCAAAAACAGGAAATAGTAACAATAATACTTATCTTAAAAATTATTGTGAGAATCAAATTAGAGATATACATGAAGTATCTATATGATTGGTGAAACCTTATGACAACAGAAGATGTCATTATCTATGGTATCAAATGAAAACATGGACTACGGAGGGGGTTTGATAGGGTGTGAGGTAGTGTCTTTACTGTGCTCATTTGATCATATGTATGGAGGTGAGATGATGTCACTTTTAGTAATTAGTGAATTACTCAAAGTCTTCTTGAGCTGTTTGTTTGATAGAAAGCAGCTGGGCTCACCTTCCAGTTTGAATTCTAATTGCTTTGGTTATAATAAAGAAACTGAAACTCACCTGTTCAGGGGTTATATCTGATGAGGGAAACATTACCTTAAGTTATCTGATTAAGCATAATTTGGGTGAGAGAAACTGGCCATCATTGACTTGCTCCAAGGGCTGGAGGATGCCCTTTGGCTTTACTTGTAGGCTGAAACAGAAGAAGACCTGAGCAGTGCAGATTTCCAGGAGAGGAGAAAGGAAGGTTTGGTGTACTGAAAAGAATGCTGGTCTGAAAATCTAGAAATCAGGATTTCAGCAACAAGGAGGTGGAAGACCTTGGCAAATTGGCCTCTCTTCTTTTTTTTTTTCTTTCCCCTCCCTCCCTCGCTCCTTCTCTCTCTCTCTCTCTCTCTCTCTTCCTTCCTTCCTTCCTTTCTTTCTTATGTTTTTTCAAGATAGGATTTCACTGTGTCATCCAGGCTGAAGTGCACTGGCATGATGATGGCTTACTGCAGCCTCAACCTCCTAGGCTCAAGGGATCCTCCCACCTTAGCCTTTTTTTTTTTTTTTTTTTTTTAAGAGAAGGAAGAATTCACCGTGGTCCTCGTAATTATTTTTCACTGTGTTTCCCATGTTGGTCTCAAACCATCTCGGCTGCCCAAAGTGCTGGGATCACAGCCGTGCATTACTGTGCCTGGCCTGACCTTTCTTCTTTAGACCTCACTCTTATGTGTTAAATGGTTGGGCTGTCCTCACATTCTTCACTCTTGTCTACTCCCCAGTATAGTATCCTTATGGTGTCTTTTTGCCCTCCATTAAAATCTATCAGGAAAAGATTTAAAAGCCATCCATACTGAACTACAAATAACTGATGAGATCTCCACTGCAGAAGAGATGGAAGTTTTAAGCTAAAAGAATGAAGCACCAGCTGTAGAATTCCAGGCATTAATCAAAAGGTAATTATTTTGGAAGCAAATAGAAACTTTCTGAGAGCCTACAATCAACACTTGGAGGTAGCTGTGCTTTTTTTTTTTTCTATGCTGTCATCTGGCATGAGTGGAAAGATAAATATGAGAGAAGCAATGTGTTTGGGAAGTTCATCACAGCGTGCAGGCCCTGTATGGATGCCAAATAGGGAAAAACAACTCATCATCCTGCCCTGCTTGGCTGGTTTGTGCCCTGACTTCCTTCTTAGGGGTTGCAGAATATTTTATTTAGTTTCAATGTCTCATTTTTGAAACTTGTACTCTGTAATTAAATAAGATTGTACCATTCTAAAAGAGAAGAGGATTGCCTAAGTATGTTTGGTCCCTGGACAGCAGTAGCAGCATCACTTGAGAGCTTGCTAGAAATTCAGAATCTCAGGCCCACCCTGGACTCACTGAATTAGAATCTACATTTTAACAAGATCCCTAGGTGATTTGTGAGCACATTAAAGTTTGAGAAGTGCCGAATTCATGTATCAGGACATTTATTCCCCACCCCAGTAATTAAAATCCCTGGTGTCACCAAAGGCTCTTTTCTCTAATTTAAGCGGTTCTTCTTGCAATGCTATTTTCATCCTCTGGCTACTAATATACAGTTGTCAGATCCCTCAAGCCCGCTCAGAATTGCTGTGAAGCCCAGCCTTACATATTTAGTTCTTTTAATGTTTGCTCATAAATCAAGTCCTCCATCCCCTTAATCAATCCAGCAACTCTCCACTGAATTTGCAGCAATTTGTCAACATCTTTCTATATCTGAGAAGCTCTAGGCCTGAATGTAATTTTCTATGAGGAGACACAGATATTATTTACAGGATTTAAAACTCCTTTAAGATATGTGGTCAAGGCTAATAATCAAACAAAGTGAAGGCAGTGTATGTGCAAAGACTAGACAATCAATTGGAGATACATTTAATAGTAGCGTCATCACCATGGTCCTCATCATCATTAACTGCAATTCAAAAGATATCTCTCAAACTCTTATCATGTGTAAGCATGGTGGCAGGTACTAAGGATAAACAGAGGTATCAGAGGGGATCCCATTTCTTAGAAAGGTTTGAGTCTCCGAGACAAAGGTTTGCAATAAAATAAGTACTAGAAAGTAGAATAAGTGATTGAGGCCCAGTAAGGAGAAGAGAATTATTGTGGACTACGGCGCTTAGAAAAGTTTCGGGGAGGTCTTAAGAAAATTTAGCAATCTAGATTAATGGAAAAAAGTAGAAAGAATATTCTAGGCAGATAAATAAATTGAAACTATGGTTTTAAACAAACAAACAAAAATTTTAACTTTTAAAAGTAGACTATCCGCCCACCACATTCTAGATTGCCTATTTCTTTTTCTCTCTACATTTTTCTTATCTTCTAAAGGTTTTTATTAATCATGCATTACTTTAAAAAGAAAAGTAAATGATACTTTATGAAGCAGAGAGAAAAAAATAACTTAGTTTATGTATTTTTAAATCTTACTATCTCTTTCATCTAAAAGAAGGGAGAATTCAGCAAAACAGTGTATACAGAGGAAAAATCGAGGTTCCCTTAGCTGCCCTTCTCTCCTCTTCAGGCTGGCATAGGAAGGGAATGGATCTGCAAAAACAGCCTCCAACAACATTTTCCAGTGAAACATTTGAAATCACGCTCGGGAGCTCTGAGTTCCACAGCTGGTCCGGTTGTGACTGAGTTGTGTGATGTTGGGTGTCACTTATTCTTTCATATGCCAAATGGGGGTTTTATTATGATTATCATGTGTTTCATAATAGCCTTATTAGGATGATAAGACCTTAATATGGGCTTCTAACATGTGGAGCTAAGTCTGTGATATAGTGGCATCAAATAACTGTGTGATTTATTGTCCAAATTCAGATGTCTTTGAGAATGAGAAGGGCTTTTGTTAATATCCACACCACAGCAACCCATAACAATGAGGCCTGTCCCCACACATAGGTCTGTTTGGTCAACCCAGCTAGTACAGACCAGAGTATCACTACAACTCTGTTGTGGGAGAAAGAAATGTTCTTTTTTAGTAACAGATTGTTTGGTTTTGTGAGACTAAGATTTTTTTTTTTTTCCCCAGTGTAAGCAGCTCTGCCCAGAACCCATATTTTGGGTGAAGGACACCCTTAGTCCATGGAGTGAGAAACAGGGATTTGCTGGATGTAATGATTTTCCAGCCTCTCCCTCTCACCTCTGCTATTGAAGATTGAGTTAGACCTGCTCTGAAGGCCACAGAATAGATGGATGCATATTCTAATTCCTAATGCCTACAGGGCAATAACTCAGGCTGATTCCTTCAGCTACAATAACAAGGTTTATTTTATTACAGTTTGAAAGCTGTTTGGGACCTCACTAGGAGAACATGTCCCCTGGCTCAAATAGGTTAAACATCTGCTAACTTTCCCCCCAACTTTCCCCTTAACTTTGTTTTATTGTTATTGCCCTCATGAGGCCACTAAGCAGGAGTTCATGGGAGGAAGAATGGAAGTGACATTTCTATCATTATTCAGCACATTCAGGCAGTTTATTATCTGGGAACTCATTCCTCCTCAACCCCCAAGGAACTTAATATGAAATAATATTAACACATTAAGCATGTAATGTGAGGCTGCATTAATTAATATAATGTACAGATCTCTTACAAATTGTGGCCCAACTCTACTCCTATTACTGAGCTCAGACATGAAGGCGGGTGTTACGTCCATGTTTTTTAAGAGAAAACATGGTGTCCAGAGGGTGACTAGGCATGTGAGATGCCTAAAAACAACCTTATTCAGTGTGCAGGAGAAGAGAAATGTGGAATTTATCTTCTGGAAACTGAAGACTTGCCATGGGAAAAAGAAGTGCATTTATATTAGTGATGATCCAGAAGACAGAATGAAAGCAACATAAAAAATAACTTCCTGCAAAGTAGATCTGAGGCCAGCCTATGTATATGGGAAATATTTTAGAAAAGGCTAGTTATTTGGGGTGAGGCAGTTTTCTGCCCTGGATAAGTGCAAAACTGTAAAGAAACTCAAAATCTAGGATTCCATGGTCTGTAATTTGTACTCTAACTTGAAGTTTATTAGTCCTTCTAAGCTAGAAACCCACTTGAACTTAAAGCAACTGCATGTCAACTTTTAGGTTACTATTCTCCACATGGGTTCTTTCTACTCTGTAAAGTAGTACTTTGCTTTATAGTAATTGCTTTCAAATTTCAAGAATATTTCTTCTAATTATAATTGTCATGAACATTTCTTGTTGCCTCCCAAACATAAATTTTCTCCTTTTTGACAGATTTTACTCAGGTTTCTGTCTTTCTCTTGTGCAGCTATGTTAACCAAGAAAAGCTGAGCCAATCTCTGGTTTCACAGATGGGCTCTGATTAGTTAAATTAATCGTGGTAATGACTTAACAGTCATTCATCTAAGAAGAGACATATAACCCAATTCTGGCCTGTGAGACTTAAGAAGAAAATGGTTGGAGGCGTTTGCAAAGATTCTGCTTTTATGAGAAAGGAAAAGAGGGTTATTTTTTTTTTCTTTCTCAGAAAAGACAAGAGGAATCTTGGCCTCAAAAACTGATATCCATCATAAGATCATGGTGAAATACAGTCTGAAGCAGGTCCAGAGTGAGAAGAGAAAAGAATCACAGAAATGGGGCTGGAGTTTCAACTGTATTAAGCCAGAAGACTACCTGCCTCCAAACTTTCAAGAAGCCAACAAAGTTCCTGACTGTTTAAACTAATTTGAGTTGGATTTCTATTGCTTGTATCTAAAAGAATCCTAACTGGTAAGCTAAACCTCCCGGAGTTGATAGTTAGGGACTTTATTTACTATTCACCTTTACTTATTATTATTTTACTTTTATTTTAAACTAATTTTAGGCCAACAGAAAAGTTGACAAAAATAGTAGAGTTCGTATAAACTCTTCACTAATATTACCATCTTACATAACCACAGTACACTGATCAAAACTATGAAATTAACTATAGTACAATAGTATTAACTAAACTATGAACTTTATTTGAATTCCACTAGTTTGTCCACAAATGTCCACTTTTGTGTTCCAGGATCCTATCAAAGATCCCACATTGCATTTCATTATAATGTCTCCTCAGTTTCTTCCAATCTATAACAATTCCTTAGTCCTATCTCTTTCAATATCTTGACACTTTTGGAATGTACTGATCAATTATCTTTCATGATTATTGGTTGCAGGTCTACTCAGCTCTGGTTTTGGAAACTAAAAAGTCTTATGATTTTTGATGCATTCATGAATATAAATTACTCAGAGTTTTTGGCTTCTTTTGTAGTAGTCTCTCTTGGAAACATTTCCTTTTCATGATTATATTTTAAAGAAAACACCATCAACACAGTATAAGAGTTTACTTGGGATTGTCCTCTGGCATTATTAACAAAAGGGTTGCTGTTTTAATTATTTTGTAGCTTATTTCCAATGGTCATTTTGAAGGCTTTTCAAAAGTTTGTTGGACTTTTAGGCCACAAAAAAAGACATTCAACAAACATATATTAAACACTCACTCTGAGCAAGAAATTGTACTTCTTGTTTGGAACACAAAGGTAATATGACATAGTCCATTCTCTCAAGAAAAACAAAATACTGGGAGACATCTTCAGAGAAAGGTAAATTGTGGTCATTAGATCTGTTTTAGCAATTGTGGTTGAAAATCTGTAACCTGTTATTTTAATCAATATGGAGTGTGTCTGGGCCAGTTGCTTAGGGGAGAAACATGAGTCCTAAAAGAGTAAGGGGAGAGCATTTTTCACTTCATTCTAAAATATATATTATATATTTACATATTATATATATCTTAATGTATAAATATATATTCTATAACTATATCATAGAAATATATATGCAATTGAAAACAAGCATATCTAGAGTCACCAGAACCAAGAAATCTGTTTACCTTTAATGGAAGATTTAAGCAGATTAAATTTTCTTCATATAATCTCTCCAATATTTTGCAAATTTTGTGTCTGATGGTTGGACTGTCAGATCTTATGACCATTTACTATAAGAGTCATCACCAGACTATTGAAAGAAATGTGGAATTAACATTACTATAGCCTTTACAAAGGCAAGGTACTAATGAAATGTACCTTGCAATGATTTTGGACATTCAAATTAATTAGAATTAAAATGAATATGTTATTTTCCTAGAAACAATAGTCACTCTCTGAAGCTCTACAAATACTGTAGTTATAAAAATTATAATTTTTTCTGAAATAGCTAAAATGTGTGAAGCTTAATCTGTAATGCCTCGTAGCCAATGAAGCTGTGTCAAGTTTCTGCCATTGATTAAATGTAGTAGCAGAGCTGGAGCATTTAATCAATCATAAAACCACTTTAATGCATTGTATCACTCTAAAGCTAGAGCGATTAGGGCAGTTGCACTGCAGGCCAGAATGCAAAATGCAGAACAATAAAAGGGAAGGGAAAATAGTCTATGTCCAGGTCTTCATGTTTCAAAACGTGCAAATGGATAGTTTTGTATGCATTATGTGTGTCATTTTACTGGCACAGATATGGCAAAGCAATCATTATTTGCAATGTGTAGAGCTATGTCTGCACACATATAAGTGAGCATAAACAAGTATAGTAGTTTGAGAAAAAATAATAATGGATTTTGAACAATGATGAATATTTTATGCAGTATGTCACTTCTGAAAGTTACTTAATTCCCACCTAAATGAGAATTTCTAATGTTACTCATACCACTGCCACAGGAAAAAAGAAGTTATTGCCAGAAGAAGAAAGAAGAGGAGAAGAAAGAGGTATGGGGAAAGAGAAAGGAAGGAAACGGGGAGAGGAAGAACTGAGGCCATGTGACTCGTATATCAGATTTGATATAATAGGATGGTCAGTGTAGGGATCACCATGTGACATAGAATGATAAGACCAAAGAAAATAATGATGGGGTGAGACCATACAAAGAAAGAAGATAGATGAATGATCTAATTAAATGGATGAATGAGGATTTTTCTTGGTCCATTATGAGGAAGAATTATAGTGAATACCACAACCACATGGTATTGATAAATTGCAATTCGTTTTACCTACATATATAACCTATATATATATATATATAATATTATATTTAGTTCAGAATTAATCTGTTTATATCATAGTATTCGATTAATGTTCATATTCAATTAATTCCTTTGTGATCTTTGTCAAGTCTTGAGGCAATAGAACCTCAGCATTGCTGAGGAGAAATCCCTGAAAGAGTTGGATCCAAACTGACATTTGAAGTTGAAACTATGGATTCCAACACTGATAGAAAGGCAAGCATGATCCCTGACAATGATCTCATGTTATATCACTCTGCAGTATTTACTGCTGAAATGTTTACCCATTTGTACAACTAAACTGAAGAGGAGTCTGGCTTTGCAATACTTCCATGGAGCCTGGCCCTCACCTTTTCTTCATGCTCAAATTTTAGCTTTAATATTTTGGAATATATTGTGGGTTTTGATTATTAATCAGACCTGTGTACCTTTATTATTTTGCATGGATGCCAACTTTGATTGTACAATGACAGTCATACAATAAGCACCATATAAATACTAACAAAATTACCACCTCAGGTTTGAAGCTTTGAGCTGGTACTGAGCATATTAAATGACTACTGTCTTCAAGGAATTGTTAATATTACCGAAAAGCCAATGTTAGTACATATGACATTACATGTAAATATCTTATATAATAGAGCATATAAATACAAATTGCAGGCTAAAATTATTGTAAGAGCTGAGAAAAATTCAAAGACAAATATGACCAGTGAGAACAAAATTGATCAAGCAAGACTTCAAGGGGGAGGTAGGATGAAACTCAAGCCATCATGATAAATTAGACTACTTAAAATAAGTAGAAAAATTGATCAAGACAATTTAGAAGCATCATAGGCTTAAGAAGCATCCCAAAGTTTCCTGTTAAACGACTGAGGGAATAAAGACTTTAGGGGTGGATCAAAAACATTAGAGAAGACAAGGACCTGAGCATAAGTGCTTCAGAAGACAATATTTTCCAAAAAAGTTTCAAGGTGAATATTTCTAATGTGGCATCTGTTCATGCATTTCTTTTGTTGACACAGTGTAACCATGCTGAGGAAATTCCTGAGAGAGTGGGACCAAGGAGGGCACTTGGTTTTAATTCAAGTTAAGGAGTGGCTTTGAGTGTGCACAGGATTATCCTAAAGGTGCTGAGTGTTTGAAGACAGTATGGGGTCATGTGGGTGGGCAAAGAGAAGTACTTGACTTTGGAAGACTGACTTCTTTTATTCAGTATTTCATAGCAGGCTCTGACTATCCACATACATGTCTGAGATGCTGTTTATCTCCCAGTTTTTATCTTCTGTCTTTTCCTTTTAGAATTAGAGCCTCTAAATTTTAACTGGACACACGCTACCCAAAATAAAGTCTTAAATTTCCAGACTTCTTTGTACTTAGTTGCAGCCATTTGTCTAAGTTTTGGCTAATGGGATGTAAACAAATTCATATTTTGAGTTTCCAGGTTATGCCCTCCTTGTGGTTTGAATCTGTATTGCTGCTAAATCTCATGCTAAAATGTAATCCCTGGTGTTGGAGGTGGGGCCTGGTGGGAGGTGTTTGGATCATGGGGGAGAATACCTCATGAGTGGCCTAGCACCATCCGCTTGGTGATGATTGAGTTCATGCAAGAAATGGTTGTTTAAAAGTGTGTGGCACCTCGCACTCTCTCTCTTTCTCTGGCTCCCACTATTTTCCATGTGACATGCTGCTTCCATTTCGCCTTCCACCATGATTGTAAGCTACCAGAGGCCTTCCCAGAAGCTAAGCAGATTCTGGCACCATGCTTCCTGCACAGCCTGTCAAACTGTGAACCAATTAAACCCTTCTACATAAATTGCCCTGTTTCAGGCATTTATTTATAGCAATGCAAAGAACAGCTTAATAAAACCCTTAAAAGAGAATGGACATGATCTTTATGTCCTCTTCTTCCCCTTTCCTGTGGAGTTGAATGTGAATGTGGTGATGAGCTATCTTGGACCATGAAAGATGAGGGCAGAGCACTAGGAAGGGCAGAGCTACAAGATAGAAGGAGGCAAAATCTCCAGCTCTGTTGTGTCATCATGCTAGCCTTCGACTACCTAACATACATAAGAGAGAATTGCACTACTGTTTAACTTAGGCCAGTATATTTGGGGGTCTTTTTCTTTCTACGGTTGTTGGCAAGAGGTAAATATTTTGATGATTGCTTACTAAAGGCTTATTGATTACTTGAGTAAATTAAGAACAGGTGTTTCAATATTCACTCATAGCATGTGCTTTGATCACATTTTACTTGTAAAGAATTTGGTTTCCTTCTTAGCCTTGGGCATAATTCACTCTGCAGGAAGAACGGCAGCTTTATGGCCCCATCTATGTTTTTCCCATATTCATTCACATTGATAGTGGAGCAAGGTACCATGAACATGTGATTTGATGTTTCTGAGTGTTTTGTGTCACTGCTTTTGTTACTAGAGGAAGACAGCTGCTTATTTCATGATCCTTATTTTGGAGGTTCTTTTGAGATTAGTTTGAACACATTGAAGCACATAACTTTTTTACAAAGGTTATCATGTCTCTACTTTGAACTTTGAAAAGAATAGAAGAGAAGTAATCATTTGCAAGCAGCTGTTGTGTGGGGTCCTTCATGTCAGCAGGTCATGACAAGCAGAGACACAGAGGTTTGTTCTCCGTTGGGTTTCATAATTTCATTTCCCTGACTTCATTAACACCGAAAATTGATGGTTATGACATTTAAAAGCATGTGAGTGTTGAAGTCAGACCTGGGTGATGTTATCAAGAGAATAAATGCTTTCCAAAAGTCAATGGATGTTACCTCTTGCTTCATTTCCTCTGCCGCTACCATCTGCTAATTCTAGAATCATTTCTGACTGAAGCAAAGGATTAGCACCTTTGCAACAGTGCCCTTCCAGGCCAGCAGGGTGAGTCCTCCCTGTACTCTGAAGGAGAGAGATGTGGTTTAAATCAGGTTATAAACCCATAGCCTCTGAGCTAATCAGCAGTGAGAAATTTCTGGGAAGGCAGGTCCAGGGTTATCAAACTCTATTAGAAGCAAGAGCATCGGTTATGCAAATAGCATCATAGTAACAAAGTCAAAATCCCTGTGGAAAAACATTTTTCTTTCACACTTCTCATTGAGATATAAAGCGCATTAACATTTTAAAAACAGCTTTATTGAGGTATAATTGACATATAATAAACTGCACATATTTAAGTGAACATTTTATAAGTTTTGGCACTTATATATTTGGGAAGTCACCACCACAGTCAAAATACTCAGCATGCCCATCAGTCCCAAAAGTTTTATTTTTAAATTGTATTTATTTTTTTACTTTTATTTTTAGTTGACATATTATAATTTTACATAATTATGGGATATAGAGTGATATTTCAATACATATGCAATGTATAATGATCAAATCAAGGATATTATTATTTCTATCACGTCAAAGATTTATAATTTGTGTTGTATACATTCAAAATCCTGTCTTCTAGCTTTTTGAAAACATGCAATAAATAATAGTTAAGCATATTTATCCTACAGTGCTGTAGGACCCAATAACTCATTTCTCCCATTTAGCTGTAATTTTGTACCCATTAACCAAACTTTTCCTATCCTCCCCTCCCTACTACCCTTCCTAGCCCTAAGAATCACAATTCTACTTTCTACTTGTATGAACTCAAATTTGTTTAGCTTCCATGTATGAGTGAAAACACGTGGTATTTATCTTTCTGTGCCTGACTTATTTCACTTAACATAATGTCCTTCAGCCTCATCCATTTTTCCATGAATGACACGATTTCATTCTTGTTTTTTTTTTTTTTTTGGCCGAATAGTGTTCCATTGTGTATATATACCACATTTTCTTTATCCATTCATCTGCTGATGAACATTTAGGTTGATTTCATATCTCAGCTCTTGTGAATAGTGCTGCAATAAACATAGGAATGTGGATATCTCTTCAACATGTTGATTCCTTTACTTTGAATAAATGCCCAGTAGAATTGCTAGATTATATAGTAGTTTTATTTTTAGCTTTTTTTAAGAACTTCCATGCTGTTTTATGTAATTGATTTTCCAATTGACATTCCCACCAATAGTGTGTAAGAGTTCTCTTTTCTCTACATCCTTGCCAGCATTTGTTATTTTTTTCTTTTTAATAATAGCCATTCTAACTAAAGTGAAATGATATCTCAGTGTAGTTTTGATTGCATTTCCCTGATGATTAGTAATGTTGGAAAAATTACATTTTTGCTTCTGCTTATTTTCTTACATTTCTTTCTTTCCTATCTTCTACCATTCCACCTTCTTCTTGATGAAGAAATAGTACTTACAAGGTCATATGGGAGGTGAACATAGTAGGATGTGAGGAAGTGAAGGTTCAGTAGCCCCAGAGTTCTGTGGTATGGAAAGATAGGCAAACATGTCTGCAAAGCTGCCTATTCTTCCTGCTCCAGAAGCAGCCCTGCTCAGTATCCACACCTAGCAAGGTACCCAACAAAGATTCAGTGACATTCAAGTCTATCAAGGAGATTTCCTAATTTATGTATGTGGGATTTGCAAACTTCACCATAATGTATTCTGAAAGTTTTGCATTCTTTCGACAAGATATATTGAATCTCAGGCCCTGGTCTCTGATTGATCCCAACACTGGGGTCATATGTTAGAGTGCTACACAGTTATCTGACAAGCCTTTATTATATATTGTAAAAGGCTAGCATCCTGGTGAGAATCCTCAAAGGTCATTCCTGGAAAAGGGCTTTAGGCTTTTTAATTGGGTGAGAAATGGGGAGCTGTTTCCACTCACGGTGTTGGCAGTACCAAATACATGCTGTTGGCTCCAGCTGCCTTTATCAAGGTGTGGGATGCCCGTTTGGAGAGAACTGCCTTAAACCAAGGTCATGACATTCATTCTCAACATGAGAGAAATTGATTTTTTAAATTTCTGTTTCATAGCTTTAGAGTGCTTGTAACCTAGGCCAGCCTACTCCAAATAAATATCCTGGGAACCAAGAGGACCCCAAAGGAGCATTGATATGGCATGCCACCAACAGCTTCCCTTGGAAAAATCGGGAAGTCAGCAAAACTTAGAATTTTGCCTGTCATTTTACTCAGATTTCTTCCTTTCTCGGGTCTCTATTGGATGAGCAAATCTTAGAAATTTCCGCAAAGGATACTGGTAATAACACAACTTGTGACTACTAAGAGAGATTTAATCAATGTCTTGAGGTTTAAAAGCCCCAAACCTCAAAGGAATAAAACTGTAATGATTGAATGAAAGCCTATTTGTTTAAGGTTTGGGGAAGGAAACTAGGACACAGGCCCCATAAATCAAATTGCTGACAGGCTTCCATCCAGCCTGGCTAATCCATTTCCTCACCTGGGGTAAAGAAAGCAAAACACCAATAGTAGATCAAGAATACCAGCTGCATACAAGGACATTATATATATTAAAAAATTATCTTGGGGGGCCATCATGGGCCCTTTCTCATACTAGCCGACTCACCTTAGAAATATTACTTCCTCATTGTTTTGCTGAAGAAGTTAGGATAGATGATTTTATCTAGCCGCTTGAAGTGAATCTCTTTTTCTCTCTGTCTCCTGTGGCACACAGGGAAATCAGTGAGAGAATGAGGGCAATGGTAACTACAGAAGCACCGGTGAAATTTTCTTAGTGTATGCCAGTCTGTGTGAGAGAAAAAGATGTCTTACTCAAGGTTAGTTACAGGGAGATGTTGCTCACAACACTCTAGGATTTATGACAGTTCCACTCACTATTTTGGAGAGCAGATTCTAACCTTACTCATTGGATACAGTTTGTGGAATTGCTGCAAAGTGTTATTCTTTGCAACAGATGGCATTCCAGGCATGTGGCAAAATTACTCTATTTTATTTGGGCATCAATCAAATTTTAGGAGGGTGAAATGAAACGATTTGGAACAAATAAGGTATTTTTCCCCACTCCATCAGGTACAAACTTTTTAAAATAAAATTGTTTGCTGGGAAATACATTTTATTTAAAGTTACAGAATACTAAGAGAAAGCTTTTCAAATTGTGTATCCTCTGCCTTGGAAAGGGAGAAGTGGCACAAAGCTAAGCAGTGAGATTATCATTGTTTAGTCTGGGGAGAAACTTAAAGCCTAGGAGTAGAGCTACAAGTTTTAGAAGGTAAAGAAAACCAGCTTCTTCCTCTGTGTGATTTGAGAGGTGATAATAAGGTCCTATTGGACGAAGATAATTTGTGAATTATAGGAACTTAAGACTTCAAGGATCCAATTGAGTTTTCATTGTGAGATGATGGTATGACATTAAACACATGAAGACACCTTAGAAAACCACTAGACACATGCTATACATTCAGTCCATTTCAGTTTTCATTATTGTAGTGATTATTGTCACAATCATAGTGTTTCCCTGTGAAACCTTAGAAAATCACCAGACACATGCTATACATTCAGTCCATTTCCGCTTTCATCATTGTAGTAATTATTATTACTATCACAATGTTTCCCTGTGAAACCTTAGAAAATCACTAGACACATGCTATACATTCAATCCATTTCAGTTTTCATCATTGCGGTGATTACTGTTACAATCACAATGTTTCCCTGTGAATGTTTCACCCTTTGCGCTTCCCACAATAATTTACCATTATTTATTTATGTGACTTTCTCCTTATTTGACTGGAGCTCCATGAAAGTAGGAGCTGAGCTTGAAGGTATTTCTTAGCATTCCGTGCTTATCTAACCTTGAATATTAGAGATAAATAAAGCAAGTGTTATTTTGCACATGGAAATTTTCCTCTGCAGATGTTTTTCTCTTTTCAAAGAAAAATAGCAGGCATGGCAGCACTAATAGTCAGGGTTCAAATAATAAATAAGTTTTATATTAAAGCTGTATGTGAATCAAAAACCACTACATATAGGTAAACATGACTCTTGCAGAATCTGAAGATTGGTTTACTCAACACCACTCCAACCCTGTTGTAGTATGTTTCCTGTAGTCAAATGCTGCAATTACCAGACTCCCATAAGCTCAAACTATTGCTGTGATCTGAGTCAGCCAGTCAAATACACCTGGATGAGACTTGGAAAGCAGATGTAAACATCAGAACACAGAGATGTACAGTTTTGTGAAAGTGTATTCATGAAAATACTTGTGTTTTGTTTGTTCTGTGGCATTTGGTTCTGTGGCAGTTGTTCTGGAACTTCTGGTGTTTAACACCCTAGTTAACAGCCTAGGTTTTTGGGTGTTAAGCAGTAGGTAACACTATCACTGGCATTTTCATTGGAATACCTCAGTGATGTATATGGGTATCTATCTCTGCTTAAGTTAAGCTAAGAATAGACTGTGTTGCCTGCAACTAAGAACTCTGACCCATACAATAATTGGGAACAGAAGTGGCAGGTAGGAGATCCAAAAAGGAATGAAAATCTGAGATGGGTTCTCTAATTTGTAGGGGGAAGGATTCAGTTACTGTTAGAGGGTGGGGTATTGGTTTTATTCCATGCCACCCAGTGCAAACTGTGATATTTAAATTATCTCTTTGGGACACCAGAAATGAAAGAATCGTTTTGATAGACTGAAATAATTCTACAATAGAGCTTTACAAAGAGAACAATAATGATGCAAAAGACTAGCTACTTCTACCCATATTGAATAATTAAAGAGAAAAAAAGTAACAGACTCAGGATCTTAGATTCTAGGCCAAGTTAGAAAACAAGGAAGTTTCTGTGACCTACCTAAAACGATGTCCTGTAGCTCCAGGGCTAATGTGTGCACCAATAGTCACAGGACCTGATCATGTAGGTTGCTGAATTTAAAATACTTAAATTTACGGTTTATCAGGTCTCCCAGGCAAATGTTAAGGCATTGATTGGTAAAGAATTAGACTCCACAGGATTAGAATTGGGATGCTTGGGGAAATTTCAATAACTCCAAATCCCCTGAAACTCCTAGGGCAGGTAGAAGCAGTCCCCATCTCCTGTCAGTTAAGGCTGATCCTGTGATGCTTGAAGACATTGTAATGACTTCAAAGAACATGGTGCTAAGACTCCCCCTGCCTTGCTCTGCTACTTCACCTGGCATCTGAAGGTAGATCCCAGTATGCTCTTGGGGATAAATTCAACAAACCAAATCCAGATGTGGACTTATACATTTCAACATTTTACACCAGCAAAAGACCTTGGATATGTATGAGGGAATTTGTCCTAAGGATGCTAGACCAAAGAGGGGAAATTATATTTTACATCAGGTTGAAAATGTCTATATTGGCGCACTTACAATAAATTCTGGATTTAACGTACTAGGTCAAACTAGCCCAAATAGCTGGAAGTAGATTTAGTAATTTTCTTGGACTTTTTTTATTATTAAAGCTGGACCAAATGGTAGTCTATAGCAAATGAAGTGAAGATATCAGAAATGCTTTGGTTTAATATAAATCAAGAAATCCAAAGTCTTAGGAAAATATTGGAGTTGGGGGTGGATTTAATCACATGTGACTTATTCATCCTTTCAAAACATCTAGTCCTTCCTGAAAAACAGCCTAGATGTTATTTCTTTTCACTCAGCATAGAAAAATACATTGGTGAGAGAAGCAACAGAGGCCTTAAAAAGTATTTCAATGACTCTCCTCTTTAGGGTGTGATAAAGATGAGAAATGTAACCATTTAAATGGCTTCCTGATTTTAATGATAAGGGTGGGTACTCAGAGTAACAATGACAAAGTAATATTTGTTAATGCCCAGAAGCAAGATGGGCATGCTATGCTACCATTGAAAACAGCAGGCATAACTGATAATCAGAATAATATGATCTACATGAAATTTTGGCAATGGCTAATTGATCATGGGGTTCCTAGAGCTTAAATGGGTAGACATTTCATGAAAATTTGACTTGATTTGCATGCCTAAAAGAGAATAACTCAGGGCTTGATAAATAGAAGCTTGACTTGAATCAATGGTATAGACTCCTGTAGGCCCTCAACCAACTTATAAAACTGACCTAGCACCAGTTGAATGAAGGGAAAGTTGAACATGCTTAAGGAGGGACCCTGTCTCAGTCTGTTTTGTGTTGCTATGACAAAATATTGGAAACTGGGTAATTTTTAAGGAACACAAATTTATTGTCACACAGTTCTGGAGGCTGGAGAGTCCAATATCAAGGTACCTGCATCTGGTGAGGGCCTTCTTGCTGCATCATTGCAGGGCAGAAGTGAGAACATGAGAGACAACAAGGGGAGGTAGAGCTTGTTCTTTTATAATGACACCAATCTCATCCATGAGGGTGGAGTCACCATGGCCTAATTACCTCTTAAAATTCCACTTTTTAACAGTGTTACAATGGCAATCGTATTAGTACACTCTCTCATTGCTATAAAGAAATACTTGAGACTGGGTAATTTATAAAGAAAAATGGTTTAATTGACTCATGGTTCTTCAGACTATTTAGGAAGTATGGCAGTGGCATCTGCTTAGCTTCTGGGGAGGTCTCAGAAAACTTACAGTCATGGTGGAAGGCAAAGAGGGAGCTAACACTTCATATGGCCAGAGCAGGAGAAAGAGAGAGGGGGAGATGCTACACACTTTTACACAACTACATCTTATGAGAACTCAGGACAATACAAAGTGGGAAATCTGCCCCATGATCCAATCACCTCCCATCTGGCCCCACCTCTAATATTGAGGAATACAATTTGACATGAGACTTGGTGGGAACACAGATCCAAACCATATCATTCTGCTTCTGGCCCATCAAATCTCATGTTTTTCTCACATTAGAAAATAGAATCATGACTTCCCAATAATCCCCAAAAGTATTAACTCATTTCCAGCATTAACTCAAAAGTCCAAAGTTCAAAGTCTCATCTGAGACAAGGCTACTCCATTCCACTTATGAGTCTGTAAAATCAAAAACAAGTTAGTTACTCCCAAGATACAATGGATGTATAGACATTGGGTAAATACTCCCATTCCAAAAGGGAGAAATTGGCCGAAAGAAAGAGGCTACAAGCCCCACACAAGCCTGAAACCCAGTAGGGCAGTCATTAAATCTTAAAGCTCCAAAATAATCTCCTTTGACTGCATGCCTCACATCCAGGACATAGTGTTTTAAGGATTAGGCTGCTAAAGCCATGGGCAGCTCTGCCCTTGTGGCTTTGCAGGATTAAGCCCCAGTGGCTACTCTCAAGGGCTAGTGTTGAGTGCCTATGGCTTTTCCAGGTGCAAGGTGCAAGCTGTCAGTAGACCTACCATTCTGGGGTCTGGAGGATGGTAGTCCACTTCTCATAACTCTTTTAGGCAATGCTGCAGTAGGGACTCTGTGTGGGGCCTCCAAACCCTCATTTCCCTTCTGCACTGCCTTAGTAGAGGTTCTCCATGGGGCTCTGCCCCTGCATTAGGCTTCTCCCTGGACATCCAGGTTTTTCCATACATCCTCTGAAATCTAAGGTGGAGGCGCCCAAGCCTCGACTCTTGCACTCCTTGCACCCTCGGGCTTAACATCACATGGAAGCTGCCAAGGCTTACGGGTTGCACCCTCTGAAGCAGTTGACTGAGATGTACCTAGGCCCCGTTGATCCAAGGTTTGAGCTGGAGCAGCTGGGACATGGGGAGCAGTGTCCTGAAGCTGTGCAGAACAGTGGAACCCTGAGCCTGGCTCACAAAACCATTCTGTCCTCCAAGGCCTCTGGGCCTGTGATGGGAGGGACTATGGTTTCCAAAATGGCTTTGGGGCCTTTGTCCCATTGTCTTGGCTATTACCCCTTGGCTCCTTTTCACTTATGCAAATTTCTTCAGCCTACTTGAATTTCTATCCCCCACAAAAATGGGATTTTTTTTTTCTGCCACATAGCTAGGATGCAAACTTTCTAAACTATTATGCTTTGTGTTCCTTTTAAATATAAGTTCCAATTTTGGGTCATTTCTCTGCTCACACATATAAGCATAGGCTCATCACCTAAATCACCACTCTCAAGTTCAAAGTTCCACAGATCCCTAGAGCAGGGACACAATGCAGCCAGTCCCTGCTAAGGCATAGCAAAAGTGACCTTTACTCCAGTTCCCAATAAGTTCCTCATTTCTATCTGAGACCTCCTCAGCTTGGACTTCATTGTCCATGTCATTATCATCATGTTGGTCACAACCAGTCAACAAGTCTCTAGGAAGTTCCAAACTTTCCCTCATTTTTCAGTCTTTATCTGAACCCTTCACACTCTTCCAACCTCTGCCCATTACCTAGTTCCAAAGTTGCTTCCACAGTTTCAGTATCTTTACAGCAATGCTCATTCCTTGGTACCAATTTGCTGTATCATTCTGTTCTTGCATTGCTATAAAGAAATACCTGAGACTGGGTAATTTAAAAAGAAAAGAGGTTTAATTGACTCACAGTTCCACAGGCTAGGAAACATGGCAGCATCTACTCAGCTTCTGGAGAGGCCTCAGGAAAGTTACAATCATGGCAGAAGACAAAGAGGGAGCTGGCATTTCACATCGCTGTAGGAGGAGGAAGAAAGAGAGAGGGGAGGTGCTATACATTTGTAAACAATCAGATTTCATGAGTACTCAGGACAGTACCAAGGGGGAAATCCACCCCCATGATCCAATCACCTCCCAGCAGGCCCTACCTCCAACACTGAGGATCACAATTCAACATGAGATTTGGTGGGAACACAGATCCAAACCATATTAGTAATTAAATTTTACTACGAGTTTTAGAGAGGGGAAACAAATCACCACAGACCCTGTAATGACTTTCCAAGCAGTCATTATAAATTTTTCTCCTAGCTTTTCCCAAAGAGATTGGTGGCAAATTTAAGGTTAACTTTGCCTTAATTGGCTCCTGGTCTTTGGAGAAGTTATTGGACATTGACTCTATGACCATACTGTTCTCTGGTAAATCACAACAGTACTGTGGTCCAGAGGTCATAGTTGAGACTTATGAGTGAATATCAGGTGGTTAAGAGAATTTATGCTTGATATTATGTCCTAGTGGGCCCAGAGGATTCACAAACTCATCTTGTGGCTACTGTGGTATAGATGGAAAAGATATATACTCAGCAATAAGCAGCAGTTCCATGTTAGCCTTGAACTTGTGGAGTGGTAGATATTAAAAGACAAGTGAAAGTCCTTGGAACTGAAAGAAATATTCCTAGAATAACTGCAGAGGTTGGTTCATAATCATAGACTCTAAAGATACAAAGATGGTTTTTTCTATTATATTCCACTTAACATTGTGATGACTGTGTAGTGAAAGAAGAACCTTGGTAATGACAAAGGATTATTAATGTAAGTGTAATTAAATAATGAATCCAATTGTAATTTTCCAGATATATTATCTTTGTTATTAGCAGATTATCCCAGCTTTTGGCTCCTGTTCTTTAGCTATTTAGCTTGAGCATGTTTTTAATTCCTCCTCCACCCCATCCTAATAAACAGAAAATGCCAGAAATAGATTTTTCCCACACCTGGAAGGAGTACCAGCGTACCATAACCATCTTTATCTGGGCTTAGTACCATAACCATCTTCATCTGGGCTACATGCCTTGATTTTGTCCTCAGGAACTTTCTCCATCACATAATTTCTCAGGATAACGTGTTGGTCTACAAAATTGATGACATCATGTTGATAGAACCAGGTGAGCAGAAAGTAAGGTTGTCTTAAATGGTTCAGTAGGAGTCATGTGTGCTTGGCACCCCAGTGAAGATATCGGGTGATATATACTTTAACATTTGAGGCTACATCTTCCAAAGAGAAATACAAGTTGCAGCACATTTTATCTTCTCTTATTAGGATAGAGGCATAATGTTTAATTGTCCTATTTGGATTTTGGAGGCAACACATATCACATATAAAGTGTATTGTTTCAACTTATTTGCCCAAAATGCCTATAGCCCTGAGCAAGAGGAAGGTCTTGTATATAAGCATCCATCTTGTATATAAGCAACGCTGCTAGTTGGCTGTCATGACCCAGATAATCCAACGGTGCTAAAAACATCTGAGGCAGATCAGTATGTTCTATGGGCCCTTTCTCAAGCTCTATGGGAAATTACAGTTGAGGACCCAGTTTTGGAGCAAAGTCAAGCCCTCTTCTGAAACAATTTTCCTTTAAGAAATAGTTGTGAGCTTGCTAATGAATCATCATATAGAAGATATCATAGGATGTAAGTTTACATTTAACCTAAGTTGCTTATCTTTAACTGGGTTTAGTCTAATCTACTGTGTCATAAAGTCAGATGAAACCAAGAGCTTTTTATCAATAAATTTAACTATTATTTAGAATATTGTGCAAATTACGTAGGATATCGCTGGCACAAAGCCAGCTGCTACAAGTGATGCCTCTCACCCCAATATGTCTGAGTGGTTGATATGACTGCTACTCACTGGGATGGTGTCCTAATAAAGACATGGCTCTCTCTCTCCTTGGGCTTTGACTTCCATTCTCTGGAATGGGAAATACAGGGAACTCAGTTTACCATAAGCCACATCCATTGGGGGAAGGGTATGCCTGGATCTATTTGGTTTGGAAAATAGGTTGTCATGTGTCTTTTTTTTTTTTCTGTTTATTTAGACATATGAGGAACTGAGACTAAGAAAGGTTAAACGAATTTCCCAAGGTGACAGTTTTAGGAAATAGTTCAGCTGACACTAAAGTTCTCTCATTCTTTATCCAATGTACTTTTCACTATAACTCTGTTTCACTTGGGCTTTAACTGTTATTTCTTTAAGAACTCTCAGATGATGCCTTTACATAGTATTAAAAGCTGTTACAAAAAATCCTTATTCTTTTCATTTCCCAGGGGCTTCTCTATTTTCCAATCCCAAAATTACCTTCTGCCCTCCATCCCAGTCTGTCACTGCTCGATCTTACTCTTAATGCATCAGTAGTTTGCTTTCTGATTGGGCTACTTTTATCTTTGGAATTTCGCAGTGTAATTTCATCATCATCATTCTTTCCCCTTGCCCTTGCCAACTTTAGGTGTATTGGTTTCTGTCCATTGTTTACTTTACATCATAAAAACCCAGACATTGGAAAAGTAAAGGAAGATTCAAAGAAATATTAAGCAGACCAAACCTAAATGATAAGCCTATAGTCCTATCTAAAATAATAATTTGTATCCCAAGACAATACTCTTTCAAATATGTGAAGACAATGGTCATTTTCCCCTTTGAGTCTTCTTTTCTCCAGGCCTTCCAGCCTTCCTAGGACTTACTGCCTCAGTCCTTCTAAAGCATTTTCATAAGCCCTAGTTTTGCTTTCTTTTTACTAATCTTGTGGGTGGGCTCCCTTTTTTTGTGTGGACAACTTGACCAACTAGCCACTACCAGCATGGAAAAAAAAGATGATATTTTCTCTTGCTCTGATCTTTATATTTCTATTAACAATGTCCAGTTTTATTCTCACTTTTTTCCTCAGTAATGTCACACTTTGTTTCTCTTTAGTTTAGCTGAAACAGTCAATGTATTTTTACCTTGTATCTTCCTTTAGCATTCTTGAGTTGTTTCACATTCCTGCTACATGACTAATATGATCACCATCCATTGTCTTGCTTTGTCCTATGGGATGTGCTCTTTATTACCACTACTGGTAAAATTTCCCTACTGTGACCTCTCTTCCACTTTCAGAGTTATGTAAGGATACTTGCTTACAAGCCTAGATGTGGTCCAATTGGCTATCTACGCTAATATAATCCTGCTTCACATTGAAGGCACAATATTTGCAAATTTGCTTTACGTCTATAGCTTGGAACTGACATATTCTTATTTTGGTTTTTTGGGAAGACATTTAGTTCTTCTTGGTCCTGTCTGAACACTATCAAAGAGAATTCCCTCCTTCCCCTACCCCATGACTTTCAGAAAGTTATTGTGACATTTCGACAGCTATAATGTTGATAGTATGTTTCCTTTATTTCCTCCTCTGACTTAGGTAGAACTCTATAGAGCACTGGAGACTCGTGAATCAATGGTGCAGTTATTCATTTTTCGCTAACTTTGACAACTGTCTTGTATGTTTCCCTTCCCCATTTGGCCCAGACCTAACCTGTGGCTGTCTTGCTGAATATGGGGACCTGGACGTTTCACAGGCTGACAGGGTGAGACAACACAAGCAAATGCAGCTGGCCTGATGGGGATGTTGTCAGATGCAGTCAACCCCACTGGAGGTATACTCACTCAGAGAGGCTGGTCCTGAGTGCTCCTCCCATCTGCCTCCCTGTCCCACGGTTGTGCCCTGGCTGCCCCACGCTGACAGTGGGGCTAGCCAAGCATGGCTGTTGTGAAGATCTCAAGACGATTCAGAGAAAAAGCCCAGACATCATTTTGCAGAGGATATTATACATACAGACTTGGAAGCATTTTGAGGAAAGGTGGATAAGGTCCAAGGCAATTTTTTTTAGCCCTACTTGAGGGTATGGGAGGGGTGAGTGGGAATGGGGGTGGGGCTGCAAATCCAGGGAAAAAATACTTGACGTGACTGACCATCTTGAGTGCAAATTGTTAACTATAAAAATCATGAGTGGTTGGCAGCTACTGTTTTTGTTTGCTTGTTTTTTGAGTCAGTCTTGCTCTTTTGCCCAGGCTGGAATGCAGTGGTGTGATCATAGCTGACATCAGCCTTAAACTCTGACTTATTTATTTATTTATTTTTAGAGATGAGATCTCACTATGTTGATCAGTCTGGTCTCAAACTCCTGGGTTCAATCTGTTCTCCCACCTCAGCTTCTCCAGGAACTGGGTGTATAGGCGCAAGCCACTCTGCCTGGGTCTTTTTTTTTAAGCCAATTTTTTCCCTCTGTAAAGATGTTCCTCTCACTTTTCACCAAACCTGGACTTCGTGGTTGCCACTTCTATGCATAGTGGAAGGGACAAATGTGAAGGGAATTAGTGTTTTCATATACTTAAGAGAGTGCCTATCTTTTATTGCATTATGAATATGGCATTTGGTCAGGGAAGGTGAGTCCCATAGACAGTCAAAAAAAATGTCCTGTAGGTACTGTTTCAGGTCCCAGGTGTTCTTCAGGCTGCCAAATATTAGCTTTCTTCAAGGCCCAGTCAAATTCCACCTTATTTTGGAAGCATCTGCTTATTAATTTACCCAGCAGAAATTATTCTCCCTCTGAGCTCGCCAGAGCATGCATATTGTCTGTGATGTCACTTACTTGGTAGATTTTGAAAGAGGCAGTTTGTTCTGCTCCTGTGTGCTTCCAGTCTTGAAGCTTACCTGACTACCTGTGTGGCCTTGGGGAAGTTAGCTAGCCTATCTGAATCCACATGCTCTCATCTCTCCAAGAAGGATGATAACATTGCCCCACTGTTGTAATCGTTGGGTGTTGCCATGATTCACTGTTACTATGTTAGTGCCATTGCTTCATAAGCTATGAGGAATTCCAGGAAAGTCAGTAATGATTATTATGATATCATATAATTTCTGAAGTGGAGGCATCTTTTTTTTTCCCAACCACACTGACAAGTACTTGAGATCAAGGATTAAACATTATGAATCTCTGCTTTCCTAACACTGTAATGCTATGAACATAGTAGAAAGTTAATAAATACTTACTGGGGGCCAGACGGGAGTCGTGATTCCCTTGAAAAATTACCAAAATGTTGACGTATCGTCACCAACCTCTTTCCAGAAAAAGAGTAAGCAGATTAAATGATGATTTATTTTGCAACATTGTAACTTTAAAGCCGTTGCACTGTGGAATTCGTGAGTCACAGCTTCTTGTCTACAGTATCAACTCTAAGAAGAGACTACAAAATAATGAGACCAGTTAAACAAACTTGCCAGAACTTTCCATATCTAAATGTTTCAAAATATTTACTTTAGGAGGCTTCTCAGTTATTTCAGAAGCCATTGCTCACCACAACCAAATCCTAGTACAATTCAAAATCAAAACAGACAAACAAAAAGCAATCATTGCTCTGCCCAAAACAATGTCTACCCATCCAAATTCTTCAGTCTTCCAATCAAGGCCCATCTCAAGCTGGCTTCAGCCCACTTTTCCTCTCTTACTATTCACTAAGCAGATTTAGCATGGTGAAGATAATGTTAGATTTGTAAGAAATGTAGGAGAAAACCTAGCTCTGTCTCTTATTTTTCTATGACCTTGGAAAAAGTGTCTCGTCTATTCTGAGTCTTAATTCTTATATCTGTGAATGAAGATACTGATGTTTTTCTGTCTCAGCATAAGGATTAAATAAGATGAAATACAATGTATGTAAAAGTGTCAGTTTGGGAAATATAGTAGGCTCCTAACAAGTGCTAGGTCCCTTTTTTGGCATTCTTTAGACAAATTCCTGATTTTCTCTGTACTCACTGATCTCAGTGTTGGAAATGTCCACCCAATGTCTCTCTTCCTACTTAACTTTTACAGACTAATTTAAGTTAGTTTTACTGGGCAAAACCTTTACTGTCCCCTCTGGCCAGAAAGGTCTCTTTTTCTCAACTTCTTTAGTACTTGTAAAACTAATCATGTATTTGCCCTTTGCTGATCCATATTATTAAGTAAAAAAAATTCTTTTCCTCCACAAGATTGCAAGTTATCTAGAAGACATGAATTTCTCATATATATTTATATTTCCTCTGCTCTGTAGGAAGGTGTCATGCCTATAGGGAGGCAGCTCATTGTAGGGGAAAGAACCAATGCTTTTGCATGAGACACACCAATTTCCAGCTACAAAGTGGACAAAATCCTTGAAAGATGATATATTCATATACACAGTCAGGTAGATGAATGTTTGATTTCTTCTGTTAAGTACATATGTGTCCATTAAGTATAGATACACATTTTTCTTTACGAGTATAGGTAAGATTGGATATAGGAAGTTGTGAGTAAATAAAGTTCTGGTGAAAGTCAAAACTGAGCCAAGAACAGGGATTACCAGGCAGCACCAGCAGCCCTTAAGAATAAGCAAGATGCTGTGTAAGATGATGGATCAGACAAAAATGCCAATAAAAGAATTGACTAAAAATTATCTTTTGCATCACTTGAGTAAATGTCATCCTTGGCTCCCTCCTGCTTCCACTCCCCATATTTAAATCCATTCCAAAAATATGTTCCAAATCTGTCTACTTTTTTCTGTTTCTACAGCTGCTACTCCACATGAAGCTACCACTCTCTATCATCAGGATTATTTTACAGTCTCTTACCTGGTCTCCCATTTCTGTCCATTTTTCCTTTCTTTACAGAAGAACCAGAATGACTCTTTAAAAACATAAATCAAATCATGTCATTACCTGCAAAAATATCTAATAGGTTCCATTTGAAATAGAATATTTTAATCCTGGCTTATACGTTTTTTAAAGCCAACCAACTTTTTACCAGAAGATGGTATTACACATGGATGACTGGCAGATATTTCTCTGGTAGAATAAGATTTGATGCTAGTGATTTGATATATGGCCAGGGGTCACAGTTCAGTCAATACTAATACTGCAATTTGTATTTAAAAAGAAATGATATTCTAGGCATTCAATATGGAGGAAATTTTTGTTTCAACATGGGCCATACCATGTATCTTTGTATTGATGCAGGAGTTTTTCTTGAACTCTTCATCAGACTTGCAATGGGAGTGCCCTGTTTACTCAGGCTGCCACACTCAACCTTTTGCAGGAGGAAATGCATTAGCTAGTGAGTGCAGGATCTGGCTGGCCATTTTGGGCACTAGCAGGAACAGGCTCAATGAGTGGCCCCATTTTAGTGCCCAGCTGGGGGTGCCTGCTACCCCTGAAACCCCAGAGGGTGTGTTACAGTAGTATCTTAGCTCCACCACCCATTGACAGCGTGTGTTATCAGCTCAGTAGGTCCCTTACCTCATCGTGTAGGGCAGCTGCCCTTTGCCAGTGAGGGCAAAGGGCCAATGTGACAGCCTTTTTTCTGTACCTGACTAGGTGAGTCCTGAGCTCTTGTCTGGCGTCTAAAAAGAATGAGGTCGCACGGACACTTGAGGGATGGTGGAGGTGGAGAATTTTATTTAGTCATGGTTAGGGCTGTCAGTGGAGAGGGGAGCTGGAGAGGGGATGGGACAGGCAGATAATCTTCCCTAAAGTCTGGCCATCCCCAGCCAGCCCTTCTCTGAAGTCCAGTCATCTGGACTTCATCTGAAGCCACCTCTCCTCCGGAGTCCAGTCATCCCTCTGAAGTCTAGTTGCCTCTCTGCAGTCAAGCAGCTTCTCTCCCTCTACCAATTGAATCTGGAGTCTTTATAGGCACAGGATAGGGAGCAGGACAGGCCATAGGCAGTTTTAGAAAAGGCACCATTCAATTGGAAAAAAGACATTATTCAGAAAGAACAAATTGGGAGAGAGCAGGCAAACAGGGATAGAAGTTTTTACATTGGGTTGTGGGTTTCAGGCTTTTCAGCTCGTAGGTGGGGTTTTGCCAGGACCTGCCGCTGTCTGCCTAGCATTTCTCTGCCTCCTGCCCCTATCAGTATAGAAATAGTGAACAAACCAGCATGATAAGTAGCCCTTGAACCTGGCTTTCTTGTCTTAAGTCTTCCTACTGTGTTCCAATGAAATACTCCATTGTGTCTATAAAAAGCAGCTGAGTTTTTGTTTACATGTCTAAAAACCAAGAACGAATAAATACTGCAGTGTAGTGAAAACTACAGGTCACTTTGTGTTATTTATTTTATCTGAGTTTTACCAAGCTTCCTGATAATTTCACAGAAGACTAAAAAATCCTGTGAAAGCTGAGACCTTTACATTTTCTGAACTTTTATAAAATGTCTTTATTTGGTTCTAAATGACCTCTGATAACATGCTCATGTCAGGAGTTGAGGTTCTATGTACATTCTACCCACCCCCTTCCCAAACACACTAAAAGTTCTTCTTTGATAAAAATTTATAGTTCTTGGAATTTCAGTGACCCACCATCCTACCAGATCACTTTCTTGGCTTTATTATCATGTATACTTAAAAGTGGCTCCTCTTGTAGCCACAAACTGCAACTTGGAATGTCAACATAATATTTTATGAATGCTTATTATAATAAACAATGACAGAAAAAATACAAGCACAGAGTTATATTCCAAGGATCACAGGATATAAATAAGCAACGTGCTTACAGAAGGAGAGAAAAATGGAAGTGCCATGTCTGGATATGAAAAGAAGAGAAGACTTCTTAATAAAATGTGATCATAAGGCAGAGTCACCAACTATATATTATTGAATGAATCCAACATACCCTAACTAACTGTGCATATCTTTTAAAGCAGTAAAATTAACAAGTTAAGTTTTAAAATAATGTAGACCTGTCACTGTCACTGTTGGAAATAGTCAAATAATCCTTTTTTTTTTCTTTTACAAAATACTTTTGCATAATTTGTTCTGTAAAGTAGACTAAATCATGTTAAAGAAAGTCATATCAATAAATATTTTGAGCTCCTACCATGTTTTCTGTTCTTGAGTAGGTAGTAAATAACAGAGGAATAAAAATATTTTATTTGCTTTTCAGGAGTTTGCTGCTTTCTAGAAGAGATAAGTCTATAAACAAGGCAGGATAGCATCAAATGCTAGAATTTTTGGAATAGACTTCAAATGCTCTAGCATTTTACATTTGTTGGGAGTAATATTTGAATAAAGCAGATGAAGCCCATTCAAGGTTTGGGCAAAATAATTAATGTAGGAAATATGTTGTCTGTGGAGTATATCAAGATGTACCTGTCCACCTCTCTTTTCAAGGAATGACATTATATGACCTACATGGCTGTGAGCTCAAGCTCCACAAATGATCACACAAATCCTTTCCAATATTCTATCTAAAAGTATTCTTCCTACAATATACTTGTATGGAAGATGCATGCAATGATTTGATAAATAAAATTATAGATGATTTTTATTCTCAGTGGCTTTTTAAAACAAGTCAAAAGAAAGTTATTTTCAGTCTAACTGCAGCAATTCTACTTACTGTAACTAAATCTGATAGGAACCTGACATACAATGTGAAGGAAAACTTGAACTAGTTATATTATCTTTCTTTTATTTGTGTCACTCATTCAAAAAAAGAAGGGATTTGTACTAGATTATATCAAAAGTCCTTCCCTAATTGAAATGTCTCTTTTAAAATCTTGTATGTTTGAGATGTTCTCTAAATGTCTTAATGTTTTTTCATCTTTTTAAAAATATCTACTGATTATATATATATATATATATATATATATATATATAAAATGGTAAATGGGGTACCCATCACCACAAGCAATTATGCTTTGTGTTACAAACAACCCAATTATACTCTTTTAGTTATTTTAAGATGTACAATTAAATTGTTATTGACTGTAGTTGCCCTGTTGTGCTATCAAATACTAAGTCTTTTTCATTCTCTAATTATTTTTTGCACCCATATATTTGAGATGGAGTCTTGCTCTGTTGCCCAGGCTGGAGTGCAGTGGTGCAATCTCGGCTCACCACAACCTCTGCCTCCCAGATTCAAGCTATTCTCCAGCCTCAGCCTCTCAAGTAGCTGGGACTACAGGTGTGTGCCACCATGCCTGGCTAATTTTTTGTATTTTTTAGTAGAGATGGGATTTCACTGTGTTTGCCAGGATGGTCTTGATCTCTTGACCTCATGATCCACCTGCCTCAACCTTCCAAAGTGTTGGGATTACAGGCGTGAGCCATGGCACATGGCCGATATATTTTATAGTTATATATATTCTCATACTTCTGGATGTCTTTTAGATACTAAATTTTGAAAGCTTCAGAAGACACCAAGTCTAGTAATAAAGTAACCATCTAACTTTTGACATAAGGCTAGGACATATGTCCAAATTCAAAACTCAAAAGGACTTTGCTGTTTATTTTAAAATAGATTCTATGGATAAGGTAGTATCTATCTATCTATTATCTATCTATCTATCTATCTATCTATCTATCTATCTATCTATCTGGCTATCATCTGTCATCTATCTAACATCTACATATCTGCATATATCTTATTACTCTTAATTGCCTATATAGGAAAACTGGCATTATGAAAAAGCTGAAGAATTTTTTAAATTTTAATTTTTGTCGGTACACAGTACAGGTATATATTTATGGGGTACTTGAGATATTTTGATACAGGCATGCCATCCATAATAATCACATCAGGGTAAATGGGGTACCCATCACCACAAGCAATTATGTTTTGTGTTACAAACAACCCGATTATACTCTTTTAGTTATTTTAAGATGTACAATTAAATTGTTATTGACTATAGTCACCCTGTTGTGCTATCAAATACTAAGTCTTGTTCATTCTTTCTAATTATTTTTTGTACCCATTAATCATCCCCACTTCCCCCAGCCCCCACACCCCCACTACACTTCCCAGCTTCTGGTAACCATCCTTCTACTCTCTATCTGCATAAGTTCAATCGTTTTAAATTTTAGCTCCCACAAAGAAGTGAGAACATGAGAAGTTTGTCTTTTCGTGCCTGGCTTATTTGACTTAAAATAATGATCTCCAGCTCCATCCATGTTGTTGCAAATGACAGGATCTCATTCATTTTTATGAGTAAATAGTACTCCATTGTGTATATGTCTCATATTTTGGTTATCCATTTATTTGTTAATGGACAGGTTACTTCCAAATCTTGGCTCTTGTGAATAGTGTTGCAAGAAACATGAGAATGTAGATATTTCTTTGATATACTGATTTTTTTTTCTTTTGGGTAGATCTAGCAGTGGGATTGCTGGATCATATGGTCTCTATTTTTACTTTTTTGAGGAGCTACCTAACCATTCTCCATAGTGAATGTACTGATTTACAATCTTACCAACAGTGTACAAGGGTTCCCTTTTCCCCACATCCTCGCCAGCATTTGTTATTGCCTGACTGTTGGATAAAAGCCATTTTAACTGGAGTGAGAAAATATTTCATTGTAGTTTTGATTTGCATTTATCTGATGATCAATGATGTTGAGCACATTTTCATATACATTTTTGGCATTTGTATGTCTTCATTTGAGAAATGTCTGTTCAGATCTTTTGCCCATTTTAAAATCAGATTATTAGTGTTTTTCTTATACAGTTTTTTTAAGCTCCTTACCTATTCTAGTTATTAATCCCTTGTCAGATGGGTAGTTTGCAAATATTTTCTCTTATTCTGTGAGTTGTCTCTTCACTTTGTTGATTGTTTCCTTTCCTGTGCAGAAGCTTTTTAAATTGGTGTGATCTCATTTGTCCATTTTTGCTTTGGTTGCCTGTGCTTGTGGGGTATTACTCAAGAAATATTTGCCCAGTCCAATGTCCTGGAGAGTTTTCCCAATGTTTTCTTTTAAGAGTTCCATAGTTTGAAATCTTAGATATAAGTTTTTAATCCATTTTGATTTGATATTTATATATGGAGAAAAATAAGGGTCTAGTTTCATTCTTCTGCCTGTGGATACCCAGTTTTCCAGCATCATTTACCAAAGAGACTGTCTTTTTCCCAAAGTATATTATTGGCACCTTTGTTGAAAATGAGTTCACTGCAGGTGTATGGATTTGTTTCTGGGTTCTCTATTCTGTCCCATTGGTCTATGTGTCTAATTTTATGCCTGTACCTTGTTGTCTTGGTTGCTATAGCTCTGTAGCATAATTTGAAATTAGGTAATGTGATTCTTTCAGTTTTGTTCTTTTTGCTCAGGATAGCTTTGGCCATTCTGGGTCTTTTGTGGTTTCACAAGAATTTTAGGGTTTAAAAAAATATGTCATTGGTATTTTGATAGGGATTGCATCGAATCTGTAGATTGCTTTGAATTGTATGACTTTTAACAATATTTATTCTCCCATTCCATGAACATAGAATATCTTTCTTTTTTGTGTGTGTTTCTTTCATCAACATTTTACAGTTTTTATTGTGGAGATCTTTCACTTCTTTGGCTAAGTTAATTTCTAGGTATTTTATTTTATTTGTAGCTATTGTAAGTGAGATTACTTTCTTGATTTCTGTTTCAGATTGTTCACTGTTGGCATGTAGAAATGTTACTGATCTTTGTATGCTGATTTCGTATCCTGCAACTTTACTGAAATTATCAGTTCCAATTGTTTCATGGTGGAGTCTTTAGGTTTTTCCAAATGTAAGACTGTATCATCTAACTTTGGGAGGCTGAGGTAGGCAAATTGCTTGAGCCCAGGATTTTGAGACCAGACTGGGCAACATGGTGAAACCCCAACTCTACAAAAAAGTACAAAAAATTAGTCAGGTATGGTGGCATGCACTTGTATTCCCCACTACTCAGGAGGCTGAGGCAAGAGAATAGCTTGAGCCTGGACGGCAGAGGTTGCAATGAGCTGAGATTGTGCCCCTGTACTCCAGTCTGAGCAACAGAGCAAGACCCTGCCTCAAAAACAAAACAAAAACAAAACAAAACAAAAAAAACTGGCCAGTTGCGGTGGCTCACGCTTGTAATCCCAGCACTTTGGGAGGCCGAGGCAGGCAGATCACAAGGTCAGGAGATTGAGACCATCCTGGCTAACATGGTGAAAACCTATCTCTACTAAAAATACAAAAAATTAGCCAGGCATGGTGGCGGGCACCTGAAGTCCCAGCTACTCAGGAGGTTGAGGCAGGAGAATGGCATGAACCTGGGAGTTGGAGCTTGCAGTGAGCCGAGATTGCGCCACTGCACTCCAGCCTGGGCGACAGAGCAAGACTCTGTCTCAAAAAAAAAAAAAAAAAAAAATTGAACAACAAAAAAGATTATATCATCTGCAAACAAGGATAATTTGATTTTTTCCTATCCAATTTGGATAACTTTTATTTATTCTCTTGTCTGATTGCTTTAGCTAGGACATCCAGTACTATGATGAATAACAGTGGTGACAGTGGGCATCCTTGTCACGTTCCAGATCTTTGAGGAAAGGTTTTCAGTCTTACCTCATTCAGTATGATACTAGTTATGGGTCTGTTGTATATGGTTTTTATTATGTTGAGGTATGTTTTTTCTATACCCAGTTTTTTAAGAGTTTTTATTATAAAAGGATATTAAATTTTATCAAATGCTTTTTCAGCATCAGTTGAAATGAACATGTGGTTTTTGTCCTTCATTCTGTTTATATGATGTGTCACATTGATTTATTTGAGTATGCTGAACCATCCTTGCCTCCCTGGGATAAATCCCACTTGGTCATGATGAATGATCTTTTTAATGTGTTGTTGCATTCAGTTTGCTAGTATTTTGTTGAGGATTTTTGCATTAATAGTCATAAGAGATATACGCTGGTAGGTTTTTTTTGAATGTGTCTTTTTTCTGGTTTGTGGTGTAAAGGTAATTCTGGCCTTGTAGGATAAGTTTGTAAATATTCCCCTCTCCTCGTTTTTCAGGGCAGTTTGAGTAGAAATAATATCGGTTCTTCTTCTTCTTCTTTTTCTTTTCTTTTCTTTTTTTTTTTTGAGATGGTGTCCCGCTCTGTCACCCAGGCTAGAATGCAGTGGCGCAATCTCAGCTCACTGTAACCTCCACCTCCCGGGTTCAATTGATTCTCCTGCCTCAGCCTTCTGAGTAGCTAGGATTACAGGCTCATGCCACCACGCCTGGCTAATTTTTGTATTTCTAGTAGAGATGGGGTTTCACCATGTTGGTAAGGCTGGTCTTGAACTCATGACGTCGTGATCCGCCTGCCTTGGCCTCCCAAAATGCTGGGATTACAGGCATAAGCCACTGCACCCGGCCATGTTACTTCTTTAAATGTTTGGTAGAAGTCAGCCAGTGAAGCCATTAGGTCCCAGGCTTTTATTTCCTGGGAAACTTCTTATCATGGATTCAATCTCATTATTGTTATTTGTCTGTTCGGGTTTTGGATTTTTTTTTCAGGGTTAAATCTTGGTAGGTTGGATGTGTCTGGAAATTTATCAATTTCTTCTAGATATACCAACTTATTGGCATATGGTTGCTTGTAATAGCCATTAATGATCATTTGAATTTCTGCGGTATTGTTTGCAAGGTTTTCCTTTTTAATCTCTGATTTTATTTATTTGGGTCTTCTCTTTTTTTTTTCTTAGTGTGGCTAAAAATTTGTCAGTTTTGTTTATCTTTTCAAAAAACCAACTTAATGTTACCTTCATCTTTTGTATTTTTTTCATTTCCATTTCATTTATTTCTGCTCTGATTTTTATTATTTCTATTCTTCTACTAATTTTGTGTTTGAGTTGCTCTTGCTTTTCTAGTTCTTTAAGATATGTTGTTAGCTGAATTATTTAAAGTTTTTCTGCTTTTTTGACATAGGCTCTTATTGTTATAAACTTCCCTCTCAGTACAGCTTTCACTGTATCCAATAGGTTTGGGTATGTTGTGTTCCCATTATCATTTGTTTCAAGAAACTTTTACATTTTCTTCTTATTGTCTCCAGTGACCCACTGGACATTTAAGAGCATATTGTTTAATTTCCATAAGTTTGCATAGTTTGCAAAATTCCTCTTGTTATTGATATCTACTTTTTCTAATTTGAATTTTTTGTTTGAAAGGTCACATATCTGTCCCGGATTGGTCCCTGGTGCCTTGTTTAGTTCATTTTGTGAGGTCATGATTTTCTGGATGATCTTGATGCTTGTGGATGTTCTTTAGTGTTTGGGCACTGAAGAGTTAGATATTTATTATAGTCTTCACAGTCTGGGCTTATTTATACCTGTTTTTATTGGGATGCTCTCTGGGTATTCAATGGGACTTGGGTGTTGTTCTATAAGCAGTACCTGCATTAGGGGGCACTCCAAGCCCAGTAACATTGTGGTTCTTGTAGACTTATAGAGGTACCATCTTAGTGGTTTTAGATAAGAGCCAGAAGAATTATCTGAATTATGAGGCAGAGACTCTTGTTATCTTCCCTTACTTTCTTCCAAACACTCTCTCTCTCTCTGTGCTGAGATGCCTGGAGCTGGGTGTAGGATGATACAAACAACCTTGTGGCCACCATCACTGGGACTACACTAGGTCAGACCTGAAGCCAGCACAGCACTAGGTCTCATCCAAGGCATGCTGTATTCACTACATGGCTACCATCTATGTTTGGTCAAGGCCCTAAGGCTATACAATCAGCAGGTGGCAAAGGCAGACAGGCTTGTGTGCTTCCCTTTAGGATGGTAAGCTCCACGCAGCTTCAGGTGGGTCCAAAGATACCATCCAAGAGTCAGGGACTGGAGTCAAAAAACTAGAAATCTATCTGGTGCTCTATTTTACTGTTATTAATCTGATGCTCAAACCACAAGACAAAGTCCTTCCCACTCTTCCCTCCTCTTTCCACAGTCAGAGGAGCCTCTTCCTATGGCTACCACCATCACAAACCCATGGGGAATACTGCCAGCCTATTGCTGATGTTTACTTAAGGCCCAGGGGCTCTTCAGTCAGCTCGTGGTTAATGCTTCTAAATCTGGAACTCACCTTTCAGGGCAGTAGGATCCCCTCTCACCCACACCAGGTCAAGAAATGCTACCCAAGAGCCTAGTCCTGGAATTGGGGACCTCAAAATCCTATTTGGTATTCCACTCCTCTGTGGCCAAGCTGGCACCTAAGGTGAAAGAGAAAGTCCCCTTTACTTTTCCTGCTTTTTTCAAGCAGAAGTAGTCTCTCAGCATAACTACTACAACTGGGAATGTGTTGGGTCTCACATGAAGCCAGCATGTCTCCGAGTCTCACCCAAGGCCCATGGTGTATTGCTGCTGGTTCTTCACGGGCCAAGAGTTCTTAAGTTAGCAGGGGCCAAGAGTTCTTAAGTTAGCAGGCAGCAAGAGTTCTTAAGTTAGCAGGATAAATCCTGCCAGGACTGAGTCCTTCCCTTCAAGGCAGCGGGTTCTCTTCTGGCCCACCATATATCTATATATGTTTTCCAGGGGCTGGGGCCTGAAATGGAAGCTTCAGAACTCTGCCCAGTTCCCTATTCTACTGTGACTGAGCTTCTATCCAGGATGCAAGACACATTCCCCTTTATTCTCCATCTCCTCTTTTTAAGCAGAAGGAAAGAGTCACTTTCATTGCTGCAAACTGCACTGCCAAGGGTTGGGGGAGGGGTAGTACAAGCACAGCCTCCCAGCTGATGTCTCAGTAGGATGTGTGCCCCTACATCCACTGATTCTGTGTCCAACACAGCACTCGGACTTGCCTAGGAATTGTGGTTCTTGTGGCCTAAACTGCCTTTCAAGTTTATTTAGCACCCCAGAGCACTTTAGCCTGCAGTTGCAAGGCTTGCCAAAACTCAAGTTCTGACAACTGGGATGAGCAATGGGCAATTCCCTTTGGCTAAGGCTGGTCTAAATGCTCCCTCTATGGATGAGCAACAGCTGAGTTTAGCCTGGTTTTACTTTCCACTGTGACAGGGCAGCGCTGACTTCAATACAGGGGCTCACAATTGCTGCATTCTCCTTCCCCCAAGTGAACAGATTCTCTGCATCATGTGGCTGCTGCTGCTTCTAGGTCAGAGTAGGGGAACAGAAGAGGGGTGGTGTCAGCTATTCAAGTCCATCTGTCCTACCCCCTTCAGTTTCTCTTTCTGCAATATAAAGTAAAAACTAGGTACTGTGATTGCTCACCTGATTTTTGGTTCTTATGAAGGTGCCTTTTTTGGTGTAGTTGTTAAATTTGGTGTTACCACAGGGAAGACAATCAGTGAAGGCTTCTATTCAGCCATCCTACTCTGCCAACCTCTGAAGGAATTTTTATATTAAATTATTGACTTTCCACACCCAATCCTGGCCATTTGTCTTCAGTTTCTCAGTACATATATTCATCCTCCTAAACTGTTCCTTCTACTTAATAGCATTATAATCTATCGCTCTTCAGAACTAGAAACCTTCTTATTTACTCTGGCCACTTTCTTGTTCAATGTCATCAAATCCCATTGATTTTAGTTCAAATCTTCATCATCAGTTGAACCTTCTGCATTCGTAGGTAGATTCCACTGCTAAGCAGTTCTAGACCTTAGTAAGTTGCCTTATCTCTCAATATCTCGTTTCCTCACCTCTAAAGTGGAGATGATAGTAAGTTCTTTCTCATTGGTTTATGATGCTGATTAGGTCAAATAATGCAATAATATGCTTAGAAAAGTGCCTAGCACATATTAAAATAAATTCTATCTATGATTATATTATCATAATTTGCTAGACTGTTTAAAATACCTTCCTTTATCATTGGCTTGGCATCAGTGTTTGAATTGGAACTTGTCTTCCTGAATAAAACCAGGATTCTCTTTGCAAAACCAGGTTCTAATTATGCTACTATGGTCTAAAAGTCCTCAGTGGTTCCTAGTGCATGTATAATAAAGTCTGAACTGTTACCAAGACGAGCAGAATAATAAAAACTGAAATTATTGCTCCAGTCTTATCTCTATATATCAGCCAACTTTGCACCACGGATGTTGCTTACTTTTAGGACATGTAGACAGACAAGACTCAGGCTCTCATGAGTTACACGCTGTGCTGGGACTACACTGAGTCCTCATGTACTTTGTTGCATCTAAGGTTTTTTCACAGTCCTCTTTCTGCCTTGAATATCCACTTGCCTCCTTTGTATGTCTAGTGTATGTGAACTCAACCTTCTAAGACCTATTTAGATGACTCCCTCATTTTGAAGCCTTTTCTATGATTCAAGTACAGGCAATTGTTTGAGCATTAGAGTTTCCACAGCACTTCACATATATTTCTATTATGGCACTGAACAGCCTGATACATTCTTGCTTGTTTGTTCTTTACTTCCATTATCCTGAATTATAAATGCATTGAAAACCATGGCCTTGGCTGGGAGGTGGGTAAGGGTATGAGATAAATCTAGGCTATGCATTGTTCCAGGTATTTTTCTTATGCTGTTCCATTTAATCCTCACAATGAGGCTATAAGAATTAATGAGCCCAAAGTAAATTTAGGAGGTTAAGTTACTTGTTACAGTTATGAAGTATAAAAATTCAAGCTAGCTGTGAACTAGGGAGGCAACTATTCTTTCAAAATTACTGAATGTATTGCATAGATATACAAAGTTTTTTTGTATAATTGACATCTCTACTTGTCTTCACCAAGAACTAGCCTTTTTTATCCTGATGATGAGAACACACATTTATAGTAGCTTCTCTACACTGAGCAGAGCTTTTTAATGGTCATCCTCAGAAATCCAGGATTGCACACATCTGCCTCTGAGCCTGCTTTGGAAAGTAGAAACTACAGCCTTTTTGGCTTTAATCCTCTTTAAGTGGTGAAACTATTGTCTCATTTGTCTTCTATATTGGGATTCCTTTATGTTTCTTAAACAAACTATGCAGTTTACAATATTTAAAATTCACTAATCTATAGCATTTTTAAAGCTTATACCTCATCATAATTCCCAAATAATATTTCACCCGAAGCCAACCACAAATAAGTGATAAATCAATTTTTAATTTAATTCAAACTTAATGTAAGTTATGCCAAACCATTGTGAAAGGCCAGAGGGTCAAATCAAAGGGTTGGAGAATGAAGTTTTTTGACTTTCAATTTTACCCCAGTCTGGCTTGTAGCTCCAAAAACAGGGCAGCTGTATGGCAGAGGGAAAGTGACCACCTAGATCACCAGGGGGAGGAAGGAGGACAGCTGGAAGCTCATTCACCCAGACTCCACTTTTGATTTCTGGGGAACTTTCAGTATAAACTTAGTGGCCACAACTGAATGCAGTACATGTAGCTTTCACAGCACGACAGATCAGCTCTCTGGATCTATTTTCATGGTTTCTGCTCACTTTGCCATGGACAGTCCTTCTCTTTAATAAATCTGATGTTGCTGAATGGGTGTGCAATTTCCCATCTCCCATCTGAGGCTAGCTCAGGAAGAGATTTATTCCTGCCTATGTGGTCAAGCAGCCCTGCAGACAGCGTTAATAGGAAAGGTCACTTGATGATTGGCTGCCAAGCAGCTAGTTCTTCAGGCCATATCCGCTGCTGCTGCATTGAAATGTGTTCAGCACCTCTTCAGGGACAGAGGCATTAAAGTTAAATGTTATAGATGTGAACGGATGGCAGCGAGCATTTGGGCTTGCAAAAGAGCTCTGACTCGGGATGAAAATGTTGCCTGTGGTGACAGAATTTATTTTCCAAGCACAAGGAGTTTTTAAGGATAAAAAGAAAAGGAAATTAATAAATGAAATTTGCCTGCCTCTAAAATCCGACCCCATCCTACCTGTCTAGCTTTATTTTTCCTGATGGAGAGCCACATCTCTGGTCTCCTCTCTGAAAGCCTGTATGCATTTCATATCTGGTTGAAAGGCCTCCTCCTCTGCCTCCTTTCTGTCCATAAGCTAAAGACTCAATGGATATTGGTAACTTGATTTGTCATGCAATTCTTTGTTGTTGCTGTTTTTTTTTTTTTTCAAAGTCAAGGCTATTGATTTTTTCTCATTTTAAATGCCTACCTTCCACAGAGCTTTCTTTTATTATTAAAGTTATTATCATTTTTTAATGTGAGGATTTATGGAGTCACATGGCCTAGGAAAGATAGAACTACCCAGGCCGTGAGATTCATATCTTAGGACCCACTGAGATCCCACATTGCAAAAATAGCTAATAACATGCAACCGGAATTGGCAATTTATAGAATCTCCTTGTCAGAGCTGTAAGAGACCACTGATATAATCTTTTCTAACTGTCTGGTGTGATTAATGAGCAAATTCTTTTATGTTCAAAAGGAGATTATCTGCCCTTTATGAATAGGGTATACACTTTATCTGATTTTCTAAAAATAGATATGGTTAAAACTAAGAAACCCATAGACTGTTATCCAGGTATTTTTGCAATCAATACTTTAAATTTGTAAAGTGAATGATTGGGATTTTCCAAAATAGAGGTAAAAGTATAGAAGGGTGTAGTGATAAATCTGAACCAAACTTGGTCAGAGTCCCAACAGTAAATATTAAAAGAAAGTCTCCATAGATAAGTAGTGAGTATCCATCAGTTTGAGGAGCTTGTAGCATGGACACAACCAGAATTAATGTTGTTCCCAGCAGGACTCTTGTTTTTGAAAGTGGGTATGAGAATAAGGCTGGGGCCCAGTTGCAAAGAAGCAAGCGTGCATTCAGGTTTCACAGTAAGTATATAAATGTTCCAAGTAATGAGAAAGACACCATTGTTAGGGATAAATTATGAGAAGAACATTCATCAGGTTTGTAATTTCCACATACTCCCTACTTTGTGTGCCAGCATAGTATGGTCCTAGACAATACATTGTACAGTGGCATATTCAATTTTACAGAAAAGACAAAGATGACTTTTTGGCTTTGGTTAACCCAGTATTTCCCAAACTCATCTTTAACCATGGTTCTCGCGTGTGTGTGTGTGTGTGTGTGTGTGCGTGCGTGCATGTATGATATGCCTATTAACCACTCACAGAATTAGCATGCAACTAAATCACTTTGGAAATGCAGATCTACAAGTCCTATGTTTTAACTGCCTTGTGGTCTGGACTTGAAGTTCTAGTCCTGAGAGGGCTGAATGGCTTCAGCTATGGGGGTTACAATGCACATGGGGCAAGTGACTAGGCAGACTGAGATGAATTGAGTAAAGGTATACCTGCAGAAATTCATATATTTCAGTATACATTGAGGAAGAGATATAAATAAGGAAAGTAAAGATGATGATGAGAAGACAATATTTCTCTACGGATAAACTGAGTAGGTAAACCTGGTGGATGTAGTTGAATGTGGTAGGAAAGAAGGATCATTATTTTGAACATGGAATGGTAAGTATAAAATTGTATTAAAGGATAATTTACTGTGATGTCACATACGATGAAGTGTAAGAAGAAAAGGTAGAAGATAAGGCAGCCGAATGACATTTGGTTGAACTAAGAAAGCATGGAATGATATGGATCTGAAATTGGGTGATGACATTTTGAATGGAACCAAATGTAGGAAGGAATGAATGAAAGACCAGATGTGGTATCTACCATGATAGTTAAAGAAAAAAGAGTTAAAGATTATTTTGGAATTTAGAGCCCCAGTGATTAGAGAAGTGGAGGGTTTTGTAACAGAAATGATACTGTTCCACAGGTAACCAGGACTTGAAATCTCATACGTAAGGAATGAAGGAAGGAAAAATCATCTCTCTGAGGAGATCTCTCTGAGGAGATCAGCAGAGATAAATAAGTATGTTAGTAAACAAGTTCAGAGTCATAATTATAATTAAATGTCGCAGCATCTATATAAAAGTGATACATAAGCAATGTTATGTGTTGGTTTAGATTATCCAAGGTTTTTTTACTATTACAGAATGTCTGTGTTGACCATATGGTTATGCCATGAAGTGCGAATTATAGCCAACTTCTTTTCCTTCTTTTAGAGTAAATCTTTCTTTTTTATTTCTTGATGTAGACCAATTATGAAATTTGGAAATTGTTTTTAAACACATTATTGTGCTTTTATGGGGGTATAGCTTGAAACATGTTAGAGGGATGTACCATCTTTGCAATCTTTAAACAATAATTTTGGAAATATTTTCATCCACTTACACAATTAATAAACTAAAAAATTTCGAACATAAATTTCTCCAAATATTTAAACATGGATTGAAAACTTAAATGTTTTATAACTTCATATATCAGTTTCTCTTAAAGGCTTTAAACTGCTTAAAAGATTATAAAAGCCGATTTAGCTAAATTAACTTAAAAATTCCAGTAGTCATAATGGAATTATGACCACTTAACTTATTGGCCATAGAGAAGTTTTGATAGGAGGGTATCTGTCAGATGTGTGGGGATTTTGCGCTTTAGCATGTGGAGTAGTATTTAGTATTTTTGCTCTTTAGTATGTGGAGGGCTCCTCAGACATTGGCGAGAGAAACTACACTCTGGGTCTTTTCCACATTGATAGTAAGCTCCTGGAGACATGTTAAGCTGGTTTTATGCTTAGACCCCAAAGTGGTGTGAAAATAACTTAAAACATTTAATTTAGTCAAATAATTAGTCAAGAAGCAACTTTTCTTATGACTGTTAAGTATCTGATCATTTGCAGATATTTAACTTTTTCACTAAAAATAAATGCTCATTTAACTGAAGTGCATTTGTGTAAAACACAATTGAATGTGTTTGCCTTCCTAAGAATGGACTTATAATTACAAATTGTATAAAATGAGAATGATAGGTTAGAGAACAGATAAAAGCCCTTCTGCCAACAGATGCACAGTGAAAATTATTCCAAGATTGAAAATTAGTATATATCCTGGCTCTCTTGTCACTTCCTGGTTGCCTTTTGGTGTGAAATTTCAACTTTCTGAGTCCTGATCCCTCATCTATAAAATGAAATGATAACTAATGTCTTACATGGTGGTGAGGGTGATTAAATTTGATAATAAATGTAGTAGTACATGCACAATGCAAGTCAATATGTTATCATCCTATGCTTTGGGTAGCTAACATGTAGAAGTATGACTAGATAATAATTATAACAGCTGATGAGACTTTATTTCTCCAAATTCAAGATGAACTTGAAGTGAATATGAATGGATAAGAACTATTTTATTATAATATAAGATGACTTCTATGGAGGGTGAATGGTCAGAAGTAACATCAGTAATTCTTGTTTGTTTTTTAGGTGTCATAAACTTTCTAAGACAGTGCCTTGCCTGAAGACTATGAGTTTCTGTGCATCCTAGGACCTTTATGGAAATTAGATAATTTTTGATGAAGTTAAACAATTATATTATAAGAAACTCCTCAAATCAAGAATAAATAAAAACAAGAGTAGCATTAAAATTTACTGCAGAGTACATTAATACAGTTCAAATCTAAATGTCTGCTCTTGCATTTCTGTGACTTTTCATGCCATGCTGAAAATCTGGAATGGAAACTCTCATCCATCTTGGTGATTTCCTAGTGCCCTGAGGATGACTTCATTTAAAAGCATTTGAAGATTTAAGTTCTTTCTGAGATGTGCTCTTGTTTTCAGGAATAAAAGTGACATTATGATGAGTTACTACGAAGTCCCTATTCATTTACCAGTTTTAGGCTTCCAAAAATTAGCTGTCATTTTCAGAGTTTAAATTCTTTAGCTTATAAAATGGACTTGTGTGGGGCTCAATGACTAATATTGTGTAGTTTACCTCCCACATACTTGGTGCTCTCCCTTTCACCTATGCATGCTGTCTTTTCTGCCTCAGGTGCACTTCTGCAAAGGTTCAGACAATCATTGAGGTAGTGGAGAAAGGTCACGTAAAGTCCTTGAGGGTTTTGTCAGAACTTTGGCTTTCGCTTTGAATAACTTGAGGAATCATCAGATGTTTTTGAGCAGAAGAGTAAGATGATCTTCATTTAAAACTGTAACTCTAGCTACAGTGTAAAGAAAAGATGGTGAGGGACAAGGTTGGAAATAAAGACTAGTTGGGAAACTACTGAATTAGCCCAGCTGAGGGACAGTGGTGGCTGGAGTTGGTGTACTATGGAGATTCTGGATGTATTTCGGAGTTGGGGCCAAAGATATTGACAGATTGGGTATAAGAATGACTTGGAGATTAACATGATTAAAAATAATTTTGGACTGAGAAAATTGAAAAGAATGGAATTGTGATTTACTGACAAGGGTATAACTGATGAAAACCAGGCCTTAAGAGGGGGATGTCAAGAGTTAGGATTTAGACGTGTTAAGTTTGAACTGCCTATTAGACATCCAAATAAGGCTGTCCCTTGTGTTGTGGGATATGTCTGTAATTTGGAGGGTAAGGTAAATAAAGAGGACAGGCAAAGGTGGGCAGGATGCTATTTTATATAGGATTATAAGGGAAGACTTCTTTGTCACTGTAACATTTAAGAACAGACTTGAAGAAAAGAAATAAATTAATAACTAAAACTATCAATCTAGGACTTCTGGGGGATCTATGTAGTTTTTTGTAGCCACTTGACTGAATGAGATTGCCTAGGCAGTTGGTGTAGGTAGAGACTAAACAAGTCCAAGGACTGAGCCATGGGACTCTCCCACATTTAGAGGTTGGAAAATTTAGGAGCAATCAACAGAGGAAGTTGAGGAGCAGTCAATATAACATTAGGCAAACCATGAGGGAGTGATGTCTTAGAAACGAAGTGAAGAAAGTTTTTCCAGAAAGAAGGAATGAAGCACTGTGACAAACACTACAGAGAAGTTATATAAGATGAGAACTGAGAATTGAAAATGAAATTGGGCAATGTAAAGATCGTCATGATTTTGATGGGATCTATTTCTGTGATCTGGGCTCAGCTTATGAGCCCAGGGAAAACTTCTTGTTTCTCATTGTGTATGATTCCTGGTAAGCATTATTTTTCATCTTTAGCTACTGGGTTATAAAGAATAACTTTCTTTTACATCAGTTAAAAGGATTAGAGTTGTGGGTACCCTTGGTAGACTAGTAATTTGATGCCCTTTCAAAATGATATTATTGAAATAGTTAAGATGAGGAGGAACTTATTTTAATGTACCATATAAATTGGCCCCCAGGCAGCTGCTCATCTAGCTCACTCCTTAACAGAGCTCTGATCCAAATGGCCACTCATAGTGACAGATGGTTGAAGTAGTATGAGTGCATGGGAGGTGGAAGGAGCAATGGGCCAATAATCAAGAGATGCGGACCCTGGCCTGGGCCCTGTCACTGCCCAACTCTTCTATCTGCAACTATTAGCAAGTTATTTGATCTTTATAGGTAGTAATGCTTCTTAGAATTGAATTAAATAATCTTTAATATCATCTTTAAATTCTAAAAAGAAGGCACTTTCATTATCAATCATATATGTGTATTATTGAAAGAGATGTAGCTGTAGGAAGAGGGGAAATAACACGCTGAAGAACAATGGTGAATGTCTCTTATATCTAAAACGAATGCTGCAACCATCTTCGCAGCTGCTGCCAGCCCAGAACACCTGAGACACATTAGTTCATTTAGCAGAGGCTTTTACATCACCTTCAGGTGTCCATTGTGAATCCCCTGTGAGACTGATCTAGTAAGAATGTCTTGGGCTCTTTTTGGGAGAGAGAAAATTCTCTGTCCCTAGGTTATTCTTGCCTGGAAGGCTAGTTTTAAACTTAATATAAAGATTTTCCAGATGCAGCAGTCTCTGGTTTTTCTGACTGTCTGTACAGCTCTAGGTGTGAACTATATATTCCTGCCACTTTCAACTCAGTGCGCTGCTGGCTGCTCAGAATGACTTAAAGGCTTGCATCCCACTCCTGGCCAAGCTGATCGAAACACTAGTTTTAGTTATGACATGACCCAGTTATGGCATAAACAATCCTTTATCCACAAAGTATACTTAAGCCTCCTGAGGATGGCTATATGCTAACTTCATAACCTAGAGAGGGCAACAATACATGCTGTGTAAACACATAATATTGTAATGAATTGAACTGAATTTATTAGAATCCATTATGTCCCTCAGGACCAGAAATGTTCTGGCTAAGAAGCAAGAGTCACATAGATGATTTTGCCAGACCCTAGCACAAATAGAAATCAAATAATGTGTGTCAATTGACCTGTTAAACTGAATTTCTTCCATGGAGACATATTTTATGTCTTAATTGGCTCAAAATAAATGTATTACCTCGTTGTCTAGGTAAGGATTCTTTGTTAATGTCTACTTTTCCTTATGCCCTATTCTATCCAAACACATATGATTCTTGACCAGTGCATTTAGCAAATATGGGAATTGACCATTTTCAATTGTTTTGGCATTCATGAGGATGTTGATAAAGGTAGGGGTTGGGGGCAGAGCTGATTCTTTAATGATTTTCTGCAAATGAACATAGGCTAAGTTACAACAGAATTAATGTGAAATTAAATATTACAGTAAGGCTATTATCAAAAGAGGTCATGGTGATGAATGGCGTATTTAAATGAGACCACCAGAAGGAATTAGAGCTGAAGCCTATTAATCCCAGTCAGTCTGCAAGACTCCATTTTTATGCAGATTAAACTATATTTCAGGTTGATAAATCATCATGACATACTCTGTGACAAGAGCCAAATTTCTTTCCCTTTCTTTATTTCTGTGTGGTTAGGGCTACAGCAGGGTGGATACAGCTTAGTGAGAACTTCCCTCACTAATGGGCAGCACTGATTGAGATGAGTGGCAGATGATCATTTGGTTCATATTGTTGGACCTCTGGTTTGACTTCCTTTTCTTTTAGGATGACAGCCAGTGAATTTGGAGCTGCCAACAATTGCAGAATTATTTATGTGGTTTTGTGTGTGTGTGTGTATGGGTGTGTTGGCACTGTGTGCTGTTCTTACTCCTGCTGCTTTTCCTTAGGAATCCAGCTGCATTTCCCAGATTTTCTTTTTCTGTTTGGAAAAATCTTGGTGCCACTAATATATTTTCCCTTCCTTAAATTAAGTGAAATTTAATAAAATATTTCCGGAAAAACTGGTGTGCTTTATTTGGAGGTTCCAATTAAACCATTGTAAACATAACACAGATAAAGTCCATGTTATTTGCCCAATTGAAAATAGTTGCTCCAGAACACGTGATGGAAATGGGATGATGGATAACACAGCTGGGAGCAAGGGCAGCTAGCTTAGCCCTACACTAACCAGCCCTCTGACCTTGGACAAATCACTAAAATTAAAACCTATAGCACAGTACATTGTGCATGATAGGTTCTCAAAGAATATTTAGTATTAGGTGGAGTGTACTGAACTCCTCTAATTCCAGACTTCCTTCTAAATTAGGCAGCATATCTTGCATGGATGGAAAATGTGACAGCTGCAATTGACCCACCTGCCTACAAAAATAGCCTGCTTGCTCTCACTCGTCTCGACAAATTCTCAGTATGAACAACTTCCTAGCTTAATTTAGCATTATTTAGCTTTTTAAAGTTTTTGAGAATGCCTTAATCTCTTTGATAGTAGTAGTCCCTGCAGCCTAGGAAGAACAGGCATCGTTATTCGCCTGAGGAAGAGCCACAGCGGCAGATAATTGTGGCTTCTCCGAAGCGAAGCACAATTCTAGTGCTTCAGCTCTCCTGAAGTACAAGAACTCTGATCTCCAATGTAGAGGGCTGTGTTCTGTCCTGTGTTGCTACTAACCCAGGTTGTAACTGTTTCCTTGCAAAACAACTTGGAGGGTAATATTATTTCATGAGAAAAAAAAATGGCCAATGATAATTAATTACCTTTTGGTCCTGAGGGCCATGGACATCTGAGAGGGATTGAAATCGGGGTTTGCCCCGGTATCCCTTACCATCATTGTTGCTTGGGTGTGCTTCTTGCCACTTTCCATACCGCTGACTGACCCATTGAGCAGCGAATGGGCTAGGGAAGGCAGGAAATTGGCTTGTTCCCCAGAAGCATCACATTGTGGTTGTAGCATGACCCAGTTATGTCATGAGCAGCATGTCTCACAGAGGGAAATAGCCTGGAGCCTGGCCAGGGCAGGAGAGAAGCCACATGGTTGGTGAGTACTGGATGCTCTCTCTGTGGCAGGAAGCAGCCTCCTAGCTGTGTGCCATCTTGGAAGCTTGCAATATTGCCAAAACAAAGGCAGGGCCTTCTTGTTTATAGAGGAGGTATCTTTATAAGGACTATTGTAATTCTCCACTAAACATATATGACCTCTACCTGATATGGGTATCCGAGATTCCCTTGTTAGAGAACAAAGACTTTTGATTCTATTGCTGGAGACTAGGCATAGAGTGCAAAACCCCTGGTACAGAGAACATGTTGAGTTTAAAGTTATGCACATCAGGGCAGTGTACATGACTGGTTGCACTAACTTCAGAAGGAGGGTGAGAGCTGGGATTCCCAGGCATGTAAACACACACACACACACACACACACACACACACACACACACACGCACACTTCTACATATTCTCTTGTTTTTCTTATGCTGTTTCCTCTGCCTAGAATCTTACTATGGCTAATTTCTAGTCATCTCTCAAGACAGGGCTCGGAGCTTACTCACCTTGTGAAGTATTCCCTGTTTCTCATCCTGTTGCCTGGTTTGACTTTACCCTCTTTCTCTGGGCTTCTACTGTACCCCATGCATGTTTCTACTGTGACATGTATTATGCTATATTTTCATACATCGTTTTTCTCGAGCATGTTCATAGATGTACCTTTATAGAAAGCATTCTTTTGTGTTTAAGTTTTGAGACTGTATTTGACTTATTAAATTTAAAAATGTAGAAATCTAGTTCTGGGGACATCATTTTTATTTTTATTTATTTATTTTTAGTTTTATAATTTTTATTTTAATTTTTAAAATCTTTAAAGTTCCGGGATACACGTGTGGGATGTTCAGATTTGTTACACAGGTAAAGGTGTGCCATGGTGGTTTGCTGCACCTATCAGCCCATCACTTCGGTATTAAGCCCAGCATGCATTAGCGATTTTTCCTGATGCTCTCCCTCCCCAGCCCTCATCACCATGGGCACCATTGTGTGTTGGTTCCCTCCCTGTGTCCATGTGTTCTCATTGTTCAGCTCGCACCTATAAGTGAGAACAACTGGTATTTGATTTTCTGTTCCTGCATTAGTTTTATAATTTTTAATGTATTTTTTTATTATACTTTGAGTTCTAGGGTACACGTGCACAACATGCAGGTTTTTTACATATGTATACATGGGCCATGTTGGTGTGCTGCACCCATTAATTCTTCATTTACATTATGTATATCTCCTAATGCTATCCCTCCCCCCTCCCCCCACCCCACAATAGGCCCTGGTGTGTGATGTTCCCCTTCCTGTGCCCAAGTGTTCTCATTATTCAATTCCCACCTACGAGTGAGAACATGCGGTGTTTGGTTATTTGTCCTTGCAATAATTTGCTGAGAATGATGGTTTCCAGCTTCATCCATGTCCCTACAAAGGACATGATCTCATCCTTTTTTATGGCTGCATAGTATTCCATGGTGTATATGTGTCACATTTTCTTAATCCGGTCTATCATTGTTGGACATTTGGGTTGGTTCCAAGTCTTCGTCATTATGAATAGTGCTGCAATAAACATACATGTGCATGTGTCTTTATAGCAGCATGATTTATAATTCTTTGGGTATATACCCAGTAATGGGATGGCTGGGTCAAATGGTATTTCTAGTTCTAGATCCCTGAGGAGTCGCCACACTGTCTTCCACAATGGTTGAACTAGTTTACAGTCCCACCAACAGTATAAAAGTGTTCCTATTTCTCCACATCCTCTCCAGCACCTGTTGTTTCCTGACTTTTTAGTTATCGCCATTCTAACTGGTGTGAGATGGTACCTCACTGTGGTTTTGATTTGCATTTCTCTGATGGCCAGTGATGATGAGCACTTTTTCATGTGTCTGTTGGCTGCATAAATGACTTCTTTTGAGAAGTGTCTGTTCATATCCTTCGCCCACTTGTTGATGGGGTTGTTTGTTTTTTTCTTGTAAATTTGTTTGAGTTCTTCGTAGATTCTGGATATTAGCCCTTTGTCAGATGAGTAGATTGCAAACATTTTCTCCCAATCTGTAGGTTGCCTGTTCACTCTGGTGGTAGTTTCTTTTGCTGCGCAGAAGCTCTTTCGTTTAATTAGATCCCATTTGTCAATTTTGGCTTCTGTTGCCATTGCTTTTGGTGTTTTAGACATGAAGTCCTTGCCCATGCCTATGTCCTGAATGGTATTGCCTAGGTTTTCTTCTAGGGTTTTTGTGGTTTTAGGTCTAACATGTAAGTCTTTAATCCATCTGGAATTAATTTTTGTATAAGTTGTAAGGAAAGGATCCAGTTTCAGCTTTCTACATATGGCTAGCCAGTTTTCCCAGCACCATTTATTAAATAGGGAATCCTTTCCCCATTTCTTGTTTTTGTCAGGTTTGTCAAAGATTAGATGGTTGTAGATGTGTGGTATTGTATCTGAGGGGTCTGTTCTGTTCCATTAGTCTGTGTCTCTGTTTTGCTACCAGAACCATGCTGTTTTGGTTACTGTAACCTCTTAGTATAGTTTGAAGTCAGGTAGCATGATGCCTCCAGCTTTGTTCTTTTGGCTTAGGATTATCTTGACAATGCAGGCTCTTTATTGGTCCCATATGAACTTTAAAGCAGTTTTTTTCTAATTCTGTGAAGGAAGTCATTGGTAGCTTGATGGTGATGGCATTGAATCTATAAATTACCTTGGACAGTATGGCCATTTTCACAAGATTGATTCTTCCTATCCATGAGCATGGAATGTTCTTCCATTTGTTTATATCCTCTTTTATTTCGTTGAGCAGTGGTTTGTATTTCTCCTTGAGGAAGTCCTTCACATCCCTTGTAAGTTGGATTCCTAGGTATTTTATTCTCTTTGAAGCAATTGTGAATGGGAGTTCACTCATGATTTGGCTCTCTGTCTGTTACTGGTGTATAAGAACACTTGTGATTTTTGCACATTGATTTTGTATCCTGAGACTTTGCTGAAGTTGCTTATCAGTTTAAGGAGATTTTGGGCTGAGACGATGGGATTTTCTAGATGTACAATCATATCATCTGCAAGCAGGGACAATTCGGCTTCCTCTTTTCCTAATTGAATACCCTTTATTACTTTCTCCTGCCTGATTGCCCTGGCCAGAACTTCCAACACTATGTTGAAGAGGAGTGGTGAGAGAGGGCATCCCTGTCTTGTGCCAGTTTTCAAAGGGAATGCTTCCAGTTTTTGCCCATTCAGTATGATATTGGCTGTGGGTTTGTCATAAATAGCTCTTGTTATTTTGAGATACATCCCATCAATACCTAATTTATTGAGAGTTTTTAGCATAAAGGCTGTTGAATTTTGTCAAAGGCCTTTTCTGCATCTATTGAGATAATCATGTGGTTTTTGTCTTTGGTTCTGTTTATATGCTGGATTACGTTTATTGATTTGGGTATGTTGAACCAGCCTTGCATCCCAGGGATGAAGCCCACTTGATCATGGTGGATGAGCTTTTTGATGTGCTGCTGGATTCGGTTTGCCAGTATTTTATTGAGGACTTTTGCATCGATGTTCATCAGGGATATTGGTCTAAAGTTCTCTTTTTTGGTTGTGTCTCTGCCCGGCTTTGGTATCAGGATGATGCTGGCCTCATAAAATGAGTTAGAGAGGATTCCTTCTCTTTCTATTGATTGGAATAGTTTCAGAAGGAATGGTACCAGCTCCTCCTTGTACCTCTGGTAGAATTTGGTTGTGAATCCATCTGGTCCTGGACTTTTTTGGTTGATAAGCTATTAATTATTGCCTCAATTTCAGAGCCTGTTATTGGTCTATTCAGAGATTCAGCTTCCTCCTGGTTTAGTCTTGGGAGGGTGCATGTGTCGAGGAATTTATCCATTTCTTCTAGATTTTCTAGTTTATTTGCATAGAGGTGTTTATAGTATTCTCTGATGGTAGTTTGTATTTCTGTGGGATCAGTGGTGATATCCCCTTTATCATTTTTTATTGCATCTATTTGATTCTTCTCTCTTTTCTTCTTTATTAGTCTTGCTAGTGGTCTATCAGTTTTGTTGATCTTTTCAAAAACCAGCTCCTGGATTCACTGATTTTTTGAAGGGTTTTTTTGTGTCTCTATCTCCTTCATTTCTGCTCTGATGTTAGTTATTTCTTGCCTTCTGCTAGCTTTTGAATGTGTTTGCTCTTGCTTCTCTAGTTCTTTTAATTGTGATGTTAGGGTGTTAATTTTAGATATTTCCTGCTTTCTCTTGTGGACATTTAGTGCTATAAATGTCCCTCTACACACCGCTTTAAATGTGTGGGGACATCGTTTTTAGAGTTAATGAAAAAGAACACAAGACATCTATATATTCATTAACTGAAATCAATTTTATTGTCCTTCCTATATTTCATAATAGGGTTCTCATAACATCCTGGATATGGATAAAATTCAGGTCCCAGTGTTCCCATGCTACTCTGAGCCATTTGCTTGTATCTCATACCCCCATGATGCAAGGAACCATGTCTCACATGAGGGGAACTCATGAAGACTTGTCAATGGGACAGAAGGACCCTCCAACCTGAGAGTGAGGTTCTCTTTTACTCCAGTGTCAGAGGTTGCTTGGCTCTCTACAGAGATTCAGCTGGACTTCTAGATTCACAATTGAATTTAGAAACATTCAGAATATAGCTATGCAGTGATATATGTAGGGAGAAGATAGCTGTTGAGATGCTTATGGGTGAGGTAGCTGTTCCTCTGAGAGGGCAAGGGAAAGGAGTGGCCATGGGGGTGGGGAGGCAAACTTAGCCTCCCACAGAAGCCATTATTCTGTCCCTTCACAATTATAACTGTGATATCCACTATCCTAATGAGTCAGCTGAGTCTCTGTCCTGCAAGTTCATAGATTTGGCTGCCCCATGCCTGGGTACCAAGGCATTCTCAAATTGTGATTCTAAAATTCCTAGGAGTTCGAGGCTTAACCCTGATCACATCACCAGTGCTAAAGTAACATGACATGATTAATTCTTCTAGACCTCTGCCCTTACTCTAAACCTAGCTGTTCCACTAGCCAACCCATCACACTACTGTCTCCTCTATCAGATGATTCATACTCCATGCACTGATATTGTTCTAGAATGTTGTGGAAAGATCTTTGGCTCAAATATAGGAACTAAAAAAGTCCCATCGTTGGTTCTCATGTCACTTGGCTGTCTACATGCATCGATTTTAGGAGTCCAAATCTTACTTGGCTCTGAGTCTTTGTTCTCTCACTTCCTTAACTGAACTTCTGATCTGTGTCTTAGCTCACTTTCTGGACACATTGTCTGGCCTATCTGACATACAGGATTTTTATAAACCAATCTAAATACCATCAGAAAATTGTAAAGGAGAGAGCGAATTGGTGAGAAGAGTGGTTCTCACAGTCCGGAAACTAATTTTCAATTGACTACCATAGTTCCTTGATCCTGAAAAGCGCACTTGTTTTCTACAATTGTGTATCTCTGAAATTAAGGTGTCCTGTAATTAATAATTAAATCTAATGTAGAAAGTATCTTTCTTTTTTTCTGAAAAACTTTTATTGGATCAGTGTGTTGAATCTGTGCTCAAATCTAAGAATGAAGAACGAAGGAATTATTATATGCCTGCAAATATTTTGGTTATGTTGATTTGCTAGCCCTAAGGGCATTAAGGTATGTTGTACAGCTAGGAAAAGTGAAATGAGTAAAGAGAAGAAAATCAGGGATCAGCCAGGGAGCATAGGGCTAGTTTTTCATTTTGACCTCCAATTCTTTCATAATTATTTGCTCTGAGCATCTGGGCCTCATTCCTTGATCTTGTATGCCTCAGGCTGCTTCTTTGTCTTTGTGGTTGAGGTTAGTGGAGGCTGTGTCTGAATTTAATATCCTGCTTTCTTATAGCGAGCTGATCCTTTCAAGGCACAGGTAATTCAGCAACACCCAAAATATTATTTGCATTTGTGGGGATTGGGGGCAGAGTTCCTATATACCAGAGCAAGTGCTTTATGGGTATATACATTTTATAATTTAATTCTCAGAACAAACCTATGAAGTGGTATTTTCTCAGTTTTACATATAGGGCAGCAGGCCTAAAGATGCTCAGTAAATTACCTGTTTTTGACCCAAGGAATTTGCAAAGAATTTAACAATGTTAATCTCTGAAATCCATTTTATGGCATTATCCTGACCCTCAATAGACCTTTATACCACCTTAATTGGATATTGTGAAGATGAATATGTTCACAATCTCTCCCACATATGCATGCCACACACACACACACACACACACACACACACACACACACAGTTTATCAGCAACTTTATTGAGGAAAAGTTTAGGTCTGGAGACAGGAGGTAGGGATAGAAAAGTACCTGGTACATAGATATGGAGAAAGGAATTGAGTGCAGGCCAGAGAGCCTGCAGCCTTCAGTACTGGGTTAGAACAGCTATGTGCACACACAATAGGAAGCCATTGCAATGCTGAAAACTGAGGAACAAGGAAGGATTCTGAGAGGTCATCTAATATCTTTCCTGTTTTCAGACAGCTCCAGATTTAAGCTATTCTGAAAGCATTTATGTGGAATTTGAAATGAAATGTAGCTGCTTAGTCTTTAATAGAAGACAAACAAAATGCAGGAGCTTGTGGGTCGATTCTGAACAAGGTATCTTTTTTTAATGCATCACACTGGGGGGTGAACACATATTTGAAAGGGCTTAGAATGCACATAAAGGCTCTGTACTTTGACCTTGACCAATGCCAGAGAATGCAAATCCCCACAGTAAGAAACTACCACCCAGAACTATAAATAAAAAGAAAATGAGAAATAAATGAGCTACATGTTGGTATTTTGTGACAAATCCCCCAGATTGATGAGAAGAATACCACACAAACTCATCCTGGAATGTTGAGATCCATAACATATGTACAAAATGCAAAAGCCACTCTTCTTAATGCTTCTTTATGGGCTGCTTCTCCATGGGGTTGTCCTGAAAAAAATGTGTTTTGGGAAGTAAAAGAGAACCTTCACTCTAAGATCTTAGTTCTGCAGTGCTTAAATCCCTCTCACAGTGACAAACAGAGACCATAACTGATGCTTTTGAAGTTAGGTTTAATCTAAGAAAAGATTCTTAAGCTTTTAACAAGACTCTGGATAGAATAGCTGGATCAGGATTTTTTTTTTAATATCATCTGAATGTCACTGAACAAAGCATTTGGAGATGGAGGAAGCATAGGGCATTATTAACTGGAGGAAAAGTGATGACTTTTCCCTTTTTGTTCATTCTTAATAAATTATGTGCTTTCAGCTAAAATAAATGGGGCTCAGTATTCATAACCATTTCACACTTCACGTTAACTCTTTTTTGTTGTTCCTCAGCTCCCTGAGAGCCAAGTTCTTTATGAAGGCTTGTTTTTATTACCTGAATTAATCTAGAGTTCTAGGTGGTAAAGATTATCCCCTGAAACCGTGAATGAGAAAATGGATATAGGTGAGGTGCTTTTCCTCTGCTGCTTATCATAATTTACAGTGATCTGGATTGCAAGTTTTAGGGGAGATTTTGTCCAGTTGTTTGTTGGTAGATGTTTAACAACTGGCTCTCCAGAAAAGAAAAATAAATAAATAAAAAGAGAAAAAAATCCCCACTGATAACCGTGTTTGACAATTTCGTTGGTATAAATACTCTAACCAATGTTGAATTCAACCTACCAGTGCCTTAACAACTGGCCAAATTTTGCCAATTGGCAGTTGTTAGTGCTGACTTCAACCTTTCATTATCTCTTTTAGTTTTGCTTCTCAAAATCCTCTCAATCAAAATTGGAAAGATCATTTGAATAAGCAGAAACCACCACCACCATCACCACCACCACACTACATTAAGTCAAGCAAAATCACAATGTACCCATAAGTATGTGCAATTATCGTGTCACCTACAATTTTTTAAAAATAAAACATTTAAAAAAGAAGTCAAACTGAATACTGAACCCTGTAACACATCACTAGGGAATACAGTATGTCCTTATTTAAACTTGCCTATAGGTTTTTGGATATACTGTATGTTATAGAAACTTAACTCTTATTTATATCAATTAGCCTATGGTAAAATTATTTCTTTAATGCAGTACATTGTTTCACTTGAAGTCAAACTTTTCAAAAACCTATTGACAATGTTATAGGAGGACTCACTGTATACCCTAGTTTACTTTTATGTCTATTTAAGGTCCACAGAGAGTGTATTAAAAATATAAGCCCAGTCCTCACTTCTGGATGGCTGTGAATAATAAAACATAACCTATTCTTCTTTATGTTTTTTTTTAAGTTCAACCAATTTTTACATAAACAAAAGTGATTTATTGCCTTTAACCAAAAGTCTGTATTTTGGCAGGAATATTGAGTTCATCATTGTACAGTTCTAACCCATGAGTGCCTGCTTACTATGCCTGAAATATTCTCTTGCATTTTCTGCCTGTCACAGATGACTCTTTGTGGTCAGCAGGCAAAAAAGAACACAAGATACTTAGCTGGTGAGGTAACATGTTGATTTTAGCTTTGACCTTTTAAACCTCAGTTAGTTTTTATTATTTGGTTTGTTCAGGAATGAGGCTAACATTCTTGATGACCATTCATTCAGTGGTCAGCTAGGGCAATAACATTGATGCTCCTGTAATTGCCAAACAATGGAAAGGAAGTGATGAAGAATACTCATGGCTGGAATTTAGGCAGCTAGGGGAGGAAGGTACAGTTTGGAAATGATGGCTACTTGGTTCGTGTTAGCACAAGAGTCAGGCAAGAGAGCATTTAGGGAGAAATTAGAGGAATAAGATTGCATGTGTCAGTCCAGGATAACATAGTCTAGATAAACTTTGTGTCTCCAGTCCTAATTATTAACTTAATGCCTTTCCATTATCTCTTTGGCTTGGAATCATGGTTATTTCCATGGAAAATGGGCTAAAATATCAGGGCATAAATAAGGAGAGTCTATATGTGTTATCCTGATAGGGTGGTATGTTAGTTTATTCTTGCATTGCTATAAAGAACTACCTGAAACTAGATAGTTCATATTTTAAAAAGGTTTAATTGATTCACAGTTCTGCAGGCTATATAGGAAGCAAGCTTGGAAGGGCTCAGGAAACTTACAATCATGGCAGAAGTTGAAGGGGAAGCAGGCATGTCTTATATGGCCAGAGAAGGAGGAAGAAAGGGAGGGGAGAGGTTCCATACACTTTTAAGCAAACAGATTGTGTGAGAACTCACTCACTATCATGAGAACAGCAAGGGAGAAGTCCACCCTTGTGATCTACATTACCTCCCACCACACCCCCTCTTCAACACCGGGGATCACAATTTGACATGAGATTTGACTAGGGACACAAATTCAAACCGTATATTTGCAACCCTGCCTGTTCCCAAATCTCATGCCCTTCTCACATTGCAAAATGCAATCAACTATTCTCAACAGTCCCCCAAGTCTTAACTCATCTCATTATCAGTATTAACACAGAAGTCCACAGTCCAAATTCTCATCTGAGACAAGGCAAGTCCCTTCTGCCTGTGAGACTGTAAAAACCAAAAACAAGTTAATACTTCCAAGATACAATGAAGATATGGGGATTGGCTAAATACTCCCATTCCAAAAGGCAGAAGTAGGCCAAAACAAAGGGCTACAAACCCCATGCAAGTCTGGAACCAAGCAAGGCAGTCATTAAATACTAAAGATCCAAAATAATCTCATTTGACTCCATGTCTCACACCCATGTCACACTGTTGCAAGGGGTGGGCTCTCAAGGACTTTTGCAGCTCTGTCCCTGTGGCTCTGCAGGGTACAGCCCCTGCAGCTGCTTTAAAAGGCTGGCATTTAGTGCCTGTGGCTTTTCCAGGTACATGGTGCAAGCTGTAGGTAGATCTATCATTTTGGGGTCTGGAGGATGGTGACCCTCTTCTCACAGCTCCACTAGGCAATTCTCTAGTGGGGACTTTGTGTTGGGGCTTCAACCCTACATTTTTCCTTCACACTGCCCTAGTAGAGGTTCTCCATGAGGGCTCCATCCCTGCCGCAGACTTCTGCATGGACATCCAAGTTTTTCCTTTCATCATTTGAAATCTAAGTGGAAGCTCCCAAGCATCAACTTTTGCCTTCTGCCTGCTCACAGGCTTAACACCACATGAAGGCTGCCTAGGCTTATGGTTTGCACCCTCTGGAGAAGAAGCCTGAGGCATATCTGGGGCCCTTTTAGTCACAGCTAGAGTTGGAGCAGCTGGGCTACAGAGACCAGTGTCCTGAAGTTGCATAGGGCAGCAGGGCTATAGGCCTGGTCCTGGAAACCATTCTTCCCTCCTAGGCCTCCAGGCCTGTGATGGGAGGAGCTGCCACAAAGTTCTCTGAAATGCTTTCAAGGCATTTTCCCCATTTTCTTGGCTATTAACATTCAGCTCCCCTTTACTTATGCAAATTTCTGAAGTGATTTGAATTCCTCTCCCAAAAATGGGGAGAGGAAATCTACATGGTCAGACTAAAAATTTCCTAAGCTTTTATTCCCTGCTTCCCTTTGAAATATAAATTCCAGTTTTAGATAATCTCTTTGCTCATATATATGACCATACATGAAGGAATCAGGCCAAATCTTGAATGCTTGCTGTTTAGAAATTTTTTTCTACCTGCTACCCTAAATCACCACTCTCAAGTTCAAAGTTCCACAGATCTCTTGAGCAGGAACAGAGTGCCACCAGTCTCTTTGCTAAAGCTTAGCAAAAGTTTCTTTTACTCCAGTTCCCAATAAGTTCCTTATATCCATCTGAGAACACCTCAGCCTGGACTTCAATGTCCATGTCACTATCGCACTTTGGTCACAACAATTTAACAAGTCTCTAGGAAGTTCCAAACTTACCCTCATATTCTTGTCTTCTTCTGAGCCCTCCTAACTGTTCAAACCTCTACCCATTACCCAGTTCCAAAGTTGCTTTCACATTTACAGTTATCTTTATAGCAATGCCCCACTTTCCAATACAAATTTTCTGTATTAGTCAGTTCTCACATTGCTATAAAGATACCTGAGAATGAGTAATTTATAAAGAAAAGAGGTTTAATTGACTCACAGTTCTGCAGGCTGTATAGGAAGCACAGCTTGGGAGGCCTCAGGAAATTTACAATCATGGCAGAAGGTGAAGGGGAAGTAAGCATGTCTTACATGGCCAGAGAAGGAGGAAGAGAGAGAGGGGAGAGGTGCCACACACTTTTAAGCAACAAAATCTTGTGAGAACTCACTCACTATCATGAGAACAGCAAGGAGGATATCTGCCCCCATGATCCAATTACCTCCCATGAGCCCCCTCCTCCAATATTGAGGATTACAATTCCAAATGCGATTTGGGCAGGAGCACAAATTCAAACTATATCAGGTGGCCAACTTGTTCCTGTTTGTCTATAAAAATGGAAAATCTTTATTTTCCCATTTTAGAACTGGAAACACCTTGTCCTGGAAATGCTTTCCATTCCCAGGAAAACAGGAACAGTTGATAACCTACATACTGAGCATTCAGATCACATTCCCATAGTAAGTGTATGTGTGTGTGTGTGTTTGTGTGCATGTGTGTACTTATTAAATCAGATTTATAAACTACTATATGACACATCCATCAATTAACATTTTGGGGTGTACAATTGTTTAATCAGATATTATCCATCTATTTATGATTTTTCATCTTGTCAAAAAATATGTCATGAGGGGCTTGTTTTTCTGACATCAGAATATAATAAATCAATACATCAGTTTTGCCATTGCAACAGACACATCAAAAACGACATAAATGTCATAAAATAATACTTTTTGAAAATTTGACAGAAATTAATATTAAACTCTCTGTTCAATAGAATATAGAACCTCCTAGGCCTCCAGGCCTCTTTTCAATTTACTATCATTTACTTTTTATTTTACTATCAGTTTTTTGCTTTTAAAGAATATGTGGCTTTGCAATTTAGGCAGAACTTGTCTTAAATTTTGTATCTTCCACTTGTACAAGTCATAACCTCTATTTCAAGTCATTCTATCTTTCATTTCCTCTATAAAGTCATGCTTTTTAGAAGACTTATATTTAATTGAGATAATACATGTAAAAGGTTTGATCCATTGCATATGTTCAATAAACATTAATTTACTTCTCCTCATTTTTTAAAAGCTAGTACTATGTTTGGCCATATCCTGTTTTATAATCTTCTCATAATTCTTTTGTAATAATTGACAGTGGTTTTGTAATAATATAGGTCAACTAGTGACATGACAGGACAGTAATTTATAAAGCAAAACTTTTATTCTCACAATACTAATTCATAAAATACTAATAACAAATGTATCTGATTACTGTCCAATGTGAGGCTAAGGACTGAATACTATTCTGTGCTCAATGAAAATGAAAACATTTACTTGAGGTGTGAACATGCTTTTGATGAGAATAATGAGTCCTTTCTTTCATGTTCATATTAAACAATTTTTGAATATTATTTAAATACTGGTACATCTTAACAAGCTGACTCTAATTACAGTAAACTAAGTCAAGGTGCCAGCCCCTGATTGATTAATTACTTGGTTGACTTGACTGAAGTTTGTCAAAATTAACTCTCAGTATATTTGTAGAGCCAGTAATGAAAATGAGTGCGGGATACTAAATACAAATACTAAATAAAATAAGATATTAAAGATATGTTTAGTTTATACAAACCTCTCATTTTAAAGAAGAAACAAAAAGTAAATGTTAGAAGTAACAGTTCCAAAATCACACAGAGAATTAGCAACAATTAGGACAAAAATTAAGAATCTTGGCATCTAATCAACACTGTCTCCACAACATTTTATATTTTAAAAAAGATATTCAGGGAGGGGCTTGAAAACAATGTGTTTTTTTCCAACATTCTGAACACATAAATTTTTTCAAGAAAATGCATTGATAGAATTTTTACTTAGATTTATATTTTGTATTCTAAAATTATTAAATACAGGGTCACTAATTAGCAGAGTGCAAGGAAACAACTACATTCCCATCGGAACAATTCTATTGGAAGATTACTCTGCTAACTGGTTTTTAGGGGTTGTTGCCGTGGCCAATTGACTGCTAACCCCTGCAGACAGTGGTATTATGTGATAGGTATCTATTCTTACTCCTTGTCCAGTTACATTAATTGATTGATGTTGATAAATCTTTATTTAATCACATCATGAGAAATAAGAAAAATGGCCTATTTAAGAACATCAGGATAACAGCCTTTTCCCAATGTGAACCAAGAGGATCATAACTCAAAATATCTACATTATCTTAAAAAGTGATCTTGGTAATGAATATTGTAATTGAATTTAGTACCAATAGCCAGAAGAAAATTGTACAAATTTAGTTATTAAAGGAGATTATGTTTACATTCTCCAAGAGAGTTGTTGCAAAGTTGCAATGATAACCAAGAAAGTACAGAGAGAAGAAAAAAGGATGCATTACTGAAATTCTCAATAGAAAAAAATAGACTAACCTGGACCTGAGAAGAACAAGATAAAGGCTGAGGGGCCCACGAGAAGGATGGTGTTGGGGGGATGTTGGGGAAATTCAGCAAAAATTGGATTTTGGGAGGCAGAGCAGGTTATTTGAAAAGGTTGGGTCATAAGGAGTATATATTTTAGATGTGTTAAACTCTTATCACATGCAGTTATATAAACTTATATTACTGAGGTGGGAAAGTTCAGTAGACAGTATAAGTCATGGGCATTAAGACTAAAGTAGAGAACGCAGTTGAAGCAATAGGTTCAGGAGCCATTGGCATTTGCGTGATACCATATTCCCACCATGTATCAAACCCTGTATATTATAATAAATTACCTTGTCCTGACTCCCCAGGAATTTGCTCATACTTCAGTAGATGAAACAGACAAATGAATCGGTTAAAATACAGAGTGACAAAAATCATGGTAAAATAATATATAAATGTCCTTTGGGATCTAGAGGGAGAAATTACCTCTAATTTGGTATTAGAATGGAGGATAGAAATTTGCTCAATGCAGAATGGTGGAAGAGCAGGCCAGGGAGAAGGCCAGAGTTGGTAAAGCCATGGAGGTGGAAAAGAAAACACAAAATTTTGAAGGACTCATTATGGATTCATCGTGGATAGCAAAGGGTGAATCAAATGTACATGAACTGAAGAGATAGCCCGTAGTGCCTTGTGAAGGGTGTTGTTAGTCCTATAAAGAATTTTGAACTTGTTTTTGTTGGGGAAATCATTAAATCGTTTTCATCAGAGAAGTGACATGATGAGATTTGCATCTCAGGAAGGTCAGTTAGGCTTTATGAGAAATGAACTAGAGGGAAAAAAGCAGAAGTTAGAAAGACTAGACAAGAGACCATTGCAATATCTAGGCAGGTGATGATGATGGCTTGAAACAAGAATTTTGAGAATTATTTAGGGGGTAGAATTAGTAGACTAGGTGAACGAATGAATATAAAGACCAGGAAAGAATAATAATTCAAATCAAAAACACAGGTTGTGGCATGATGGGTTCATTCCTCGAGATAGTTGTAACAAGTATCCAAGTAAAGAAAGAAGGATGTGATCTTGAACATATTGAGTTTGAGGAACTCATGAGAATCACAACTTGTCACCTTGACATATGAGTTTGGAACAAAGTAGAGAGGCATGAGATGAAGTAAAGACTAGGAATTATTACTAAGCTTTAGTTTTTTAGGGTTTTTTTTAAAGCCTCAAAATTAAATTAAATCTACTATGAAGAGCATGAAGAATGACGAAAGAAGTCTTCATGCAAAACCCTGAGAAACCCTAACATTATAGGCACAGGTAGAGAAAAATAACCTGTAATGCATTTAGAGGAGGCATCTATGTAGGAAGTAAACCAGAGAAATGTGGTGGTATTAGCTTGAATGTAGATAAAGTGGATGGTTGACTCTACCTTGAGGTGGAATAATACTGGGTAGATGTAATAAAGGAAAACTGGGGCAAAAATTTAAAAATTATGGTAAGATTGTTGCAGTGATCAGAAAATGGTAACTAAGAGAGTCCAAGAAAGAAAGACATGAGGCGATAAAAAAGTGTCAAACCCCAGAAATTCTCAATAATGTCAAGATATAGGTAAAGAGAGTAACAGAGTATAAGAAAGATAAAGATTGTGGTAAAGAGTTTTTTTCATATATGTACATTTAAAAATTCTACAAATAATGTATACATACATACTTATTGAAAGCAATTCAGGACATACAGAACTACAAAGAATGAAACATTAAAATATCTCCTTATTGTCCTCATTATTAACCTTTTTCCCAAAGAAATCACTCTTAGCAGTTTATTTATCCTTTTGGAAAATTCCTATGCATTTATACATACACATAGCTGTAAATGATTTATTTGCACAAAAATGGATTGTAATATTCTGATAAAAGTCCATTAAGATACGTTGTTAATTGACTTTTTTCATCTAACTATATGTTTTAGAAAACTTTCATATCAGCATATTTTTATCTACCTCGTTTGTATAAATAATTGCATGATATCCTGTATTATGCAATGACAATAATTTAGCCATTTCCTATTGTTGGGCAATTCAGTTATGTGAGAGCCGAATTTAAACGAAATGTTTCAGAAGTAAAATAACACTGGATGGTAGCGAAGTTTAGGGTGAGGGCAGTGGGTGGATGGCAGAAATAGGGTTGGGGAGGCACTGGTGATAAAAACACAGAGAGGAATTTACCAATTGTACAGTGGCTTAACACAAGGGGTACTGAGGGCACCTAGGGTGAAGACAGAAATGGAGCTGGGCCAAAGGGTAGTGTGCTTTAAGCTAAAGGAAGCAATGAAGAAGGATGAATGACCAGAAGCATGGTAGGTATTAGTGATGAGGAGGTATTCAAATTATATGATTAGGTAGAAAGAGCTGCAAGATGTCTTTTTCTTTCTTATTTTTCTTACTGAGGTCTAAATAGAAATGTTCTGGAAAAATCACTAGAGAGAGAGTAATGAGAATGATAACCATTTCTTTGACCTAGAGGCAAGGAAAATGAAGGAGAAAAAGAAATTTTCATTTGAGATGCATTTATTACAATTTGTATCCTTCAGGCACTTCTAGATATCTGTTGAGGCCTGGAAGGGGCAAAACAATTCAGGAAGCAGTTGAAGATAAAGGGGTTTACCATGGAAGAGAAGATCCAGGTGCCTTCATGGAAATGCTTGTGGTTGAAAAGAGATGAAGATGAGGGTCCCTGGAAAGAGGAAGAACCAGCCAGGTATGGTAGCTCATCCCTGTAATTCCAGCACTTTGGAAGACTGAGGCAGGAGGATCACTTGAGGTCAGGAGTTCAAGACCAGCCTGGTCAACATGGTGAAACCCTGCCTCTACTAAAAATACAAAAAAATAATAATAATAATTAGCTGGGTGTGGTGGTGGGCGTGTGTAATCCCAGCTACTCAGGAGGCTAAGGCAGGAGAATCGCTTGAACTGGGAGGCAGAGGTTGCCGTGAGCCGAGATCACGCCACTGCACTCCTGCCTGGGTGACAGAGCAAGACTCCATCTCAAAAAAACAAATTTTAAATTAAAAAAAAAGAGAGAGGAAGAACCAAGCAATGTGGAGTTGAGAGAAGAGGCAGGATATGAACAAGGGTGCTGGGAGTATATGGGAGTATGAGGTGGTAGGTTGAGACGGCCTCCTGATTTCCTCAACTTAGTCCTTCCATTGGCCAAGGAGGAATTGGGAGTGAGAGGATTCAGGCCTCTTAAGAGTTATTCATGACCTGAAGTGAGGGTGCTCATGAGAAAGTTCTGGTCACAGCAAAGAGGCTGACAATAGAAACCAGTCCCTGCAACTGCCACTTTGCACTAGAAATAGCCCCTCTCTCCCTCAGGCAGCAATGATATAGGGAGCAGTGTATCCATACCAGGGTCATCTCTGCAAGCGATTCTCCTAGTCTAGGCTCAATTTCCTCATTTTAAAATAAGTGACTACACTAAATTATATCCATAGTCAAAAATCAAAGATTCCACATATTACCCTTTAGTTCATAAAATTTTCTTTTTTCTTTCATTTTTTTTTTAGGAAAATTATACCATTAGCAAGACTGGCATCAGCAAGTAGTTCGCAGTGTTGGTTGTTCTTGGTTTCGCAGGATTTTATAGGAGGTATGACATTTATTTAAAATGGATTTGTTTCTTTGTTACTCCTATTCCATGCTGGCTAGACAGCTTTCCTTGGGGTCTCTCATCTATTTCAGTGCCATTCCATTCATCACTCACAAATCATTAATTTGCCTGTGTTGTGTTACCTCCTGAGATTTTCTGTTTCTGAGTCAATAGAGTTGAGAGCTAATGTACATTTCACAAATATTCCTGGGAAAGGGCTTGGAGCAAGAATTGAAGAGACTTTATATTTTAGTATAGCATATACCGTAATAACTCATTCCTTTTATATGAGTGTTGAAGAAGGGAACTGCCAGATTAGAGGCAAGTCCATCAAAATCATTCCTCCGTGTATTCAGTCAGACAGAGTTATGTTCAGCTGAGCTTAAATCATAAGCAGTGACTGAGCACCTATGATGTCCCTAGCATTGGGCTGGGATAAGATAATGGAAGGAACATGAAACATGGTTTTTCTCTCAAAATATTCACAATTAGTTGGAGAGACCAAAAACAACCAGGTAAACAGATAAATAAGGATCGAAAGTAAATAATATTAATTGTTAATAAAAGAAAAGGTATTACAAAGCAGAACTTAATTAATGAACAAATAAATTATACAGATAGGAATTGCCATAGACTTTGAAAGAAAATTGAGATATTTCGGGCTATAATAAACAGTGAAGATTTTGAGGTAAAGTTTAGTATTAGATCTTAGTGTCTTAAGTATATAGCTTAAAGTATAGGCAGGATTTGAACATTTAAACAGAATTAGGAAGGAGATATGCAAGGTGGCTGTTTGAGAACGATCTGAACAAACACATTAGGTTGAGAAATAGCACTGTGCATTTGCAGTAGGGGACATATGAGTGGAAGCATTACGAGTTGGAGCCAGATGACGGAGGCTATGGGAGATAAGCCTGAGGGTTTTGGTTTACAAGCAGTCTTTGTTCAGGACAAGGGAAATAGAACTCTGATATAGAAAGACATTTGAGTGTCAATAAGGAATGAACAGAGCTTGAAAGTAAGAAGACCATGAGATTGATGAGAACAGAGCAAAGTCCAAGGGAATGGGCCTGAACAGATGCAGTACAGTGGGAAAAGGTGAAAGAAACCCTGGGAAGAGGAGGATTGGCTCACTCACAAATGCCTATCCTCTTTCTGCATCCTATACACACTATATTCAGAGATATTGTACTAGTTGATCCCTCCACCTGCCATAATCTTCTTTCATAGCTTTGCACAGTTTTTTTTTTTTTTTTTGGTCTTTCATGATCTCAAAAAACTATCTATAAAAGTGCCATACATTTTCTATCACATCCCACTGCCTTATTTTCTTCCTAAAACTTCTACTATCTTAAAGTGTTTTATTCTTCATTCATTCATTTTTTGCTTGCTTATAGTAATATGGCTCCCTTGAAAAAGTGTAAGCTCTGCAAACAGAATTCTTGCCTACAAAGTTCATAACTGTAATCTGCAGCACCCAAAATAATGGCTGGTACACAGTAGTGCTAATAAATACTTGTTGATGAAGGAATGACAGTGAGAAAAAAGGTGCAATGATGTAAGCGTCATTTCTGAAGGCTGTAATTCTCATTATTATCATATGTGTAACGTGTAATAATGAGTTTATGCTTAAAGAATTGCAAATTAAAGTTTTGATGCCAATGACTAGCCGAAAATATTACCCCTAGGGAAATTAAATGTTGCACCAAAAATATAAGAATCTTTATTCCATTAACTTAAGTGCCCATAGGAATGATAGAGAATTTCTTCAAATTTATTGAAAGAATGCTTCAGACAGGTTCTAATATACTAGCAGCAATATCTCTAAGGTCTCCTTCCTTCCAATGCCAACACTCTTATGATTTTAAGTTACTGAATTCATAATCCAAATCAATATTCTTTTTATATAAGTACTCAGCAAGGGTAGCCACACACTTATTCCACTAAAACTTCAAATATCTGATATTTATGAATGTTACCATGGGGAACAATATTCATAGCCTATTTCAAGAACCACATAATTAAATATATCTCATAACTTTATATGCTTCAGTTTTTGTTTAAAGTTTTATGAGAGAAATAACTATATTTTTAAAAAAACACACATTGAGGCACTTGTTAAGATTCAATCAAATTTCTTTAACATAATCTAACACTGTGCAGTGATAAGTCAGAAGTATAAATTGAATTTCATGTTAAACTATGCATTTGTGATTAACTGAGGAGTGACTGAATCAAGATAAAAGTCAGTTTTATTTACATCTCTTATGCAGGTTACAAATAAAATATTGGATAGAAGCATATGGAACATTTCAGCATGCTTGCATTTTAGTCTGATGAACAGTCACCAACACAACCTTATTTGGAAGAATTAGAGTTCAAGACCATCCATACCCTCTAAGCAGGAGGGAGAAGCATAGGTTATCCTGTTTCTGCCACAGGTGGAATGACTTCCTTACCAAAGGGTAGGAAGGAGAGAACAGCATGACTAATGTACTCCAGGTGGCTAGTAGTGATAGAAATATTACTTTTTTTTTTTTTTTTTTGAGACGTAGTCTCACTCTGTTGCCCAGGCTGGAATGCAGTGGTGTGATCTCAGCTCACAGCAACCTCCCCCTCCCAGGTTCAAGTGATTCTCCTGCCTCAGCCTCCCAGATAGCTGGAATCACAGGCATGCTCCACCACATCCGGCTAATTTTTGTATTTTTAGTAGAGATGGGGTTTCGCCATGTTGGCCAGGCTGGTCTCAGACTCCTGACCTCAGGTGATCATCCCACCTCAGCCTCCCAAAGTGCTGAGATTACAGGCATGGGCCACCATGTCTGCCCAAAAAATTGCTACTTAATCTAAGCAGAACTAATTTAGGTAGAAAAGTTAGAAACCTAATTTTGATTGCAAAAGATTTTGTTCTTATTCATTCACTGCTATATGAAATATTTTTAGCAGAATTCAAAGCATGCCAGGGTTATGTTTAAAAGGAGACTTAAACAATCCTTTTACAGAGATAACTGTGAGCTAAATTCACAGAAAGCTGTAATTGAGTGGTATGAGCATCTCCACTAAGAGCATTGTTTGAGAAGTATGGAGGTAGGAAGAAGGATACAGGGGAGAAAGAAAGAAATAGCTCAGTAGGAAGAGAACATGGAATAAGCAAATCAGGGTTGAAAAAGGACTGTGCTTAACTTTATAATTTTGCTTCTAAAAGTCACTTTCTTTCAAAAACAAAAACAAAAAACAAAGAAAATAACTATAAGCAGTGGTTCTCTTCTCCTCTGCAAAGTTCTTCAGTCTAGCTTAAGAAAATTCCCTTGATCAGGAAATAAGTTAGATAAAAATCCCATGGGGTAAAACTATTGTGAAGTGATTATGAGCTTTCTCTCCTAAAAGGACCAGCCACCAAAACGTACAATAGCACAATCAACTCAGCCTCTGTGAGCCACATCAGGCATGTCTCAGTGGATCCAGTGTAAGTGTTTTTACTAGCAGGGGGTAAAAACGGTATTCCTTAGAAGATGAGGGTTCCACAGCCTATTTAACATAGACATGAGAAGCACTACAAGACAGAAGAAGTCTATGGCTTGACCCTATTAGATGATCTTCTGAGGTGTTTATTAATAAGTGATAGGTTGTGTTTTTTTTCAATGACAAAGCAAGGATTTTTTTCTTTTACAAGACATCAAAGGAGTTTGACTCTAATTTTCTCTGTGGAGATTTGGCTGAGAGTCTCTAGATTATGGTGATAACAACACCTAAGAGATTTATTTAAGAAGTGCCCCTTGGCCCTTCCTTCAGAGAATCCACAAATCTTTATTCAATTCTGTCAGTCTCTGGCAAGGGAAATGCCATTTAGTCCAGTGAACAATTAATAAATGGTGCTCAGTAAGTGCTAGTTGATGATAATGATAATAATGATGAGATGATGATGATGGTAATAGACTTATCTTGATTCAAAAATAAATGTGTAATGTATATGTATATATATGTTTATGTATATATGTGTAAATATATATGTTTCAAATTCTCTTCAGCCTTGAAAATGAAGATTGCACATTTTTCTTTACCATATGTAAAGGAATGCTTTCAGTTTCTGGTTTTCTGTGTAAAAATTCTAGGAGATTTTATCATCAATGCTTGCACTTAGTTTTGATGAGCAGTCATTTCTGAGCTGAACATAAAATGCTTCAGTAAAATAAATAGAAAAAGTTATTAGTCTGTAGTTCTTGGTGCAAAAATGATTTTTCCCAAAATTGTATGGATTAGAAAAGTATGGTAAAATAGTAGATTTTTAACTCCTATCCAAGCCATAAATCTCTTCTCAATCTTTAGGATTCTGTAAACTTTAACATGTACTGAGTTTACTCTGGAATACTCACAATCACTTACTCTCCTCCAAGCTCTCTCAGCCACGAATAAGATAGACAGATTTGATGTGTGGTTGGGAAATTTCCTCTTATAGGATGGAGTTGTGCAGGCAAGAAATAACTCTTAAGACAGTCTGGGGAATGAGTCTAAAACATGGGCCGACAGAGGGTAATGTGAGATTGTATAGGGGGATGTTTGAGGGCATAATAAATAAAGCAAGAGTGATGCACAGACATATTTTTGTCCTAGGAAAACAATGTAAATTTAGTAAAAATATGTTCAATATTTATTCCAATATATCTTACAATAAACCAAGAGAAATACAAAATTTGATGTCTTGTAGTTAAAGAGTAAACAATAAGGACTCTGCAATTTTCATCTCCTTCAGTCAGCCTGTATAATAGGTAGAGCTATTACCAATTCATTCATTCATTTGACAACTACTAATTGAGCTTTAACTGTGTGTCAGGCTTTGCAATAAGATCTGCTCTTTCAAGTCAGAATCAAACACTGTCCTTATCTGAAAGGAGCTCCCAGCTTGAAGGGGAGGAGGTATATACATATGCACTTAGGATATTGAGATAAGTGAGGCAGTGGTTTGTAAAGACCCTGGGAAGTACAAAGAATAAAAGCACCCATTTGTAAGGTGGGGCATAAACTGTCAAGGGCATCCACAGACAGGAGATGATAACCAAATTGAAGGATGAGTAGGAGCTTATCAAGCAGAGTGGAAAGGCCATTCCAGAATGACAGGCTCGCGGGCACAGGCATGATGCAGCAGGGATGATTCAGGAAGCTACAAGAAGTCTGGTGCAATTGCAGTAGGTGTTGTCTTGAGGGCAGTGATAGGTTTTGAGGTTAGAAAAATAGGCAGGCACCAATTCACAGAAAACTTTTTTGTAAAGCTATGAATTTTGAGCATGAGGCAGTCCTTAACTATATCAAATGTGAGAATATTTCTTAAAACCACATTTTTTCAGATGCACATGAGACAAAATAGTTACTAAATGAGAAAATATATAATGACATAGGGCCATAATTAATAATGCACTTAATAAATTTATGCTTATCACTACCAAAAAATTTATTGAACACTTACATTGTGCCCTTCATGGTACTGGGAAAGGAAGAGGTGCAATTTAGAAGAGACAATTCTCGTTCTTAAATTGGTTAGCATCTATTAAGGGAACAAATACTTGACAACCCAAAACAATACACTGTGAAAATTTCAATAATGGAGGGACCTGTAGGTGCAAAAGGGATTGCAGAGATGAGAGAATCCTAGGTTTTCTCAGAGGTGTCAGGGAAAGTGTCACAGAACGAGGCTTAGTTTACTTTTTGCAAAAGGAGTAGGAATTCTCTAGAAAGAAGCATTTCTATGAAGGAGGCAATAGGGCATTTTAGGCGGCGGAAACAGCTTGTGCAAAGGCTGAGGAGTCAGGAAAGGCAAAATATGAACTTACTAGAATGGCAACAAGGTCAAAGGGCAAAGAAATTATGACTGTGAAGATTTCTTTTTATCTAATTTGGAAAATGAAGAGTTAGTTCTCCAGCTGTGTAAGAGGTAGGCAGATTCTTGACCAACTAGTTTGGCATTAGGACTCCTGGGCATAAGAACTTTTAATTGGAACATCTAGTTATTAGTGGAATCTACGGCGATTCTCTATTTGCCTGAAATATCACAGTGAGAACAACAGAGGAAGCAGCTTTGTAGGAATTAAACAATATTATAAAAATGGAAATAAAACTGAAATTATATATGCTTCTAATTTGAAAATGCAGATCAGAGAGAAAATATCAAAATGGTAATAGCTGCATTTTAAAAGCACTATTTATCACTACTTTGCAACCTACTATTATTGGACTATTACCTTGATGATTAAACTTTTCAATTACATGTTGCATCGTATTAGGTTTTATACAATCATTAATTAGTTCACTCACATAAAACCCAGTGAGGAAGCTGAAAGATTTTATTACCTACTGTTTTACAGATGAGAAAACAAGGCAACAAGGTTAAGTGGCTTCCTGAATTTTTCCTATCGGGTCTGAGGCCTGCAGGATGGGAGTCTGGCCCCCAGCATGGCCTGCCTGGCATGGCTCCCTCAGTTCTGCTCCCAGCTTCACATGCTCCACTAATTGGGGATGGGTACCCCTGGTGTTCTTGAAAATTAATGATATTCAAAGCTACAAGATGTATCTGTTGTAGTCTATGTTTGTTTACTTGTGGCAATTAGTGACCATCTGCTCTGGAGGTGATGGTATTAGGCCCTCTTTTGGAAATAGTAACTTCTAGGAAGGAGACGCCCAGGCTATTAGGGAAGGAGGGCTGACAAATGAATGGGGTCTCGGGTTCTCCAGAGGGTGGAGAGACTGCATGTCAGACATGTAAGGAAAAAAGCAAACTGAGTCATTTATTCTCTTCTCTTGTTGCCTCTCCTTTTTCTCTATCTTCTGTCATCAAATCATGGTTACTTGCCCAGAGTTTCTGTCAGGCCTTTGAGCCCAAGCTAAGCCATCATACCCCTGTGACCTACACGTTATACATCCAGATGGCCTGAAGCAATTGAAGATCCACAAAATAAGTGAAAATAGCCTTAACGGATGACATTCCACCATTGTGATTTGTTTCCACCCCACCCTAACTGATACATATATTCTCCCCCACCCTTAAGAAGGTACTTCGGAATGTTCTCTCCCGCTCTTAAGAATGTGCTTTGTATGCCTATCCCAAACCTGTAAGAACTAATGATAATCCCACCACCCTTTGCTGACTCTTTTTTTTGGACTCAGCCCATCTGCACTCAGGTGAAATAAACAGCCTTGTTACTCACACAAAGCCTGTTTGGTGGTCTCTTCACATGGATGTGCGTGACATTTGGTGCCGTGACTAGGATTGGGGGCCCTCCCTTGGGAGATCAATCCCCTGTCCTCCTGCTCTTTGCTCCATGAGAAAGATCCACCTACGACTTTGGGTCCTTAGACCAACCAGCCCAAGGAACATCTCACCAATTTTAAATCGGGTAAGCAGCCTCTTTTTACTCTCTTCTCCAGCCTCTCTCAGTATCCCTCAATCTCTTTCTCCTTTCAATCTTGGCACCATCCTTCATTTCTCCCTTGTCTTAATTTCAGTTCATTTCCTTTTCTGGTAGAGACAGAGGAGATGCGTTTTATCCGTGAACCCAAAACTCCGGCACTGGTCATGGATTCAGGAAGACAGTCTTCCCTTGGTGTTTAATCACTGGAGGGATGCCTGCTTGATTATTCACCCACGTTTCAGAGGTGTCTGATCACAGTGGGGATGCCTGCTTTGATCCTTCACCCTTAGTGGCAAGCACCACTTTCCTGGGGGGCAAGCACACCCCACTCCTTCTCTTTGTGTCTCTACCCTCTCTTTTCTCTGGGCTTGCCTCCTTCACTATGGGCAAACTTCCACCGTCCATTCCTCCTTCTTCTCCCTTAGCCTGTGTTCTCAAAAACTTAAAACCTCTTCAACTCACACCTGACCTAAAACCTAAATGCCTTATTTTCTTCTGCAATGCTGCTTAACCCCAATACAAACTCGACAGTGGTTCCAAATAGCCAGAAAGTGGCACTTTTGATTTTTCCATCCAACAAGATCTAGATAATTCTTGTCGTAAAATGGGCAAACTGTCTGAGCTGCCTGATGTCCAGGCATTCTTTTACACATCAGTCCCTCTCTAGTCTCTGTTCTCAATGTGACTCGTCCCAAATCCTCCTTGTTTCCCTCCTGCCTGTCCCCTCAGTCCCAACCCCAAGCATCACTGTGTCTTTTCAATCTTCCTTTTCTACAGACCCATCTGACCTCTCCCCTCATCCCCAGACTGCTCCACCTCGGGTCACTCCCTGCCAGGCTGAATCAGGCTCCAATTCTTTCTCAGCCTCCACTCCCCCTACCCTATAATCCTTCTATCAACTCCCCTCCTCACACCCGGTCTGGCTTACACTTTCGTTCCACGACTAGCCCTCTCCCACTTGCCCAAAAATTTCCTCTTAAAGAGGTGGCTGGAGCTAAAGGCATAGTCAGGGTTAATGCTCCTTTTTCTTTATCCGACCTCTCCCAAATCAATTGGCATTTAGGCTCTTTTTCATCAAATATAAAAACCCAACTCAGTTCATGGCTCGTTTGGCAGCATCCCTGAGATGCTTTACAGCCCTAGACCCTGAAAGGTCAGAAGGCCGTCTTATTCTCAACATGCATTTTATTACCCAATCCACTCCCGACATTAAAAAAGCTCCAAAAATTAGATTCTGGCCCTCAAGCCCCCCAACAGGACTTAATTAACCTCGCCTTCAAGGTATACAATAATAGAGTAGAGTCAGCCAAGTGGCAACATATTTCTGAGTTGCAATTCCTTGCCTCCACTGTGAAAGAAACCCCAGCCACATCTCCAGCACACAAGAACTTCAAAATGCATACACCGCAGTGGTCAAGCATTCCTACAAGACCTCTTCCATCAGGATTTTACTTCAAGTGCCAGAAATCTGGCCACTGGGCCAAGGAATATCTGCAGTCCGGGATTCCTTCTAAGCCGTGTCCCATCTGCACAGGACCCCACTGAAAATCAGACTGTCCACTGAAACTCACCCGGCAGCCACTCCCAGAGCCCCTAGAACTCTGGCCCAAGGCTTTCTGACTGACTCCCTCCCAGATCTTCTTGGCTTAGTGACTGAAGACTAATCTCCCAATCACCTCAGAAGCTTCCTGGACCATCACAGATGCTTTGGGTAACTCTTACAGTGGAGGGTAAGTCCGTCCCCTTCTTAATGTGGAGCCTACCCACTCCACATTACCTTCTTTTCAATGGCCTGTTTCCCTTGCCCCCACAACTGTTGTGGGTATTGACGGCCAAGCTTCAAAACCCCTTAAAACTTCCCCACTCTGGTACCAACTTGGACAATATTCTTTTATGCACTCTTTTTTAGTTATCCCCACCTGCCCAGTTCACTTATTAGGCTGAGACATTTTAACCAATTTATCTGCTTCCCTGACTATTCCTGGACTACAGCCACATCTCATTGCCACCCTTCTTCCCAACCCAAAGCCTCCTTTGCATCTTCCTCTCATATCCCCCTACCTTAACCCACAAATATGGGACAACTCTACTCCCTTTCCTGGCAACCGATCACATGCCCATTACTAGCCCATTAAAACCTAATCACCCTTATCCTGCTCAATGCCAGTATCCCATCCCACAACAGGCTTTAAGGGGATTGAAGCCTGTTATCACTCACCTGCCACTGCATGTACTTCTAAAACTTATAAACTCTCCTTACAATTCTCCCATTTTACGTGTCCAAAAACTGGACAAGTCCTACAGGTTAGTTCAGGATCTGCACCTTATCAACCAAATTGTTTTGCCTATCCACCCTGTGGTGCTCAACCCATACACCCTTTTGTTCTCAATACCTTCCTCCACAACTCACTATTCCGTTCTTGATCTTAAAGATGCTTTTTTCACTATTCCCCTGCACCCCTTGTCCCAGCCACTCCTTGCTTTTACCTGGGATGACCCTGACACCCATCAGTCCCAGCAGCTTACCTGGGCTGTACTGCCACAAGGCTTCAGGGGTAGCCCTCATTACTTCAGCCAAGCTCTTTCTCATGATTTACTTTCTTTCCACCCCTCCACTTCTCACCTTATTCAATATATTGATGAACTTCTACTTTGGAGCCCCTCCTTTGAATCTTCTCAACAAGACACCCTCCTGCTCCTTCAACATTTATTCTCCAAGGGATATCGGGTATCCCCCTCCAAACCTCAAATTTCTTCTCCATCTGTTACCTACCTCGGCATAATTCTTCATGAAAACAAACTTGCTCTCCCTGCTGATTGTGTCTGACTGATCTCTCAAACCCTGACCCCTTCTACAAAACAACAACTCCTTTCCTTCCTGGGAATGGTTGGATAATTTTTAGAGGCCCTCAAAATCACAAACTATGCTCAACTCACTCTCTGCAGTTCTCATAACTTCCAAAATCAATTTTCTTCCTCACACCTGACACATATACTTTCTGCTCCCCGACTCCTTCAGCTATACTCACTCTTTGTTGAGTCTCCCTCAATTGCCATTGTTCCTGGCCCAGACTTCAATCTAGCCTCCCACATTATTCCAGATACCACACCTGACCCCCATGATGGTATCTCTCTGATCCACCTGACATTCACCCCATTTCCCCATATTTCCTTCTTTCCTGTTCCTCACCCTGATCACACTTGGTTTATTGATGGCAGTTCCACCAAGCCTAATCATCACTCACCAGCAAAGGCAGGCTTTGCTATATTATCTTTCACATTTATCATTAAGGCTACCGCTCTGCCCCCTCCACTACCTCTCAGCAAGCCAAACTCATTGCCTTTACTTGAGCCGTCACTCTTGAAAAGGGACTACGTGTCAATATTTATACCGACTCTAAATATGCCTTCCATATCCTGCACCACCATGCTGTTATAGGGGCAGAAAGAAGTTTCCTCACTACACAGGGTTCCTACATCATTAATGCGTCTTTAATAAAAACTCTTCTCAAGGCCACTTTACTTCCAAAGGAAGCTGGAGTCATTCACTGCAAGGACCATCAAAAGGTGTCAGATCCCATTGCTCTGGGGAGCGCTTATGCTGATAAGGTAGCTAAAGAAGCAGCTAGTATTCCAACTTCTGTCCCTCATGGCCAGTTTTTCTCCTTGTCATTGGTCACTCCCACCTACTCTCCCATGAAACTTCCACCTATCAATCTCTTCCCACACAAGGCAAATGGTTCTTAGACCAAGGAAAATATCCCCTTCCAGCCTCACAGGCCCATTGTATTCTGTCATCATTTCATAACCTCTTCCATGTAGGTTACAAGTTGCTAGCCTGCCTCTTTAGAACCTTTCATTTCCTTTCCACTGTGGAAATCTATCCTCAAGGAAATCACTTCTCAGTGTCCCATCTGCTATTCTACTACCCCTCAGGGATTGTTCAGGCCCCCTCCTTTCCCTACACATCAAGCTCAGGGATTTGCTCCTGTCCAGGACTGGCAAATTGACTTTACTCACATGCCCCGAGTCAGGAAACTAAAATACCTCTTGGTCTGGGTAGACACTTTCACTGGATGTGTAGAGGACTTTCTCTCAGGGTCTGAGAAGGCCACCATGGTCATTTCTTCCCTTCTGTCAGACATAATTCCTCAGTTTGGCCTTCTCACCTGTATACAGTCCAATAACAGACCATCCTTTACTAGTCAAATCACCCAAGCAGTTTCTGAGGCTCTTGGTATTCAGTGGAAACTTCATACCCCTTACCATTCTCAATCTTCGGAAAGGTAGAACAGACTAATGGTCTTTTAAAGACACATCTCACCAAGCTCAGCCTGTAACTTAAAAAGGACTGGACAGTACTTTTACCTCTTGCCCTTCTCAGAATTAGAGCCTGTCCTCAAGATGCTACAGGGTACAGTCCATTTAAACTTTTGCATGGACGTACTTTCTTGCTTGGCCCCCAACCTCATCCCAGACACCAGCCCTCTAGGCGACTATCCTCCAGTCCTCCAGCAGGCTAGATAGGAAATTTGCCAGGCTGCTAATATTCTCTTGCCTACTCCAGATTCCCAGCCATATGAAGACACCCTAGCTGGATGGTCAGTTCTTGTTAAGAATCTGACCCCTCAAACTCTACAACCTCAATGGACCGGACCCTACTTATCTGTAGTACCCCAACTGCCGTTTGCCTGCAGGATCCTCCCCACTGGGTTTACTGTTCCAGAATAAAGCTGTATCCACCAGACAGCCAGCCTAATCTCTCCTCTTCCTCCTGGAAGTCTCAAGTACTCTCCCCTACTTCACTTAAACTCACTCACATTTTTGAAGAACAGTAATAACTCTTATGAACCTAATACATCGTTTCATTCTATTAGGTCTATTCGTCCTTACCCTACTTTTTGCAACAGGACTTTATGCAGTCACCCCCACTACTTGGCCTGACCCCCCAAAACTTGTCATCCCTACTGTCTTCTGTCCAGTCATACTCCTATTCACCATTCTCAACTACTCATAAATGCCCTACTCTTGTTTACACTGCCAGTTTACACTGTTTCTCCAAGCCATCACAGCTAATATCTCCTGGTGCTATCCCCAAACCACCACTCTTTACTCCCTCTTAGAGTGGATAGATGATCTTTGGTGGCAGGACACCCTCCAATACTTTCACCACACTATCAATCTCATTCACTCTTTCCTAGCCATTTCTAATCCCTCCTTAGTGAACAATTGCTGGCTTTGCATTTCCCTTTCTTCCTGTGCCTATACAGCTGTCCCCGCCTTACAGACAGACTGGGAACATCTCCTGTCTCCCTACACCTCCGAACTTCCTTTAACCGCCCTCACCTTTGCCCTCCTGAAGAACTTCTTTACTTTCTAGACAGGTCCAGCAAGACCTCCTCAGACATTTCACATCAGCAAGCTGCCACCCTCCTCCGCACTTACTTAAAAAACCTTTCTCCTTATATCAACTCTACTCCCCCCATATTTGGACCCCTCAGAACACAAACTACTATTCCTGTGGCCACTCTTTTATGTATCTCTCAGCAAAGACCCACTGGAATTCCCCTGGGTAACCTTTCATCTTCTCGGTGTTCCTTCAGTCTTCATCTCCAAAGTTCAACTACACACATCACTGAAACAGTTGGAGGCTTCCAGCTCCATATTACAGATAAAACCTCTATCAATACTGGCAAACTTAAAAACATCAGCAGTTATTATTGCTTAGGAAGACACTTACCCTGTATTTCACTCCATCCTTGGCTACCTTCCCCTTGCTCGTCAGACTCTCCTCCCAGGCCCTCTTCTTATTTACTTATACCCAGCCCCATAAATAACAGTGAAAGGTTGCTCATAGACACTCAACGTTTTCTCACACACCATGAAAATCAAACCTCTATGCAGTTATCCCATCAGTCCCCATTACAACTGCTGATGGCTGTCACCCTAGCTGGATCCCTAGGAGTCTGGGTACAAAACAGCTTTTTTAGTACTCCTTCTCATCTTTTTACTTTGCATTTCCAGTTTTGCCTTGCACAAGGTCTCTTCTTCCTCTGTGGATCCTCTACCTACATGCAAATTGGACAGGCACATGCACACTAGTTTTCCTTACTCCCAAAATTCAATTTGCAGATGGGACTGAAGAGCTTCCTGTTCCCCTCATAACACTGACACAACAAAAAAGAATTATTCCACTAATTCCCTTGCTTGTCTGTTTAGGACTTTCTGCCTCCACTATTGCTCTTGGTACTGGGATAGCAGGCATTTCAACCTCTGTCATGACCTTCCATGGCCTCTCTAATGACTCTCCGCTAGCATCACAGACATATCACAAACTTTATCAGTCCTTCAGGCCCAAGTTGACTCTTTAGCTGCAGTTGTCCTCCAAAACCTCCAAGGCCTTGACTTTCACTGCTGAAAAAGGAGGACTCTATATTTTTAAATGAAGAGTGTTGTTTTTACCTAAATCAATCTGGCCTGATGTATGACAACATAAAAAAACTCAAGGATAGAGCCCAAAAACTTGCCAACCAAGCAAGTAATTATGCTGAACCTCCTTGGGCACTCTCTAATTGGTTGTCTTGGGTCCTCCCAATTCTTAGTCATTTAATACCTGTTTTTCTCCTTCTCTTATTCGGACCTTGTGTCTTCTGTTTAGTTTCTCAGTTCATCCAAAACCATATCCAGGCTGTCATCAATCATTCTATATGACAAATACTCCTTCTAACAACCCCACAATATCACCCCTTACCACAAAATCTTCCTTCAGCTTAATCTCTCCCATTCTAGGTTCTCACGCCACTCCTAATCCCACTTGAAGCAGCCCTGAGAAACATCACCCATTTTCTTTCCATACCACCCCCAAAAATTTTCACAGCCCCAACACTTCACCACTATTTTGTTTTTTTCTTATTAATATAAGAAGACAGGAATGTTAGGCCTCTGAGCCCAAGCTAAGCCATCATATACCCTGTGACCTGCACATATACATCCAGATGGCCTGAAGCAACTGAAGATCCACAAAAGAAGTGAAAAAAGCAATAACTGATGACATTCCACCATTGTGATTTGTTCTTGCCCCACCCTACATGTATTCTCCCCTGCCCTTAAGAAGGTACTTTGTAATATTCTCTCCCACCGCTGCCCCCTGCCTTTAAGAAGGTACTTTGTAATATTCTCCCCTACCCTTAAGAATGTACTTTGTATGCCTATTCTTAAACGTATAAGAACTAATGATAATCCCACCACCCTTTGCTGACTCTCTTTTCGGACTCAGCCTGCCTGAATATAGGTGAAATAAACAGACTTGTTGCTCACACAAAGCCTGTTTGGTGGTCTCTTCACACGGACACGCATGACAGTTTCTATTAGACTAACAAAAAGCTGCTGAGACACAGTGTGATCTCCTCAATCTTGGCCCTTCTGCCCAAACAACTGAACATGGCAGAGTCCAGAGGATGAGTCTGTATCCACCGTGCACTTGCTGTGCACCTAGAGGTGGCCATGGCATGGGGGTGACATGGAGAAACTACCTGAGAGGAAAATGTCAGGACCAGACAAGGGGTAGGAAATTAGAAAGGAGTTGCATGATTATAAAGAATGTCCTTAGTGATTGTTTTGTGGGAATCTTCTGTACCTTCTGGGATGATGAAGTTGTCACTTGGCCTCTGTCAGGGGCTCTCATGCCTGCAAGAAGGCCTAGCAAGCCTGGGAAATGTAAGAAAGTACTTTTTAAAAGAGAAAATTTAGGCTGCCTGGCTGATCTGCAAGATAACAAATCCCCACGTGTCCAGGCTTGATTTCCTCAGTCTGCCAATCTGAAACGTGACTCTGGTGAAGCTTTGACTCCCAGGCTTACTGCATGGGCCAAGATCTTGTTCTGGTTGCTTGCAATTAGGCATTTTCCCTTTTTAAATGGATGTTTTCTTCTATTCTCAAGTCTGTCTGTCTTTTTTTGCCTCTACGCCTGGGGTCTCCTTCTTGAGTCTGATCACTCGTTTACTGACAAGTAAAACATACCTGTCCCATGTCTCCTACTCATTATTGGTGCTGTTTTCCTCCCACCTTCTATTTCATTTGTTGTAAGAAACTAGCACCAGGGAGACCACTGGCCTTAAATCTAATATTGTAGGAACTCCGCTGCATCCTTCCTAGAACATTTACATTTGTAAAGATAATGGAGATGGCCAACTCAACAAGATGATTTTTCAGGAGAAAGGTTCAGAATTCCTAAAGATTTCTAATGGCCTTGGTGGTAGTGTGCTGGGCCAGTTTCCATTGGTTTACAAGAACTAATTGTACACATCTCTTTCTTTTTCCATGTCTAGTAACCTCACATTGGTGGCCTAAAGTTAGCCATGGTGGGAGTATTTACACAATGGGAATTGGCAAACCCTACACATCAGGGCTTGTTTTTTTGGAAAGCCAATTTACTAATACCCCATTACCTTTAGGCTCCATTGTGTAGATGATGTCCTTCTGTGTGGGTGATTAAATGTGGTCTTGTTTTCTCACCCTTTTGTATCTCATAATTGAAAGCTGTAAAGTGTTCAATATGTTGAGCTGCAGAACTCATAATGTTTCTGGCCTGAGTTTTACTGGCAGCAGGTTGTAGAGTGAGCTTGAGGAGCACAACCTAGCCCAAGTCACATTTCAGGTGGCTGGTTCATTCTGGGGAAGAAAGCTCAGGCCTGGAGTCAGGAGCCCCAGACATTTGTCTTTCTTCTCTCATGAATCACACAGCATAGAGCAATTATCTGTTAGATGGGACAATCATTTGTTCTCACATGACTCCTACTAGCTTATCCTGAGAAACAGATGGAATGATGTCTTTTAAGTGAGAGCGTTGTACATGGCCAGGATGAAGAGCATGGATTTAGGAATAAGATGGACTAGGTTTAAAATCTGGGCTTGTCTATGAGGATGAGCTATGTGACCAGTTCCATCAGTTCTAAGGCAGTTCTAAGGTGAAGCTAATGACAACAACTTATCAAGGTAGCTGTAATGATTAAATTAAGTAACCTTTTAAAAATGTTCAGGACTCAATATATGGCTGCTACTATTAATAACAATGCTTTGAAAATACTATACACATTTGAAGGCATGATTATTATTTTATTTCCATATATGGAACATCTGTAGTGATCACTTGCTCTACTACATGACTTATAGTGAATGTTTAGTAACTTTTTTAAGGATTTGAAATATTAAGCAAGGTTATTTTCAGTACATTTCAAGTTGAGGTGAATTACTTACCTAAGTAACCACACTCCTCAGAGCGGGGAAAAAAGAGTCTTTGCTTCAGACGAAATATTTTTGGCAAACTGACTGAAAGTTGTCCTTCAAAAATCTAAAGAACCTAGGTAAGTGAAACTGGCTGGTAATAAATTGCCTTAATAGATATAAGACATTGTAGGTTTTATCCCGGGCACTTGAGAGTTGTCATAAAAATAGCACTTACATTCTAATTTCTTTAGGGGTTGTTTGTAAGATTCTTTTAAGTATTCCCTTGGGAACTAACCTGTTCACATTCAGGCTGAATACAGAAGTGTGCTTGGCTGATTCCTTTTAGAAATGTAAATTGAATTGAGTTATACATTTATACCATCCTAGGAAGGCAGCATCCTTTCCCCATCACCCCCAGAGTAGAAACAAATGAGGATTTGATTTGTTATTCTCTGTGTATACCACTAGGGAACAGCGAGGCCCATATATGGCAAGAAAAATATTTCACTTATCAGGGTCATTTATTCCAGGTTAGCATCTTACTTCTAAAGAGAAAATAATCAGGAAATAGTTGCTAGGCTGCCACACAAAAGGCTTTCATTTTCTCTCCTGAGCTGGAGGAATGATGCTGAGGCTTCCTTTGAGGGAGTGTGGAAATGTTTGGTGGAATGAGCCTTAGCTTTGAGGCCCCATAGAGCACTGAGGAACCTTGGGCTAGTTGTTTAGTTTCTCTGAGTCCCAGTTTCCACGTTTGAAATACAAGGAAAGCATTTGCTACTTTCTGGAGTAATGATAAGGATTAAAAGAGCTAATGTATGTGCAATAGAGTGTCAGGCATAGATCTGGAACCAATATTAATCTTTACCCCAACAACCAAGGATTTTAGTTACTAACACCTTGGGTATATTTGTTCCTGATTTTTGAAATAATAGCAGATTCCCTCAAAGAAGGACAGAAATAATAAAAAGACCCTGAGCTAAAGGTATTGCCCTGAGGGGTGGGCTTATGTGGCAAGGCTTGAACCTCCAGGTGGCCTGCTTGTGTCAGGGGTGGGTATAGCAGAAGAGGGAGGAGCATGGGGAAGTGGAGGGTAATCCTCTCGTACTTTGCAATTTTGTCTGGAACAAGTCAAGGAACTTGGAAACCTCTTGCTCCTGTAACTGTTGCAAACATTTCCTACAATTTTGGAATTTTACCTGGATTATCCTAATTATTGTTATTATTTTTAGTAAGGTGTTCCTCCTGAACCAGAGGAAATGAATTTTGTGACTGGCAGTTTCATCCTGCAAATGAAACATAAAGGGAAACAGAGCTACTTTGTTAAAGGCTTGAGAAAACATAATTCTTGTTTAAAAAAACAGGCAAGACCAGCCAGACAGATAAAGATGTGTGGGTTAATTGCTGAATCTGCATCTCACCTGCATCTTTTATGTGGCAGATATGAATACTTTATAGGTAATGAGGTCCTCAACAGGAGAATTATGGCCTAATGGCCTGACATTTGTAAAGCTGTAAAATGTAGGGGGAGATTTAACAAGCAAGATGAGCTGCCCTTCCGCATATTAACACAATTACACACCTAAGCACACGTCTAGGTGTAAATAGTGTATTTATAGCATTAGGACTCTCTGAAGAATATTAAGTAGATGTTACAATGTGCAATTTAGGATTTTTTTTTTTTTTTTTTTTTACAAGAAAAGCTTTCTATTTGTCTGGAAACTTCTGGGGGCTCTAAGCCTTTTTCACTCTTTCAGAGGTCTCTGCCTCTGTGATGTGTTTTGTAGCAGAGCTAGCAGGACTGACGGTGCACTCAGATTCCGGGAATTGAGGCTGGGCGATGGATACTTCAACCTTTCTAACATAAAGATGTTGCTACACTGGAGGCCAGAGGGTCTGGGAGGCCCACCCCATGTCACTGACTTTGCCTGCAATATTTGGCTTTTCTGTTCCTTGCCTAACTTTCTTTTCTAAAGCTTTTGGAGTATTTAACAGTGTTAGATTAGCCTAACTCTTGAAATATTTTTGATTTAGAATCTAAGAGGAAAGTGACATTGTTGGACCACTAGCCAAAATGAAACAGGTTATGAAATAAGTGAAAAAGGGAAAGAATATTCCAGCACTGCTTTTCCCTTGAACTGTGTTTTTCTTTCATGAACCTATAGCCTCTTACCTACCTGAGTAAGCGCCAACGAATTGCAGAAACTAAAACATGATCAAAGAAAAACTTCAGCCAAATTAAATTCAAAGGAGTTTAACTGAGCAATGAACGATTCACAAATAGGGCAGCGCCAGAATCCCAGCAGATTCACAGAGACTCCAGCACAGCCATGTGGTGGGAGAAGATTTATCGACAAAAAAAAAGGGGAGGGGAATAACTTACAGAAATAGAAAGCGAGGTAAAGAATGGCTAGATTGGTTACAAGCTGACATTTGTCTTATTTGAACACAGTTTGAACGCTCAGCAGTATATGAATGGTTGAAGTATGGCAGCCGGGATTGGCCAAGACTCACTTACAGGCACATATTGTTAAGTTAGGTTTTCAGTTTTTTCTACCTATTAAGCTAGGTTGCAGTTCATCCCCAAAGACTCAAATATAGAAGTGAGGATTCCTTCTCAGGTCATATTTAGTTCACTTTAACAAAGAATACTTCTTATTTTCTCAAGTCCCAAATCAAGGTGTCACGAGGTCCATGATCGCTTAAAGACTTCAAGAAAATATCCTTTCTTGCCTCTTTCTAGCTTCTGGTGGCTCCTGGAAATCCTTGGCTTTTCCTGACTTGCAGGTGCCTCACCCAAATCTCTGCCTCTTTTCTCATGTGGCTTTCTTCCCTGTGTGACTATATCCCTCTATAAAGAAAGACACCTAAGAACCTCTGTAAGAACCTCTGCTTTTAAGAACACTTGCCATTGAATTTAGGCTCCACCCTAATCCAATATGATCTTATCTTAGCCTCATTGTATCTGCAAAGACCCTATTTTCAGAAAAAAAAATTCACATTCACAGTTTTCTGGGGTTAGCATTTTAATATGTTCTTTTGGGAAATACAATTAAACCCACAACAGTTGAGTAATAAAAATAAATTCATGATCTACTTTCAGTATGAAACATGAGTTGTGAACACATGTCCAGACTAATATTTAACATTGTGCAGCAGCAGCCAATTTTAGAGATGGATGTGTAGTTTGATAAGCTCCACAATGTTTCAGCAGGCATTTTCTTTGTTAGAGAACAGTTGCTTAAGGACAGAGAAAATCAGGGTGAAAGAGTTTTACAGTTCCTGTTAAATCTGGACTTCATTCCCAATCTTCTCTGTGTATTTATTTTTTCCTCATTAAATAGAGAGCCCTCAATCCAGTCAGGCAGTATTCTCCTGTAATCCTACCCCGATTCTGTTCTCATATTTTATTATAAATTTAAATTTCTGAATTCCTCTTTTCCCAGAGTAATTTCCCACAGATAACTTCATCTCTAATGAAAGGAAAGACTCTATTCTTCCTCGAAAAAGAATTGTAGACATGAGTTACAATGAGCAGATTAGGAAGGTGTTTTGAAGGGAGGCTTGTTTCAGTGCTCTTATCATCAGCAAGGATGCCAGTTCTGATTAATGTCAGTTCTTTGTGCATAGATACACACTCAGAGGTGTGTAAGTAGACTTTCTCCTTTGCTTGAGTGTCTGAGTCATTTGTTTTTCTCATCTTTCATCAGTTTGAGGTAAGAACTAGGGTATCCAATTGAAGAAAGCCAAAGCCATAGACAATGCCATAGTTACGTACTTCTAGCTCCCTCTTGTATCTCAAAGAGCTTTTCTGCTCACCAGACAGCACTTGTTCCACTCATGGAACTTAGTTGAGACAATGGATGAGCAAGAATTTATTGGCTGAGTAAGAGCTTGGAATAGAAAGCTGCCTTATTCACCCTCATGAATCCAATGAGGGTTGGTGCAGGAGAGAACAATGCATCATCTTTCCTTTTAAAATTCTGTAAAAGTAAAGGCCATTCTGACAAAAGTGTTCTATAACAAAGCTTTGTCTTTATTTCAGAGCGGAAGCCTTGGTGAAAATTTGCTGATCTGGTTATAGTACATTCACGACAATGGAAATCCATATAATTAATAATCACAGGGTTTTATTTTTGGTCCAGCCCATGAAGCAGTCACTATTTATAGTACAAATTTTCATGTGCTCTTGGCACTGTTTCACAACATAAGTAAAAGAGTCTACAGCTCTGTAACTCCTTCACTTTTTTAAAAAGCTATTTTATTCATTATTTTTAGCTCCTCCAAATCCAGTATAAGATTTTCCCAAATTTACCATTTCCCCTCCAAATTGGGCCCCTAAATATGGTAAATTTTGGCTGGAATAATTTTTCTATCTTACGTAGAGTATATCTACTCACTCATATAGAGGCACAAACAAAATTATTACTTTTTCAGTTTGGGAATCACTTACTATTAGCTAGGCAGTATATTATACACTAAAGATAAAAGGATTAATACTTGATGAAACCCTGTCTCTGCTAAAAATACAAAAATTGGGTGGATGTGATGGCACATACCTGTAGTCCCAGCTACTCTGGAGGCTGAGGCATGAGAATTGCTTGAACCTGGGAGGCGGAGGCTATAGTGAGCCGAGATCATGTGCTGGAACTCCAGCCTCGGTGACAGTGGGAGACTCTGTCTCAAAAAAAAAAAAAAATAAGAGAAAGAAATATGAATGCTGCTGTGCTGCTGGACCGTGTACCCTGGGATCTCAGGTGTGTGTGTGTGTGTGTGGTGTGTGTGTGTGTGTGTGTGTGTGTGTGTGTTGGGGGGTGAGAGGAGTTGAGAGTGGGGAAGTAGGGTGTATAGAAAATGTAAGGATGAAGATGGGGAGGAGACATGTTAAGTAGAATTAAGCAAATGGTGTAAACGACACACACAGGAGGGAAAATGTGTTGTGTACAAAATGGGCCAGGGGGAGCTTCTGGAAGAAAAGAAGGCCTGAAATGAACAATGCCTTACATATAACCAGGCCAAGCTGTGAAATGGAGTTTCAAGAAACAGCACGTGCAAGAGAAAGGAGCTATATTCAGAGGCTGGCAAGTGGTTCAGCTTGGCCATCAGTAGGTATTCAATTTATAGATTGATGTTTAGGGAATCCCTCATTCTAGTCCAATTCCAGCTTAACAAAAGAATGTGAATGCCCAGTGGGGTTCGTTAAAATGGATGTGAAATATGTTGCATGCAGAAGTGTGAATGTACATTACTGTAGGTTGTAGTACATTCACATATATTTAAATAAATGGAAAGAAAAACCTGGTCTTCTGTGATGAGCTATGTCACTCCCTCCCATTTAACGTGATTAAAGGCAACGTTTAATAGGTCCGTGGAGCTTTCTGTGCTGATCCATATTTCCTGGGTAGCAAGCATTTTCTTTTGTCCTACATATTAGGGTACAAAACAGCAGTGTGACATCAGTTATAAAAGAGAATCTAGGTTAAAAACAAAACCATGCAGTCCTGTGATTTTTGAGTTCAGCATTATGAGGCATGTTTTATACATATGTGTTTCTCTTTTATTTCTTTCCTTCTGTGAGAGGTCCCTGCATTTCCAGTTAAGGAAGGGTAGTGCTGTCTGTTGGCATTGCTATCCTCTGCTTCTAAGTTCAAAGTTGGAGGGTCAGCAGCAATGCCAACAGCTAGACCTTTCACTGCCCACTGTCTGTGCCTTCTATTCTTTGGACAGTGTGAATGAACTTCAGGGGGGTGTGTGTGTGTGTGTGTGTGTGTGTGTGCATGTGTAGGTAGGTGGTTTAGGAAGGTAGAGTATCCCAGAGGCTTATTACCAGAGGAACCTGAAGAGAAGGTCTGTGTGTGTTTAATTGTCCATGTAGAATGAGTCAGCCAGCCTTAGAACTGCTAGATGGAAAAAGATAGTCTGGGAGAAGTGGTATGAGAGGTAATGGGAATTGCCAGAGAAGTAAGTACTTTAAAGGTAAGATAAAATATGCTCTTCATATATAAAAGAAAGGACCCCCTAATGTGAAGATACATACATTTTAAAAAGGTAGTAATTTTGTCTTATGTATTTGGGAGGTTTCAGAAGAAAATAGTTTTCTGACATATATGTATTAACTAGGGATATCAAAGTTTTCAATTAAGTTTTATTAAAAATTAAATGTGCTTATTACACTTCTACCATGTGGCTGTCATGCTGATGAAGATGCGAGAGGAGAAGGTGCAGAACTCAGTCTTGTTGGGGAAAATGAGAGTGCACAGGGGCATGTTTCTATTTAGCAATATCATTAGTAAAATTGAATTCAATGTTTCCCCAATAAATTAGTACTAATTAAGCATTTACTAAGTGCAGGGTACTAGGAAATACATATGAAAGAGCATGGACTTTGCCACTTTCTGCCTAGGCTTCTAGATTCTCTTCAAGTACCTAGTTTTTTTCATTTGCAAAATGTGCATGATAAACATTTTATTCTATTCTAATGTGATGATGGCATAGCAGCTGGCTCACCATATGGCGAGAAGCCAACACTTAATAAATACTAGATTTTTTTTCTACTGCCATGTAGCCAAGCTTCTACATGGAATTCTAGATTTCCAGGGTCTGAACTTGATCTGAGCTCCAGGGTTCTGACAGTGATGCCACTGCTGTGGAGTGGAGTCCACAGCAGTCCTACTTAATAGTACGGTTCTTGACCACTGCCCTGCTTCAGCTTCTATTAGCAGAGACATTGAATCTTAATTCACTTCAGAGCTGGCACCCAACACTACTAATGCAAGCATTTTTTTAAGTCTGACTCAGTAACTTTCTGCCAAATCCAGTTTCCAGATGTTAATAATAATATGTAATTAAGAAATATAGGAAACATGGCTGAGTGTGGTGGCTCACACCTGTAATCCCAGCACTTTGGGAGGCTGAAGTGGGTGGATCAGGAGGTCAGGAGATCGAGACCATCCTGGCTAACATGGTGAAACCCTGTCTCTACTAAAATACAAAAAATTAGCTGGGTGTGGTGGCACACACCTGTGGTCCCAGCTACTCAGGAGGCTGAGGCCGGGGAATCCCTTGAACCCAGGAGGCAGAGGTTGCAGTAAGCGGAGACTGCACCCCTGCACTCCAGCCTGGGCAACAGAGTGAGACTCTGTCATAAACAAAAAAGAAGTATAGGAAACAAACCAATAAATATAAAGGATGATCATTTGAACTCCTTCTGCAGGTTTATGATAGCCAATTCAGGAAGGTAAGGAATAAATGGGATGGGAGTATAACTTCCCAGGGTCAATGGTTGCTACCAAAACTTGACATGTGTCTCTGGAAAGCCCTGCTTCATGGTGTATCATTCCACATTCTTCTTTCTTTCAAGATACTCATTTCTAGAAGATGCTCCTGAATAATGCTGTTTCATGTTATTCATCCTCTGAATCTTGATGCTGAAAATTAACTGATTTGTCTTTTTCTATCTTCGTTTACATTCAAAGATAAGTTTGTTACTAGTGCACACTCTGTGTCATGCAAATATGTGGGTGTAACTTGTTGGATAATAGTATGTGTATGCCTCCAATATCCCTTCTGATTCTTATAATGCCTTTAAGAATTGGAGGACTGGTTAGAATTGCATTTAACTACAGATAAGTGTGCAACAACTCAGGTGAAGTTATTTGGCCAAGGTTATACAGCCAGTTCCACTTAAGATCTAGATTGCAAATCTGATAATTCCAACATTTTGTATTTTTTCACAATTTCTTGTATTTCTTAATTTACTAAACAACTTTTATAGATTTTAGTAGATAAAGAAAGGTCAACTTCTTTGTAGATGCTCACATTTTAAGGATAACCTTGCTTGCTTTAAACTGAGGGAGTCATTTCCCTAATAAAGTGTTCCAAGTGCCATAGCAAACTTTAGATGGGATGATGGTGTCAGAAAGTTCTTTCCTCATACACTTGGGCTATTACTTAAGTCCTGCTTATAACCTTACTGATTTCAATCATGTGTTGACAAATTTTCCATAAAAAGAGTATACTGTCTGCTAGATTTATAGATGATTTTGGTAAAGTTATTTACATGAACAGTTTTAGTTAAACTTACAGTAACTCTGTGAGGGCTGTTAGTATCTCTACTTACCACCACCACCCCATCCCGACTTTTTTTTTTTTTTTTTTTTAAGAGCTGGTGTTTTGCTATGTTGCCTAAGCTGGTCTTGAACTCCTGGCCTTGAGTGGTCCTCCTGTCTCAGCCTCCCAAAGTGCTGGAGTTACAGTTATGAGCCACTGCACCTGGCCCAGTGTCTCCATTTTTAAGATAAGACAACTGAGACTGAGAGATAGATGTTAATTAACAAGGCATCAGGCAGCTGTCAGATTAATTTTCATATTCAGGTCTGATTTGATCAATGCATGGAAATGCTTGTTACACTTCTGATTAGTTCATAACCTCAGTTATTTTCCAGTGGCCCAGAGCTGGGGTGCATTACGAGGCTGTTTCAGAATCTTATTTCTCCTACCTGCTCTGCTGTTGGTTGATATTCCCTTGTATTCTCTTGAGGTCTTTCTCTGTTGTCACCTGGAGCAGCCACAAAAGTGGGAATAGACTCTGTACTCGGAGCCCCTGGTCATCCCAGATATGTTGCATAATGACCTTGTCTCATGGGACTGGCCTGGTCCACTCTGTGATGGTGGCCCCGCATACCACAGCCCTACTTTCCCAGTCCCAAAGGAGAACATGAAGCCCCTGGTAGCTTTTGATAGCAGGTGTACCTTACATCAAAGTCAGACTGTTAGCTGCAGCTGAATGGTTCTCTTTAACAGAAGTTATTGCAACTACCATCATGCCTCTCAGACACTCCCAGCTTTTGTTATGTTTAAAGTCATATTTTTCGACGTAGAAGAGTGACATTCTCATGTCAGGGTCTGTCTCTGGCTCCACCGAAGCATAACAACCTTTAGCTAGAGGACAAGACTTCCATGGATTGCTCAGCTGCGGTGCTCAATTAGTCTTCCAATGTATATTTTTTTCCCTGTTTTCCCCTAACACGCTGTCAAACATGTCAAACACAGAGCAGCTTTTTGATGTGGACACTGGCTCATTAGGCCCCAGCTGAGATCATTAAATTCTGTTTCTTTAAGGCCAATGGGAAGGGCAGATTTATGTTTCCTTTGATAGAGCTGGTCTTAAATTTCCTCCCTATTGTGAGATGGATAGTTGGTGATGAATCAGTGAGATTTCAGACTTCACTGGGGGCAGACTGGCTGTTCATAGGATTGAGGTTTCTGGGCTAGAACAGTAAACAGGCAGTCACTGAGTGAACACACACATTTCTGATGTTGCCTCCTGCCATGGTCCAGTCTTAGTGGCATTACCTGTCACCTTTAAGACAGGGTTTCTCAACCTTGGAGGTATCAATGTTTTGGACCAGGAAATCCTTGTCATGAGAACTGTTCTGTGCATTGCAGGATATTAGCAGCATGCCTGACTTCTACCCATTAGATGCCAGTAACACACTCTCCAAGTTGTGCCAACCAAAAGTGTCCCCAGACATTGCCAAATTTCCCTTGAGGGCAAAATCACGTCCAGTTAAGAAACACTTTAAGATATTCCAGGAGTTTAGCTCCCTCAAGTCAATTACCTAAACAGAATACACCACGAGTCTAAGTTATGCGGTAGTAGGCATGGAAACATCAGATGGTGGTCAAAAATATGGCCGGATGAGCAGACTGGGAGTCAGGAAGAAGTGTTTGCAATGACTTCTGACTTCTCTCTTGTTTACTTCTCCTTTCACTTTTAACCCCCCTTTACCCTACTTGCTGATACTTAGTTCTCATCTGCTATCTTGTAGCACACAGAGTTTGCTACTATAGTTTGGGCCAAAGTTGGATCCCCTGATGACTCTGTACATTCTCCTGGCTGTACTTTTCTTCACATAATGTCTATGAAACATTACTTTTATGTGTTCTGTTCTCCGAGAATCCTGCTGACTAGAGAAACATTATACATACTCATAACTGAGTATTAATAGTTGTTAAGGGTTGAATGGTTTCACTCTCCCAGATTGTGTGTGTGTGTGTGTGTGTGTGTGTGTGTATAATTTCATTATATAACAACTAAAAAATGTGTGAAGAGATATTTAGATACAATAGTAGGACTACAAATAGGTTATATGACTAGCAAGACTTCAAATCACAGCTCTTCCTAACTATGAGAGCAATCTTGGTTTTTGTAGTTCAGGATTGGGATATCTTTAAATAGAGAGACGTTCTTTACTTCTGATCCTATAGGACAGTTCTTCAAACTGTTGATTATGCAATATCTCAAAAAATTGAAAAAAATGCGTGGGCCTCAGTATACGTATTATTTGTAAATTATATAAGTAAACTATTTTTAATCATACTATATATTAATGAGTTAAATTCTATAATTTTTGGATAATTTTTACAAGTTGAAGTTATATATTTTTTCCATTCCCCCAAAATCATCCTATTACTCTGAAAGTGCTTAAACGCCTACAGTGGAAACCTCTTCTTGGTCCTCCACGGATGAGGTTCAGGAGACCTCCAACCCTCTAGAATTGGATATATAATTTTGTGATCCTAGGCACAAGTTGCATTTTTGTCCATGGCATTCATACGATTTAAAAAGAGGTCCATACTCTAAAAGTTGTTAAAGACCATATATGGTAATCTTTGAGAGTGATCAAGCATTCATTCAGTGGAATGTGATAGAATTGATGTCTTTTTATAAGGATGTAGAAAACAGAGCAGCCTTCTCTTCAAACACTGGTCCTTCTTGGCCCCTGAATCAAGGGAGTTTTCTCAGCCTCCATTCTTCTGTGGTCATCATGAGCTAAGTCTTTGAATTTTAATTTCTCAAATATGCAATTACCCTGACATAAAGCTAGAAGGGATTTTGGATATCCTCTAGTCTTCCTTTCTGTTTTTAGAGATGAGAAAAGCATAGCTTCCAAGATCATCCAAGTCTTCTGCTCATGTACCTATGTGTCACACTGCTGCTCTCTGGGGATTATTTTTATTGTTGCTTCACTCTGTAATCATTTTAACATTAAAAAAAGAAAGTTGCAACAAACCAATGACCTCTGGTGTACAAATGTTAAGAAATATTTAATGTTTCTGGAATTCATCTTGAATTTCACCGAGGTCTGGGCACCAGGACAGAGTGACTGAAACAGCAAACTTATCATTAAATGGATGGACATATTTGAGGAGAAACAAGTGGAAATGATGAGTAAAACAATGTCTTCAGTAGCTACGAGGAATTTATTTCATTTCATCTGTGATGAAGCCATTTTAGGGATTGCATTGCAAGTGTGTGCATGCATGTACACACACATATGTATTAACACATCAGAACTGTATATTAAGTTAAAGGAAATGAGGAATGGCATGAATATTAATTCCCTTTTCTAGACACTGCCATTGAAAATCATAGGACCTGAAACATAGAGCATTTTTGCTCATCTCTGAAGTCTGTTGCTCATCTCCAGTGTTTCAATCTCTGTCCCCACAAGTAGGAGGCTGTAGTTGCTCTCATATCTACTCCTCCCCAGGGTCAGAAAAATGGGTAGTGTTGTGTGCGATTATACCCTCACTACTGTGCTGCATTTCACTCTGCTCAGAGTACTATTGCTCCCATGGGAAGACTCCTTCCTGTGAGCTAGACATCCATTACTGAGCCCAGAGCCCATGCCTTCCTTCTTCCCTAGAGCCCTGCTCATATTGAGCACAGCCTAGGGATGATTGTGAGTAGCATTTTTCTCATTGTGCTTCTAAGAGCCTCTCTAAGGGCTGATAAAGCCATGATACTCTCATCGGTTGCACACATTGGGTTTCTGAGTGAGCCTGTCCAAAGTTTGACAATGATTGATTTCGTCTACCACCTTCATTACCCAGAGACAGAGAATCACTTCTCTGTGGTCACTTCCTATGGCCACTCCTCTATGGTCACAAGGAATTCAAGTTCTGCTTCCCATCAGGTCTTTATTCTATTAATCTCCACAGTCTTTCTCTGTGTTTTCCTATTCTAATTATGAAACAAGATAGTGGGTTTATATTCCAGATGAACCAGTTTCTAGCTGAAACAAGTTATTTAACCCCTATGGTTCAGTTTATTCATGTGAAAGTTGGGGTTATAATGGAACCCACATCTTGGGTTTAATGTAAAAATTAAAGAAGACCATGTTTGCAAGCACAGGCATGGGAAAATTCATTTATTATTCAGTTAATTTATTCAACAACTAGTGATTGTGCATTTATGCTGAATGAAACCCTGCTCTAGCTTCTGGGAAAAGAAAAATACTTCTGCACTCATGGAGCTTATATTGAGAGGGGCGAGAAGGAAATAGTAAGCAAATATTCACATAAATGGCATAATTCCAGACAGTGTTCTTGAATACAAGATGCAGGGATGGGGAGAGATGGATGGACGTAGGTGGGAGGGGTTACTTTAGTTGGTGGTCAAAGCTCTGAAAAGGTACAGTTGAGAAGAGGCCTTGTATTAATCTGTTCTCACGCTGCTAATAAAGACATACCTGAGACTGGGTTATTTATTTAAAAAAGAGTTTTAATTGACTCACAGTTCCTCATGGTTGGGGAGGCCTCACAGTCATGGGCAGAAGGTGAATGAGGAGCAAAGTCACATCTTACATGGTGGCAGGCAAGAGAGCTTGTGCAAGGGAACTCCTGTTTATGAAACCATCAGATCTCATGAGACTTATTCACTATCATGAGAACAATGTGGGGGAAACTGCCCCCATGATCAATTATCTCCACCTGGCCCCTCCCTTGACACCTGGGGATTATTACAATTCAAGGTAAGATTTGGGTGGGGACACAGCCAACCCCTGTAAGGCCTGCATTATGTAAAGGAGAGAGCTTTGAAAGGATTTGGCCTGAGAGCAGTCCAGGCAGTGGGACAGAGAATGGAAAGTCCTTGTACCTTGTTCTAGAAACAAGAGGCCAATGTGGTTGGAGTGAAGTGAGTGAGGGGAGGATTGTGTGGTAAAATATGAGACTAAAGATTGCAAAGAGTACAGATAAGAAAAAGTTTCAAGCCCTGGTCTTAAAACATTCATTTTTCTTACTAAATTCTAACCATGAAATATAACTTCTCTGAATTGATTAAAGTGTTCTTTTCCTTACCAGCTCAAACAGGAAGAATGTATTTTATTGGGTTTGCTTAATTGTGGAGTCATGATGTGGTTGCCAAGGTTGTCTAGGGCTGGTGATATCACTGTGGTTCCTCTTTGAAGGTGAGCCAACTGACCTGGACATGTGTAGCTCTAGGGCTAGAGGGTTATCCTCCACACTACTGACTCTAAATAATCTCTAAGTACTGGCTTGAGTCCCCTCCATAACTGTTCTAAAATTTAACATCTGTTTGCTCTCCTATGTATAACTCATATTATTTTTATTATGTAAGACATTGACAGAGGGAAATATTGAATAATCGGCCATACAAGTCCATCCTACCAGATCCTTAGTACTCGTATTCTTCACATCTTTAATATTCATGGCCTGTCAGCTCACTGGGGTCACATAATGACCAAATCTTATTTAATATCATGTGAACTTTTTGATTTGGCTCAAGGTATTAGCCTTCAGTATAGGAGTAGACAAAGTGGCATCTTGAGCCTGAGTTTATGGGTTTATAAGGAAAAGGACACTTCAAAGAATCCAGCTAGGGTATATTCCATGGTGTGTGTGTGTGTGCACGCGTGTGTGTGCACTCATGTGCACGCGTGCATGTGTGTGTGTTTGGAGAGAGAATGGAAGGGATGGTGGGGGAGAGAGAGATTTCTTTAAACCAGTTGTGTATATGTATATATTTATCTCTACATGGAGAAGGGTTGAAATAAACAACAAAACACACTTAGTTTCAAAAGAGATAATTTACTAAAAGTATCTCTCACTTAGATGAATTCTGATATGTGAACAGGCTTATGAATTACAAATTTCTGGACAGAAAACAGGGTAAAAAATCTGCTCCGCCAAGGTGGGCATATTCTGAAATGCTCCCTTCAAATGTGACAAGGAGTACAATGGAGAAGAAGTCAAGTTCTCAAGAAAGGAGCCAAGAGTCTCGAAAAGCTGTGGGCTGGGGAGGTATTCTCAGGCAGCAAAACTGAAGCCTAATCAAGGAATACTTTCTGTCCCCAGGGAATATCACTAACATTTCGTCTGGGGAATTTCAGAATTGCTATGGACCAGTAACTGCTCAATGCTGCTCAGAATTGTCCTTTCTGAATCAGCCTCCATTATGGAGATTGTTCCCCCTTTGTATATTAATTGTGTGTGTGGAGGGAAACAACCTATTGCTCTTGGTTTTTTTTCTTGTTTTTCTCCTTCCTCCTCCTCCTCCACTGCTTCCTTCTCCTCTTCCTTACCTTTCTCTTACTTACCCCTCTCCTTCTCTTCCTCTTTCTCCTCCTTTTTCTCATCCTTCTTCTCCTTCAAATTCACCTTATACTTCTGCTTCAACTTCTCCTTATCCTCCTCCTTCTATTCCTCCTTTTTCTGGTTTATAATTCTCCAGATTAAGAAAAGCCATATCTAGAAATATTGTTGCAGATACTATTGTAGGAGCCAAAACTTTGAGTCTGATGATCTAATAGGATGAAACTTTGGGGATTCTTCCTTGAAGATAAAGTGAGTATATTTATGTGCAAGATAAATAGAGGAAACGTGGTGAACAGGAGGGTAACTGTGATAGATTGTATTATTCAGCAAATAGTCATCTCTGTCTCTGTGCTCATTGATTGTGAACTTGGCCATGAAATTTATTTTTACCAATGGAGCATAAATGGACAAGACATTCAGTATGTTCAATCCTGGATCCCACAATGACAAGACATATAAAGTAGACCTGATCCTGACCCTTGACTTGGAGCTGAGCCCAGAAAAGGCTACCAGGAGTAAAGCCAAGCTGCAGCAAGCCTAAAGATCTATGAGTAAGAAATAAATGTTTATTGTTATTAGCCATTAAGTTTTTTAAAAATCCAATATAACTTCTTTGAAAGTTAACTAATATAAGCACTTATTAGCGTCCAAGTCTGTTCTGAATGGTGGAAAATAATATCAAACAAAACAATCAACTATTTCTCATCTGGAGAGATTATATTCTGTGTGTGTGTGTGTGTGTGTGTGTGTGTGTGTGTGTGTTAGAGTATGTTCATTAGTATTTTGTATATAATACATAGATACAAATGTGGTCAATTGCATGAAATGTAAGAAGGCATGCTCACTTAACATGTCAGAAATAGTTGACTCAGGGAGGTGGAGAGAAAACAGTAATTAAAACATTGAATTATTTTTTAATCAGGTCTTCCAAACTTCACATCCTGTGCCCTTTTCTCTATATCATCCAGCCTGCCACTGCTGTTTTTTTACACTTTTTTGATTCAGGGAAATTCCCAGGTCAGGGAGCTAATAAAGATTTTACCATTTAAAATGTTCCAGAAGTAGTCCTCCTTCACCCACATGACAGCAAGCACAGCTTGCAGTCAAGAATAGCAGAAGTAACTTCCATCTAAAGACAAAATGCTACCAAGTTTACTTCTCCACTTGTAGCAGCCTGGGTATAATATTGTTAATCTTTCATTACTGGGTAGAAGAAAAACTTTTGCCTTGTACAAGTGACTTAATAAGGCCTTAATATACAGATGAAGACTTTTGTTCCCAGGAAGCTAGTAAGCGTGCATAATTTCATATTCCTGAGAAAACTTCCCTCTACTGATCAAGCAGGCTTCAGCCTACCTGCATTTACCTACAAAGTTTCAAAATTACCACAGGTCCACCATGGCAATGTAATCATTTGTGCCCTTATAGAAAACACTGAGGCTGACTAAAAACAATTATGTAAATGCTGTTTCTATAGTTATAGTTGTATGTTTCTCACACTTTGACATACTTAGCACATACACAAATATGTCTTTTTAGAGCATATTATAGTTTTCAGCCATTTTTACATATATCACCTCATTTCACTTTCATAGCAGCCTTGTCATATAGGTGGAACAGGGCTTATTCTGCAACTCATAAGTAAGCCCAGGAAATTCTAGTGGTTTGACCAAAGTCAGCACAGCTACAAAACACAATGTTGGAATATAAACCTGTTTTCCAACCTCATTGTCTGATAGCCTTACCATTTTTAAATGCTTAGCCACCACTTCCTGTCCATTTTGTAAATATCTGAACAATTTACAATTGAAAAAAAAGTTTCCTAAAAGAAATAAATAGTTGCTATTTTATAGGTGAAGGGCACTACTGAACTCCTTTCCCTGTAGAAAATGGAAAGAATGAATTTGAACAGGGTCCAAAATAAGAGAAAGTATAGAAACTTAGCCCTGGAGGGTGGCAGCACAGTTTTCTTACATTATTTTATGCTGGGTGCCTACTGCAGAACCTGGCACAGGATGAGTACTTGGCACATTTTTCCTTGAGTGAATGAATATATGCACGAATAAATTTTGTAATCTAACTACACACTGTGATAACCAAATCTAACTCAAGTCTTGTGGGGTGTATACTTAGGAAAAATAAGGTGCTATTTGAATAGGGTGGCAACCTTTTATAAAAAAACAAATGCGTCAATGAGTAATCTTCACCAGCTTCTGTCCTTAGCATCCTCACCATTCCCCTCAACATCTCGCAACCTGGTTTGCCTGCTGTTGAACCGTTGTTGCTGTAGTCCACAGTGACTTTTTTTTTTTTTTTTTTTTGAGATAGAGTTTCGCTCTTTTTTGAGATGGAGTTTTGCTCTTGTTGCTCAGGCTGGAGTGCAATGGTGCAATCTCGGCTCACTGCAACCTCTACCTCCTGGGTTCAAGTGACTCTCCTGCCTCAGCTTCCCAAGTAGCTGAGACTACAGGTGCGTGCCACTGTGCCCGGCTTATTAATTTATTAATTTATTAATTTTATTTATTTTGAGACAGAGTCTCACTCTGTTGCCCAGGCTGGAGTGCAGTGGTGCGATCTTGGCTCATTGCAAACTGCCTCCTGGGTTCAAGCAATTCTCCTGCCTCAGCCTCCTGAGTAGCTGGGATTACAGGTGCTCGCCACTACGCCTGGCTAATTTTTGTATTTTTAGTAGAGATGGAGTTTCACCATGTTGGCCAGGCTGGTCTCGAACTCCTGACCTCACGTCAATTCATAAGTGAGCCCAGGAAATTCTAGTGGTTGACCAAAGTCAACACAGCTACAAAACACAAGGTTGGAATATAAACCTGTTTTCCAACCTCATTGTCTGATTTATTTCACGTGATCTGCCCACCTGGGCCTCCCAAAGTGCTGAGATTACAGGCATGAGCCACCATGCCTGGCCAACAGTGACTTTTTTCCTCTTTAGGGTATCTTGCATCTGCCTACTCCTCTCCAGCCCTATTGCCACCATCTGAGTTCATTTCCTCAGTAAGACATGTCTGAGCTACTGCTGGGGCATGACTTCACCGGCAGCCCACCAAAGCTGTGAGCTACTGCTCTCTGAATGATGAAGGTTGTACTTGAGTGTCTGTTCATTGGCAATATAGCAGTTTTGCCTGCTTTTAACGCATTTTCAAGGCATCATTCAATCCACAGATAAAGTTCCTCTGCGTTTGCTAACCCTCCTGAGTGATTCTCGTCCATCAGGGCAAATGGAAAAGAAAGAAAACCAGAACATCTGATGCCCACCCAGGTGCCAGCATTTGCTAGATGTTGGTCTCTGTGCAGCCAATGAGCCTCTCAGGTCCTACTTCTTGACGATCAGGTTTGTGGTATAAAAGAAAGTATTTTAGCGCTTTCTAAACTGTAAAATTCTATTTAAATGTAAAATAAAAGTTGCTATATTGAACATCTACACATATGGAAGCCAATTTTGTTTTTTAAGTCTATAATCCTAAAATCCTAAAATGAAACTTCTATTTTACAGATAGAGAAACAGAACTCTCTCATAGAGGGCTTACCCAGCTCTAAAATATTTGATCCCAACCATCATATGCTTCCATTTATTGAAAATATGACTCTGCTCAGGTACTTTAATATCTCCTCACTGAACAGCTGATCCAAGCTGAGCTTCTTTGTTTAACATACCAGACCCTTATATCAACCGGTCAAAAACTTCTATGCATGATTTCTGAACATTTCATAATATTTTTTCTGACTCCCTAACATCTACCCTTGGTTCTGGCTACTACAATTTCTTTATTATGCCTTCTCCCTTCCAAACATATTGTAAGCCCCTGCCTAAGACTTCTACAATATGTTTGGATTTCTGGACAGAAAACAGGATGAGAAAACTGCTCTGCCAAGGTGGGCATATTCTGAAATGCTCCCTTCAAATGTGGCCAAGGAGTAAATCTAGACATATTGTAATCCCCTGCCTAAGACTTCCTTTCTTCCTTAAACCTTCACAGAATAACACCCTAGTCTGGTCTCTTACTCATAAAAAAGGTGGCAAGAGAACTCAACTAATTCACAAAGACATGTTGTTTTTTCAGTCATTTTTGAGAATTGCCCTGTTTGTTTTATGTGTTTATTTGCATGTTTCAAACTAAATAAACTGTAAGATTTGAAGAGCAAGGGAAATAGCTGATTTTTAAAAAAGCTTTCTTAACACTTTGCAGAGAACTCTCAATTTTAGACAGCCTTGCTCAATGAATTATTTATCTGAACATATCTTGAAAGGTGGATTTTCCTCAGAAAGTTACATTTTTGACTCTCCTTTATGGCACCTACTTACTCCCTAAAGCTGTTTAATAGTAACACTCTGTAAAATATTCCACTTTCAAAGGCCCTTTTTAGGTAATTGCTGAACTCAAACTCACAATCACCACATAAGGCATCTACTGTAATACCTATTTTGTAGATGAAAAAACTGAAGCCTAAGGTCTAAATGGATTGCTCAGGGTTAAACAGAGAGTTACTGAGAAAGTCAGAATTGGAAGGAAGTTTCCTGATACCCACACAATTCAGCATGCTTCCACCATGATGCCTTTCTACCTCCTGTTGCCCTGCACCCAACTGGAGCTCTATCCATTGGCACCTTTACATCATGGCGTTTGTGAGGATGACAAGAGTATGCACATTAGCATAATAAAAAGTGATGTGCAATGGCTTGACAGATCCCACAGATTTCCTAATGAAAAAGGGATATTGAATTTGAAATTCATAATTTTGACGAGGGAAACCATTCTACCCTTTTGTGCAAGCAAGGCTACAAGAAATATTTCCTGATAAGCATGGTGAGGCATGGGAACCTGACAGGGCTCATATGTCATCTACCAGTTATGACTTTTTGACCTTAAACCATTTCTTTTGTGTCCTGGCTCTTATTCTGCTCCTTTTTAAAGGCGCAACTCATCTGTGGGATGCATTTTTATTCCTTTAAGCCCATCTATCAACTTACTGAAATACAGTCAAAGCCCTTTCACTCTTACACTCAGTACATTTGTAGGCCATCAGTGGAACTGCTTGAAAATTACAGGGCTCCATAAAACCCACACTTCTCTGAATTCAGCCCATGCTCAGCAGTTTTCAATTTGCTTCCCTCATTATTTCTTACAGGTGTGCTCAGGGTTATGCAATTAAACCACATTCTATATTTAAAATTCTCCCTCTGACTCCATCCTTACCGGATATGTCAAATATAAAGTGTTTTGAAGTGCTAATCAAAACTAACAGAATCTGGGAAGTAATAGAAATATATATGTGTGTATGTGTGTGTATATATATATATATGTGTGTGTGTGTGTTTATTTCATGCTTTTGTTTGTTTGTTTGTTTTGGTGAGGTGAAACATACCACAAGACTGACCTAGAATCTGGAACATCATTATCTGATTCTGGAAGCTTGATTTTTACCCCACTTTTGTCACCAAGGTAGCTAAACAAATATAGCAACTAAATATAATATAAAATGCAAATACGCTTATTTATTTTAAAGATATTTCTTGATTAGTGCATCCAATAGAAATATAACATGAGCCAAATAGGCAATCTTACATTTTCCAGTAGTCATATTAAAAAAGTAATTAATTTTAATAGTATGTTTTATTTAACTCAATGTATCTAAAATACGAACATTTCAACGTGTAATGAATAGAAAGATGGCAAGATATTTTGCATCCTTTTTGTGTGCTAAGTCTTCAAAATATGTTGTGTATTTTATGCTTAAAACACATTTCAGTTTGGACTAACCATCCCAGTGGAATGCTGGAGCCAGCTCTCATTGGATTATAAGAGCTAGTTAAATTTTTGGAATTTCATGAGCTAGTTGATGGTAGGTTGAAATTGCCCACTGTGGGAGTGTTTATTCCAGAGAATTATAAAATGCTGCAATTTCTGATTGTGGTGGGGGGAGTGTTGGGGAGCATATTGTTAAACGTTTACTAGCATACCACCTCTCAATAGTCACTGTGGCTAGTGGCTACCGTATTGAATGGTGCATGCCTAGATAATAAACATAATTATATATTTATTAGACCCTATTCTTAAGCATGCTTAGAACTTTCTCTAATGTTTTCTAAGTATGGTGACAAAATGGTGCCTTCCACAATGGACACCAGGAATGGTAAGCATGATTGAGCATCTATTAGCAGCAAAAGCATCACTGTTCCACTGCTCCACACAGTCCCATGCAGGGTTCGGTCTGGGGAGAGATTGCTTCTTGTATACTTTAAGAATAAGTCTAGTTGTGAGTGCTGGCATTGTTGAAGAGACAACAATAAGAGAAGCAGATTAGCATAAAAACATGAGCAAGACACTAACTTTCTTATAATATTATAAGTAGCAGTTCTTCTGTTTTGTGAGGAAAATAGAGATTTTATGTAAAGATATTAGCTTATATATTTAAACCTCATAAAGACTTATTAAATATTATTTATTAAAGAGCACATAATTCATTGGGTTTTAAAATTACCTAATATACTTCTAATAAATTAAATTTAAATAATTAAATCTAATTTTAGTGGAGCAGAATATGTAGAAGGTATTCTAAGGTGTTATATTCCAAAAGTCTCTGATATATGTAACAAATATATACTCTTCCATAAAACAATAATATTTTGCTTCCAGTGGGTGTGTAACTATGTGCCAGAGACTTTAAATACATATTTCAGTTGATTTACACAATGATCCTAAGTTGTGGGATTAATTATATGAATTCAAAGAGTAGAAAATTGAAGCTCAGGAAAGTTAGTGAGTTCAGCCAGCCATCAGGTAAATGGTAGATTTGAACAATGAACTGTCTTTCTTATTTCAAAGTCTGGACTTTTTCTCTAGATCGTACTGCTCCCTAGAAGTTTAATTCATGTTTATTGGATTTTTCTGTTTTCCTTCACTGGGAGGATAGGACTAAAGGAAGGTTGGAAGCCTCATGATGTTACAAATACTAAAGCCTCTTATGTTCAAATGATAAGGGTGGCAGGAACTGAGGAAGATAACAAGCTCAAACATGTAAAGCAGAATATGAGCTTTATCTTGTTCACCCTGGTATCCCCAGTAAATATCACAGCACTAGGACAGGATGGGTACTAAATACCTATATGTAGAACAAATGTGTGCTCTTACAGAAAAACAAAATAAAACAGAAAACAATAACAATAGCAAAACCCTTACTCTCCAGGAATGATAATGGCAGGTGGCATTTACCCAGCATGCACCAAACAACAGGCACTGTTCTAGAGGCTTCACTTGCATTGCCTCATTTAATCCTCACAACAATTGTATGAGGTTAAGTACAACTAATATTTCCATTTTACACATAGGGAAGGCTGAAACACATGGAAGATACAAAACTCCCATGCTACAAATATATAGCATAATTGAGATTTAAACCCAAGTAACCTGAATCCACAGTGCAACTACATCCTATGTCTGCTTTTTATTTTTATTTATTTATTTTTAATTGAGACAAGATCTTGCTCTCTCACCCAGGCTAGGGTGCAGCAGCATGATTCCAGCTCATTACAGACTAGACTTCCCTGGCTTAATTGAGTCTCGCCTCAGCCTCCCAAGTAGCTGAGACCACAAGCACACGCTACCACACCTGGCTACTTTTTGTATTTTTTCTAGAGACGAGGTCTCGCCATGTTGCCCAGGCTGGCCTAAAACTCCTGGGCTCCAGTGATCTCCCTGCCTTGGCCTCCCAACGTGCTGGGATTACAGGTATGAGCCACTGTGCCCAGCCATGTGCCCAGCCACTTGTATCTGTCTTATTAGTTATATGGCAGACAAGTCATAGGCACTTCAAACTTTTAACAATAATAAATGTTGAAAGTACAAGTTCAAAGTGACTATGAAGAAGAGATATATGTGATTTCATATATTAGTTCAATATTAATTTGCCATACTAGAAGTAAGAAATGATTGTGGAGAAAGAAATCACTTCTCACTCTCAAACTATGGAAGATAGCAGAGTTGGAACTTAGGTTATTGAAGGATAAGTGGGATTTGTATAAACAATGGAAAGTTAAGGCATATCTAGCCAGAGAAAACAGCATGAATAAATACACGAGAAACAAGCTCTAAATCCTATAAGGGCCTGCAAATTTTGGAAATGTTGGAGTGGACAATAGCAGTGGAAAAGTGGTTATGGGTGAGAGCAGGCTTAAGTCTACCTCATATGCAGTGAGGAATTCAATTTTCCACACATTAGGCACTCCTATTCATGGAACCTCCATCACAGGCAATATGAGGATTTTAACACCTCCAGGAAGGTATTAATATTCTAGTGTGCTATATGACCAATAACTCTAACATAATGTAAAGTAAGGTAAGTGGTCTAGCAAGCAAAGTGATGTGGAAGAAAAGAAGAACATGGGAGTTTAAAGAGGGAGATGCATATGGTTCTGAAGACTGTAGGAAAGGCTTCACAGATTATGCTGTATTTGGAGAACATCATTTGGTTTGTTAATGTATCATATGTTATGTGATGAGGAACGATGGTAAATGACACTAGAAAGATCAGTTGAGATCATAGTGTGGAGAATGGCAAATGCCAAGTGTGAGGAACTTTATTTTATCAATAGCAAGTGAGTAGGTAGCCTTGATGGGTTGTGAAGAGCCTAGAATTACATTTCCATTTTAGGAAAATAAATCTGACAGTTATAATGGGACGAAGAATAATAGAGGGATTTGTAGGCTGGAATTAATGTTGGTGGTTATTCTAGAAGGTTGAGCTAGCGATAATGACATTTGCAGATAAGATAGTGGCAGTAGATATAGAAAGAAGAGGATGTGTGAAAGTACTTTGGCTACTAAAAAAATTGTTCTCAGTATAATGAGGACAAAAACAGGATTTGAGAGCAGGGAAATGGCAAAATCAAAAGTATATGACTTAGAAATTCTCTTGCTCTGTTCTGAATCCTTTAATATGTGCTGAGATTCAGAGAAAACAGGAATGGTGAAAGTTTAAGAGTTTAGGGATGGCAGATAGTATCTATAACATTTGCCTTCTTTTGAGCAGTCAGAAAGAAAGTTGATTGCATAATATAGGTGTGGGGACAAGGGAAAGCCATTTTTCCAAGATATTGTGTGAGAATAAATTAAACAATTCATCTTTTAAAAGGTGATATCACTGTATTCACTAGCAGAAATGCTACATAAATGTTATATTCGTTTTTTTCTCGGTCTACTTTAGCCATCAAAGTATTTTGCAGGGTAGACCTCATGTCTGGATAAACTAATATTGCCACTTCTCATATAATCTGTGCTGAAGGATCTCTTTCTTTTTTATAAAATTTTCTGCCCATCACTGACCAATACTGGAAATTCATACACAAAATAAAATGAATAAAAAACTGACATATAACTTCAAACCCCAATTTATTATTATTTCATTCAATAGACACCAAATTACTCCATTGGATTGCTAAAAAATTCTAAATTACTCCATTGAATAGCTATAAAACTTTCTAAATAGTTTCAATCTCTGAGCTTGTCTCATCCTATCAGTAACAAACATCTCAGGCACCAGCACCTCCCTGCACTGCCCATGCTTCCCATCACTCTGGTGTTTTCATTGCTACAATGTGATTTCAGAGATTTTAGAAAGACTCTGAGGTTCTCTTTCATCCTGTTCTAATACTCTAATTCTACTTTGCCTATCTTCTGCATATTTTGAGGGAAAATATTACACTTTTTGCCATCTATATTTTTAGCTTAAGGAATAAGTGAAAACCCACATACCTTTGCAATGACACATACTTTGTACCACCCTCATGTATACTTTGCTGAGAAGAAGTGTAATTAATGACTGATGGATAAAAAGAAAACAAGACAATGCCACTACCCTACACAAGCAAACACTCAAGCCTGTGTTGCTTTTTCACTATCTACCAAATTATCTTTCAGCCTTTTCCTTCTTATGTTACTTCCATTTAACAAGCTCCCCATTTTCCCCCACTTATTAGAATTTTATCCTACTTAAATGCCTCAACCAAGTCCTAGCTCCTTCATGAATACAACCATGGCCCAATGCAACTCATAATCATCTCACCCTTCTCTGACATTTTTAGATTGACTATATTCTCACTTGGTATTATTTGTAATATATTGCCTAGTGCTTTTTCTTGCTCAATTATTATTTTCTCTATTAAAAAATACATATTTCCTACACATATTTAAAATTTTCTTTTTACATACATATATGCACACAGAGGAACAATATTAATAATAAATCAAACAACTTTCAAAGAACAACCAGGTAAGAAAAAAAAATTACTAAGAGTATGCAGAAGCCCCCGCATGCATCAGCATTTACATCCTCCTACCTTTACCCAAGAGACAACTGATATCCTGATCTTTGTCATAATTAATCTCTTTCTTTTCTGGATAACTTTTCTACCAATGAAAATATTTACAAATGAATTATTAAATATGTACAAATATACGCACATAAATTTATGTATATATTTTAAAATATAAATATATTCCTATCATTATATAAGTATACATACATATATATGTACTGTGTATATTTACATATTTTAACAGTTCTGTTTTTTATGCACCTAATAGGAATTAAATCATGCTGTAGGCATTGTTCTTTCCTCAGTGTTGTATTTATTATATTAATCCACGTTAATTTGGGTGGCTTAGGTCATTTACTTTCACTACTCTATAGAAATTATGTGCATGAATACATAATTTACTATCTATTATATTGTGGATGAATTTTTGGTTGTTTCCAAACCAAATTTTTGCTGTTGTATACAATGATTCTGTAGACACACGTGCAATTTCTCCTGGTACACATGAAGTATTCTATAGTATAGAACCATGGGTGAGATTGCTGCATTGCAGGGCATGAGCATGTTTCATTTAACTAGATAGTGCCAAACTTTTATCACATTAGTTGTACCAATTTATACCTTCTCCAGCAGTGTATGACAGTTCCCATTGATCCATAGACTAGACATCATTTGGTGTGATAGATGTTACTAGCGCCCATCAATATTTCCGGGACACCTCTTCTTTCAGGGGACAACAAGGCTGATCACAATTCCTCACCTCTTTAAAGCTAAGCAAAAGCATGTGACCATGTGACTTAGTCTTTTCTTTGGACAATGGCATTCATTTCTGGACAGAAGCATTGAAAGACCTTGTAATTCTCCATGTTCTTTTCCTTCTGAGACAAGTCCAGATGGCAGTGTCACAATATGGTGAAACTTCTTTCAACCTTATTTACCATAGCTTTATAATGAGCTGTGATAGATAATGAGTCCCCAACCTCAATCTCTCTCTTTAAAACATTTGTCTGTTCTTGATCTTTGACCTTACAAATATATTTTAGGATCAATTTGTCAAATTCCATGGTTAAGTCTGTTGGAATTTAGATTAGAGTAACAGTGAACTTATAGGTCAATATGGAAGAGAACTGAAATCTTTACAGTATTTTATCTCCTAATGTAGAATCCAAGAACAGAGAATTTTCCTTTTTTTAGGTCTCATTTAGTGTTTTTCAATCAGGTTTTATAATTTTCTTCATAAAGTGTTTGCAACACGTTTGGTAGTTTTGTCTTAAGGTACTTCATATTTTTGATGCTACTGTTAAGTGCTAATTTTTAGATTTTTCTTTTTTTTCTAGGTATTTGTTTTTAACATATAGTTATATAATTTATTTTCTTGTGGAATAATGGAATAATTTTGTGCCAGCAAGCTTGTTAAATTTTCCTATTAATGTCAACATTTTACTTGCAGTCTCTTTTGGGCTTTTTAATACAACAAATATATTACCAATAATTGTCCTTTGTTCTTTCCAGACTTTATGCCTTTTATTTTAATTTTTTAAATTCATTGTTATACTGGCTAAATAGAAGTTGTGATAAAAGTCATATCACAAAGGATTTTCCTCAAAGAAAATGCTTTCAGTGCAGCTACATAAATCATAATAATACATTTGTTTTATGAGGTTTTCCTTCTTCTTTCTCTCTCTGTCTCTGTCCTTCCTTTCTAGATACCTGTATCAGGGTAAAAAATTTTCTCCTTTTCATAGTTGACCAAGATTTTTTTCACTGTGAATATAGGTTGGTCTCTAATAAATATTTCTCCAGATTTTTTTGAAGAGGTCTTATAATCATTTTTAATTGTGTATTCAGTAATTCATATTAATTTTAACTAACATAAATTAATTAATGTTAAATCAACCTTTAATTGTTATGATAACCCAACTTGGTCATAGTTTTCATTCTTCTCATGTCTTGTTATATTCAGTTCATTAACAATTTGCCTTAGATAGTAGTTATATTTATAAGTCATTTTGGGCATATTTTTCATTCACATAATCTCCTTGCCAAGATTTTGTATCAAGCTAATTCTAGACCAGCAGCTCTCATCTGGGACTTATTTTTGCCTCCCAGGTATCACTTGGCAATACCCAGAGATACTTTTGATTGTCACAACTTGTGGTGAAGGTACTACTGGCATTTAGTGAGTAGAAGTCAGGAATGGTGATAAATATCCTATATTGTACAGGACAGCATTCCAAAACAGATCATTATCTGGCCAAAAATGTTAATAGTGAGAAATACTGTTCTATCTTCATAAAAATTGCATAATCTAAAATTGAAATTACATGTTTTATAGACCTCACCAATGAAAACATAGAGGCTATATCATATAAAGATACCATCTCACACCAGTTAGAATGGCATACGTAAGAGTTTTTTTGTGAAAATATGTTTGACCTTCTGTTTTTTAATGGTTATAGAACAGGTTAGGTTTCTTTTGGGGGAAGTTTTAGTAAATCATATTTTCCTGATAATTTGTTTGTTTCATCTAATATTTAAAATTTATTGTCTAAAGATGTTTATTCTATAGCTTAAGAACTTTTAAATATCTACAGTACCTGTAGTGATGTCTGCTTTTTATATTTCATATTTTTTCATTTGTCCCTAATATGTTTTTGTTTGTTTGCTTCTCTTGTCAATATAACTAAAGTTTCTCTGTTTTATCAGTTTTTCAAAAAACTGTGGATCTTTTTTTGCATATTTATTTTCCATTTCATTGTCTTTTTACTTATGTTTATTTCCTGTTTACTATCCTTTTAAGGTTAATTTTTCTGTTTTTTAAAAGTTCTTAAGATAGATACTTGGTTCACTAGAGTTAAAACGTTATATTTTCTACTATAAGTATTTTAAGGCTATAGCTCTCCCTCTGGTTTTTCTTATAGTTGCATGCTATTTATACTTATACATTTTTAGTGAGCTTGAAAATATTATGTGTTCCGTAACTGGTGTATAGTATCAACTATATCTCGGTAGCTCCAGTATATACTAATTATACTATTAAAGTCTTCTACATCATTAACTCTTTTTTGTGATTTATATAAAATACATGTTATCTCTCATTGTGATTGTGAATTGCCAATTTCTTCTTGAAGATATCTCAGTTATTTCTATACATATTGAGACTGAATTATTAGTTAAATTTTAAGTTTCAGATTATATCTCCTTAAACTGATAAGCAACTTCAGCAAAGTCTCAGGATACAAAATCAATGTGCAAAAATCACAAGCATTCCTATACACCAATAACAGACAAACAGAGAGCCAAAACATGAGTGAACTCCCATTCACAATTACTATAAAGAGAAAAAAATACCTAGGAATACAACTGACAAGGGATGTGAAGGACCTCTTCAAGGAGAACTACAAACCACTACTCAAGAAAATATGAGATGGCACAAATGGAAAAGCATTCCATGCTCATGGATAGGAAGAGTCAATATCATGAAAATGGCCATACTGCTCAAAGTAATTTATAGATTCAGTGCTATTCCCATCAAGCTACCATTGACTTTCTCCACAGAAGTGGAAAAAACTACTTTAAATTCCATATGGAACCAAAAAAGAGTGCACATAGCCAAGACAATCCTAAGCAAAAAGAACAAAGCTGGAGACATCACGATACCCGATTTCAAACTATACTACAAGACCACAGTAACAAAAACAGCATGGTACTGGTACCAAAACAGATATATAGACCACTGGAACAGAACAGAGGCCTCAGAAATAGCACCACACATCTGCAACCATCTGATCTTCGACAAACCTGACAAAAACAAACAATGGGGAAAGGATTCCCTATTTAATAAATGGTGTTGGGAAAACTGGCTAGCCATATGCAGAAAACTCAAACTGGATCCTTCCTTACACCTTACACAAAAATTAACTCAAGGTGAATTAAAGACTTAAACGTAAGACCTAAAACCATAAAAACCCTAGAAGAAAACCTAGCCAATACCATTCAGGACATAGGCACGAGCAAATACTTCATGACTAAAACACCAAAAGCAATGGCAACAAAAGCCAAAATTGACAAATGTGATCTAATTAAACTAAAGGGCTTCTGCACAGCAAAGAAACTATCATCAGAGTGGACAGGCAACCTACAGAATGGGATAAAATGTTTGCAACCTATCCATCTGACAAAGGGCTAATATCCAGAATCTACAAATAACTTAAACAAATATAAAAAAAAAAACCTGGGAGGCAAAAATAAGTCCCAGATGAGAGCTGCTGGTCTAGAATTAGCTTGATACAAAATCTTGGCAAGGAGATTATGTGAATGAAAAATATGCCCAAAATGACTTAGAAACATAACTACTATCTAAGCAAATTGTTAATGAACTGAATATAACAAGATATGAGAAGAATGAAAACTATGACCAAGTTGGGTTATCATAAAAATTAAAGGTTGATTTAACATTAAATCAAAAAGTGGGCTGTGGATATGAACAGACACTTCTGAAAAAAAAACCCATCAAAAAGTGGGCTATGGATATGAACAGACACTCAAAAGAAGACATTTATGCAGCCAACAAAAATATGAAAGAAGAGCTCATTATCACTGGTCTTTAGAGAAATACAAATCAAAACCACATTGAGATACCACCTCACACCAGTTAGAATGGCATTCATTAAAACAACAGATGCTGGAGAGGATGTGGAGAAATAGGAACGCTTTTACAGTGTTGGTGTGAGTGTAAATTAGTTCAACCATTGTGGAAGACAGTGTGGTGATCCCTCAAGGATCTAGAACTAGAAATACCATTTGACCCAGCAATCCCATTACTGGGTATATACCCCAGGGATTATAAATCATTCTACTGTAAAGACACATGCACACATATGTTTATGCGGCACTGTTCACAATAGCAAAGACTTGGAACCAACCCAAATTCTGAACAGTGATAGACTGTATAAAGCAAATGTGGCACTTATACACCATGGAGTACTATGCAGCCATAAAAAGGATGAGTTCATGTCCTTTGTAGGGGCATGGATGAAGCTGGAAGCCATCATTCTCAGCAAACTAACACAAGAACAGGAAACCAAACACCTCATGTTCTCACTCATAGGTGGGAGTTGAATAATGAGAACACATGGACACAGGGAAGGGAACATCACACAATGGTGCCTGTCAGCAGGTGGGGGGCTAGGGGAGGGATAGCACTGGGAGAAATACCTAATGTAGATGACGGGTTGATGGGTGCAGCAAACCACCATGGCACATGTATACCTATGTAACAAACCTGCACGTTGTGCACATGTACCCCAGAACTTAAAGTATAATAATAAAAAAATTATTGTACTTATGGGTGAATTTAACTTATTGTTATTAATATTATGAACTACCTATATCTAGTAATGCTTTTGCTTAAAAGTATATAGTGATAGGAAAAACATTCCTATCTGTTTACCCAGCCACTGCGCCTGGCCTATTTCGTTAAGTTTTAAACTTATTACAAATCATAGGTGGTTGGATTCTTTTCAGTTTGGTTGATTTTTTTGAATTAACTGTTTATTACTTTAATTGGAATATAATATTTGATATATTGGAATTTGGATCAAGCATCTTATTTCAAGCTTCCCATTGCCAAAATATTTTGTGCCACGTTTTCCTTCCTTTCTGCTTTTTGGAATTGTTGAGATTAATTTTTTCCTTTCATGTTTGCTGCTAGCAGCTGGGAAGTATTGTATTGATTTATTTAGTAGTTACCCTAGAAATTGAAACATACTTTACTTAGGAAAAGTCTAAAATTGTTCAGTATCATTAGCATCCTTCTAAATAATAGAGGACTTAAAAACATATAAACTACTTTTAGCCATCTCCTGACTTATCCTCTAGTGATTTTGTACTTTTTTTTTCTTTTTCTGAGATGGAATCTCACTCTGTCTCCCAGGCTGAAGTGCAGTGGCATAATCTCAGCTCACTGCAACCTCCACCTCCTGGATTCAAGCAGTTCTTCTACCTCAGCCTCCCAAGTAGCTAGGATTACAGGCATGCACCAGCACACCCAGCTAATTTTTGTATTTTTAGCGGATACGGGGTTTCACCATTTTGGCCAGGCTGGTCTCAAACTCCTGACCTCAGGTGATCTGGCCGACTCAGCCCCCCAAAGTGCTGGGATTACAGGCATGAGACTTTGTGCATTTTATAAGCCAATATCATCAAACATGACTATGTTAAGCAGTTAATGTTTGTTTAAATTCACTAACAAATTTATCACATTAGTGTCCATCATTTTTTTCATCTCAGATTTGATTGTCCATCTGTTATCACTTTGCTCATTATATACTATTTACTATTTATTTATTTATCTTTAGTCAGGATCTGTTGATGTAAATTCAGCTTACATGTTTCAGAAAATATCTTCATATTGCTATGATAAGATATTTTTACTCGGCATAGAACTTTTGGTTGACATTCCTTTTTTCTCTGGGCATATTGAAGATATTATTCCACTGTGTTTAACTTTTAGTTTTGCCAATGAGATGTCAGCTGTCAATGTGTTATTTCCTGGAAGATAATTTCTCTTTCTCTCTTTCTCCCTAGCTGTTTTTTCTCTTTATCATTGGAGTTTTGTGTTTTTATTCTATTATGTTTATATTGTTTAGTATTCATTAGATTTGTTAAAGATATATATAGATACACACACACACAAACACATATAGGTACACATACACACACATATAGATGTCTTTCTTCGATTCTGGAGAATTCTCAGCCATTTTTATTAAAATATTGTCTCTGCCACTTTTTCTTTTCTTCTCTGGAATAAACATAGATATTTTTCTCTTTAGCCTCTGTGTATCTTAGAGTCCTTTTATATTTTCCATCATTCTGCCTCCTTTTACTTTATTCCTGATAATTTCTCAGATCCCCGCTCCACTTTGATAATTTTCTCTTCTGTTTTGCACACTAATGTTTTAAGTTTCAAATAATGTATTTTTTAATTTCTGCAATTTCTATTTGCTGCTGCAAAATCTTCTGTGTTTACATGTGCCATGCTGGTGCGCTGCACCCACTATGTATACATATGTAACTAACCTGCACAATGTGCACATGTACCCTAAAACTTAAAGTATAATAAAAAAAATAAATAAAATAAAAAAAATCTTCTGTGTTTTTCTTCAAGGATGTTTGTTCTCTGCACATATTCAAGCTTGCATTTTATTTTGTCTTAAAATTAAGCAGTTATTTTTTACTTTACCTACTGCCTAGTTATTTTGCTTTTGGTTATATTTTATTTTGACTTTAGAATGTACATTTGGTTTTGTATGCTTCTATTTCTTTATTGAAACTTCCTGTTACTTAAGTTGTTGTTATCACATCTTTCCTTTAATTCACTCAATATAGTTTTCTTTAATTCTTTTACTAAATTTATGATAATTGCTTAAAATCTTTGCCTGCTAAATTCATTATTTGTGTCCCCTTGCAGTTAAATTTATAATGGCTGATTTTTCCCTGAGCGGTGTAGATCATTCTTTTTATTTCTTTGCCTGATATATACGCACTTTGCTAACTGGACAAACCTAGTCAACCAGGAATGTGTGAAGAGCTTATCTCATCTCTTCTGTGGCTCTCACAGGATCACCCCATTAAATATATGATGGCCCACTGCCCACCCCCATCAGCATCATAAACTTTGGCTCGCAGAACTGTAGGTTTTTCTCATTTGTTTGGTAGCAAGTTTGTTACTTTCACTGACAACACTACTGTGCATGTTCACCCTCCATTTAAAATTGGGCCTACCCTTGCTGGAAGACACAGCCCTAGTTTTCCTGGCCAGCCCACGCTGGTAACTCTACTGTTTTTGTTGCAGGAGGTGGTAGAGGGTGGATGGCAGCAGCTCCATGCAAAAGAATTGTAGACTCTGCAGCTCCTACTCAAAGTTCTAGCAACTTCTCATGACTAGCCAATGCTCAGGTTTTGTTGTTTTTCTTTGATAAATTGCCAGAGCAGCAAAATGGTTGTTTTGACCATTTGGACCAATTTGACTATTGCTTTTAGGGGTGGTAATTCACCATAATCTTCATTCTACCATAGTCTTACATTAGATATCAAAGTTACTGTAAAAGTAAATAGTTATTCTGTAAACTCATTCTAGTTATTTCTAGATCTGAAATCTTTACAGTTCTTTTAAAACCCTCTGTTCATTTCTGCTGGTTCTTGCTCATGGTATCTTGTATATTTAAAAAATGTATTTTTGGCCGGGTGCAGTGGCTCACGCCTGTAATCCCAGCACTTTGGGAGGCCGAGACGGGCAGATCACGAGGTCAGGAGATCGAGACCATCCTGGCTAACACGGGGAAACCCCGTCTCTACTAAAAATACAAAAAATGCAAAAAATTAGCCGGGCGTGGTGGTGGGTGCCTGTAGTCTCAGCTACTCGGGAGGCTGAGGCAGAAGAATGGTGTGAACCCGGGAGGCGGAGCTTACAGTGGGCCAAGACCGTGCCACTGCACTCCAGCCTGGGCAACAGAGCGAGGCTCCATCTCAAAAAAAAAAAAAAATGAACTTTTGTCTTTTAAATATTTCTTGGAGGAAATTATTTGAGGCCTTAGATGAAGATTGTTTCTTCCAAAGAAGATTTGCTTTTGCTTTTATTGGATATCTGAAGGCACTACCAGTCTAGTGCTACTCAGAGTTAAGTTTTTGCCTGAGGTATTTATGATTCATGAATGGTATGAATTTGGGATATAAATCTATGTAAGGGCTGATTTGCACATCCTGGTTTCAGTGAGTATTTTCTCCATTCTGCTCTTCATCAGTGCTGATAAGTGTTTACCCTCAAGGTGGATGGGAAAAGGGTTTGGTTACCATGCCAACTTACAGTGTGGATGTAGTTGTGTGGGCACCTCCTTTTAGATTCTAAACTAGGGTAGATTCTGGACTTGTTGTTTTCTGTTCAGTCTATAAGATCCATCTATAGGATCTAAAGTTCAGCAAATTGGCAAATGGTAAAAGCCGACTTCAAGTTCTCTTTTTAATTCTTTGAGTTCTTATTTTACTCTTTTCTTTTTGCATAAGAGTATCTTACACTTTTGTGACATCTTGGATGAATTTTAGAAACTGTGTATGTATTTGTATTTGTAGTTATAATCCAGGATTTTTACTGTGTCAGTGGCAGGATCAATGCAACTCTCTACTCTACCATATTATTGGAGTCTTGCCTTTTCTACAAAAGGAAAAGCAAATGAAAAGATCTATGTTTTTAACTACTCACCTAAAATGCCTAGTATAATCTCTTATGTGTAATTGACATTCAGTATACATTTTAAAATACAAGAACTCTTTTTACTTCTTATAGTCAGCAAAATATAACTTTAACATCAATGTATAATGTATTTTATTGTAGATAATCTAGTGTCACTTTTACATGATTCTTAAATGGCCTCATGAACATTTCTATCATAAGCACTTATAGCCTCTGCTTCTGTTTGTGAATAACTCCAGTGATCTGTAACTCCTTTCCTTCTTTAGGGGCCAGTTCTATTTCTAGTCTGTTCTACTTTTTGGGAAATTCCATTTATGCTGATCTGAAAAACCCTGTAAGAAAGATGTGATATACATAAATATCTGCATTTCAAAGCAATGCATACATGCAATTGGTAAGATAAGAACTAAGTGCAGAGGCCAGAGAAGGCCCATTCTGGTTGAGATGATTAAGAAAAGTACAGTGGAGAAAGGATGAAGTTTGGTATTAAAAGATAAAAGGGACTTCAATAGAGAAGACAGACACAGAAAGGGCAGGTCAATGAGTGAAAGCAGTGGAAGAGTGTAGTGGTAGAAAAATGTTACTCATGTTTGGAAAATTTTAAGTAATGTGAAAAATTTTGTGTAGGGTAAAGTTAGAAAGGTAGTTCCAACTCTTCTGGAATGAACTTCATAGAGAACTTCAAAAGTTTCCAAAAATTGTTGTTGTTGTTTCTTACAGTAGAAGGGTCTGCTTTAATAATACTAATTACCTATTGCTGTATAAAATACATTAGATCATTGAGAGTCTGAAAGCAAGAAAATGTATTAGGCATAGTTATCGAAGTCTGAGCTTGAAGTTAGCAAAAATTGGATAGAGGCACTTGTACTGAGAATTGAAGTAAAGAAATGGATTTAGGAAATACCATTGTAGAGGACATGTCTTGAATCCTCATTAGATGTAGAAAGGATAAAGAGAAAAAACAGTAAAATTTAACTGGGATTCTGGGAGGAGTAACAAGAAAACATATTGTCTCACAGCTAGAGAATATAAACTTGGAAATATTTTGAGAGTGACGATGATGAATTCAGCTTTTAGATATGCTGAGTTAAAGACACATAGATGAGAATGTCCACTTCTTCTGTAAGAAGACATATAAGACTGTAATCCATGACAGAGGTATGTCTAAGATGAAATGCTTGGGAATCCTCTATATGGACATGATAGATGAAGCCAAAGAGAACAATGAAATGAGTCATGTCAAGTTATTTGATACTTAAAAAAGTATATAAGTATTTTAGTAGTGTGACCACTTGTGTCTGGAAATTTTGAAAAGCACAAAGATCTACGATGATTTATTTAACTCTACACTGATCAGTAGGAAGCTTTTGACATGGGGAATTGTGCTAGTGAGTATTTGGAAGCAAGAAGTGTATTCAGCAAGGATTTACAAGATCATTAGACTTTCATTTTGCAGATTCAATCAGATCTGTTCAATATACTCTCCTGTTGGCATAATTGGTTTCCTGAGGACTTGCTACATGTAGATGCACAGTTTTGCATTCCAGCAATGTTCTGCATTCCTTCTGGACTCTCTTGTTTTGAGGATCCCTTTAAAGAGCTAAAACTTCAGGAACTTCTTCTACTTGTTTCTTCAAAGTCAGGATGAGAGACAGAATAGAGCGTACAGCCATAATGGTTTTTCCCTAGGTTCTTCTCTCATACTAAGCTCTTTATGGTACGATGTGCCTCTCAAAAAGAATGCAAATCTAATAGCATTGCACCACTCTGAAAGAAGGATGAGGAGAAGGCAGAAGAGCTGCAAAGAGAAAAACAATCCTGATACTTTTATTATTCTCATCAGAGGAGCATATTTTCTAGAGTAACCTAATTTTGTATCTTTGGTTCTTGGCAGATAGTAATGTCCTGGGCTCCTGGAAGTAGAAGGTAGATGGATATAGAGATAATAGGGATACAGATAGAGATTGAGAGATATTACTTACCTGTATGACTATGTGTTAGGGAAATAGCAGTGTTGAGAAAATGTATCGGTTGATGCTGTGAGTAAGTAGTTGACAAAATTGGCTGCCTCTTGGAGTAATTTGCATAGCTCTTCAAACAATAATCACATGGACGACATTTCTGAAGAGTCTAACTCAGTAGGTCTAAACAAGGGTACTCCCTGTGGACAAGGTCTTGCCTTGTCCACAGGGAGTACATTCCAAGACCCTCAGTGGATGCATGAAACTATGAATAGGACTGAGACAATATGTACTATGCATTAACTTCTTTTTCCTTCTTCACAGTTTCATGGATAGTAGAAGATTTGTTCTTATGTGGATCTTAGCAACATCAGCATTTGATGTTTTTTCTTTCCTTATTAAGTTGAGGACATTCACTTTTTCATGTAAAGAAAGCACTTAGCAACTTCTCTTTGGCATATCTGAATTGCTAGCATCACTACTCTTGTGCTTTGGGGACATTATTAAGTAAAATAAGGGTTACTTAAATACAAACACTGAGATACCTACAGTGTTAATCTGATAAATGAGACAGCTACTAAGTGACTAACGGGCAGATAGAATAGACAGCATGGATATGCTGGACACAGACGATTCTCATCTCAGGCGGGATGGAGTGGAAAGGAGAAGGACTTTGTGAGATTTCATCACACTACTCAAAATGATTCACAATTCAAGACTTAGAAAGTGTTTATTTCTGGAATTTTTCATTAATATTTATAAGCTGCAGTTTACCACAGGTAACTGAAACCGTGGGAAGAAAAACCATGGATAAGCAGAGGACTCCTGTAGGTGTCTAAGATACACACAGAATAAACCAGTCTACCTGACAAACAAGCTTCCCAAGTGATTCTGAGGGGCAGGGCTCCTGTTAACTTATATGGCATCTTTGTACAATTAGAGAGGTACATGATCCTCCATCACCAGGGCAGATACAACCTTATACCAAGATGCAGAACTTGGTGAGTACAGTATTGACTAGATTTAAAGTCTCATCTGCTTCCTCCTTGACACAGGACTGAGTGCCTGTGTACAGTGCATACATTGTACAACCAACAGTATCAGCCCTGCTCATGGGCACTAGTTGTCAGATCTGCATCTAAAAGTCACTAAATATTAACGAGTTTCAAATATAAAAATCCCCTATGTCTTCCCAAATATCAGACATAGTCTTGGGATTAAATTCCCATTGGCAGTGGAAAATATCTTTTTCTGTGTCGCTGTGCACAGAAAACTGTGTACCCTGACTATTCTAATTGCTAGTCCACAGTTCATTGTCTCCTGAGATACACCCTGGGAATGCTCTCTTACTCCTGCCAGCCATTTATCCTAAGATTAACCTCTCTCAAGAGATAAAGAGGAGTTCATTGGCCTTATTTAAATGGACTTGCAAAATCAACTTATATTTTGTTTAATTTGTAGGACACCCACAATGGACTCACTGTATTATATTGTCCCATTACTTTGTCAGGTGCAGGTAAGCTCAGCAGGAATCATGCTTAAAGTGATTTACTAGCACTGCCAAGAGAAAATGAAAGAAGAGTGGACACTTGTACTATTTTCAGCCAGTGATACCAGCTGTTCCTGAGGGAGATAAAGGTGGCCCATGCATCAACCACGTAGTGATGTTGCTAAGTCATGGGTCACCTTTAGGTTGATGTTATAAAAAGGATTATCTTATATTTGCAAGTAAGTGATAATGCTTATATTTGCTTCTACTCAACCTGCCTCATCTGTGAGAGAATATAAAGGCCTGTGTCATGATAGTAGAAATGAAATGAGACTTGCTCAAGTTTTTCCAAATGTTCCCATGTTTTCCTCCATTGAGTCCTGAAACTCTGCCTTAAAGGATTGATTTCTGAATTATAAAGTATTCTAGATCATATTTCATTTGAAATAACTAAGGCCTAGAGGAGTGAATTGCCCAGGGCCATACAGCTGCTTGTCCACAAAGCTAAGGCAGAACTCCTTGATTCTAGTCCTATGTACATTTATTATGTCATGTTGCGTTTACCCCATTGCTTTTTGCTGGTATTCTGTTTAGCAATCAGATAATCTCAGGAGAGACCACAAAGTATGTTCTTAACACTTCAGTCTTAATGAGTTATAAACTTCATGATAAAAGAAATCAGAGTAAGACAGAAGAAACCAGGATAAGATATTATTGGCTTCTAAGAAACAAAAGGAGTAAAGGGGAAGAAAAGTTGAGGAAAGAGAGATTAAAACTGAAGCCTTGGAGTGACAGAGGGAATTTTTGTCCTACCTGATTTTCAGTTTTCTTTTGGGTCAAACTGGCCTTGTGAAATCAAAAGAGTTGTTCATTAAACTGCCTGCTTCCCAAGACCAGTGTATTATCACAGATAATAATATCTGTGAAGCTCTGTGTTACCAGTTCATTTTATTTCCATCCTTTTTATTGTGAGGAAGACAAACAATTGTGCTATCACCCAAGTAGACAATGTCATCTGTGAAAATGTGCTGCTTCCAGGAGTCAGGAATCGGTACTCTTTTTAAAAGAATTTTAAATCAGAGGAGACTGTCAACAATCACAAAGAGGAACTTTTTATTTCCTTGAGTTCTCACTACCTCTTCTAACATGCCACAGCAATCTTCATATAGCTGAAGGAAGTCAGGCATGAAATGGTGTTCTATTTAGTTTAATGGTTAACAGACAGCTTCAACAGCCACATTCAACACATTAGCCTTGTGTAGAAAGACTTGATAATTTTTAATAAGTTCAAAAAGTGTTTTCTATATAACCCTCCTGTATAGCAGAAGTATCCTTGACTGTCTTTTTCTTTTCATTGCCACAAAATATATTGCAGAGTGAGGTTTCATAATAGTGTTTTTCTAGCTTTTGATTTCACAAAGTGAGTAGCTCATGGCTCCATGGAGTTGAAAAAGAGAATTAAAAGGGAAGAACTTCCTCCAATTTTTGAAAAGATCTTAGCTATCTTCTAGTCCAAGTCCTTTTATTTGTTAAAGAAATCAAGTCTAGAAAAGTTGAGTGACTCCAGTGACTCAATTTATTAATGCATAGCTTATGTTTTCCTCCTTCCCTCATTTTCTCCTTTTTCCTTCATCCTTTCTTGCTTTTCTTCCTTCTCTTCTTCTTTTGTCCCACTTACCCTTTCATTTCCCTTTCTTCTTCCCTCCCCTCCTTCCTTCCTCTTTCCCTCTTTCCTTCCTTTTTATCTTCTGCTTCCCTTCCTGTGTTTCTTCTTAATGCTATGAGATTTTTTTTTACCTTTCTTTCAATTTCATATTTGTTCATTTTTTTTTCAGTCTGAAAGACTGCTTCTCTTCACACCTACACAGTGGCTATTTTCCTAAGAGATGAAATGCCGTTTTCCTAGAAAAGAAGAGAAAGCAGTGTATAATACCTGATTTTCTCTTACTTTCTAATTATTATGTTTCCTAGTCCCAACATGTCTAACTTCTAAGTTTAACTCTAAACTTTTAAGTTCTCAGGGCAACGTCTTTATTTTAGTATTCATTTATTTACCAGGTGAATAAATAGTTTGCTCTGAGATTATATTAAAACTTCATCTTCCATCTGATAGAATTAAGAAAACTCCAAGAAAGAGCATAATAATTATTGACTATTTTGACTACAACATGAAATACCTTGCAAATATGGATTCTTACAATTATTTTCCATGGATATTTCACATTATTACCTCATGTAAATCTTGTGATCATCTTCTGAGGGTAATATAAAGAATATGACATTATCTTAATTTTTGTAAATGCGAAAACATTTCTAAGATTTCACATGACTTGGTAAAGGTCACATGGCTCAGCATTAGACCCATATGGGAAACCAGACTTTCTAACACCCGGCTCAATATCCTTTCACTGTACCAAACACTTCTTCTCATGACAGTAACTTCTGTTTGGTTATGTACTTAATCAGGAGCTATGACAGAGAAACTGGGTTCAGAAAGAGTCTTGGGAGAGTAAGACATAGGACAGCACAGTGGAGGAGAATGGAAGAGAGGATTGCCTCATTTAACTTTAGGTCTGTACAGAGATAGTGGCAAGAGAGCAGAGAAGTACCTGGTTTATACAAGAGACTCCACATCATTATGAAACTGTAGGCTCGATTAGTCCAGAAAAATTGATTTCAAGGTTGGAGGTAAGCACCGTAGATAGCGTCAAAACAAGCAAAGGACTGAGGCAAAGGGAACCCATGATACAGATCAACGAATCTGACAGTGGGAAAAATAGTAACCAGGACAAATAAAATTATATAGTACTATGGAAGGATTGGATCTTTCTGCTTTTTGGTCTTAGGTAAATTGTCTATTCAAACAAATTTCCGTGTGTGTGTGTGTGTGTGTGTGTGTGTGTGTGTGTGTGTATAACTTATTTTCTTCTTTTGCATAATCTGAACGCATCAATGAAGGCCTTCCAAGGATGCAATATGGTCAGTTCCATGAATGATATCCTTGCATACTGCATTCTCAGATTCTTCTCATTCTAGGGCTCTGTGTCAGAAACTGTTGTGTGGAACAAGACCCACTAACTTGGGAGTTAACAAGTGTTTACTTGACTTTGCATTGGCATCTTATAGGCTATCATCTTGTAGATGAACAATTTGCTCCAAAATGACATGCCACAGCACTGCTTAAGATGCAAGTAACATTTTCCTTCACTTGGAGGGCCCATTTAACAAGATGATCTAAGGATATGGTTTCAGTGTATGCTATCTCATGAGCTATTACTGTAGGTTTATGTGACTAATTTTATTAAATATACAATAATTAATGTTTCCAAAAGGTAATAGTCTCTCTTTTAAAGTAACAATCATGGGAAGTTGTAAGCAAGTTTAAATAACATATTCATTTTGGGAACTCTTTTGGTATAATTTAAAAAATTTACCAGAGTGCTTTTATTGGAACTTGAACTGTAAGTGCCCACCTAATGCCTGTTGGTTAATATCACTTATATCATAGGATCATAATAAGAAGGAAAATGGATAAAGTTCTTCCAAAGAACCCCAGTGATTCTACTAAACCCTGTTCACCTCCTTTGTTGCAAGTCAGATAACACAGTTTCCGGCCTAAACTGTTTCATTAATTAACTGTGTAGCTTGAGACAAGTAACCACTCAATATCTTTATCTAAAAAATTGGATTACATGATCTCTTAGTTTCCTGCTAGCTCCATCAGTCTGTGTTTCTATGGTCCACTTGATGTCAAAGTCAGTATCAGGTTCACTTTGGGAAGGTGTGATCTATTTTTTTAAAGGTTGTCTAGGTTCACAAGTTTAATGGAACCCTGCCTGTACCCTGGAAATACTGCCTATGATGGTTAAGCTATTTTATAATATGCAGGTTTAAAGTTATCTAATAACTTCTCACAATATAAAATAACTTAAAAAGTTTTTTAAAAATTTTGAACATAAAGCAAATTTACAAACTTTAATTCCAGTGAGTAGAATTAAATCAGCAAATAAGTGGCTAATTGTATGTACTTATTGTCAACTGGGACTTCAGGAAAGAACACTGCCAAGCTATATGCTTTGGATAATACAAATAGTGTGGAAAGAAGGAGCAGGGGAGCAGAAAAAAAAATAAATAAGAATAATGGAATGATTGAAGAGTTTTGAATATCCAGAAGAACTATTCAAACAAATAGCACTGACACATTTTTAAACAATCATAGATAGATTCGAGTAAACATGAACAGAAAAATAAACATAAAGGAGAAAACTCATGAAGTGACAGTCTTTACATTTTTTTGTTCTAAAACATCATTGGGAATAAACACAAAAATGATATATAACTTGAATACTAACAGAGGTCATCATACGTAATGATAATAAAAAACAGCAAGACCAGTTTACCCACTCCCTGCCCTCCATTCTATGAGATGCCTCATGTCTTTTCTAAGACTTTGGGAACATTTCAAGGTCTTGTAATTTCCAAAAATTCCAGGGTTTTGCAGTTTCCTAAGAATGTCTGGCCTGGTGTCTCCCCTCCAGCCAAGCTTAGACAGCATTATAGTGCCCATCTGTTGGTGTAATCTCCTTCTTAAGCTTTGTGCTCACCCTCAATGTGGAGCTCAATCTCTTGATGTGGCTGTCTGCCAAAGCCATTCCATGAAATGTCTACATATACAAAATATGTGGGGAAATATAGAGTGTTCACGGCAACAACAACAAAAAAATTATAATGAAATCTTTCACATAGCTATTGTGGTGTTTTGGAGCCATGCCACCATTTTGGAGCTCTTTCTGTGGTTCTTGGGCATAAATTAAGCCCTCTCACTTTCAGGAAAGATCTCCCCCTGCTCAATTCCCCTTCCTCTAACTAGCTCCACTGAGGGTATATGTCCTCCCTTTAACAAGAATGCAGATTTTAACTTCATGTGGTTAGCGGTCAGGTTTTCCAATATCAAATAAAACCTTGCAGTGAGTTTAGAGAAGTTGATCAATAACAGCATTAGCTAAGTAAACAAAATAATATCCCAGACTGTTGAGTTTGGGAAATGATTTTTGAGTTTGCCTCCTGCAATCTTAACAACTGCACATGATTATCAGACCATGAAACTATTAGAATGCTTATTGTTTAAACGTTTCCCCTCCAACTGCACACAGATTTTATCTAGAGATGAATTTAAGCATGGAAACTTTAATACTGAAATGAAACACTAAACACAAAATGCAAAGAAGACAAACACTACCCATCTGAGGAGAACATGGCAGTAATTTAAAAGCACATGTTTTTGTCAAATAAATCTTTAGGCCAAAGTGCTAAAGTACTCTTGCATTCTTTGATCCTTTGCAAGAAGACTATATATGTCAGGAATGCCAATGACAACAGAAATAAATACATAGAAATATCTACATTATTATGCCTAAATTATCATTTGATTCTTTTAAAATGGTCTTGCCATGTTATATTATTTCTTAACACACCGAGATACATGCTACATTGGATTATAAATTACTTTGAATCTCGGAATTCAAATTTGCAAACTGCTGAGAGTTGTCAGACTGCTATGCTGATTAAATGAACAATCTAAACATTTGCATAAAGAAGAATTCCTAGGGCAATACTCAACTAGAAAACAACAACTTAGAATAACATGACTAAGAGCTGTGGGTGGGAATCACCACCAAGAAAGTGGCAATGCTGAGTCACAAATTTGGGGCTGCGGCTATGTATGAAAACCAGCAGGCAGGTATTAGAGAGAGTGAATGGTGAAAGAAAGGAGTTGGGAGGGAGGGAGTGAGACTTAGAGGGTAGAAGGAGAAGACTGGAGGATGAACATGATTCTGAGTGAGAACATAATTACCATGTAAGTGGTCACGGCCTCCCTTCCTCAAAAAGAATTTTGAGTGTCAGCATAGGTTCCCTTTCTTCTCACATCATTTCCCAACAATGTTGCCAGTATCTTCCTCTCTCCACTCATTTTCTATCCAAATAGTATATCAAGTTAGAGTGTCAACTTTTGATACATGGCACCTATTGGAGTTAGTTCAGTTGGCAAGACTAAGAAAGAGTTGAATAGCCTGTAATCCCAGCACTTTGAGAGGCTGAGGCAGGCAGATTATGAGGTCAAGAGATCAAGACCATCCTGGCCAACATGGTAAAACCCCATCTCTACTAAAAATACAAAAATTTACTGGGCGTGGTGGTACGTGCCTGTAGTCCCAGCTACTCAGGAGGCTGAGGCAGGAGAATCGCTTGAACCTGGGAGGCAGAGGTTGCAGTGAGCTGAGATTGCAGTGAGCTGGAGTATAAAAGTACTCCAGCCTGGTGACAGAGTGAGACTCCATCTCAAAAAAAAGAAAAAAAAAGAGTTAAATAATTCTCAAAAAATTCTTTAATTGGACTATGAAGTGAGTAAAAAAAAAATACAACAGCCTCAGGCCACCATAATTTTACCTGTGAAAGCCAGCAGCCTTAAATAAAAACAGGACTTAGAATAGAGCATCTGGACTGTTTGCATCTTTTGACACACCTGGAGTAGCTAATATCCTTTACCCCCGATGTTGATGCCTGCAATCTTAATGTTTCAAGGAAGAGTTAGAGTAAGAAATATGTGTGGCAATAAATCTGTGCTGTTTTTCATGGAGCTGCAACTAGGCATTCTTTTGCCAAAGGAAGAACAGAGTTAAGTTAGTTAAAATGGCTAATATTGACTAGAAATAAGGTTTTGTATTCTAGCAGGTGCTCTTTAAATTTGCCTACTTATACATTATAATTAATCATCTTCTGTAAAGAATCTATGTATTTCAAAATTGCAATCACCTTTATATATTTGCCTAATTTTATACAATATCAAATTATGGATTTTGTACACATTGTTCTCCAAAATTGCTAGACAGATGTGACAAAGGCAAAATTATAAAACTTAATCTATCTTAAATGGTCAAAAATGATTATGTTGTAGGTTTAATTGGAATTAGAGAAAGGGAATTTCATAAGTACACTATTGTCTTAGTTTGGGCTATCATAATAGAAAACCTTAGACTGGATAATTTATAAACAACAGACATTTATTTCTTACAGTTCTGAACACTGGGAAGTCCAAGAGCAAGGCAACAACAGATTCAACATCTGGTGAGAGCTACTCTCTGCTTACAAGATGGCACTTTCTTACTGCATTCTCACACAGAAGAAGAGACCAGTACTGTGTCCTACCATGGTGGAAAGGCAAAAAGGAGCCAAACAGGCTCCCTCAAGACCTTTTCTTTTCTTTCCTTTTTTTTTTTTTTTTTTTGAGACGGAGTCTTGCTCTGTCGCCCAGGCTGGAGTGCAGTGGCGCGATCTCGGCTCACTGAAACCTCCGCCTCCCAGGTTCAAGCAATTCTGCTGTCTCAGCTTCCTGAGTAGCTGGGAGGACAGGCATGCGCCACCACGCCCTGATAATTTTTTGTATTTTAGTAGAGATGGGGTTTCACCATGTTGGCCAGGATGGTCTCAATCTCTTGACCTTGTGACCCGCCCACCTCGACTTCCCAAAGTGCTGGGATTACAGGTGTGAGCCACCGCGCCTGGCCCTCAAGACCTTTTATAAAAGTACTAATCCCATTGCTGAAGGCAGAGACCTCATGACCCAATAGCCTCTTAAAGGCCTCACCTCTTAATACCTTCACAATGGGGATTAAGTTTCAGCATGAATTCTGGAGGGAAACAAACATTCAGACCATAGCAATTACCAATCTTTAAGGGGCTACTGCCCTCAAATTGCACTCAATTTACATCGTATCAATTGCTATACCACTTAATGGACATTGTTTTCATCATATAATTTTTTTTCTACTTTTCTCTGCTTTCTTCTTGCCATTATTTTTTAGCATTGCTATTGAATATATGCATTAAAACATCATTAACATGTCACATTTCTTTTCACAAATATTTAATGAATCTCTCCCCTTCATTGCCTGCAGGATAAAGATCCATTACTTGGCTTTTAAAACTCTACAGGACATAGTCCCATGTGAAACACCATCTTTTTATGGGTTCTAGTAACAAAATTGGTACAAGCCTAGCAAGAATGCTGACCTGAGAACCTACTCAAAGTAACTTAATCTTTTATCCCATGGAGAAAATAATAATTCTATATCTCAGTTTTTAAGCTTCCACATGATTGCCTCCTGCCTAATCCTTTATCAGATGTGACCCAACTTCCCTTACTTTATCCAGTACACTTACGTGTAGCATTAATGACATTTTGGTCAATTATGGCCCACATATACGAAGGTGGTCCCATAATGTTATAATGGAGTTGACAAATTCCTATTGTCTAATGACATCGTCATTGTCATGTCATATTACAAGACATCACTAACATGTTTGTGGTGATGCTGGTGTGAATAAACCTACTGTGATGCCAGTTGCATAAAAGTCTAACATATACAATTAGGTTCAGCACCTAATAATTGGTAATGTACATAAACAACTATGTTACTGGCTTATACTTTTTATTGTAATTTTAGAGTGTACTTCTTCTATTTACAAAAAAAAAAACAACAACGTTAAATGTAAAGCTGCCTTCAGCAATTCCTTTAGGAGGTATTCCAAAAGAAGTAACACTCCATGCGTGTTACTACCTCTGAAAATCTTTCAGTGGGAAAAGATGTGGAGGTGAAAGATAGTGATATTGATGATCTTGACCTTATATAGACCTGGGCTAATGTGTGTGTTTTTGCCTTAGTTTTTAATAAAAATGTTTAAAAAGTAAAAATATGCTTTATAAATAGGAAAAACCTTATAGAATAAGAATATAAAGGAAGAAAGTATTTTTGGAGAGCTTTGCAATGTGTTTGTGTTTTAAGCTAAGTATTATAACAAAAGAGTCAGAGTTAAAAAATTAAAATGTTTGCAAAGTGAAAAAGTTATAGTAAGCTAAAGTTAATTTAGTACTGAAGAAAGAAATTTTAAAAATAAATTTGGCCTAAGTGTACAGTGTTTATAAAGTCTACAGTAATGTCCTAGGCCTTCACATTCACTCATCACTCACACTCTGACTCACACAGAGCAATTTCCAATCCTGCCATCTCCATTTATGGTAAGTGCCCTACACAGGTGCACCTTTTTTTTTTAATTGTCTTTTATAGTGTATTTTTACTGCATTTTTTTCTGTGTTTAGGTATGTCTAGATATACAAATACCAGTGTATTACAATTGCCTGTAGTATTCAGTATAATAACATACTGTACAGGTCAGTAGCCTAGGAGCAATAGGCTGTACCATATAGCCTAGGTATGTAGCAGGCTATACCATCTAGGTGTGTGTAGCAATAGGCTGTACCATATAGCCTAGGTATGTAGCAGGCTATACCATCTAGGTGTGTGTAGCAATAGGCTGTACCATATAGCCTAGGTATGTAGCAGGCTATACCATCTTGGTTTGTGTAAGTACACACTATGATGTTTGCACAATGATGAAATAATCTAGCGACTCATTTTTTTGGAAGGTATCCCTACTGTTAAGCAAAGCATGACTATAGTTAGAACTTCTATTGTTCCCTCTTTGCTCTGGGGCCTTACGCCTGCTAATCTCTCTGCCTGAAAGCTTTTGCCCTAAGCCTCCATGTTAGCTCTCTTGTTTTAGCTGCCTCATACCCATATTTTATGTATCAAACAACTTCCCCTTTCTCTGAGAATCTTTTCTGGATATCTCATCTTGGACTAGGTGCCCATACCATGTGTTGCCATGCCATCCTGTGCTGCCTTTATTATACATAGATATTGTCACACTTTATTGTAATCAGTTCCATGCCTTCCCATAGACTGTAAAAAGTTTGGATCACCTTCATTTTATTCATCATTTCATTCCAGTATCTCTCCCCATCCCATCGTTTCTAGCTTATAGCATATGAATAAATGCAGTTTCCAAGTTAAGGCTATGAAAAGGTATTTTTGAGCGCAGAAATAAGTAGCAAAGTCAAAGTGATAAATAAAGGCAAATTATAACATCAAAAAAGCAGTTTTTCAAACATTGTTTCTGAGTGGAAAGAGTGGCAATGAACAAAGTTCTAAAACCAGGAAGACTTAGCCAAGAATTCATCTACTCTCCTCCCCAAAGCAAAGTGGACCTATATTTCCTCCAGGTTGTTTGAATCCTTCTCATACTATGACTGCAGTTTCCAATTTATTTCTTTGCGGATTTTGTTTTTCCAGTTTTTAATATTTAGTTTCCTCCATTTACCTGAGTTCTAGATGGCAAAACCACAGCAATTTTGGTTCTTACCAAATATCTCCTCTGACACAGCTATCTTCTCCCAACCTTACATTACTTTCCAAGTGTTGATTTTATTGTTGATATTATTATTATCTCCAGTTTGAGTCTAAGCTCTACCAAGGAAGGAAGAGTGCCTTGTCCATTTTGGGGTTCACCCTTAAATTACCTTGGGTGCTGTCCAGCACATGGTTAATAATCAATAAACAAACAGCCTACTGGACTTGCCAGTTTTCCTGGGAGAAGGCATCTTATATTTCAGGAACAAAATATATTTTACAAGCAAAGAATACATAGATAAACTTCTTTTAAAAGTTCTATGTTTTCATATTACTTATTTGATTTGTTAGCATTATTCTCTGCCTTATTTCAACAGAATGTGATGTGGGTGAGAAAGGATGATAAAGTCAAAACTACCTTGGACACTAATCAAAAGATTTGGGTTAAACTGTATAAGTTGTCTGAGCATCAGTGAGTTATGCAAGCACTCTGGGCTTCAGTTCTCTCACTTGCCAAGTAAGAGGCTTGGGTCAGAGAATTTTAATATCTCCACAAGCTACAACAATTCTATGACTATTTTTGTATTATGCAAACAGAGATCTTCACACCTTTTATAAACATGTGGAGCAATTTTCTGCTGAGAATCTCAGTGTTTATCCATGATAGTTAAATAATAATCCATTGATAGTCAAATACTCTTGTTAAAAGATTTCCGTGTGTTTAATGAGTCTATTTATTACCCATTGGGAAACACTGAGTGATATAAAAAAAAATTCCTATCATTTATCATAGAATTTCCTTTCAACACAAAAAATCAACCACCAAAATTCTAATATTATCATGTATCTACAACTCGAATTCAATTTTAATCTGCTGCTCCAAAGAGTTCTACAAAAACACACTGTGCTTGGCTAATCTCTGGACACAGTCACACCTATTTAATGTGGAGGAGTCTGCACATGCCACTTTCCAAAGTCCACTGTAGGAAAAGCTTTCAGCAAGATAAGTCACAGCTAAATGCATTCTTGAAGATTAATTATCACTTGGATCTTTTCAGCTTTCAAATATACAATTGCATTAAGTGTAAATTAACTACCTTGGAGCTGCATAATGGACACTGGGTAGAGGACTTTCACCTTTATGTCTTTGGTTGGAATCTATCCCCAGCTTAAGACTGACTGAAAGTCATTATCCTTTGTCAACTGTTCGGTGACTTATGAAATGAGTTATTGGTCTTAGTTAAGATCCTAGCGCAGCCTAAAAGACCTTCACAATTGATGATCATCAGGAACTGCTGGAACTTGAGAAAGAGGATCGGAGATTGAATTGGTCATGGAAATTTAATTAGCGTCCCCCTGGTCCACCTTCCAAACACTCATTGAGGCTGAGTTTTGCCCTTCTCTGGAAAAGAACGATTTCAGTCTTTGGGGTTGCTGACTGGACATCTTTCATTAGCATAACATAATGGAGACAACTTATGGCTTTTTCTTCTAGTTAGGGCAGCACAATTATCCCCAATATTTTTCTTCACATAAAGAGATATCTGAAGGCTTAGTCAACTGTGGGAAAGATTTTATTTTTTTGTTTTAAGTCTCTCAGAGTACAGAAAAACTACTGAGATTCCATAACATATCTCATCATTATTGTCTCTACGGAGGCAAGAACATGTTGGCATCAGATTATTATTTTTATCTGTCTAGAAATAACATGGTTCAGGAAAAAGTGTCCTTGTCATGTGAAGGCTTTTGTTGTCTGAGTTGTTTGTACCTGCTCTGCATCTGTCAGTGAATGGAGTTTGAGGCTTTGGTTTCCCCACATATAAGGTAAAGGACATTAGACTGGATTTTTCAAAGTCTCTTCTGAGTTTATCAGATTCTAGCACTGACACATTTTCCTTTTCCTGAAAGTCTTGGGACTATATGGAAGCCTGGGGCTTTTCTCTTAAGAAGACACTATCATTTTAATGGTTGAATATTAGACGGGATGTAGCTTCATTTGGAAGTCATTAGCTGAGGAACATTAAAAAAATTTATATGAAATGAAGAGTGGGAATCATTAAGAGTGACAATATAAAACAGGTAAATAAAAACTAGAATTAGAGAGTAAATGGGTAAACAGTGCTTTCTATCATATCCCAGGAGGGTGAGAATGTAATTCAGGAGGACTGCAAGAATCATTTCAAGTGTAAAGATGACAATCAGAGGCCAAGCGTAGTGACAGCAGCTGCACCTGTGACGGTCAGAGGCCAATAATTGGTGCCTGGGAGTTCAGAGTTCTTTCTCTTCCTCTTCCTCCCCTTGCCTACCCTCCCCTCCGCTCCCTGCCCCTCCCCTCCCCACCCCTCCCCTCCCCTCCTGTACCCTCCTTTCTCCTCCTCTCCCCATTATAAAATACATATTTAAAAACCAGAGATTGGCCAGGCATGGTGGTTCAAGCCTGTAATCCCAGCACCTTGGGAGGCTAAGGTGGGTGGGTCACCTGAGGTCAGGAGTTCAAGAGCAGCCTCGCCAACATGATGAAGCCCTGTCTGTACTACAAATCCAAAAATTAGCTGGGCATGGTGGCACGCACCTGTAATCCCAGCTACTCGGGAGGCTGAGGCAGGAGAATGGCTTGAACCCTGGAGGCGGAGGTTGCAATGAGCCAAGATCGCTCACTGAACTCCAGCCTGGGTGACAGAGTGAGACTCCATCTCAAAAAAATAATAATAAATAAAAAACAAAACAAAACAAAACCCCTGAGATTTAGCCTTGATTCTTGAATTTTTCTTCACTCTGCTCATATAGACTCTACTATCAAGTTCAGTTGATTTAAGTGAGTTTTCCTATTACTCTTCATCTCCACTGTCACCATTTTAGTCCAAACACCTGCCATCTCTTATCCAATTTAAAGGGATAAATTTCTTTCTCTTTGATTCCAGTTAGCCTCCTTTCCCATCTTGAATCTTTTCTCCACATAGTTGTATAAATAATCTTTTAAAAAACATGTGTTAGGAAACAACTTATGTTCTTAAAACCTTTCATAGCTTCCCATTTTCACAAAATCCAAATTACTTACCATGACTTAAGTTTTCTGCCTTGAACTTTTACATATCTCCAATATTGCCTTATGTCACTGAGGTCAACAGAATAATGTTCCCCACTTCCCCACCAAATATTGACATTCTAATTCTTTAAACCTGTAAATATGTTACCTTACCTGGCAAAGAGAACTTTGCAGAGGTGAGTTAAGAATGCTGAGATAAGATTAGCTTGAATTATGTGTGTGGGCTGAATGAAATCCCAGGGGTCCTCAGAAGAAGGAGGCAGGAAGGTCAGAGTCAGGGAAGGAGAGGTGATGACAGAAGCAGAGGTTGGAATGATGCGATTGCTAGAAAGGGGGACCATAACCAAAAACAGGCTGCCAGAAAAGGTAGGGGCATGGACTCCTTGGCAACCTTGATTTTAGCCTAGGGAAACTCATTTCAAACATCTGACCTCCAGAACTGTAACTTGTGTTGTTTTAGGCAACTAAGTTTGTGGTATTATGTGACAGTAGCAATAGAAAGCTAATAAAATCACTCCTTCTATTCACAAACTATGCCCTATCTATGTGTCTTTTCTCAGTTCTTGGAATACAGCATGGTTCGCAATGCCACGGGGTCTTTGTACAGACCTGGACTTGTGTAATTTTATCCATAATTATGGGCTAGTTTCATTTATTCCTTTTGTTATCATCAGTTTAAATGACATCTCCTTGGATAGATCTTCCCCAACCTCTTCTTTTATTTTTGTTTCGGCTCCTTCTTTTCATTTTTGTTTTAATAGGATGCCTTAGTCCTGACAGTTGTTTTATTTATTGTATACTACTTGGGGTTCTTTGGTCGATTTTTTAGGTTTTCCCCCCTTTTCTTGGTCTATTGCTTTCTGTAGAACTAAGTTCCATGACAGAAGAAACTGTACCTATCATGGTTAGACTCATATCTTTAGAATGGTGTCTGGCACATAGTAAATACCAAATGAATATTTAAAGTCTACTTGGCAGACAAAATGAATGATTTGGGGGGAAGCAGCATATTAGGGAGACACTCTACTCTAAGAAAAGAAAGATACTAAATGCTAGCCAAGGATCCTCAGCCATTGCTAGATTTTAGGCTTGATTTTGTGCCACAGGGGAGATCAGGCCCTAAGGAAAACAGGACAAATGCTAAAGGGATGTGAGTTGTCAGAGAAGAAGCCCAATCCAGTAAACTAAGCAAATCTAAGTGGGTCTGGTCTGCAAAGGTGCTGTATGGGGCTTAAATTTCAGACAGGTGTTTGTGCCTGAATATTAGATCCTTGGTCAGGTGAGGCTCAGAGGCCACACAGGAACTCAGCAAATGGACCAAGTTCTAACTCCCAGTATAAGGGAAAAAAAGATGAATGTAAGTGGAAAAGAGGGCAGAGACCATTACTCTCTTGTCCAACCTGGAATCCTGAAAATTTGATTTAATGCCAGGCACTTAAGAAATCCTTAATAAAAATAGTCAGGACAAATACGAGTGAGAGATGAATGAATGATGAATCTATGTATGTAAAAGTAATTACTGTAACACTTGACATATTAGACAATCATGATCTCTTTCTCTTTTATAAGTTGTAGCAAATGACAAAGCTGATGCTGCTTTCTATCTTGTCAGGGACGGCTGTGGAATTGGGGATGGGCTTTTGAAATGCTGGCAGGTCCCATGGTGGAAACACTGGAAAGACAAAGACAGAGAAACAAGGCAGGGTCAGCAGCAGCAACTGATTGCTTCAGGGAAGAGGCTGCTTAGAGGAGATGTTAATATTGTCACTGTTTGAGTGACATTTCTTCAAGATTTTCGTCAGTAAAGTGAGTTAGATTAAGCTTAGTATAATTAACCCAAATAAATTAGCTTTAATCAAGTATTCAATTCTGTAATTTTCTTGTCTCCTTGATCTTTCTATTCCTTCCTAATCCTTTTGGCATTCAATCCTATTTTATTCTAGATTGATATCTGTTAAATCAATTTCCCTGGCTATCTAAATGACATTTGCTCTAAAGAGAAATAGTAGGTCTTAATTCCCCTAGTGTATTAGTTTCCTTGGGCTGTCATAACAGAACACCACAAACTGAGTAGCTTAAAACAACAGAAAATTATTTATTTTTTAAGGTTATAGAAGCTAGAAACCAAGATGTCAGCAAAGCCACGATCCCTCTGAAGGGTCTAGGAAAGAATAATTTTCTCTTCCTAGCTTCCAGTGGATGCTAGCAATCATTGGCATGCTTGTTCTCATGGTTGCATAATTCCAGTCTCAGCTTCTCTCTTCATATGGCTTTTTCTCCTTGGTTGCTCTGTTTCCAAATTGCCCTCTTCTTACAAGGCCATCCATTATATTTGTTTTAGGGCTCACCCTAGTCCAGTATGAGCACATCTTAACTTGACGACATTTGCAAGGACCCTATTTCCAAATAAGGTCACATTCACTAGTTCTGCATAGACATGAATTTTGGGGGGAAATCTATTTAAACCACTACACACAGAAAGAAAGAAGAGTAGTATTGTGGGATATGCCCAGGTTGAAGACTTTGTTGAGGAAAGCCTAGGGAACTTTTCACAGAGAGTTTTGTTTCCTATATACTTTTTCATAAGGGACTATCCCTTAATCATCTTTATATTCTCTATTTTTTTTTGAAACTTGTTCTATACACAGTGGTATTTATTGAATAATACAAAAGCAATCTTGAATAAATGGATTTTAATAATGATCCTCTTGGCTTATGACCCCCGCAGTCCTCCAGTACTAATGAACTAGCTTTGTATTGACTCAGGGTCTAGGCTGGGGAATGCCTGATTCATATGTCTTGGTCTCCTGGGACCACCAAACTTTGTTCCTGAGATGCCTGTCACCTGGGTGATATGTTCATGACTCCTTTCAACACCTGAATTTTGAGCAGTGCTTTGAGAAATGAAACCTACAGGATGAAGGATTTTTTTGTTCAACAAAGTTAGTAATAGACTGGTGCTTACATGAACTATTTTTAAGGTAATATTTATATAGGTAATATACTTAAAACAAGAGGTTGATATAAAGAGTTGTTCTTCAATTTATAACAAGCTATTTGGCTAAATTCAAGTATTTTGTTTCTGAAAAAGCCTAAAAAGTATAAATCTAAACTTTAGAAAAATGAGCTGGTAGAAACAGACAATGCTAAATAATATGTTACTTTTTCTAATTGTTTCATTTGATCAGTACACAGTAAATAAGACATGCAATATTTTCTTCTCTTACCAAACAAGAAACTGAAGCTCAGAGAGGGTAAGTGGTGATGTTAAATATAACAAGGGAAGAATGAGTGGCAGGGTTTTATGTCTCCATATTCTGGTCCCCTTTCGTTTCCAGTACATCACCCTGCTTCTCATCACTTGAAGTTACAAGGTACTTTTCACAATGTCTACTCAGCTTGTAGCTATATGTTACAGCCCACTTCTTCATTTAATTTAGTCATAATGTGGATTTTGTTCAGAGACTACTAGGTTTTTCATGTTCAATTAGTTTTAATATTATTTGTTTACAGTCTTTTAAAAAATTACATCTCAAATATAAACATAAAATTAGAGAACAGAGAAGGCCTGTGCACTTGGCCCAAAAGTACCCGATTCATAGTGTGACAGCCTGGGTTTAAGTCCTGTGTGATGTAGGGTGAGCTACTGCACTCAGAGAGAGCAGTCATGCTGAGCCAGTGTGGGCTCCTGCATTTGCCAACCCTGTGATATGCCCACAATTGGATATGAATGAGGGGAAGAACTCCAGCAGGAAGTATTTGTAAGTAAATTGGTCATTCTGGTTGCATTGCCAATTAGACTTTGCCCAGCACATGAACGACTTTGGGCCTATTGATATTTGCTGTGACACTTAAATGTTCAGCACAGTATTGATTCTGAATGTCAAGCCCTCTGCTTAGATGCTGTTTCTATGTGATGAGCAGATTACCACAGAATACTAATTGAACCATTTAAACACACACACACACACACACACACACTTTTTTGTGTTCACAGTGCTGACAAACAGCAATTTTAGTGCACATTTAATCAGAGCCTCTTCTCAACTTTAACGGAAGAGAAAAAAAGCAATCTTTTAAGTGTTGCTGAATAGTTTGTGGTTAGCCTGGAATGAAATATTTTTAAAAGATAAATTGCTTCCCACCAGCATATATATATTTCTATTTTTTCCTACTACAAAATAATTGATGAGAATATTTCATAAATATAATTTCAAAGAGTTAAAAGACTGTTTTTGGTAAGTATCTACCAAAGACATTTCAGTTGATAAGTGTTAGTCTACAGTGTTGTAAGAATAATTCTTAATATTCTGCAGCTGATGATTTGGCATCTTGGAAATCATAGGCCAAGTTAACAGACAAAGTAGTTTACATTCATACCATCTTGTATTTTCACAGGTGCAGAGAAACCGTATTAAAAATCTTCCAGCCACAAACCCCAATACCTGTGTTTTGCTTCCTGCCCAACAGGAGATATTTCCACCTAACAACTTCCTGCCACTGTAGAATTAAAGGCTCTCATCCATGCCTTCCCCTCACTCTTTTCTCCTGATAACCCTGGTGCTTGCCCATGTGGCCCCACAGGATGGTATGCCTTCTCTTTTTGGGTACTGCAAGTAATAAACTATTCTTTCAATGACGTTGGCTTCTCTAAGTCATCACTCAGTCACCTACGAAGTAAATTCCAGGTACATTTAAAACAGCTATTTAAAAAGTACAATTTTAAATGATTCAATTATAAGTTATTTCACATTTTTGATATACCTATATATATAGATACATACACATACACATATCTACAATCATTTTAAGTAGATACTTCTAGAAGCTTAGTTTAGAATTAGCAAGAAAGTCCTTAACCCACCCTTACTTGAAATAATGCAAGCTCTTTACATCAAAGAATCAGAAATATTTTGATTAAAATTAGACTAACTTATTTTATGATTTAAGGGATTAACAGTGAAGTTCTACAAGGTCTATAAATCATATGAGAAGTCTTCTTTAGTCCCACTCTCTTCTGATTCTGACATAATAATCAGGACCAGAAGGACCTACTAATGAGTTCTTTTTTGTCTTTCAGGCAAAATTGCCCCATGTTTTTCCTAAACATGGAATCACTAAAACGTCCTCAGGCTCTTGGGAAGGAAAACATTATGGCTTACTGTACAACGACAAAGATAGCCACTGGGAAACACACCCTACAACCAAAAAACACACCAGCAAAATTATTATCTCTGTTTAAGATCTATTGCCATAAACTATGGTTTTTAAGTTCCTAGTTTCTGAAAGCTGAAACAACACTGAAATCTTTATTGGATTTGATATAAAAAAGACCAATGCAGACATTTTATGAAAAAATAAATGCCTTGTTGTTATGGCTGGTGGAGCATCATCTAAAATAGTGACATGATGGGTTTCACCACTGTAGCATCAAATTCAACCCTCACATTTATAACACAAAACCACGAGCCGATACTGAGTGTTAAGGGTGTCCTTTCACGTTCCCTCATGAAGATGAGGATTAACTGTGGCTTGCCAAGCATTTACAGGATAATCTTTTCTTTAACTTCAAAAGGGATGCTAAATGTGATAAAGCCAGATAGCATAGCACTCTTATTTGCAATGTTATCTACTTTGTGCATACACACAGCTGATGCACTTACGCCATCAGGAGACTTTAATAGGTCACACTATCAGAAAAAAAGATGGAGTTTCAAAGGCTGTACTGGGGCCTGCTAAGTGTAATCCAATACAGTAGGTCTGATCCTCTCAAGTATATAAGACACTCCGGAAGTTGTCAGGCAGTCTGAAGAGCCCCCTGAGCTCCCTTGCTTCTGGTGCTATCTGATTGTAAGGCCAACAAGACAATGGCATCCAATCAAGTATCACCAACAAGACACCAACAAGACTGTCAATAAAATAAGGCACTTCTTTCAGCTCCAAAGACTAAACAAGTCAGTGCAGTGGTGCTGGCCTATAATACTAGCACTTTGGGAGGCTGAGGAAGGAAGAGTCCTTGAGGCCAGCCAAAACAAAATAATTAGACCCTGTCTCTACAAAAATAAAAAATAAATAAATAAATAGCCGGGCATGGTGGCACACACTTGTAGTTCCAGCTACTGCAGAGGCTGAGGCAGGAAGATTATTTGAGCCTAGGAGTTCGAGACTGCAATGAGCTATGATCAGGCCACTGCACTCCAACCTGGGTGACAGAGTGAGATTCTGTCTCTGAAAAAACAACAAAAACTGAGAGGTGCTATTAAATGAACCTCCCAATTAGCTATTTGAAAAACAACTGCTTATTTGAATTAATTAATTTTGTTTCTTTTTTAAAAAAAATAAATTTGTAAGTAATTCTAGCTATCAGGAAAAAATGTCATTTTGGATGTCATTAATACCTGAGTCATTGATTCCTAACTTAGAGAAAACAAAACCCTTTCCTCTCAGTTTCATCAATGTAGTGGGTACAATTCTAACTTCATAAATTCAGTTTGCAAGAAATATGACTTTTATTTTCTTAAATCATGTAATTACCAAACATGAGAGTTTGACTTGCTGAGGTTGATGAGAAATTTTGCTTCAGGTCATTTGAGGTTCATGCCCCACAGCCTTGTCAAGGGTCATGCCAAGGTTCCATGTTTGTTCCAGAGAGACACCTCTGGTCATAGGCCTTTATGTCCATGCTTGGAATCGTAGTGATGGCTGTTGGCTTAGATCCTTAAATCTTGGATTACCACTCTTTTGGTGTCTTAAAATAGATGTGGACATTTTTTGTGGTGTGGGGTCTGAGATGTGCACGTCAGAGACTTCAAAGTCCTCCCCCATTCCCCAGGACACTGCCAGAGAATAGGGAGAAGGCACCTGTTTCACCAAGAACCCAGGCTCCTTTATCTTCAGTTCTGCTCAGAAGTTACGCTTTCCTCCTCAGGTCCAATTTTATTAATCACCAAGTCAAATTGCACTCAAGGCCAAAGAAGTAAATGGCTGAGTGAAGTGGGTAGGCAGAGACCATCCATAATTCTTATGAAAGGAACATTGTCTTAGCCAGTGCGGGGTGAGCCAGTCCCCTCATGAGAGGGATGTGGGCCCAGTGTTGCCTGAGTGCTGATGTCTGTAAGAGATTTCAGAAGCAGATTGTTGTGTGAAATTTACCAATCCTTAATACTGACAAGTTTCATTTTAAAATAAATTAATTGATTGGCATTTAAGACTGTCTGCAAACTGTCCAGGTCTAAAGTGACCTCTGCCCAGGATACTTAGGTTTATCTTTTCAATTAAGTGGAGTTTTTTATTGTTTGTTTGTTTTGGAAATGAAAGACAGAGGAAAGTATCTTCCCAACAGATTCTGCCTTCTACTCAATGACAAATCCCCTCCACTGCAAATTCATTCCTGTCCCTCAGGACAACATGCCAGGGCTTGAAACTGTTGTATGGAGGAATAGATAAGGGGGAAATATGAGAAAAAAAACTCTGAAAGCAGAAATGTATCTGCCACATTCTCGATGATAGAGCACCACCCCCCTCGGATTCAGAAATGCAGCTTTGGAGTAACATTTTATTTCTTTATTTTTATCTGGAGTTGTATTTTACTTCCCAGCTAAGCTTCTGCTGGTTCTCTCTTAGGTCTCCCTTTTCTTACTTTTTGCCATTCTTACCTGCCCTGTACTCCCCTGGCCTCATACTGCACCAATTCCTTACTGAATTGAAGTATTGGAATTGAAACTGCTCAGAAAGAGAGGTTTGGGTCTACAATCTGAGTGTGAGTTCATGATGGTTGCCTTGAGGGCTTGGACATTTTATCTTTTTCCTCATGGCGGTCCCAGTGCAGGTCCTTTTTTGTTGAATGAATAGATTTTGCCACTGTTCAGGGCAACATGATTGGAGTGTCAGGATGAGCCCAAGGAGGTTCATGATTTCATGCAGGCTTTTGGACACATCTTTGCAAAGTCCAACTCCTTCAGTTCGTATAAATCCAATACCATTTTAAGTGCTTTACATGTACTTTTCCTGAAATCCAGCTGTCTCCCTATATGACTGTCTCCCTATAGCAGCTGGACTCTAATTGCTGCATGTAAACAAACATCATCTGGAACAGAGCCACCTTATAACACTGGATGCTATTCATTTTCAAGACTACCAAGGTCATTTATTACTAATGGCAGGAGTGTGTAGCTGGCTGGAGTTAGCAGAGTCATGTTTCTGTGCAAGCTACATTTCAAACTGGCTGCAAACATCTGGGAAAATGAACAGTCTAAACTTATGGCTCTCAAACCTCTATCTGATTTCCATGACCTTGTCTTTGCATGAAGTCTTCACATGTCACAGTATCATCCATTTGTTGTCTACATAGCCAATTAACATGCAGCTGTGTATGAGTATCATACGCTGCTATTTACATTCTTATATGTCTGTATCACACATCTTTAGGGTATAAGTGGGGTCCCTTTGGGAAGCTTGAAGTATTAAAAGACATAAGCACAGAAATTTGACATTGTTGAATGTGTAGAAATTAATAATCACTGAAGCATAGGAAGGGTCATCCCATTCTAACCCTTGAGTTGACAATGAGGGAGGGGCAGAGCGTCAGTGGAACCCAAAGAGGAAAATGATCTGTTTATTGGGCCCCTGACTGTCTTCCTTTGCAGAAGTTGGGGATAACTGGCCCAAATTCACACACTCAGCTCTACATACACATACACAGTAATATGATTCATTTTTCAGATTAGAATAAATTTAAGGAAAATTATGACACAGAATTCAGTATTCTGGTGGCTCAGTCATGACCTGGACCCACTCTAATCTCATATCTAAATTTTTAGTATTTACAGTTTTATTTTCTATGCTTCTTAGACCAAAACCTCTTAGTTTATATGCTACAGCTCATAACAAGTTACTGATTGATTTCCCTTTGTAGCTCTAGATGATATTTTCTGGGGATTTGTACCGTGTACCAGATACCATTTTAAGTACTTTACATGTACTTCCTTCCTTATCCTCCAAAAACCCTGTGAGTTATGTAGGTTGCCTCCATTTTATATTTGAAAATCTTGAGGCAGAAATAGGTTGTGTTTTTCCCAAGGTCTCACAGCCAGTGAGACCCAAGATTCAAAGCCAGCAGCCTAACTTCAGATCCCATTCTTATAAACACCCGATTTATGTCTCTGACTTGATTTATGGAAATAATACTAGTTGTTGCATCAGCAGGCATAATTGGACACTATCTAGTTCCCATTGCTGGAGTCAGGGTACAGATGGCTAGGAGGTCAATCATGAAGGACTTGGCCAAGGGAGGTTCCAATGCTGGTCCTCAGTTAAAGGGAATGTTTTTCTAGTGAGATGAAAACAAAGCAAGATCTGACTGTTGATATGGACCACAGTCCAAGACAGAGGATAGCAGTTGGTATTAGAGGAAATGCTCCTTGTATTAGATCTGATGAGTTACTGCAATCAATAAGCACAATTTTAGAAAAGGGATTTGATCCAGCACTTTGGGAGACGAAGGCAAGTGGATTGCTTGAGGCCAGGAATTTAAGACCAGGCTAGGCAGCATAGCAAGAGCCTGTCTCTATTAAAAAGGAAAGAAAGAAAGAAAAGAAAGAAAGAAAGAAGAAAAGAAAGAAAGAAAGAAAGAAAGAAAGAAAGAAAGAAAGAAGGAAAGAAAGGGAAAAGAAAGAAAGAAAGACAAAGAAAGAGGATTTGAATTAATGACAAAGAGAAGTAATGAAAACAGCATTAAGAGGGTGGCTGGAAGGTGACTCACAACGGTGAGGTAGACTGACCGCAGGGAAACACAGCAGGTAAGTAGACAGACATAGCATGATTAACAAATAATTTTGCAGGTAAGAAGCAAGGCCTTTACAAACTGCTGGTCCAGAGCTAACTCCAAGCCTTTTTGGCCATGAGGAGAGGAGCAGAAACAAAGTAGGGAGGGCTAAGAGACCATAAAAATATTTGGTCAGACAAAAGCCAGACTTAGAATCTTCCTGCATCTGCTTTTTCTCTAGAGTACATTTCTCCTGGCTCTTTCCCATCCTCTAGAGAGGCTTCATCTGATGCCCAATCCATGGTAGTTATCTCTATTTCTCTTTTTCTTGGCAACACTACTTCTTTTTCCTTGTCTAAGGTTCACGAAATATATACTGTATACTTATTTATGCCCATTTATTTGTTAATTGGTTGTCTCCCTGACTCAAATACAAACTGTATGAAGTTAGCAATTATTTCTGATTTTTTCAAATTGCATACACAAGGACTGTTCATAAGTAAGCATTGAATAAATGAATGAATGAACAGGGCTCAGGTACAGGGATAAAAGAGATGAGCCATGTAATGTACCCAGCCTAGAGCTGGGGAGGAGACTTTGGAGGGAAGAAATGATCGCTTACGTTCAATGACCACATGACTATTATTTAGCACTGATGAGCTATCTAAGATCCCTAGTACTAAATGTTATAAGCATATAATGAAGACAGAAGACAGATATGTCTGCAATGGCCCTTTCACAATGTCATCACTGGGAGGAGCTTCATCCTTTATATAAATTATTTGGAAGTTCTGCTTACTAGTGTGCTAATATAGAATATTCACCAGAATGGACGTATATTGAACTAGTATTTTCAGTAAACCATCCCTGAAAGTACAGAATAAAAAGTTTAATGGAGTAACTTATTCCACTTAAGTGTATATGACATGAAGTGTAAGAGTATTACATTCTTTCTGTCTGTTCCTCCAACCTAGCATACACACTAAAGCCTCTCCTTCTCCTCTCCTCTCTTCCCCAGAGGCTCTGATCTTTTTCATTAAAGAAAAATCACTCTCACAGGGTTCTGCTGAGGGTGTGTGATTACAGATGTTGCCAAGGAGCACTCCGGGAACCTCTAATGGGGAGGACACAAGACAAAGCAAATGGACAGTCATTTTTCCAAGAGATGGGCCCCCTGCCATGAGGAAGTTCTTCAGGCTGCGTCTCCTTTTTGTGTTTTTATTTGATCTTTAATAAAGAATATTAAGACTGAGCTGACTGCCTGCTATGACGCTCTAAACACAGACTTACATTTGAGAGGCTGAAGGGAGGAAATGGCAGCCCCGTGGAAAGCAGGGAGCTAAGAAAACAGTATGCAATGAACTTCTCACCTCTGCTCCCTGTCTTGAGGCACAGTGAAAACAGGACACCTCCTATTAAAGGGTTGTCTGCTATATGGGGTCTTGTTAGAGGTCTGGGACTACAATTGGCAGGCCTGTGCTGATCTTATTTATCTATTATTGGTGCTTGCTTTCACCTTCTTCCTTCTCAGAAAGTTTCTGCTTTTGCCAATCCTAAATCTCAACCTCTTTTTATTAAACAAGGGCCAGAGCTAAAAATAAAGGTTGTGTCAACAGATATAAGCAGCACAAGGCTTTATAGTTATCCTGCCACTTCTTAACCTAGCATTTGCGAGGATTGCTTATCTACTTTCAGATTCGAATGAGACAATCGTGCGATGACTTTTGAACTTTATTCGTACTTCCGTTCTTGTTTGTAGAACTACATCTAAGAGGTAAGAAGGATGGTGATCAAAGTGTTTAATAATCGTGGAGACGCAGTCATGTCTCCTGACCTTAATTCCAGCTCCATTCCCCCTTAAAAAGAACTGTCTGGTTCAATAATTAGTGGCCAAATTTTGGAAGACATTTTCCCAGGGAAGGAGCTTGCCTCTTAAGCCCTTGCCCGGACTTCCCCAAGTCTCTTCTAGTATACATGTCATTTGATAACTTATTCTTGAAATTTCATTAGTGAAAACCTCCTTACATTGTTCTGGTGGACATTTTATCCACCAAAAGCTGCCCTTAGATATCCACACCTTAGTGCAAATGAATTCCTAATGCTTTGCAAAAAGCAGATCTTAGAGGGAACAGAAAGGAGAGGGTCTGTAGACACTGACCACCATAGAAAGTTGAAGAAGACAACAGCCCATGGAAAAAAACAAAAAGATATGAGAGGGATAGAGACCTGAGAGGCTGTCACTGCCAATTAGGATGCTGACTTAATTTGCACTTTACCAAAGATCCTCTCTTCCTTTATTCTAAAATTCAAATTGGGCAATAAGCCCCAGAACCTTCTGTTGGGTGCTGCTGGTCAAAAAATATATACAGATATTATCTCGTGGCTGATGCAGCCTAGCCTGGAGCCAAAGCAAGAAGGAGACAGTGAAGGGCACAGCAGGAGCTCCATTATAGGATGATATATAGTATGACATTTAGATTTTGTTTTTAAATAGATTTACAATGCTCCATGTATTTTTTTTTTTCTCACTTGCACACTTTTTTTTTTTCCAAATATGCTTACACATTCTCCTCCAGGCTGGGTCTTTCTAATGTTAAGGTGAGTGCACAAATACTAGATTTTTAAATTTTATTTATTTATTTTTTTTACAGTTCATGATGAATGGAGTTCAGGAGCAGATGCCAGAGAAAAAATGACCAGATAATCAGGTTTTGAATTGGTGCAGTCTCCCTGCAACACTGCTCAGCCTGCCTCCTGTTTCACATTTCAGTGTCTGTAACAGCCCCCACCTGTTTCCCAGTGCCAGGCCTTCCTTCTCAAGATAGCTGAGCCTGGAAGATTGTACCCACTAGAAGGATAAGGAAGTTCATTCCTTAGCCAGGCATTGGTGCAAACGCCTGCTGTAAAATAACACTGGGAAAATGACTGTCAAGTCATGGATCAGTTTTGTAAAAAAAATGATTTAATAAGTGAAGAAAAAATGCAATTTTCTGATGGAAATATTTGGGAGAGAACAATAGATACAGAGCCAACTTTCCTAGGTTGGCTACTAATTAGAGACCTGGTCCTGGGGTAGTTGCTTATTGTGGGAGATGATTAGGCTTATGTGTTCTCATGAAGGAGTAGATGAAGACAAATATGCTCTAATGTCTCCTTCTCTTTTGTGTGTGTGATTTTGTGAGCTTTCATGGCAGAATAACATTCATTTCTGTTGGTTCTACCAACATCCCAGAACTTGGCATCCATTCTCCCTCATCTTCCTACATGTCTGTGGTGGGATAAATTCTCTGCAACCCACTAGCTGGTGCAGTTAGAAGTCACTGCCGTTAAGGAAATACTATGAAAAGAAAAGCTATTAACAACTTAAAGAACTACCTCTCATTAAGATATTTGGATGGTATTATGATTCTTAAGAATGGTTCTGAGGAATGACTTTTGAGACACTGATAAATGGTGGAGTAGTTATTTCTGATCGGTTACCATTTCCTATTAAATCACAGATGCTCTGCTTCCTGCAAAAGCCAGTCTTACTTAAGTGACTCAACTAAATTTAGCCCATTTCTCCATTTAGACTAGTCTTCATTTCTTCATTTGTTCTTTTGAATACTTTTATTGATTACTGAGGCTCGGTGTTCCTGGACATGTGTTTGATACCTAGCAGGAAAGATACAATCCCTGTCCTTAAGCAAATTGCAGGTTTCCAACAGCAGCCTCCTCTGAAATTGAAGGAGAGATGTATTGTTTTCCTGTTTGGCCCAGATACTCCTCTGAATTATCAGGAAAAAAATGATGGAGGATGGAGACAGTATTTTTCTGAGGGAAAAGAAAACAGAAAGAGGATCTAAATCAATAAAACATTTTTAATCAAAGGAGGAGATTTACTCATGGCTCACCCTGTCTCTTAACTTGTGAATTAACAAGGGTGGCATTGATCAAAGATCTAACTGGGACATTGTCCTTGGCTCTTTGCAAAACAGCCTGATCAAGTACTAATTTGTGTGGTATTACCTGAGTTCACAGAAAAGAGAAATCCAAATTAGCCATGGTTGCCTGGGGAAGTTTCTTGGTGAAGTGGGACTTGAAGTGGACAGACCAACACTAGGCAAAAAGGAAGTCATTCCAAGAGGACTAGTGGCATTCGTGAATGCAGGATTAAATGTTGCACATAGATGAGATGAATAGTATGGCTAATGCTCTTTGTGTCTTGGGAGCAGAAAACTCAAATCTCTGCAGAAATTAGGAATGTCATATAAATGATTTAAAAGAAGAGGGTGAGAAATAGAGGCTGATTTAGCCTTAGCAGAATTTCGGTCCAGCATAGAGAGAGTTCTATTGGTTAAGAGAATTCAGAAAGCTGCCTTTGTCTTTGTTCATGTGTAATTTTAACTGTTGACAGTTTAGTTTTGTTTTTAAATCCATGTGGTGCAAATGTAATGCATCTGTTGGGTAGATCTTTTCTAAACACTACCAGCTTGCAACCTCTTTATGAAAGGATTAAGATTGGATTGGTGGACTTAGCAGTCTTCTCAAGAGATCTTTCAAGAGTAGGAGGCAACATTGTGCTCATAGTTAACGAAACTTGACCACACACTTAAAAATGTAAGTGGATAGTAAGTGAAATAACTCAGGAACAGGAAGTCAAATACCTCATGTTCTCACTTTTAACTGGGAGCTAAACAATGTGTACACATGGACATACAACATGGAATAATAGATATTGGACACTCTAAAAGATGGGAGGGTGGGTGGAGGTGACGAATGAGAAGTTAACTATTGGGCACACGTACACTATCTGGGTGATGAGTACACTAAAAGCTCAGACTTCACCACTGTGCAATATATCCATGTAACAAAACTGTACTTGCACTCCCTAAATATATCAAAATTAAAAAAAAATAGAAAAATAGCATTTAGAATTAAAAAATTAAGAGCATAGGTCTCATGTTATCTGTGCTTACCACAATTCAAAAAAGAAAAAGTATGAGATCAATTAGCACGATGTTACTGGAATCTGCTTATACAATGATAAAACAGAACAGAAATGAAAACCCCAAGGAAAAAAAAGTGTTCTATTGAGAATGCATCTTATATGTACTGTGTGTGCTATTTCTGTAAATCACAGTGATTAGCTTTGAGGTAGAAAACAAAGACCGTAAGAAGCCTATTTGGATATGTTAAAGACTTTTTCTCTCTTTACTTTTCCAAACAGGATCAAGTAATTTTATGGTATCAATAACTCTTCTTTATTCATTTCTGAACAGTGACCTCCTGGGAAAGATAACATTTATTTGGGTAAAGTTGTAAAATGCATAATTTGTATCTGAAAACCAAAACTTGACAGCAAGTTGTTTGTATCTTTTTTTTAAATCAAACATTTCTGAACTAAAAAAAATAACATTTCTCATTTTTATAGCTAGAAACCGTATCGCATAATGAGGATAGTGCTTTTCCATTGTGAAAAATGATGCCAAGAATGACTAGAAAAGATAAATTCTCCACACACACTCACAAAATGTTAAAACTTTCATGTCATGTATATCTATTCTTCTAAGATGGCCTTAAGCTACAAGGAAATATATGTTTTCCCACAGAGGATAGGGTCCAGACTACTTGAGTTAAATATCAGGTTTTGTTTTCTACAAGGTCCTGCAGTTATGAGTATTCACCATAATGCCATGAAATCACACCATAAATCTATGTAACCACTTCCTTTTACATTCATTATGTGGGAGCAGAAGCAACTCTCAGAATCAGAAGCAGCATCTATATGGTCTGTTAGGAAGGAAAGGCTTGCCATACTATTTTTTTAAATAAACTTAGTATAAACTTATAAACACATTATACTGAAATGGGAATGTATTAATCCAATTATAGCAGACATAATCTGAAAATATTTCTTAGCTGATAAAGACACATTTAACTGATAGTTGATGTATCTGTATATTCATACAGTATAATTATTGAAGGAGAAATTTCAATGATATAAGAAAAATTCTGATGCATTCATGTTGTCAGTCAAAAATTTAAGTTTGAGATACAGTGGGATACATAATCAAAAGTGTAGGATACAATTGCTTCCCTCAGGACCAGCTTCCAAGCAAAATCATGTTTAAGCAAAGTTCCCCTTGACCACCCATGTTTGCATTCAGACTCCTTTTTCTGTGTTTTGGGGGCCAGTCTCTGACTCATGCCTCTGTTCTCAGATCCCCTTCAGGAGACCACCTGCCTCAGGATCTCTCACCCATCTTCCCTGTTCCTATGGCTCTTCAAATGGGCTTTTAGATTGTTAATTAACAATCTAAAGCTGTTGTAAATTAATTCTATTTAATTCACTGGTGAAACTTTGTGCACTTCAATAGGCAATTTCTTACCCAGTTGAGAATATTCTTTCAGAAAAAGAAAATATTCAGACACTAAAATAGATATCTTAAAGATGCCAGAGTTAACCCTATTTTAAGTGTTAATTACATTTATCAAATGTTGTATATACCATTGTTTTATTAAGGGATTGGAAAACTAATGCTCTTAAATTGAAATTATGCTTACCATGTCATATACAATCAATATAGTTAGGACAGACAATAAAATCTCTTTTAAAAGCACATATATAGAAGACTGAGTTGCTTTGTGTAGCAATGAAGCAGGATGCTTATCCCAACATTTTTAATCTTTATTGTCTCAAAGACAATTTGTACTTGTGCATTACATGTGTGCAAATGTGGGTGTGTGGGACTATATCTTTAACTTTTTAATGTATTATTATTATTATTATTATTATTATTAAGATGGAGTTTCGCTCTTGTTGCCCAGGCTGGAGTGCAGTGGCACGATCTCGGCTCACCACAACCTCCACCTCCCGAGTTCAAGTGATTCTCCTGCTTCAGCCTCACGTGTAGCTGGGATTACAGGCATGCGCCACCACGCCCAGCGAATTTTGTATTTTTAGTAGAGACAGAGTTTCTCCATGTTAGGCTGATCTCGAACTCCCAACCTCAGGTGATCTGCCTGCCTTGGCATTACTTTTTAACCATACCCCATTCTTTTCTGTTTCTTTTATTTGCAGAAAAAAAAATTCCATATTTCTTATGCTAATAAACAAAACAGTATTTATCCAATTCCAAAACAAATACTATATAAAATGACAATAATTAAAACTATCCACACATACATTTATTACTAAAAAACACAGAAACAAAACATATTCTTGTCAAAATTTAGATTTGTAAAAATTTGATTAAGAGAAATTAGGTATAATGAAAATGACAAATGCAAAAGTAACAACATAGGAAAAAATATCTGTAAATTATGGTGTTATTTTAAAATTTAATCGTACTTATTCCAAATTGACATGAGTTTTTAAAAATTAAAATTAAAAAAAAGATTGAAAATGGTTTGCTCTGTGGAAAATTCATCATAGAATTCAATTGAGTTCATGGAATTCAATCTGGAAAGAAGAACCTGTAATCAATATTAGCATAATTCACATGAAAATGTTTTTACAATGCCCTCAGGATCAATATGAGCCTCAGCAGAGTGGATCACAATATCCTCACAAGCTCAATTTGAGACAGATTACAGATATAAATACAGAATAACAATGAAGTTTTTAGAAGAAAAAAATTTACAAAACCATCATTGTGACCTTGTAGTAGGCAAAATTTCTTTTAATAGAATACAAAAAATTACTAATCATAGAAATTAAAAACAACTACTTTCAAAAGACATCAAGAGTGAAAAGACACTCCATAGGAAGGAGAGAAGATAATCATAAAGCATATGTCAAAAAAAAGATTCATAGCCAGAATGTATAAATAAATAATTTCTACCAATTAATTTAAAAATCAAACCAATGGAGAAATGGACAAAAAGCTTGAACAGGGACCTAGGGAAAATGGATATCCAAATGGACAAAAGCACAAAAATTAATTTTGAGGAAATGCAAATTAAAACCATAATGCCATACACAAAAACTCAACATAACTATTTTTTTTTTTAAAAAAAGAGAGATAATACCAAATTGTTGGCATGAGTATGGAGTGACTGGGTCTCTCTTGCTTTGCTAGTAAGAATTTAAATTGGTACAATTGCTTCAGGAAACATTATATAATATCTACTAAAGCTGCACATTGCATATCCTATGATCGAGCAAATCTACCTGAGAAATAAACCCCAAAGAAATGAGTGCTTATGTCCAACAAAAGACAGGTAATTTAAGTATTACCAATGGCCAGGCACAGTGGCTTAAGTCTAATCCAGCACTTTGGGAGGCTGAGGTGGGCGGATCATGAGGTCAGGAGATTGAGTCCATACCGGCTAACACAGTGAAACTCCATCTCTATTAAAAATACAAAAAAATTAGCCAGGTGTGGTGGCACACGCCTAAGAGTCCCAGCTACTCAGGAGGCTGACGCAGGAGAATCACTTGAACTCAGGAGGCAGAGGTTGCAGTGAGCCAAGATTGCACCACTGCACTCCAGCCTGGGCGACAGAGTGAGACTCCATCTCAAAAAAAAACAAAAAACAAACAAACAAAAAAACACACACACACACAAGAAAGTATTACCAATAACATTATTGATATGAAGCATAGGATGGATAAGTATATTGTCATATACTCCTACAATGAAATACCATACAGCAACCAAAATGAATAAACTCCAAGTACATGCAACAGTGTGGATTACCTCTCAGACATATTATTGAGTGAAAGAAGCCAGACATAAATGATCAGACAAAGTTGAATTCATTTTTATAAATCTCAAAAAGAGGAAAAATTAATCTATACCATTAGAAATGAGTGGTCTCCTTTAGTTGGAGTAGAAGATAGTTAGCAACCAGAAGGGACTTAGGAGGTACACCTTCTGGAGTCTGTTGATATTTTGTTTCCTGATCTGGGTGTTAATTACATGACTGTGTTCACATTTTGGAAATTTCATTGAATATGATTTGTGTATTTTCTTTTTATTTATTATACTTTAAGTTCTAGGGTACACGTGCACAACGTGCAGGTTTTTTACATATGTATACATCTGCCATGTTGGTGTGCTGCACCCATTAACTCATCATTTACATTAGATATATCTCCTAATGCTATCCCTCCCCACTCCCCCTACCCCACGTCAGGCCCTGGTGTGTGACGTTCCCCTTCCTGTGTCCAAGTGTTCTCATTGTTCAATTCCCATCTATGAGTGAGAACATGCAGTGTTTGGTTTTTTGTCCTTGCGATAATTTGCTGAGAATGATGGTTTCCAGCTTCATTCATGTCCCTACAAAGGACATGAACTCATCCTTTTTTATGGCTGCTAGTATTCCATGGTGTATATGTGTCACATTTTCTTAATCTATCACTGATGGACATTTGGGTTGGTTCCAAGTCTTTGCTATTGTGAATAGTGCCACAATAAACATATGTGTGCATGTGTCTTTATAGCAGCATGATTTATAATCCTTTGGGTATATACCCAGTAATGGGATGGCTGGGTCAAATGGTATTTCTAGTTCTAGATACTTGAGGAATCGCCACATTGTCTTCCACAATGGTTAAACCAGTTTACAGTCCCACCAACAGTGTAAAAGTGTTCCTATTTCTCCACATCCCCTCCAGCACCTGTTGTTTCCTGACTTTTTAATGAATGCCATTCTAACTGGTGTGAGATGTTACCTCATTGTAGTTTTGATTTGCATTTCTCTGATGGCCAGTGATGATGAGCACTTTTTCATGCATCTGTTGGCTGCATAAATGTCTTCTTTTGAGGAGTATCTGTTCATATCCTTCACCCACTTTTTGATAGGGTTGTTTGTTTTTTTCATGTAAATTTGTTTGAGTTCTTTGTAGATTCTGGATATTAGCCCTTTGTCAGATGAGCAGATTGCAAAACTTTTTTCCCATTCTGTAGGTTGCCTGTTTACTCTGATGGTAGTTTCTTTTGCTGTGCAGAAGCTCTTTAGTTTAATTAGATCCCATTTGTCAATTTTGGCTTTTGTTGCCATTGCTTTTCGTGTTTTAGACATGAAGTTCTTGCCCGTGCCTATGTCCTGAATGGTATTGCTTAGGTTTTCTTCTAGGGTTTTGTAGTTTTGGGTTCTACATTTAAGTCTTTAATCTAGCTTGAGTTAATTTTTGTATAAGGTGTAAGGAAGGGGTCCAGTTTCAGCTTTCTACATATGGCTAGCCAGTTTTCCCAGCACCATTTATTAAATAGAGAATCTTTTCCCCATTTCTTGTTTTTGTCAGGTTTGTCAAAGATCAGATGGTTGTAGATGTGTGGTATTATTTCTGAGGGCTCTGTTCTGTTCCATTGGTCTATATCTCTGTTTTGGTACCAGTACCATGCTGTTTTGGTTACTGTCACCTTGTAGTATACTTTGAAGTCAGGTACCGTGATGCCTCCAGCTTTGTTCTTTTGGCTTAGGATTGTCTTGGCAATGTGGGCTCTTTTTTGTTTCCATAGGAACTTTAAAGTAGTTTTTTCCAATTCTGTGAAGAAAGTCATTGGTAGCTTGATGGGGATGGCATTGAATCTATAAATTACCTTGGGCAGTATGGCCATTTTCATGATATTGATTCTTCCTATCCATGGGCATGGAATGTTCTTCCATTTGTGTCCTCTTTTATTTCATTGAGCAGTGGTTCTCTTTGAAGCAATTGTGAATGGGAGTTCACCATGATTTGGCTCTCTGTTTGTCTGTTATTGGTGTATAAGAATGCTTGTGATTTTTGCACATTGATTTTGTATCCTGAGACTTTGCTGAAGTTGCTTATCAGCTTAAGGAGATTTTGGGCTGAGACAATGGGGTTTTCTTAATGTACAATCATGTCATCTGCAAACAGGGACAATTTGACTCCCTCTTTTCCTAATAGAATACCTTTTATTTCTTTCTCCTGCCTGATTGCCCTGGCCAGAACTTCCAACACTATGTTGAATAGGAGTGGTGAGAGAAGGCATCCCTGTCTTGTGCCAGTTTTCAAAGGGAATGCTTCCAGTTTTTGCCTATTCAGTATGATATTGGCTGCGGGTTCATCATAAATAGCTCTTATTATTTTGAGGTACATCCCATCAATACCTCTTGAAAATTAAATGTGATGTGTGTACTTTTTGTATATGTATGCTATTTTCAATGAAAATTGAAAGACTTATTAAGATTAATACACTCTAAATGTCTCCCTACCCGATTCCCAAGGTCTGTTTTACGAGAAAGTAAGAATAAAAGTGCATCACTGAAAAAGAAATGTTCTATACTACTTCCCTTTCCTTCTCAGTGTGAAGGTGCCTTGAATTTAATATGGGAAGTATGTAGTGGGTGGGTAAACATTTCCTTTGCTGAAGGCGTAAAAGTTAGTGATAATCTTCAGTGAAAAGTTTTCTGACATTTCCCCAGGAGAACGGTTTCTACAGCATCTTCAGCCTAGAAAATATGTGGCCTTCAATACAACCTCTTTTATTGTCATAATGAGGAGAATAGGGTACGTGAGTGAGGGGCTCCAGATAGAAAATTGCTTCACTTTTTTCAACCAAAACTCACTGTACCACTGCAAGGCTAGGAAAGGAACCAGAAGAAGAGGTATACATAAAGAACTCCTCTGTGGAAAACTTTGAAATGCTCACATGTAATGAAGAGACCTAAATTTCTTGGCTAGTGGGGCTCAGCCACAAACTAATGGGGAATGTTGTAGGGAAGCACTCCTTTCTTTCAACCCATGCCGATCTCCACTGTGCATAAACTCCAGTAACATATTCTAATATATTTACATCTGAAAATAAAGATGTACAAATCATTCGAAGCATATATGTGAGTACTCAATGAAATTCTTAAATTGTGGCCTTTACATTTGTGTGTAGAGAAACTTGGCTTGTATGGCTTACTTTCTACGGTGGCTGGCACAGGGAAGCCATTGCCTGCCATTTTGAGAATCCAGTGTTTTGGCCACACAGGAATCTTACAATCTTGGGTAATACTTTCTGAAAAAAGAAGCCATCAGGACAAGAGAGTTCTTTATAGAGAGTTTTCCACAGAAACCTAATCATATATATATATATAGTAAAAATATATATGTGTGGCTGGGAGCAGTGGCTCATGCCTGTAATCCCAGAACTTTGGGAGGCGGAGGCAGGCGGATCACAAGGTCAGGCTTTTGAGACCAGCCTGGCCAATGTGGTGAAACCCCACCTCTACTAAAAACACAAAATTAGCCGGGTGTGGTGGTGCATGCCTGTAATCCCAGCTACTTGGGAGGCTGAGACAGGACAATCGCTTGAACCTGGGGGGCTGAGGTTGTGGTGAGCCGAGATCGTGCCATTGCACTCCAACCTGGGCAACAAGAGTGAAACTCCATCTCAAAAAAAAAATATATATATATATATATATATTTATACATATATATGCATGTCTATATTATATAAAATATATATTATGTTATATAATATATGATATATAAAATATAATTATATATACCATATATTACATTTTATATATATATATATATAGAACTACCAGGATACAAAAATAATATTAAACAATATGATATTGTCTATTTTCATTTTCAGGTAACATCTCATCCTCCAATAGTCTCCTTCATCCCCCTTTTGCTGTCTCACTAGACTAAGTTCTAACAGCTACTAGGTGGAGAATTGGAGCAGTTATTCAAATAATTCAGGTTCAAAAGACAGGACACAACACCATTGACTGATTCATTATTTCTCACAATATTGATTTTATTGGCCTGAATAACCTTAATAAATGTCCACTTGGCCTTGATATTCACATACAAAGACAGCTTTCAGCAATTATCAAACAAAAGATGAAATTTAAAAATCTTTTGGAGCGTTCAATTCCTTTTTGTCCTACAGCATGAAAGCCAGGCTTTATTTTCATGGCCATGTCAATCACTGTGTTACAGACAATATGGTTTAGAAAATGCAGAGGTGGGGTAGAAATTATCCTTGAAACTCTTACTATTTCTAGACCATAAAAAATTTCTTCATCTGAGCCTGATCAGCATTATCTCAAAACAGACATTTCTGAAAACTAATAATAACATCAGGTATGCTTCAACATTTACATTTCCTATTAAATTGAAATTTAAACACCTCCTCCTCCTGAAAATGCTGGATATGTGCATATTTAGATAAGTTTTATTAGCTAATGAATTAGATTCCAGGAAAGTCAGCATCTTCCAAGTCACTAGTTTACATAATTAAAACTCTATTGACTTCATTTGTTATGCAAAATAATGATTTTGGGATTTGGGGATTAGAGGACTTTTGTTAGGGAGCTAGAATGTGCTGATTTTATGGGCTTCCTTCATAGATTTTGTGACTCACATATACAAAAACAGTTGTTATACATTTCATAAAGGTTTGAGGCAAAGAAAGAAGAGCTCAGAGTTTGGGGAAAGTATTTTTTTGCAATATTTCTCCATTTATATGTCTGCATTTAATTTTCATTTTCAAGAAAAACAAATAAACTTACAAAAAAAAACCTCTTAAATGAGGTCCTCTCTTTTTGATCAGGAGGTAACAAGTTCTCTGCTAGTTACAGATAGGGACCTCTGTGTTGGAGACCACCTGATAACATAAAGACAGACTGTGCAGTGTGGGTCTCTGTGGTTATTTTAGAGCTTCACACTTAAGAAGAAATGTGTCTTCACTCCTTCAGCTATTTCTTGGCATTGTTTAATGCTTTAAACAATTTCCAACATATTTAAACACACATGTTCTTACATTCCTCATTGCTGGCCCATGAGCTAGGTAGGGTAGCTTATGAACTCTATTTTTAAGTGGGAAAACGGAAGTCTAAGGGTCCTGAGGTTTCCAATCTCTGTGGCCAAATTCGCACACAGAGCAGAAGTTGTAACTCATGGCTGGACGCTGTCCTGAGTCTCTGTGAGTCTGATGTCTGATGTCTTAACAAAACACCTAAGCATGACTCACTCAGTTGAGTCACATGTGGCATATATGAAGGGAAGAATAAAATTGCGTTTGAGGAATAAGAGGGATCTCTGACTGTACTCAACAATGGCCCTTCAGAGGCAAGAGGAGGAATACTGGAACCTTCTGTATATTTTCTTTTTTAGCTGTAATTATGGATGCTGATGTGTTTTTATTGTGATCGTTGTTGCTCTGTTGTCCAAGTGATACTTTTCTGATGCCTAGAAAATATGCAAAAACATCTATTTTAGGTTCATACAGAAAATAATATTACAACATATAAATCATGTTGTTTGTTTGATTACTTGCTTAAATGATCAGAAGTTCAATAGATCAGGACAAGAATAATTAATCATTCAAAATGTATTTATTTAGTAGTTACTCTGTGCTTTGTTCTGTATTACATATTCTAAAAGATACAGAAATTATAAAACACTGTCTCAGTCTTGGCACTGACTATGTTTTATGAGGTGAGACACTTATACATGAGTCCAATAACACTTAAATAATTAAATATATTACTGACAGTAAAGATGAAATAAGAAATCAGTATGGTGACAGCCAGTATTAGACAGGGGCTAAATGCAGGCACCCTGCAACTAGACTATCCAGATTTTAAACCCTGGTTGCACCATCCACTAACTCTATGGCCTCACTCTTTCATTATTATTATTATTATCATTAATTATTATTATTATCCTTTAAGTTCTAGGGTACATGTACACGACGTGCAGGTTTGTTACATAGGTATACATGTGACATGTTGGTTTGCTGCACCCATCAACTCATCATTTACATTAGGTATTTCTCCTAATGCTATCTCTCCCCCAGCCCCCCACCCCACGACAGGCCCTAGTGTGTGATGTTCCCTGCCCTGCGTCCAAGTGTTCTCATTGTTCAATTCCTACCTATGACTGACAACATGCAGTGTTTGGTTTTCTGTCCTTGTGATAGTTTGCTGAGAATGATGGTTTCCAGCTTCATCCATGTCCCTGCAAAGGACATGAACTCATCCTTTTTTATGGCTGCATAGTATTCCATGGTGTATATGTGCCACATTTTCTTAATCCAGTCTATCATTGATGGACATTTGGGTTGGTTCCAAGTCTTTGCCATTGTGAATAGTGCTGCAATAAACATACATGTACATGTGTCTTTATAGTAGCATGATCTATAACCCTTTGGGTATATACCCAATAATGGGATCGCTGGGTCAAATGGTATTTCTAGTCCTAGATCCTTGAGGAATCGCCACACTGTCTTCCACAATGGTTGAACTAATGTAGACTCCCACCAACAATGTAAAAGCGTTCCTATTTCTCCACATCCTCTCCAGCATCTGTTGTTTCCTGACTTTTTAATATTGCCATTCTAACTGGCATGAGATGGTATCTCATTAAGCTTTTGATTTGCATTTCTCTGATGGCCAGTGATGAACATTTTTTCATGTGTCTGTTGGCTGCATAAATGTTTTCTTTTCAGAGTGTCTGTTCATAACCTTTGCCCACGTTTTGATGGGGTTGTTTTTTTCTTGTAAATTTGTTTAAGTTCTTTGTGGATTCTGGATATTAGCCCTTTGTCAGATGAGTAGATTGCAAACATTTTCTCCCATTCTGTAGGTTGCTTGTTCACTCTGATGGTAGCTTCTTTTGCTGTGCAGAAGCTCTTTAGTTTAATTAGATCCCATTTGTCTATTTTAGCTTTTGTTGCCATTGCTTTTGGTGTTTTAGTTATGAAGCCTTTGCCCATGCCTATGTCCTGAATGGTATTGGCTAGGTTTTCTTCTAGGGTTTTTTACAATTTTAGGTCAAACATTTAAGTCTTTATTCCATCTTGAATTAACTTTTGAATAAGGTGTAAGGAAGGGATCCAATTTCAGTTTTCTACATATGGCTAGCCAGTTTTCCCAGCACCATTTATTAAATAGGGAATCTTTTCCCCATTTCTTGTTTTTGTCAGGTTTGTCAAAGATCAGATGGTTGTAGATGTGTGGTGTTATTTCTGAGGCCTCTGTTCTGTTCCATTGGTCTATATATCTGTTTTGGTACCAGTACCATGCTGTTTTGGTTACTGTAGCCTTGTAGTATAGTATGAAGTCAGGTAGTGTGATGCCTCTAGCTTTGTTCTTTTTGCTTAGGATTGTCTTGGCAATGTGGGCTCTTTTTTGTTTCCATATGAACTTTAAAGTAGTTTTTTCCAATTCTGTGAAGAGAGTCATTGGTAGCTTGATGGAGATGGCATTGTATGGCCTCTATCTTAACCTCCCTCTGTCTCAGTTTTCTTATCTGTCAAATATAGATAATAATAACTATTAGTGCTACTGTGAAAATTAAATCTATTAAAACATGTAATTTTCAGCGCAGAGTATGTGACCAATTATTGTTTGCTATTATTATGGGCTGGGACATACCTAGAGGTCTTAGATAGGAGATGAGACTTGGAGTAAATTATTTATAATAAAATAATTCGAATGAAGGAGGGAATGGATTCTGGTCAGGTTAGTGACATGAATACTTAAGTAGCTATAGTAGGGATGGAAGTAGCTAGCTCATGGATTATGAAAAACCAGATCATCAGGAGAAGATGAAGTAAAAAGAGGAGAAATAGTGCTGAATAGATGGGGAGGTTTGGAAAAACTGGCTGTGGTTCATGAAGAGCTGGCCTGCCAGAAAGCTGGAGCAGGAAGTTTGCTTTGGCTACTGCCTTTAGTCTCTCCTTGGATTCAAAGACATTCATTTACAAAGATAAGCTGGCTGCATGGTTTTATATTTAATTGTGAACAAAGTAACATAGTTATTTCAAAGAAATTTTAAACTGTAAGAATTAATAGTTTAGTAGTTTATCCAGAAACTTCCCTGGACAACACTATGAATGAAAGAAAGAAAGCATGAATGAATGAATGAAATCTTTAGTTCATGGAAAGCTATCTTCATGTAGAGTGTTCTGTTAGCACGGGAACCTCACAGTGTCAGCCCTTAAAGGGGGAATGTGATATATTTTAGAAGTAGTGAAGGTTATGTGCAATGGTCTTTCTTCTTGTTTCTTCTGGCCACTGTCACTCCTTATGAGTGTCCATTGTTCCAGACCTTTACATTATTTACCATTGCTTCTCCTTCTCCCCCAGTCAATCTTCCCCCAAATTAAATATTTCTGACTTATGTTTTAATCATCAATGTATTTCTGGGAAAATTAGCAAATAATATATACAGCAAACAGATAAGGATTCTTTATATTTATTTGCATTGTTATATATATATATATTACATTATATTAGTTTATTTCTACATCCTGTTCAATAGATTTTATGGGACAAGCCTGGAAGCTGTGTATATCAATGACTGTCTGTAGCAATATAAGGAGCTTGCACCAGAATATAAATCTAAATATTGCTTCCCTTCTCAAGAAAGTTGTGTTTCAAAAAAGTCAGTCTGAAATATAAAGAGCTTGGAATTCATCATCCCCTTCTTTACACCAAAAATGTACTTGAGCAATTTAAAAATCAACAACTTTTTTTTTGGCCGATCAGAGAACTGGGGTTGAAAAGCAAACTGGCACCCCAAAATCTGGAAAGGCAGGTATATCTGAGGAGTCACAGCTAAGATCTGCATACCTGAAATGGAAGCCACTGGAGCCATAAACTAGTAAGAGCACCAATATGGTAATTTTGTCAAATTGCTGGGAGCTGAGTGTGAACTAGTGTGGAAGTGAGAACATATGGGGTTTGGAAGAGTCACAGTCTTAGGGGAACTCCCACAATTTTGTGGCTTTACCCCTGGAAACTTCAACATGTTTTCGGAATGAATATCGAAGTAATATTTCCTCACGGTTTGAGGGAAAGGGTGATGATGTGAGGAGAGTAACTACTGTGAAATAAGTCCAGAGTGTTCTCCATAATGAAGACTTACTCTGCAGGGAAGAAGATTTTACCAGAGTCTTAGGTCAGCTTGGAGAAAGGCACTCATTAGAATCCAGCTCCCTCTAGCCTTCCTGTCTCACCAAAGTGGGGAAATACAAAAGCTATACAACAGGAGAAACAGTTGGAAACTCATAGCTTGTATACAGCATAGAAGGCCACTAAACGACTGTTCAATCATAAGATTATAGAACATTCTTTCTCCCCCCCCACTACCATCCTTACCAGTACACCAAAAAGGCTCCAGTATAGTAACAGTGTATTAGAGCTGAAAAGGGTGCAAGACACAGACTGTCTCTGAGAAGGACAGAAGAATTGGAGTACTCTTCTATAAGGTATGTACTTTATATAAAGTGGCACAGTGTTATTTGAGGGAGAACTTATTAGTTGAAAATGTGTATCAGAAGCTCTAGGGCAACCACTAAAATAAACAAAAAAGAATTGTAATTGATACGATAAGAGAGAAAATAAAATAGAGTAATATGAAATACTAAATTAAAACTAAAGAAGATAGAGAAAGAGTAAAAGCAACAAATAGAAAATAGTCACATATGCAATAGATATTAATCAAACTATATAGATGATGACATTAAACATGAAATGTCTAAATACACTAATTAAAAGACAGAGATAAGAAAATAAAACTCAGCTATATGTGGTCTGCAAGAAGCCCACTTTAAATACAAAGACATAGATAGGTTAAATGTAAAGGAATAGATAAAGATATACCATGCTGACATTAATCAAAATGAATCTGGAATAGCTATATTAATTTAAAATCAAAAAGATGTTTGGGAAAAAATTATTAGAGAAAAAAGAAGCACTGCATGATGGTAAAGGGATAAATTCTCCAAGAAGACATAAGAATTCTAAATGGATATGCACCTAACACACATGTCAAAATACATGAGGTCGAAACTCATAGAACTGAAAGGAGAACAGAGAAACCCAGTATTGTAATTAAAGATGACAACACCCCTTTTTCAGTGATAAAATAAAGCGATACATAAATAATTAATAAAATAATGAATACACACATAATAAAAATATTGTTAGATTGTAATTCAAAGTATAAAATAGACATCTGTGAGTCCATGGTAATATAAATAAATGCTTGAGTAAATATATGTGGAAGAAGAGACTTATCTCCCATGCAAAGTATTCTAATTGATTTATGTAGATACTCTACCCTGAAGGAAGCAGCACACAACCCTCCTCTGTTTAATGTGGGCTGCACATAGTGATTTCTTCCAAAGACTCCAATGTAGAAAAGGGGAAAAGAATAAGTTTACAGTGGAGAAACCTTACAAAATGATCAAAGCCAAGTGATTGAGGTAAGCTTCAACAGAGAAACCACGTTGTCAGCATGCACTCTTCATACAATGTGTTAAAAATGGTACTTTACCTCTGTGATCTTTCTCCCAAAAACACAATCACAGTCTAATAATGAGTAAAACATTAGAAAATCAAAATAGAGAGACTTTCTACAAAATATTCACCAGCACTCCTCAAAACTGTCCAGGTCATCTTGAGGAAAGTCTGAGAAACTCTCACAGCAAGAGGAGCTTTAGGAAGCATGACTATTTAATAAATACAAAGTGATATCCTTCATGGGATCCTGGAACAAATAAAAAGGACATTAAAACAAAAAATAAGGAAATCTGAAATTTCCTTAGCTTATAAAATTACAGACTTTCAGTAATAATAATGTATCAATATTGATTAATTAATTGTATCAAAAGTACCATATGATCATAAGATGTTAAACATAGGGAAAATGAGTATGGGGTACATGGGAACTCTCTGTAAAATCTTAATTAATTTTTCTAAAAAACCAAAACTGTTGGTAAATAATTTTTTTAAATAGTCAAACCAGTGCTCTTAATGACATGGAGGAGAGAAATGCTGGTGCAAATATGTTTTTATATTACCATAGACCAGTAACAAGTAGTTTGAGTTCATTTTTCTGTTATCCCCACACTTCGGGCAACTCTTGTGTACATCTCTTCTCACATTCCATGAAAAAAACTAATCTGATGGTCCCAGTGAAATTCAATGAAAGCTGCAGAATAGTTTTCCTGTGTGATCAGAAGGAAAATGTAGCAGTTTACTGAACTTATAAAATGTCTCTGCCACATGCTTTCAATGGATCGTTCTGGGAACTTTTGGGAAAAGACTCAAGTGGAGGTCAGGGAGGAAGCCAGAAGCCTGTTTAGCATTCTCCCCTTGCTGCCCAAAAAATTCCTAGCTCATGTCTGTGACTAAGGGTTTCTTCATCTGAAGGCTTTCCTTGACCTTCCTAGGTACGTCTTTCTGTTTTACACCATCATAGCACCAGACACCACAATTGCAATTTTACATTTCTGTGTATGATAGGATAATGTTTGTCTCCACCATTAGATTATAAACTTATAAAAATTATTTAAAATATTATAAAATTATTTAACATTTTATTAAAATATAAAAGCATATTAAAAATGAGGGCAGAAACTGGATCTTTCACTTGCGTCCCTGTGAAGAGACTACCAAACAGGCTTTGTGTGAGCAATAAACCTTTTAATCACCTGGGTTCAGGCAGACTGAGTCTGAAAAGAGAGTCAGCAAAGGGAGATAAGGGTGGGGCTGTTTTATAGGATTTGGGTAGATAAAGGAAAATTACAGTCAAAGGGGATTTGTTCTCTGGTGGGCAGGAGTGGGGGTCACAAGGTGCTCAGTGGGGGAGCATTTTGAGCCAGGATAAGCCAGGAAAAGGACTTTCACAAGGTAATGTCATCACTTAAGGCAAGGACCGGCTGTTTTCACTTCTTTTGTGGTGGAATGTCATCAGTTAAGGCGGGGCAGGGCATTTTCACTTCTTTTGTGATTCTTCAGTTACTTCAGGCCATCTGGGCAGAGTAAACAAGAGTAAAGCATTTATAAGTAGTTGAGAATGGAGAATAGGAGTATGACCAGACAGAAGATAGCAGGGATGACTAGCTTTTTGGGGCTCGGCCTAAGTGGTGGGGGTGACTTCGTAAAGCCCTGTTACAAAAAGTAGGGTAAGGACGAACAGACCTAATAGAATGAAGGAATGTGTTAGGCTCATAAGGGTTATTACTGTTTTTCATGAATATGAGTGAGTTTAAGGGAAGTAGGGGAGAGTACTTGAGACTTCCAGGAGGAAGAGGAGAGATTAGGCTGGCTGTCCAATGGACACAGCTTTATTCTGGAATGGTGAACCCAGTGGGGAGGATCCTGCAGGCAGACAGCAGTTGGGGTACTACAGATAACTAAGTAGGGTCCAGTCCATCGAGGTTGTAGAGTTTGAGGGGTCAGATTCTTAACAAGAACTGATCGTCCAGCTAGGGTGTCTTCATGTGGCTGGGGATCTGGAGTAGGAAAGAGAAGATTAGCAGCCTGGCGAATTTCCTGTCTAGCCTGTTGGAGGACTGGAAGATAGTCGCCTAGAGGGCTGGTGTCTGGGATGAGGTTGGGGCCAACCAAGAAAGGGCGTCCATATAAAAGTTCAAATGGACTGTACCCTGTAGCATCTCGAGGATAGGATCTAATTCTGAAAAGGGCAAGAGGTAAAAGTACTGTCCAATCCTTTTTAAGTTGGAGGCTGAGCTTGGTGAGGTGTGTCTTTAAAAGACCATTAGTCCATTCTACCTTTCCTGAAGATTGAGGACGGTAAGGGATATGAAGGTTCCACTGAATACCAAGAGCCTGAGAAACTGCTTGGGTGATTTGACTAGTAAAGGCTGGTCCGTTATCAGATTGTATAGAGGTGGGAAGGCCAAACCGAGGAATTGTGTCTGACAGAAGGGAAGAAATGACTGCGGTGGCCTTCTCAGACTCTGTGGGAAAGGCCTCTACCCATCCAGTGAAAGTGTCTACCCAGACGAACAGATATTTTAGTTTTGGGGCATGTGAGTAAAGTCAATTTGCCAGTCCTGGGCAGGGGCAAATCCCCGAGTTTGATGTGTAGGGAAGGGAGGGGGCCTGAACAATCCCTGAGGGGTAGTAGAATAGCAGATGGAACACTGAGAAGTGGTCTCCTTGAGGATAGGTTTCCATGATGGAAAGGAAATGAGAGGTTCTAAGAGAGGGGCTAGCAGCTTTTAACCTACATGGAAGAGGTTATGAAATGACGACAGAATAGAATGGGCCTGTGAGGCTGGAAGGAGATATTTTCCTTGGTCTAAGAACCATTTGCCTTGTGTGGGAAGAGATTGATAGGTGGAAGTTTCAGCAGGGGAGTAGGTGGGAGTGACCGATGTGAAGGAGAAAAACTGGTGTGAGGGACACAAGTTGGAAAGCTAGCTGCTTGTCTAGCCACCTTATCAGCATAAGCATTGTCTAGAGCAATGGGATCTGATGCCTTTTGATGGCCTTTGCAGTGAATGACTCCATCTTCCTTTGGAAGTAAAGCGGCCTTGAGCAGAGCTTTTATTAAAAAGGCATTAATGATGGAGGACCCTTGCATAGTGAGGAAACCTCTTTCAGCCTATATAACAGCATGCTGGCGCAGAATATGAAAGGCGTATTTAGAGTCACTATAAATATTGACACGTAATCCTTTTGCAAGAGTGAGGGCTTGAATTAAGGCAACTAGTTCGGCTTGCTGAGAGGTAGTGGGGCTGGGGGCAGAGTGGTAGCCTCAATGATAGATGTGGAAGATACTATAGCATAGCCTGCCTTTGCTGGTGAGTGGCGATTAGGCCTGGTGGAACTGCCATCAATAAACTAAATGTGATCAGGGTGAGGAACAGGAAAGAAGGAAATATGGGGAAATGGGGTGAGTGTCAGGTGGATCAGAGAGATAAAGTCATGAGTGTCAGGTGTGGTATCCAGAATAATGTGGGAGGCCAGATTGAAGTCCGTGCCAGGAACAATGGTAATTGTGGGAGACTTAATAAAGAGTGAGTATAGCTGAAGAAGTGGGGGAGCAGAAAGTATATGTGTCAGATATGAGGAAGAAAATAGATTTTGGAAGTTATGAGAAATGTAGAGAGTGAGTTGAGCATAGTTCGTGATTTTTAGGGCCCCCAAAAGTATTAAAGCAGCAGCAGCTGCTGCACGCAGACATGAGGGCTAGGCTAAAACAGTAAGGTCAAGCTGTTTGGACAGAAAGGCTGAAAACAATTTGGTTGATAAGGCGCAGATACTGAACTAACCTGTAAGTCTTTTCTGGTTTTAGGACAGGTAAATTGGGGGGAATTGTAAGGAGAGTTTATAGCCTTTAAAAGGCCATACTATAACAGGTGAGTGATAACAGAATTTAATCCTTTTAAAGCGTGCTGTGGGATGGGATATTAGCATTGAGCAGGGTAAGGGTGATTAGCTTTTAATGAGATGGAAAGGGGTGCATGATCGGTCGCCAAGGAGGGAGTAGAGGTATCTTATACTTGTGGGCTAAGGTGGGGAGATACAAGGGGAGGATGTGAAGAAGGCTTTGAACTGGGGGAAAAGGTGGCAATGAGGTGAGGCTGTACCCCAGGAATAGTCAGAGAAGCAGATAATTTAGTTAAAGTGTCTCGGCCTGATAGGGGAACAGGGCAGGTGGGGATAACTAAAAAGAAGTGCTTAAAAGGTATTGCCTAAGTTGGCACCAGAGTTGGGGAGTTTTAAGAGGTTTAGAAGCCTGGCCGTCAATACCCACAATAGGTATGGAGGCAAGGGAAACAGGCCCTTGAAAAGAAGGTAATGTGGAGTGGGTAGCCTCCGTATTGGTTAACAAGGGGACGGACTTACCTTCCACTTTGAGAGTTACCTAGAGCATCTGTGATGGCCCTGTAGGCCTCTGAGGCGATCGGGCAGTGTCAGTCTTCAGCTGCTAAACCGAGAAGATCTGGGAAGGAGTCAGTCAGAGAGCCTTGGGCCAGAGTTCCAGGGGCTCTGGAAGTGGCTGCCAGGTGAGTTGAACAGTCCGATTTTCAGTGGGGTCCTGCACAGATGGGACACAGCTTAGGAGAAATCCCGGGCTGTGGGCATTCCTTGGCCCAGTGGCCAGATTTCTGGCACTTGTAGCAAGCTCCAGGGGGAGGAGGTTCTGGAGGAACCCCTGGCAGCTGCGGTTCAGGTGTTTGGAGTTCTTGTGTGCTGGAGATGTAGCTGGGGTTTCTCTCACAGTGGAGGCAAGGAATTGCAACTCAGAAATACATTGCTACTTGGCTGCCTCTATTATTGTACACCTTGAAGGTGAGGTTAATTAAGTCCTGTTGTGGGGTTTGAGGGCCGGAATTTAATTTTTGGAGCTTTATTTCATGTCGGGAACAGATTAGGTAATAAAATAAAATGCATATTGAGAATAAGACGGCCTTCTGACCTTTCAGGGTCTAGGGCTGTAAAGCGTCTCAGGGTTGCTGCCAAATGAGCCATGAACTGGGCTGGGTTTTTCATATTTGATGAAAAGAGCCTAAACACTAACTGATTTTGGGAGAGGTTGGATAAAGAAAAAGGAGAATTAACCTTGACTATGCCTTTAGCTCCAGCCACCTTTTTAAGAGGAAATTTCTGGGCAGGTGGGGGAAAGCTAGTCAAGGAATGAAACTGTAAGCTGGACCAGGTGTGAGGAGGGGAGGTGATAACAGGATTATAGGGTGGGGGAGCCGAGGCTGAGGAATAATTGAGACCTGGCTCAGCCTGGCAAGGAGGGGAGAGGTCAGATGGGTCTGTAGAAAAAGAAGATTAGAAAGACTCAGCGACGCTTGGGGTTGAGACTGAGGGGATAGGCGGGAGGGAAGGAAGGAGGATTTGGGACGAGTCGCATTGGGAACAGAGACTAGGAAGGGAACAATGTGTAAAAGAATGCCTGGATGTCAGGCACCTCAGACCGTTTGCCCATTTTATGATGAGAATTATCTAGATCTTGTAGGATGGAAAAATCGAAAATGCAACTTTTTGGCTATTTGGAACCACTGTCTAGTTTGTATTGGGGTCAAGTGGCATTGTAGAAGAAAATAAGGCATTTAGGTTTTAGGTCAGTGTGAGTTGAAGAGGTTTTAAGTTCTTGAGAACACAGGCTAAGGGAGAAGATGGAGGAGTGGAGGGTGGAAGCTTGCCCATAGTGAAGGAGGCAAGCCCAGAGAGAGAGTAGAGACACAGAGAGAAGGGGTTTGGGGGTTCTTACCCTCCAGAAAAGTGGGAAAGGTGTTGAGGAGTGGAAATAAGGGGTTGGGGCACAGAGATAAGAGGTTGGGGCACAGAAATAAGGGGCTGGGGGGTTCTTTCCCTCCAGAAAAGCAGAGAAGGGGTAGAGACAGGGAGAGAAGGGGTCAGGGTTTTTGCCCCTCCCCCCAGAAAAGCGGGACTTGCCGCTAAGGGTGAAGGACCAAGGCAGGCATCCCTGTATGGTCAGACACCTCTGAAACGTAGATGAATAATCAGAGAGGTATCCCTGCAATGATTAAACACCAAGAGAAGGCTGCCTTCCTGAGTCCATGACCGGCGCTGGAGTTTTGGGTCCACAGATAAAACCTGTCTCCTTTGTCTCTACCAGAAAATGAAAGGAATTGAAATTAAGAGAAGGGAGAGATTGAAGGGTGGTGCCAAGATTGAAAGGAGAAAGTGGTTGAGGGATAGTGAGAGAGGTTGGAGAAGACAGTAAGAATAGGCCACTTACCCTATTTAAAATTGGTGAGATGTTCCTTGGGCTGGTGGGTCTGAGGACCCGAGCTTGTAGGTGGATCTTTTTCATGGAGCAAAGAGCAGGAGGACAGGGGATTGATCTGCCAAGGGAGGTCCCCCGATCCTAGTCATGGCACCAAATTTCACTTGCATCTGTGTGAAGAGACCACCAAACAGGCTTTGTGTGAGCAATAAAGCTTTTAATCACCTGGGTGCAGGTGGGCTGAGTCTGAAAAGAGAGTCAGTGAAGGGAGATAAGAGTGGGGATGTTTTATAGGATTTGGGTAGATAAAGGAAAATTACAGTCAAAGGGGATTTGTTCTCGGGTGGGTAGGAGTGGGGGGTTGCAAGGTGCTCAGTGGGGGAGCTTTTTGAGCCAGGATGAGCCAGGGAAAGGACTTTCACAAGGTAATGTCATCACTTAAGGCAAGGACCAGCCATTTTCACTTCTTTTGTGGTGGAATGTCATCAGTTAAGGCGGGGCAGGGCATTTTCACTTCTTTTGTGATTCTTCAGTTACTTCAGGCCATCTGGGTATATACGTGCAAGTCACAGGGGATGTGATGGCTTGACTTGGGCTCAGAGGCCTGACAGGATCTGTATTTGCTGAATTTTTTAACATTAACTCCATACCTACGGATGATAAATGCTCAATAAATATTTGTTAAATTAATGGATAGAAATTATTTTGAATGCCATATTACTTTGTTAGGGTTGAGATACAAAGTACCACATATTGGGTGACTTAAACCACAAAAATTGATTTTCTTACAATTTTGAAGACTAAGACCAACGTGTTAGCTGAATTGGTTACTGTAGGGACCTTTCTCCTTGGCTTGAAGATGGCCACCTTCTGTTTGTTTTATTTTTTTCAGATGGCCTTTGTGCGTGACTGTGTCTTAATTTCCTCCTATAAGAACTCTGATAGCCCTATGTCCAAATACAAATTCTGAGGTACTGAGGGATAGGATGCCAACATATAAGTTTTTTGGGAGGTCACAGTTCAACCCATAAAAATGCATTATTAGTATTTGAGCCTAAAGGCAAGTTTAAGAATCAGTGACCTATTTAGGTGTCTCTTAGATTCAGAGGGTCAATTCCATCCTTGATCTTTTACTTCTCATTTTATATTTCTATTATCTCCTTTTCCAATAAATTCTTTACCTGTTTATTTTGACCTGAGGGTTTGGGATGGGATCTTACACTTCTGAATCTCTTTAATGTTTGGATCAGTACTTTACCTTTAACAGATAAATATAACTTACATGTGCACTTTTCAGAGGGCTTTTTCTTTATATTATGTGATAATATATAGATATGATATTATTTTCCCCATTTTACTGATGAGCAATAGAAACAATTTGCTCATAGTTATACAACTATAACTATCCCATTAAGGGATAGTTATAAAAAGAAACATGTCTTCAGACTCTGAAACGAGGTCTTTCTAAAAATTTTAATTGTTTATATACTAAAAGCTTTCATAGTCCTTACAGACTCTTTCCAAAAATCCTAAGGTAAGTTGCAGAAGAAAACTCACTGGAACCCCAAACTTTACTTACAAACATTGAATTTCTGTGGTATTAGTCCCTTTGCATCAATTTCTGCAAGAGCTAAAAATAACAAGATTAATGACAGTCATGCACTTGCATCCTCCCTTCCCAGGACCAGTCTGAGTGGTTTATATAAGAGGGGAAGGACTTTTTAGATTTCTGATTGCTCAGAGAATCTAGAAGGCCAACCCTGCTGGGGTTTGTCCAGGGCTAATGAGAGCATACTGTAATGATGGGATTTCTGTATCTGAGTGATGGCTCCCTAAGCTTCTACCCTTGAGGTCTTTTCCCTTCCCTACCAACTTATGGGGTAATTTATGCATCCCTCAAGTGTCTGCAGTCAGCCTCAAAGGCACAGGTGATGGGAGGGCCTCAGAGTCCAGCTCGGTGATAGACAGTTTCCTGCTGTTGGGCATTCCATCTATGTGAAACACTAACGTGTGAAATACCATCTCACTCACAGACTGAATTATTTTCTCCTTTCTCATTATTATGACTAAGGAAAGAGAGAATGAGGGTGAGTAAAATTTTTTTTTGGAATAGCATGTTAAAATATGACTATTAAAATATTAAAATAGCATATTAAAAGTATTAATCTCCTCTCTAAATGGGGCCACTGTGTGCTTTCTAATGTCCATCTTGATATGAGAAACCTCCTTCTCACCATTTTCTTTCACCTCCAGACATCAATCACCAGTATTATTTAGAATCAAGTGTGTGTGTTTGTGTTTGTGTGTGTGTGTGTGTGTAGGGTGTGACCATCTCTGTGTAATTCTGATTGTGTACCTTGAGACATACAGAGGATTTCTATTTCTCTTTTTTGCCTAAGAATGTATAATTAGTGTCATTTTATTGGGGAGAAATTTTATTTTTTTGTCATTTCTCTGAAGTTGACATTTGATGAGTGTATTCTGAATTCTACCACTCCTCTGGGGAAAAAAATCTCAATGGAAGATTGTACAGTTTAAGTACTTGTTTTTCCCTCTTGAGGTATGCTATTTTTAAGGTCATTAATTTAAAATAGAAATATTTCTTTAAAGCATTGGGGTAAAATTTTTTAAAATATGGTGCTTTGATATAATTTTGAGAAAAGTGCCTGAATCCTAAAACTAACTGTCTATAAAGTTAAGTCCGTATAACAAATGATTATATATATAACAAAGTAAAAGTAAATAGTGTAGAATATTAAAGTTCTCTTCCAGGGCAATGGGTATTGTGGGGGATTAAACAGAAGCCCCTTTGCTATGATCAACTGCAAAGGAAAGAAACTAAATATGATTCAGTGATAAACAAAAATAGCAAAGACTGATCAGGAAAATGAGAAAGAGCTATGCAAGTACAGATGATCACCAGGCCAGAGAATTTTAAGTGCTAATAGCTTTACTCCTGCATATTCCATCAGTAGAATGAGCTTTTTCTTTTAGTCTAAGTGACACTTTGAAGGTCTTTGCATTCATTACGCTTTTATATACTGCTTTTCTTTTCTCTTCTTTTTATTTCATCCAACACACTAAGAAATGAAGAAGTTTATTGATATATTGCCCAATAAAATACAAATCTGTTGCAACACAATGCATATATCTTATTAGCATTCTTGTTAGTTCTAAAATTCAATTCATCCATAGACACTTATTCCCAGCCTTCAAATGGAAAGCTCTCTTTATGCAAGAGAAAAAGGTATTTAAAAGTGACCAAATTTTAGAATGAGGAATTGGTTATGCTGAATTTCTGTTCCAAAATCACTAGGTAAAATTTCCATATCTAATAATGTATTTTAGGAACAAGCCAAGGTTTGTCATTAAGACATAGTAACATTAAACTAATATTTAAAAATAGATTTAGCTATATTTAATCATGAGAAAAGGATTTCTGTGGCCAGGACAAAACCCACCTTGATCCTAAAGAGACATTAGCAGTGCCCATGTCAGAGCCTTCTCACATTCTTGGAATAAAGTAAACCACCCCAAGGAAGGTGAGGGCACCAAATGGATCATTCTTCAAAATGAAAGGCAGTCTCTTACTTTCTCTTGAGACATTTCTTCCCTATTTGGGGATTTTATGACTGCTGTTCTGGAGAGCCCACATGTTTTGCTTCCATGCAGGCCAAATCCTTCTCTTGGGTTTGGGCAAGAGAAGTTAATCCACCTAACAGCATTTTGATTAGACAAGAATATCATCTGATCTTATCCAGGGACAAGAAAGTGGCATGACCAAAGGTTCTCCTTATGTCTCTTTCTTTAAATGATTTCCTAATTTTCAGAAGGGTCCTGGATAGACTAGTTTCTGATAAGGAGATTTTGCTGTGGTGTCTGTTCTTCCAGGTTAAAGGCACACAAAGCCTTCTGTGGTCCACTTGTGCTTGTCTTCTGAATTCACTGAAACATGGCAGAATAAGGTTAAGGGAAAATGAATTTTGACTTTACATAGTTAAATGAGTAGGAGTTACAGCAAAAAAAAAAAAAACAATAATAATAATAAATAAGTTTTGACTTAGTAAGGGCCTTTTTTAAGAGGAAAAGTCAGAAAGATACTTTTTCAATAGCAGTTATTATAACCCTAAGCTTGAGAGCCCATGTGCTGCTGAAAAGGATTATGGCTTTTGTATCTTAAAGACATTAGTTGCTAATTGGATTAGCCATCCTTATCAGTTTTGGATTGAGAAATACCCTTGTAATGACACAGCCTTCCATAATGAAGTGCCATGTTAATGTCTATCAGGTGGTAGGTTAGAAACACAGTTTTGAAGAGTGAATAATGACAGTAGTAACGTTCTTCAATCTGAATATAAATAATTAAACTGAAAAAATACTATTTTTAAATGTATCTACAAATAAATACGTAAGATTAATGTATATTAGCAATGCATTTAATAAACCATACTCATTAAAAATAGAATTTATAAAACCAGAACATCTTGAAAAAATCTAGACATATGGTAACTTTATGGTTGATGCAGTGAGAAAATATCATCCAAATTTTTTTTATTTTTAATATCCCTTCTATAGTAGATTGAGGGCTATTGGCCTCAATTTGTTCAGGTCCTTCGTTTTACACTGACTTTGAGCTTGGTCATAATACTTGCTTTGGACAGTGGGATGGAAGTAGGCATGATGCCTAGAGACTTGACATGCACCTTTTCATGGTGTTTGCCATATTCCTGTTCTTGGAATTCTGCTACCAAGTGAATGAGTCCAACCTAGTCTACAGGAGGATGAGCACACGCGCTCACACACACACACAATTATGTGCTCCTTGAGACATTTCTATCAATAATGGACCACATATGCAATGGTGGTCCCCGAAGATTATGAGATTTTGATACAGTATTTTTAATATACCTTTTCCAGGTTTAGATATGTTTGGATATACAAATAATTACCATTGTGTTACAATTGCCTACAGTATTCTGTATGGTAACATGTTGGACAGATTTATAGCCTAGGAGCAATAGGTCATGCCATATGTCCTAGATATGTGGTAGGCTATGCCATCTAGGTTTGTGTAAGTATATCCTGCAATGTTTGCACGACAGTGAAATTGCCTGAGGACATATTTCTCAGAATTTATCCACATTGTTAAGTAACACATGAGTGTGTGTATGTGTGTGTGTGTATATTACATTTCTTTATCCATTTATTTGTTGTTTAACACAGATTGATTCCATATCTTGGTTATTTTAAATAACATTTCAATGAACATAGGAATGCATATATATTTTTGAGATACTGATTGTATTTCCTTTAGATATATATCCAGAAGTGGAATTGTTGGATCATATGAGATGTCTATTTTAAATCTTTTTGTGAACCTCCATACCGTTTTCCAAAATGACTGTATCAATTTACATCTCCACCAACAGCATACAAGGGTTTCCTTTTTTAACACATCCTTGTCAACACTTACCTTCTGTATTTTTGATGATAGTCATTTTAATGACTGGAAGGTAACATTGTGGTTTTGATTTACATTTCCATGATGACTAGTAATGTCAACTTCTAAAAAATATGCCTGGTAGCTATTTGTACGTCTTCTTTTGAGAAATGTCTATGCAGGTTCCTTTGTTTATTTTTAAACTGGGTTATTGTCATTATTTTTTTGCTATTGAGTTGAGTTTTTACATATTTTTGGATATTACCTCCTCATCAGATGTATAAATAGTCAATATTTTTTCACATTTTGCAGGTTTTTTCCCATTTTGCAGGAAACAACTCTGCTGGTTGTTTCCTTTGCTGTACAGAAAGAAGCTTTTAAATTTGGTACAATCTCATTTGTCTATTTTTGCTTTTGCTGCCTGTACTTTGGGGGCCATATCAAAAAAATTGTTGCCCAGAGCAATCTCAAGAAACTTTTTTCACTTTGTTTTCTTCTAAAAGGCAGCGATTTTTAATGAAATTCCTTATATTCTTCTCAGGGAGAAAAATGAGACTCTAAAGCGCAGTTTCTCAGTGTGTGGCCCACAGGTCCCATACATCAGTTCTATATGACTATTGAAAATTCAGATTCCTGAATACTACTCCCATAAACTGAACTAGAATTTCTGTGGAGTACATGGTGAAGGGGAGTGGGAATGAAGCCTGGGAAACTGTATTATTCATTAAAAATCCATGTAGTTAGACTTTTGATCCAGTGCTTTGAGAGAATGAATTTTAACAAAAACTCAAGCAATTAAAATGACCAAATAAAACTAAGCTACTTGAGACCAATGAGAGAAAATTGGAGGCTCCCTCCTTAGCTGAAGTGGAAAAGAAGAGATCAGGAGACAGAGCAGGAAGAAGGGGGCAAATGTATCTTGCAAAATGGCAAGAGGCTTTGGCCTCTCTGGAGACACATAATCAGCCAGGAACCTCTGACGGGGGGACTGGCAGAACATTTAAGCACAGGAGCATTTTCTCAGCAAGTTCAAGGTGGTTGTGTTGCTGAAATAGTGAATATTCCCCACCTAGTATTTTCTACCTCCATTTATTCAATAACAGTCATCACAGTTTTAGATGCTTTCATTATGTTTTTTTTTAAATTGTTTTTGGTTTCGATAGTGTATGTGTTTGTGAGCAAGACCTGGCTTGGTGATTCACAGGTGGGTCAGTGCTGTGGGGAACAGAGAAAGCAGGCTTGGAAGGATACACTCGAAGGCAAAAGACATCCTGAGACTCTGAACCTCGACAGAACTAGCAGAAGTCTAAAGGACAGCTTTGCATGTCCACACAGGGTGTATTAGTGTTTGTTTATAGTCAATATCATCTCAAGGACTTGGGAGGTCTGGAGGGCAACTAGGTCACATAATTAAACCATTGCCAGTAGCCATCTTCTGTTTGGTTTGTGTGGTGCCAGCCAAGGCCTCCAGACACAGTCAGTGGATACTGTTAACTGCTACTTCTTCTACAGATGGTGATATGGTTTGGCTCTGTGTCACCACCAAATCTCCTCTTGAATTGTAATCCTCACATGTTGAGGGAGAGACCCGCTGGGAGGTGATTGGATCATGGGGTCAGTTTCCCCCATACTGTTCTCATGATAGTGAGGGAGTTCTCATGAGATCTGATGGCTTAAAAGGGGCAATTTCCCCTGCACTCTCTCTCTCTCTCCTTCTGCCATGTAAGATTTGCCTTGCTTCCCCTTCCCCTTCTGCCATGACTGTAAGTTTCCTGAGGCCTTCCCAGTCATGCAGAACTGTGAGTCAAACCTCTTTTGCTTATAAATCACCCAGTCTCAGGTATTCTTCACAGCAGTGAGAAAACAGTCTAATACAGATGGTGTCTCTTGAATAACCTCCGGCAGCTGAGAGGCAACATGTTTGCAGCCCTGAAGATAAATGTGCCATTGTTCCTTTCCTGCATCCCAGTCATAATGCAGTATTGGCTAGTCCTAAATGTGCCATTGTTCCTTTCCTGCATCCCAGTCACAGTGCATTATTGGCTAGTCCTCTAATCTGACAGTCCCTCCACCCAGCTTTTGAATCAACAACCTCAGCAAAACACAGAGTGGCTCTCTCAGGGATGAGTTTTTTTTAAGCAGTCCAGACATCTTAACTTCCTTCTTTCTGATTCACTAGAGGTGAAAGAGTACAGTACAAAGAGCAAGAAAGGTGAACAACTTTTTTATGCAAGCAGAGAGCAAAGTCACAGGACTGTTGATATTCTTAAAAAATCATGCTAGCATACGGATACTGCAAGAAGGTCTTGCGCCTTATTTACAACAAACATTGGAAGAAATTATTTCTATGTAGGATGTAAATAAGCATGCTATATATTTGGTAATTTGTACAGATAACTTTGTAAAGGGAACTGATTCTTGAGATTAGGCTAGTCCAATCTCCGTTAATGTTAAGAGAAACTGAGCTCCAAAGAAATTAATGACTTTTCTGGACTCATAGATTTGATTGTTGTACAGATGATCAATAAAAAAGAAGCTCAAGTTATTTTTTTTCTCTGTTACAAATCAACTTGCAATGAGTCAACAATAAGCCTAGAGTTAAAACAATATGAACAAAGAAGTCAAGACAGTGAAAACATTTTCTTGATGTAAATACACTTAAATTTATGGCAACTCTATAATGAAAAGATGTTTCAAGCAATTGCCTACATAATTCCAGCCACATAACAAAGGCCTCATTCTTTTGCATTTTAAAATCCTGATTTAATAGATTGTTTCCAATTTGTTTTGCTTGAGCTATATCTACACCATATTTAAAATCTGTTCTATTTTCTTAGCCATTGCCTTAGAAGAGTCTCTAATTTTCTTTTTTTCCCAACCATAGAAATTGCTTCCAGACTGGTCTGCTTGCTCAATCTGTGCTGTAGATTGTTGCCATCTTCTAAATCATTGCCTGATCATGATCTTGCCCTGTTCAAAGCCCTTGATAATTTTATTTTACTGAAATATTCGTATAAAAGAACTATTAAGATTAGTCCAAACTGCTCACAATTTCAGTTTGCTGTCACAGAATCTTTTTTATTTTCTTTTTTTTTTCTGTGACTCTTTACCCTCCATTCCTTTCCAAACTTCTCTCCCAATATTTCATGCATTCTATGCTCCAGGCACAAGAAACTAGGCATCATCCTTGAATATATCAAGAGCTATTCCTTCCGTCTGTGAGACCCTTCTTCTCTTTCTCTGAATGTCTAAATCATTTCCATCCATGATCGCCAAGGTTATATGTAACTTTTCTATTACTTTGAATCCCTTCTGCTTAAATTATTTGTCCTGCATGAGTTTGCACTGCATATTTTGTTTTTCTTTTTGTGGGTGTGGAATGAAACTTACTTACAGGAATCTGATATAAAGTTAGTGTAGGGCATTTTTGTTAAGTGAAATTGCTTTCTTAGAAAAAAAAAATAATTCTCAGACTCCAAATTTGACAAAGGAACATACGTATTCTGTAAGGAACTGGTGTGTTAATGTTAAAAGAATACTTTTACTTCTAGAACCCCAGAATTCTGATGCTGGGGTTTAAGCACTGACTTTAACACCTATCAGCTTTGTGAAAATAGTCAAGTTCTTTGTAATTTTTGCCTCTGTTTTCTCATCTAAAAAATACTAATTTCATCAGGTTTCTAGAAATATTAAATGTGTTGTAACATGTAACTCATTTATAATAGTATCTAACAATAAGTGCCCCAAAATATTATCTATTCTTATAATAATGGAGAGTAAGCCAAACACATGAACAAAGGTTTTGTTCTAATAGCGACCTATTTCTTGTTTCTTTCAAATATGTTTTAACCTTTAAAAATATTTTTATTCATGAGCTGAAATTAGTAATCTTGTCTTTTATCTCCTTAAGCATAGAATAAATATTATTCTAAAATCTGTACTTAAAAATTCCAATTAACTAGAGTCTTGTAGGTCTAATTCTAATTTATGTTGTTTTTATTGGGTCTCATAGATGTGGTCTTGTGTTCTAACAAAAATCTAACTTGATTTTTGTTCATTGTTTGTTTCAGACAATGCCATTTACAGTATCACCAGAAATAATATAATAGCTAGAAATAAATTTGAGCAAGGAGAGAAAAGGCTTATACAATGAACATTATAAAACATTGCTGAAAGAAATGTGTCAAGAAATGTTTTAAAGAAAGATTTTTATGTCAAAATGTTTTAAAAAAGGACTAAATAAATGAAAATACATGCAGTACTCGTTAATTGGAAGATTTGATATTAAGATATAATATTGTTAGGACACTATTAACCAAAACAATTTACAGATTTATTTAATGTCAACAGCATTTTTTCTTAGAAATTCAAAAGCTGATCCTCAAATTTATGTGGAACTGCAAAAGACCACAATGAGCCAACACAATATTGAAAAGGAAAAAAAAAAAAACAAAGTTCGATCACTCAGTCTTCCAAATTTCACAATTTACTACTATAGTAATAAAAACAATGTGGTACTGGCATAAAAATAGAAATATCTATCAGTAGAATAAAATGGAATGTTCAGAAATCCATACGTCTATGGTCAGTTGACTTTTGGCAAGTGTTTTAAGACCATTCATTGCACAAAGAACATTTCTTTAACAAATAATGCTGGGACAACTGGTATCCACACATAAAAGAATAAAATTGAACGCATATCTCACACAGTACACAAAATTAACTGAAAAATGGATTAACAACCCAAATATAGAAGCTAAAGCTATAAAGCTACTAAAAGAAAACATAGAAGTCAACTTTTATGACCTTAGATTTGGCATTGGATTCTTAAATATAACACCCAAAGTATCATTGTTACCATGAGCAACAATGACAACAGAAACGGGAAAATTGGACATATCAGAATTAAAAACTTCTGTGTATTAAAAAAGATTAACAAGAAAGTGAAAATATAATCTACAGGATGGGAGAAAATACCAACAAATGACATAGGGTCTAACATGTAGAAAATTACAGAACTGTTACAACTAACAAGAAAAAGACAAATAACCCAATTCAAAAATGGGCAAAGAATTTGAATAGGCATTCTGTGAAGAACATATACAAATGGCCAACAAACCCATTAAAAAATGCTTAACAACAGTAGTCATTAGTAAAATGCAAAACAAACTACAATGAGATACAATTTCACACCCAATAGGATGGCACTAAAAAAAATGGGAAATAACAATTGTTGGCAAGGTAGAGAAATTAGAACACTCACATGTTGCTGGTAGAAATATAAAATGTTTTAGCCAATGTAGAAAACAGTTTGGCAGGTCCTCAAAGAGTTAAACATAGAATTATCATATGATCTAGTAGTTTCACTTCCAGATATAAACCCCAAATAATTAAAGCTGATGCTTGAACAAAGCCTTGTACACTCACATTTGGAGTATCATTGTTCACAATAGCCAAAACATGAAAACAACTGAAATATTCATAAATAAGTGAATGAATAAACAAAGTTTTGTATACATATAAAATAGCATATTATTCAGTTATAAAAAAGAGTTAATACTCATATGTACTATTACATGAATAAATCTCCAAAATATTTTGCTAAGTGAAAGATACAAAGGGTCACATATTGTGTGATTCCATTATAGAAAACAGAGAAGGCAAATTCATAGATACAGGAATTAGAGTGGTGTTTGCCAAGGCTGGAGGCAGAGGGAAATGGAGAGTTACTGTTTAATGGGTACAGTTTTTTTTTTTTCTTTTGGGATAATGAAAATGTTTGGAAATTAAAATACAGGTCATGGCTATATAACATTGTGAATGTCCTACTAAATTGTTAAATGCTTCAAAATGGTTCAAAATGGTTAAATGCTTCAAAATGCTTCAGAATGGTTAAATTTATTTTAATCTCAATAAATAAGAAAATGTATTCATATTTATTTATGAAGTATTTTCTAGTTCTTTTCAACATAAGGCTTAGATAGATTTGCCCAGTCAGCTTTTTTCTTTTCTGTATTTTACCAATGTGCCCTTATTTACTTAATGCAAATTATTTATGTATACTACTTTCATTCAGGGTTCCCCAGACCTTGGCACTATTTATATTTTGGGCCAGATAGTTCATTGCTATGGGTGATTGTTCTGTGCAATGTAGAATATTTAGCGGGATTTCCAACCCTCGCCTTCTAGTTGCCAGGAGTATCCTCAACCCCAATTGTAGCGATCAAAAATGTTTCCAGGTATTGTCAAATATGCCCTGAGAGGCAAATGTGCCTCTGGTTGGGAATTCTGCTCTGAATTAAGATGTTCTTTGCCTTGTTTGCATCAGCTCGTAGAGCATGCAAGGAGTGTCTATGAAACCTCTACAATTGTATACACCCAGAGGGAAAGTAGAAAAAGAATTAGCAATTTCATGTGAAGAAAGTTTTAGAAAGTTAAAAACAAATTTGAAAATTGTTCTCCTTCAGGAGTCACAATACAGTGATATGATAAATATGTCCATGGATATTTCTAATGCAATATGAAAGATAGTATGATAGGAGTCTAGGATAGGAGGAAGCTCTGATTTTAAACATTTTTTTAGTAGAGGTATAATCTAGCTTTTGTTAGGTTTTTAAATTTGTTTTATCTTTAAAACCACAAATAATTGAAAAAGCAGAAGTAACTTGTGAGCTAAGGTGTCTCAATCCAGCTTCAGTTAGGAAATAAGACACCACTTTAGGCATTTCAAACAGAAAGAGGTTTACTAGATGTAGTTGAGCGCTCCGAAAATTATTACTGTCTTTGGATAGTTGATTTCCAGGCCTCATTACCTCAGCAAGGATTCCAGAAGTCAATGAGATACTGCTGCAACCACTGACACTATTTCTACCACCACAGCTGGCCCTCTTAATCACCAAGTTGTTGGTGAGGCACTGGGACACAGAGACTGGCTGTTGCAAAGATGCCCCTCACCAAATGCTACAGCAGAGGAATTAGCCTCCTCCACACATCTGCCTTTTCAGCTGATATCCAAGTGTATCAAATTAGGGGAACCTGAATCACATCCAAATCCTAGTTGAAAGTAAAGCAAGGAAATGTAGGGAATTTTTTTTTTTTTTTTTTGCGTTTTCTAAATTTTCAACTAAAAGGAAGTTCAAATTTGAGTTTCAAGAGCCAATTCAAATAGCTACTTTGTAAAGAAATTCACTTAGATGATGGGTTGCATGACTGTCAATAATTACATGAAAAAAGTACCTAAAATTATTTTGAATTCCACTTATATACCTTAACCTTATTGAAAAATGGTCATTTTTATTAGTGTGCAAATGAATAGGATCTGGTACAATTTTGTAGTTCAAACTGAGACAGTGTAAATTTCTGAAAACTAACATATCTATCTCTTTAAACACCATCACATAAACTACAGATGTATTTTTTTGTTATATCCCTGTGTCTCTTAACCCTGTCTATTATGTCTTATGTCAACATTTACTTGAATAATCCAAATAATTTTTACATCATTTTCCCTATTTGAAGTTGGTCATGCAGAGCTGAGTACTAAAGCTTCTTGGTGAAAGTGAACTTCAATCAAATGGCCTGTCTTTCTCCATAGATAATAAAGTGCTTTATTTGCCAATAATCCTTACTGAAGTATATTTTAAAGTGAGAGAAAGCTGGAGAATCTTTATTTTATTGGAATTCTAACATACTAATTTTCACACTGGGCAGGTGAGCTGCCACTAACCTCAGGCAAGTCAATTTTCCATTTGCCTGACTCTCACAGGTAACTAATGATGGACAAGGGCTGACTGCATATTTGCTATGCTGACTTGCTTTGAGGATTACCTGCTATGTAGAATTGACTTTAAGACACTTTATTATTATTCTCCTCTTACAGCAATATAAGAAGACCCCCCTCCTCTCCCATTAGATAACTCTTGTTTTAGTGAAGCCCATTGGTCTTCCTAAAACAGGTGAAATTAATCTTATTCACTAATTTAATTGTAAATTCTTGTAGCTTGATGTGTTGTCTTTGTGTTTATTTATTTATTTTTATTTATTTTAAGAGAGGGTCTCACTGTTTTGTCTAGGCTGGAGTGCAATGTCATGATCACAGCTCACTGCAGCCTCAACTTCCCGGTCTTAGTTGATCCTCCCACTTCAGCCTCCTGAGTAGATGAGACTACAGGCATGCGCCACCACACCTGGCTGATTTTTGTACTTTTTGTAGAGGCAGGGTTTTGCAATGTTGTCCAGGATGCTCCCGGGCTCAAACCATCCACCCGCCTCGGCCTCCCAAAGTGCTGGGATTACAGCCATGAGCCACTGTGACCAGCTGGCATAATGTATTTTAAACTCTATCCAGCATTATTCAGGTGTGGTTGAGGAAGATGTTTTTGGTCAGGACAACTCCTAAATCACATTTTGTAGATTGCAGTATTATCTCTGCCTGCTTTGCTACATGAACAAGAGATTTATTGACTGATATACATAAAGATCAATTGTTTGTATAGGCAACTGAGGGCTACTCATCAATATACAGATTTATACTGATTGTAGTAATATCTTGGTTATATGGAAGACATAAAATTCTTGCATTTTAAAGATACAACAGCAGAAATAGAGTATCTTTATAAGTTAACCAGATATTAAAGAATTAAAAACAAAACAATCCAGCCTATGAATCAAATGAGATAGAAGGTGATTCTTTATATAACATATTTTTTTACTAATGTATACCTCAGATAATTTTTTTCAATAGAGAGTATGTCCGCAGTAGTAAATCTGCTTAAATATCAGTGAAAGCATTTCAAAACACACTCAAGCATTAGTAAATTATAGTCTCATTTTTAAATGAAAAGACTTAATCTTATGTTACAAGATCATTTGTTTAACCCAATAAATATTCTGAGAACTGAGTGAGCAATATCTGCAAGTATCACTTTGTTCACATTGCATCTTTGGACAAAGTAAATGTTTGATTGTCAGAGCCCTTTTTATGAAGAAGGAGTTGTCAGAAGACAATGTCCAAACATTGACCAGACATTCTTACACGGCATATAAAACATTAGTAATATGTCCAAAAATGATATACTCTCAGTATGTTCTAATCTCCAGGTAACTAACAAAGGATGAGACCACCAATCAATACCCCAAACACAAAACACAAAGAAGAAAAATAATATATTGCTTATTTAAGTGAAAAAGCCTATGCTGGTCAAACATATGCTTTTAGAGCAGAGCAGGACTTTGATCTTAAACATAAATTTTATGTGTAAGATTTTTAGGAAGGGAGGAATTCAGAGTCTGCCAGACTTTCAGAGGTGAGAGTGAGTTGTTTTTAACTACAGATGTATGCCTGATCAAGTGAGACTTCATTAGTTAACATTCAGAAGCATGTTCATAAGTGTTAACCTACTTCTGATTGCCTAACTTTTGGAAGAAAAGTGCTGTCACTGATTGGTTGGCTTGCAGAAATATATTGAGTTGTCCACATTGATAAATAACGATATGGCTACATAATTATCAGATTTTTTTTCCTAGAAGCAGAAAATGTTTTTTCCCTTTAGCATAATTATCTTCAATAATGTAGAGAGTATCAAACTTATGAAAAAATGCTGATCATCACTGGTCACTAGAGAAATGCAAATCAAAACCACAATGAAATACCATCTCACACCAGTTAAAATGGCAATCATTAAAAAGTCAGGAAACAACAGATGCTGGAGAGGATGTGCAGAAATAGGAATGCTTTTACACTGTTGGTGGGAATGTAAATTAGTTCAACCATTGTGGAAGACAGTGTGGCGATTCCTCAAGGATCTAGAACTAGAAATACTATTTGACCCAGCAATCCCATTACTGGGTATATACCCCAAGAATTAGAAATCATTCTCCTATAAAGACACATGCACACGTATGTTTATTGTGGCACTGTTCACAATAGCAAAGACTTGGAACCAACCCAAATGTCCATCCATGGTAGACTGGATAAAGAAAATGCTGCACATATATACCATGGAATACTATGCAGCCATAAAAAAGGATCAGTTCATGTCCTTTGCAGAGACATGGATGAAGCTGGAAACCATCATTCTCAGCAAACTAACACAAGGACAGAAAACCAAACACTGCATGTTCTCACTCATAAGTGGGAGTTGAACAATGAGAACACATGGACACAGGGAGGGGAACATCGCATATCAGGGCATGTTGGGGTGTGAGGGGCTGGGGGAGGGATAGCATTAGGAGAAATACCTAATGCAGATGATGGGTTGATGGGTACAGGGAACCACCATGGCATGTGTATACCTATGTAACAAACCTGCACGTTCTGCACATGTATCCCAGAATTTAAAGTATAATTTAAAAAAATATAAAAAAGACATTTTCAGGATGCTTTATGTTGCAAGTAATGGAGACTAAACTCAAACTAGCTAAAGCCATAAAAAACGTTTTTGGCTTACATAAGAGAAAGTACAGCAAAAAGTCAGACTTCAAGAATTGACTTAATTCATCTGTGAATCTCTTTACCTAAATTTTCTAATTCTCTCCTCTACACAGTGTTGGCACCATCCTCAGGCTTTAGAGGAGAGATTAATTCCCAGAATAAGATGGCATCCAAGGAAAACAATGTTAGATTTATTAATCAGGATGATTATTTTTCAACAAATATTGATCTTTTATTATTGATCTCAGTTGGATTACCTATAAAAATTTGAATCAATTACTGTGAAGGGAGAGGAATTATCTCTAGACCAATCAGACTCAACCCCAGATTTGTGGATGGGTTCACCCTGAGGTGTATGGATAGGATTGATACTTGAATAAAATCATGGATCTACAAGGATAGAGGAAGAGAGAATAGATGCTGGAGGGAAACCAATGGTCCACTATATGTCATAAAATGAGAAATATAGTACCTAATATCTGTATTATAAAATTTACTCTATATTTTCACTTCTTATTTATTGTTCATGACCATTATTGATGTTATTTGGAACAGTTACTTATTTCTTTTAAATTTTTCAACTCCTTTAAGCCCACCCTGCATTTATCCTCATTAAAAAAAAAACCCAATAGAAGCCCATATTCCGTTCCTGAAGACAAAACCACCTTGCTCCTGTATGCTTTTCTCTATCTTTAATGTACTTCATTTATTTATCTTGGAAGTTCTATTGATTTTTTTAAGACTTTTCTTAGCCCTTCTAAATAGAATTTGTCCCTTTATCATATTGGTCTTCTCAGTGCATTGTACATATTTCTGTAATAGCATTTACAAGTTTGTTTTATACTTATATATTTACATACCTATTTCACAGCTACGATGTGAAACGAGGTGAATGGGCAAGGAAGAAAGGGATCAAGAACCTTATTTTAAATATCTTTGCATTTCTAGTAGCTTACTGTTCCTGGAAGACAGACATTGAATAATCACTAAATGAATAATCAAGGCAGGAGACACGTAGTTGTGTAACTTTGCTAAAATCTATATATTTTTTCTTTCTTCACTTTTCAAAAGGCAAAAATGAAGTTAATATGGAGAGTGTATAATGAGCATTATTTTCCATGTTTATAAATTTAAAATGAGATGTGTGAGAAAACCTTTTGGAAAAGGAAACTCGTGGAGGTAAAATGTAATACTATCATTATTATTATCATTCATTCACTCAATACATATTTATTGTTTATTATGCCTCAGGTGCAGCACATGGAACATATTGCAACCTGAAGGAAATGGTTGCTTACTATTTCTTTTAACATCTCTGCCCCTATTGTTAACTGGGACAAAACAACCATTTGGAGTGTTTTTGTTTTTGTTTTTGCTTTCATTCACAGATGGACCTTCTCCTAAAAGTCTTATCTTCTAAGTCTCCTAAGTCTTGGACTTTTCAAGGCCAAAGATTTAAAGGCCAAGTGGACCATACGGGAGATCTAGTTTCCCATCCAGACAGCCAAGCTCATGCATCCCTGGATTTGGATGGATGGTTTCCCATGGGGCCTTGGACAGATTGGACCCAGCACTGGCACAGGGTTGACTTGGAGGAATAAGCTCCTGGAAACCTCAATTAGCGTTTGGGGTATGAACATTAAACAATACTGAATCTGGAAACAATACATCACACAGCGGGTCCAAGGAAATAAGCAGAAGGCTGGCAGCAGGCCAGGGCCAGGGGCCAAATCGCTCCTCAAAGACAATTCTTCATGGAGAAATGACAGCAGGTTTGAGGACAGCAGGTATGACCTAACAAGATAATGATATTAATTACATTTTGAAAATGGAAATAGGACAAAATGAAAGTGGTTTTTATTTGCCTATGTAATAACAGATTTTACTTCTTTTGCCCAGCTATCTTGAGTCTGAAAGAAATGGATTTAGTTTTAAAAAATAAGGCAATATTAAGTTATACTAAACATTATTGCACCCCTGACACTGTTATGTTTGTTTGTTTTAAATGTGTATTGACTTAATACACATAAATAGCCTTTGGAATGGGTATAGTTATTATCACCATTTTACAAGGAAGAAAAAGGGAGACAACAGAGGTTAGGCAACTTACGCAACTTGCTCTGGGTCACACAGCTAGCAATGATGGAACTAGAAATCAAACAAAAGTAATGTGGTCCCAGAGACCACTCTTTTAAGCATGATGTTGTACTGCCTCTATATTCTGTCATAATTTAAGAGAGGATGAAATTCACCTGGATGGACAAGTAACCCAATGAAACATAAAATTGAATTCAGAAACAGGCTCTTGCACATACACACTCTTGCTATATGACAGAGGTGGAATACAGATCAATCAGGGAAAAGAACGGGCTCTTTAATAAAAAGTGATGAGGCAATTGGTTTTTCATTAGGGAAAATACAAATTTAGGTGCTTACCTCATGCCATGTGCAATAATTAAACCTAAGATTGAAGAGTTACATGTGAAATGCAAAACTTGAAAACTATCAGAAAAATGCATTTATTGCATTTGAGAACAGAATAATTTTTTTAAAGTATAAACTACGTAGGAATTTTAAAATGAATTCAGTTGTTATAATTTAAATTTTTAATTCAACAAGATACATATTTTAAAGTGAAAATACAAGCTATACAATTAAAGTAAATATTTGCCACATATAAAATCAACAAAAAATTTGAATCTAGAGTATATAAAGAACTCCTATGAGTCAAATAAGTAACTACATACACAACTTAAAACTAAAGCAAACATATATTTCACAGAAAAGGAAACATTAATGGCCAAAAAACATGAAGTAATTCTCAAGCTCATTATTAATCAGGCAAATTCAAACTAAGCCATAAAAGCTTTCATTTCACATTCAGCATTTTGGCAAAAGTTAAAATTTATGACAATGTCAAGGGTTGGCAAGGATGTGAGACAGAGGGGAATGTTATAGACTGCCCTTGGGATAGAAGTGTATGTTTGTATAATCTCTCTATGAAGTAATTAGTCACTACTTGGTAAGCTTGAAGATATCCAAACTCTAAATTTGAAAGGACAGTTTTCTAACCTCTCCTGTATCTCAGTGTCTTCATTTGTACATTTTACCTAACTCACAAGTCTAGTGTAATGATTCAATGAGTTATACATATAAAATGCTTTGCTTGGAGCTTGGCGTGAAATTAGCGGTGTTATTTTTTTTTCTGAGATCTTACTTTACACATGTAGGTACATCTTAATTGAGATTTAGCAGTCACAGCTTTTAAAATATTCTTTATATACGGTTTCTTTGTATCACTTGATCAGGATTTCCTCATGCCTATTATATCAGATTGGGACCTTCAGGATCTAGCATATCATCTTTATAGGAGTAGCTATTCAATGGATTTTATTATTGGCTGAATTTTTAAGTATTAACTACTTAAATTTTCCTTTTGGTATTCCCGTACCTGGTTACTGTGAATGGTCTTTGTGCTAGAGGATCGCTAGGTGGTTACTTTAGGTTGGATAGTTGAAAAATAGGAAAAGAGCATTCTAGATGGGGAAAGAGCTAATGTAAAGGACCTAAGGGCTCAAGTTGAACTTGTCAAAAAACAAAACAAAATAAAACAAAACAAAGCCAGTGGCTAGAGGGAAGTATATAATCAATTTGGAAAACAAGAACGGGATCATGTCACACTATATAAGTTTATGTTTTGTTTTGTACAGGTACAAATCCACAAACAATTTACAGCAGAGGTCTATCAAAATATGATTAGCATTTCACAAATACTTTCATGACTGCTTTGTGAAGAATAAATTGCAGATGGGCAATAGTGAAAGCAGAGTGACCAGGCAGAAAAATACAGTGATAACCTGGGCAAGAAATCAAGGTGGCTTGGACTAGTAGTCATGGAGCTGAAAGGATTGAATAGGTTTGAGATATGTATTACTGGTAGTCAACAGATGTGCTTAAGGATTGAGATATTGGGGATAATAAAAAAAGAAGACTCAAGGATAATGCTTAGATTTTTGGTCTAAACACTGGTACCATCTAATAAGATTTGAAAGCCCATGGTTCCGCTGGGTAAGAACAGAGGATGGATAAGGAGATCGAGATTTTATTTTGGCATGTTAAGTTTGAGATACAAAGTAGATATTTAATTAGATATGTCAGGAGGGCAGGTGGATATATGAGTTTGGTATCCAGGGACAGGTAAGGGCTAAAGATAAAATTGAGGAGCCAGCTGATTTAAACTTATATTTTAAATATAACTTGAACTATATTTTAAATCTGTGAGTTTAAGTTTCAGTTTTCTTACTAGGTAACTTCCAAAGACATTTTTGAGAGTCAAATGAAGTAACAAATAAAGGTGTTTTGCAAATTACACTGTGTACAAAGAACAATGGATTAGGAATTAGGAGTTTTAGTCCTGGCACTTTCATTGGCTAATGTTAGCACTTGAGCCAAGATATGTAACTCATTTGGGCTGAGTTTCCTTAGCTATAACATGATGAAATTAGAATCAATAAACTTTTTGGTCTCTTTCTTGTCTCATGTTTGAAAAGAAAAACTTCCCTCTATTGTTGTTAGTTTTCCTCCTTCACTGAGAAGAGCAGGGCCTACAATTATTTAGCTGCAAATTAATTAAACATATAAACTTTATAATCACTTTATCGGAAAAACATTAAGCTCCTAAATGGAACATTACAAGAGCATCTTAACTTTGAGCCAGAGAAAGGACCCAAGAAGCAGACTGAATTCAGTGTCTGTCTATACAATTTTGTACTGAAAGTAATCTTGCTTTTCTTATCTTGATTTGCAGTGGCCAGTTAATTTAGGCAAAGTCGATCTGGGAGTGAGGATAAATAATAGCAAGAAAAAGAAAAAGAGTATTGAATAGATTTTTTTTTATGATGAACAAACAAAAGTCTTTATTTGTATAATTAAGCAAAGCTTTTATGGGTGGAACAAACATTTTAGAAAGCATAGCTAATTTTGGCTGCGTTCATATTTTTCTGTGACCTTGACATTTATATAATCTGGATGCAAATTTGTGATTAGCTTAGAGGACAGGTGAGGATGAACTGGCTAATGGGCAACAGTTTAGAGACCACACAAAAATATCACCAGTCTCTAAGTTCTACATGCCATGAACAGAATCACAAATTTCCAAAGACTAGTTAACTTAGAGCTCAACTTCTTTCCTTTAGGACCAATTACAGATGGCCTTGAATATTTTCAGTGCTGTCAACTGATAGCTTATGAAAAAACCTATACTATTTTTGTACAATTCTAAATGATAAGTAGTCCCTTTACATTTTGAAACCAAAATGAACTGCCTCATAATTTTCTCTCTTGCATTCTATTTCTGTTCTTAGAGAAAAAAATAGACAAATAAAGAAGTAAACATGTAAACTTATTTGAATATATTGGGTCTTCTGAGAGCTATCTATTCATCTTCATGTTCTTCAAGTATTTGTTGTTCAGCTTTCTGGACTGCCTCATTAATACAGTTGGTCTTTTTATGCATGAGCTCATTTTAGAATTTTACATTTTAAATGTGTTAGCCAGAAAGAACCATGTTTACTTAGATATTATCTGGCAATTGCAGAACTTCATGGAATGCACCACCTTCAGCATTGACTCATAGTGAGCTTGCACAATTAGAAAGTCCCATATCTTTCTCTTAAGACTGTTGAGCCAGACATTACCAACTGTACACTTTTATAAAGTTTGAACTTTTTTTCAGAATTAAATTTAGTAAGTTTCATATATGGCATTTCTCTCAACCTGACTTGTCTCTTAAAAGTTCTATGTTCACTTGACTCATGATCACTAGAATGCAAATCTACTCTTCCTATTCTGTGTGTTGATGAGACTACTAATGGCCAGCACAGTATTTAAGTCAAGATATTTTCATTTCAGGGGTTGTCATCAAATACCATTGTGACATATAGTGTCTTTTAATTCTAATCAAATACAAATCAAGCTTTTAGGCTGATTATTTTAATGCATGCATGGGTCGAGTTTTAGAAAACTCTGATCCCTGACAAGTGTATTTAATTCTTATTTTTATAATGTAATAATTCCTGTAGTATTGATATCTACTCTTTTTAAAATGATAAAATTTACACTTTCTATGTTACATTTATCCTGGTTTATTTTTGCCTAGGTTCCAGCCATTATATATATATCATTTGAATATACAATCTGACATCTGTTGTGTTAGCTTGGTCAGTTCTTAAAGTCATACTAAAATGTCTTCTGTCAATCCTTAATGAACTATATAATGAAGAGAAAGGCAAGGAGAGAATTCCATTGACTGCTGAGAGACTTGTCCTTTGCTACTTGGAATCTTTGCTTATGTATTCAATCCTATTTCTGGATCTTATGGCATAAGATCCTCAACTCTATGCTTCATTTTCTGGTGTCATGATATTATTGTGCAGATACTCTGCCTGGATATGGGTAAATTTACCTGCATATCCCTGAGGTACCATAGGGTTGCGTCTCCTATGCAGACTCATTTCATAATTCTAACCACTGAGGAACATCTATCTTTAGATATTCTTAGGTAACTCCCACCCTGCTCTTTTGTTTTCTGTTCCCAGCCAGTTACCTTACATTTAAAGCCTACCTCTCCTTCTGTGACTAGTGTGCTACTCTGTCCCCTCACATAGTTCATGCTTGATACTGTACCTTCTCTGATGATACCTGAAGAATATAGATACTATTAAGTTGTTATTGTTATCAGTACTTTATTTCTAAAAGACTCACTTTTATTATTAATATAATATTCATAATAACATGATTACCATCATCAGCTTGGTAGTAGTAATAGCATCAAAAGGCTTAATTAGAGCTATTAAGTTTGCTGTTTTAATGACCTGGAGTAGAAATCACAAATACTAAGCCATCATTATCCCATCTTCCTCAATGTCAAATGAGGCCTTTCTCAAACCAACCATGCCATGTCCTCCATTGATTAGCGTCACCTCTAAAGATGGTAATTTATTTGGAATTGATCGGTCATTAATTTAACATTTTTAAATGCCAAGATTTAAATCTGAATACTAAGACAGGAGGCCAAAAGCTGCATTCATGTATACTGGCTTCTTAAATAAGGTTTAGAGATCCCAGAAATTCTCATATTCAGATTAGTTGACCAAAACAGGCTTAATTGGCCAATTTGACTTTTTCTACTAGAGAAAAGAGAATTTACATGTAAAAACTGCTTTCATTGCTTCAGGTGCTTTGTCTGTGCTTAATTCTCATTACAATTCTATTGTTATCTTCATTTGGTAGATGAGGTGACCAAAGCTAAGAAATATTAAATAGCTACACTAAGGAAATATAGAGCAAAATCAAGGTATGCATAAATACATCTGATCTCAATGCCTGTTTTCTTTTTATATCCTGCTTTACAAGAATAAAATTTTCCTAACACTTTACTAGGTGTCTTATCTTGAAAAACTTGTTTAATTCTCCTAGCTGTAGAATTTTTTCATCTATAATATGGGTATAAGAATAGTAACCAACCCTTAGAATTGCCTTGAAGATTTAATATAAAGTTCTTAGTACAATTTCTGGCATGTAGGTGATTAAATATACGTTATATGATAATGATAAAGATAAGATAATTCTTGCTGTAGATCAAACTATTCAGAAAAATTCAAGAGGAAGTTATATGGTGTTTTAGAAAGGCCACTTTATTGGGAATGTACTCAAGAAAAGAAAGTACTACAATGTGCTTCTAAGATTTCAAGCCTGGCTGATGGAGAGAATTAGATTCTCAGTATCAAAGACAGAAATAATAAAAGCAATGATCTATTTGGGAGTAAAAAAAGATGTGCTTTGTTATTGGTACACAGAGTTCTATGGAGTCTCTATCAGACTGTCAAGATTGGGATAGCTAACTTGGAATTGCATAAGTGGGAATCGTGATAAGGAGAATTGTGTGAGCTAAAAAGCTATGTCTGTGAGGTCTCTGCATGCAGCTCTGTTGAAGCTAATGGAGTCAATAAAATAGATCAGAATGAGAATTTAAAGTGTACAAAGAAAAGAAATGGGAACAGAAACTTCATAACATCTACACTAAGAACAGAAATAAAGAACACATTTACTAGCAATAAACGACTGAGGCCCAGGAGTTAATCTATTGTCTGAAATTTGTTGACTGTAAAACAATTAGAGGTTTTCCTGGGGGATAGGTGGGGTCGGTGGATAATTATAACTGACTTCTTGCTTGTTGTTTAACTCAGTAATCAAAATACCCCTGCCCACTTGAAAGAATTTGTGAAGACACTTTTGCCTCCTCAACTTTTTGTCCATAGCACAGAAATTTGAAGCTGTAAATTTAAGATAACTTGACTATTTTGTTCTCTTTTCTGCTTTTCTGTAGCATCAGGGTAATTTCTGTATATTCCCTTTAACTTTCTTCTATTCAGACACTGCAGATATTAGGACAGAAGGTATAGGGCTGGAAGACTGAGGCAGGTAGTAGATATTTTAATCTAGGGATATTCTTCTTAACTGATATTAGATTGTAACTCTACTTGACTGTAAATTTTGAGGATAAATTTTGATTTTTATATATTAGCAATCAAATATTGTTAAGCAAATAAATAAATAATCAACAAATGAACAGATAGATATGGGATTTTCCCAGATAAGTAGCCATGCTTAGAATTCTAGTTTTCACATATTTTAACCATTTAGAGAATGAGATAGGCAAGCAATGGGAAGTGAAAAGAATATTACCCCAGACTAGCAAAGCTGAACTAGATAAATGAGTGCTTGGCAGTGGGATTTATAGAGAAAGCTTTGCAAATCTAGCTGTTCTCTAGATGTGGTTCTGGAAAGTGGATTCCTCTATTACCTAAATAGTTGGTGAAGAAAGACCAGAAAAATCCATATGCAAATTCTCTTTCTTCCCTCATTCCACTGTTGAGTGTCCTGTCATATAATCTTACTTAGATGCAAGGGAAGTTTGAAATGCAATGTTCTTGTGCACTCATAAGGTTAAATAAGATTGGTGAACATTTAGCTACTATTATATTTTTCAATCTCTGAAACTCAGTAATCACGTGACCTGCTTTAGCAAATATTTTGCATTTAACCAGAATCTCCCCTGAAAAATCTGCTGTATCTCTTTCCTACCAACTGATGCTAACTTCTAAGCAATATCATATGCTTTAGAATTTTGTTTCATTGGTACCTCAGTTTTGATACTAATTTTTGGATTAATTCAAACTATTCTGCAGCATCAAAACACTCCCCACCCCCAAATCTCATGACTTAACTCAGTGAAAAACTGTCATTACCTAATGTCTCAGTGTGCTATAGAGAAGGAGAAGAATTTGCCTGCTGACACTCTTCCAAGCAGGGACTCAAGGACTTTGGCTCCCTTTCTAGAGTGGTGCCATTATCTCATGCATGTAGATGAGGAAAAGTGAGCAGATGGAAAACCATGAAAGATAGGTATGATCAGTTTCTTTTTGGCTACTGTATGGACAAATAGGCTCTAAAAGGTAAAGGTTAGGAAGGAATAGACTGGTTGGGAGACTACTACAATAATCTAGATGAGAGCTGCTGATGATCAAAGAGGGGAGTTAGAGGGGAGGTAGTGAAGAGACAGGATAGTAGATAAAAATTTAGAGTACAACCCATAAGACCAAGTTATATAGCTAATAAGTAGCAGAACCCAGAGTCAGATCTTGTACTAATGTCTGAGTTTATTGCACTATTGCCTATGGCTTTAACTTTCTTCGGCTTATGTGTGGAATAAGCAAATACTTAACAGTCTTCTTTTTGTGGCTCGAGATACACAATTCTCCCCTATTATGATGGATTCTGGCTAGCAGGTTCACAATCTAGTCATTTTTGGGCATGGGGAGAGGCTCTTACCCATTGAGACTGCTCATACTTCTTGTTAATGAATAAGCTACACTATTCAATTGCTCAATCAAGGGCTTTCCCCCACCCACAATCCTCATGGATTTGGTTGTTCCATCCATTTTCTTGTTTACCAAGAGGCAAGTCAGGTGGTCTGGGATTGCTGCTTTGCCTCTAGCTGGCTTCAAGTTGAAATGACTGAATTCAACACCATTGTTGAGACAATGTACAACCCTTGTTCTTTAATTACTCCTACTTACTTTCACCACATATTGTGATTCATTTGCTTAAAACCACTGCAATAGTTGCTGCCATAACAAATGCTTTCCTGAGAGTCAGATTAATGTTCCCCTTTGTTTCCAGCTTATCTGCAGCCTGTCTGCAGTAATATACTCAACCCAAACAAGCGTATTTTTCACTCACAGCCTGCCTTTTATGAGTCCCACTGACAGTTCCTTAATAAATAATACATTTCTAAATGTTCCTAAGCTTTTCTCCTTATTAATAATTCCAGCAGCTTTCCCATGGCTGAGGGGTTTAATTTGGTCACTGACTCGATTTTATTCTTGCCTGTTTCTCTACATTTTACTTTTTAAGACTAATGTCTGGACAAGAAGGAGGTTAAAACAGTGGTCTATCATAGCAGGTGTTCAACAATTATGAGTTAGTACACACTACACATTCGGATGTGTAATGGAGACTTTCTTGGGTGTTTTTTGTTTGTTTCTTTTTGTAGCTCTGGCCCTTTTGCCATGAGAACAAAACAAAATCCTTGAATCCCATGGAAAGATAGCTTCAGGTTGATTCTCTGGAGACAAATGTGTCACTAAGTTTGCAAAATGCATTCAAATTAGCATGTTTAGGTATGAGATGTTTATTTTTGGTGTTTTCAACAAACTCTCTTTTTTGTGTTTATCTATAATAATGTGGAATTGTAACTAATGCCTAAATGAAGTCTTTGATCTTTGTTACAAAAAAAGTGTTGGCTCAATGTATAAAAAAACAAAAATACTCAATTTGAGGAAAAGAAGAACAAATTCATGTAATTACTCATTCTTCACACTGTGTTTCTCTGTTCTGATTACACTAACTGGGAATGTCCGTTCCATTCTTCTTCCATAAAGCATTTTCTTCATAGCTAACATCCATGTCTATCTATTCTGAAATCACCAGTTTATGGCTACCCGGTGGATGAAGTTTTAAGTACTCCCCCGTAGAATTCTCTACTGTTTCATCATTATTATTTCTTCCAAGTATATTGTGAATTGAAGGTGGAGGGGCAAGACTTTGGCTTAGTTGCATAGCATTTTACGTGAGATTTATCAGAGAAAGGACACTCAATATATGTGTTATAATTAATTGATTTATTTACTTCTATTTACATGTTATCTTTTTTGTGTGTTTTGTATGCTGTCAAGAATTTTCTTCTCTTGCAGAAACTACCCAGCCAGCAATTATGTTTTCAGGTTTTTGTATCTATGCTGACAACCAGATTATTCTACATATAGTAGGAGTTAAGAAATGATGATGTACTATAAAGAGAGAGACAGAAAATTTCACCATGATAAGTTGTTGAGTAAATTCCTTTTTCTGGAAAAACTAAACAGTTTTAACTACTAACTATAACATACAATTTGTTTGATGTGATTCCTCGTGCTGTTGTAAAACCAGTTTAGCTCCTACAGTACTTATACTCAGGTTTTGAAAAGAAAAGGGTTGTTACAGAAAAAGGTAAACAAGTTTGGATTCTAAGAAATTTTGATTTGGAAAACAATTCTGATAATTCTGTTATGGCATGTAGAACCTCACAAAAGCATTCAGTCTTTGGAGGGAAGACACTATCAATTTCCCACCAGGATTCTCTAGCCCTAACTTTTCAATGCACACCAATCAACTTCCAACTGCTAGCACCTGTGCTTTTTACTTTAACACTTTCTCTTGTCACAGAAATCTCCAGTTCTGCACTGGTTGGGTGAAACGATTCTGAGTCGTGTGCCCTACCCTGACTCCTACAATTTCCCTGCTGGCTTAATCTCTAGTCTTCTATAGTGGTAGTTGGCTTTCTCATTTGCCTTTTATTGTTTACCTTTCCTTTGCTATGCTTCCCTTCCCTGTCCCAATTCCCCACCTCCATACCAGCATTCCCTTCACCCTCAAAATACAATACTCACACTTCAATTCTTGAATTTGTGCCTACTTCTGGGGAACTCAAACTAAGACACCGATATATATATCTTATTTCAATGGAAATTTATTTTTTATTTCAATTATTTGAATTTATTTATGCTTTACTGTTTTTTTTTAATGGAAACCCACTCTGGACACTCTGACTCTGAATTCTTCATGTGAGGGCCCTAGGATTGCATGAATATGTACATTTCACTTGAGAAATAGGAATAAGCACCCTCCTGAGGAGAGCCTGCTGAACAAGCTTAACCTAAATCCTCATTAAAACACTTAGGTCTGTATTAGTCTGTTCTCATGCTGCTAATGAAGACATACCTGAGAGTGGGTAATTTATAAAAGAAAGAGGTTTAATTGACTCACATTTCAGCATGGCAGGAGAGGCTTCAGGAAACTTACTATCATGATGGAAGGGGAAACAAACATGTCCTTCTTCACATGGCAGCAGCAAGGAAAAGTGTAAAATGAAGATAGGGAAAAGCCCCTTGTAATACCATCAGATCTTGTGAGAACTAACTCACTATCACAACCACAGGATGGGGGAAACTGCCCCATAATTCAATTATCTCCACCTGGTTCCTCCCATGGTACATGGGGATTATGGGAACTACAGTTCAAGATGAGATTTAAGTGGGGACACAGCCAAACCATATTAGTGTTTTATTCGCAGGGATGTTGAGAAAGGCAAATAAAATCTTTGGTAACTAGCTCATATTTGGAAGAAACACTCACCTTGAAACACCAGGGAAAATTTTAGTTTTTATGTTTAAAGGGAGCAAAAGCAAACCAAAGTTCTAATACCACAAGCATAGCAAAACTGAGATAAAAATGCAAACCTATTGATGTACTCAAAGTCCCATATCTCGGGTAATCCTCTAAATTTCCTTCATTTCCATCTGATGGCTGATCCAAAGACACTGTTTCTCAGGAATAGCTGATTGGTTGTCTGCAAATAGTCAGTCCCTGAAACTACAGTTTGGATGTGAGGCATTGGCTCAGTGAAGTGGGGAGATGGCATGAGGTAGCCTGGAACTGATTTTCTCTTCTGACTGCATATATCAGAGCCTGATTTACCACTCGTTTATAATTAGAGTATTGAACAGTGTGCCGTTTCACTAAGAATACAAGCTAACATATTATATGCTACCCAAAATGTCAATTGCAAATTATTATAGCTTGTATTTGGGGGTCAAGTGGTTTTAAGTATGACTTTGTGTGTTGGCCATACACCATTTCAATTTCTGTAGCTTTGCTAATGATGTGCCTTCTACCCCACACCCTCCTCCTGCTTTGGTGTCTACTGAACTTTATTTGCATTGCAATGCCCGAAGTCACATGGAGTCAGATTTCGTTGCCCCACAAAGCCTGTATTACATTCCAAGTTCTTCTGCAGTTAATGTCAAAACCACTCACTGGTTTCTCTTTTGAGTTAATTACTATTTCATGGCTGCATGCATGTCCTTTCTAACATGATAGTAAGATAGTAAACAACTTGAGGGTTTTTCTTGTTTTTATTTTATTTTATTTTCATGATGCCTACCACTGTTTGGGCACTTAGCTTCTCTCTCTCTCTTTCTCTCTCTCACACACACACACTTTTTTTAAAAAAAATAAATGAACCATTCATTATTTTAAAGAAATAGGTGGATGCTTGCTAACATTCACCCTTGCTTTTTCTTTCTCTGAACATTCTCTTTAACAAGGAACAAGGATTTTTAAAGTGTTCTCAATCTCCTGAAACCCTTTCTTTAACTTCTACCCTGTTCCTGTCAGTGAGAATCTTGTCTTTAATTATTTCAGAAATGTTGCTACTAAGAGTGGTCTTCCTGCCCAATACTTACAGACATACTTTCATATGCATCCAAAGATCAGAAGTACAGCTCTTCTCTAAAATCAGAGAATGAGGTGCTCAACAGCAACCTTTCCACCTGTGCATTTGGTTTCATGACTGAGTCTCTCATGTCTTCAACTTCTCTAACTATATTGACTTCCCGTTCAATCCAGACACACTCTCTAATCTCTCACTCTATTCCAACTACATTCATTTTCTGTCTCTCATTCTCTTCACCAATTACTGGAATCTATTATTAACCCCACTTCTGGACTCATTCTATGAGGTTCTCATCAAAGATACTAAGTGCCAAATGCAGGAAGCATTTTTAGTTCATATATTACTGGACCTCCTCTGCTATATTTCATCTTGTTCATCACTTTCAATTTCATAAAAATTCCTTTTTTTACTATTCTCCTGCATAGCTCTGTTGCCTACTTCTGAAAGCTTCATTCTCTGTGATGATCCTTTCTCCTCAGTGTCACATCCCTCGCAGATCTGCCCTCAGCTCGTTCCTCTTCTCTATGTGTGTCCTCTTCATAGATTATTTCATGTCTCTTTGTATCAATTAATAGCAATATGCTGAATCTCAATTACCACCTCTACTAGAGAGCTCTACTTTAAGCTTTAGGTTCACATATTTGATTGCATATTAGGTACATTCACCAAATATTCTAAATCCAACAAGTCCAAATGTACTCACTATTTTTCACCTTAATGAATTTGCCTTTTTATCAATCAACAATTGATATAGAGTTTTTCTCCCAAATATCTTTCTAGTCCACTTTGTCTTCTCTAATTGTGTAATAATTCAAGCTTGCCATCTCTCAGTTGGACTGCTGCAGCCACTTATCAATTTGTCTACATGTCTATAGGACTGGTTCTTCAAATCCAATGTCCTCTTTCACTGAAGCAATTTTTCTAAAGCGTAAATTGGTCCATTTTCTTCTGCTGAAAAATCAAACATTTGATCTCTTCCATAATAAAGTACAGCTTACTTAATGCAGCTTGTAATGATCTCCACAGTCTGTTGCCAGCCCATCTATATAGTCTTATTTCTCTTAACTCTTGTCCTAAACTATTATAGGAACATGGAACTCACTGTAGTTTCCCATATATCTGTCTAGTCATCTGTTATCTATCTATCTATAAATCTATCTATAAATCTATCATCTATCTATCTATCTATATCTATATCTATCTTTCTATATATCTATTTTGCCCTCACTCTGAGCTTTTACTTATTTCTGTACTCTGACGTAAAATCTTCACCTCCTCCACCTCAATTAAGCACAATTATTCTGTATTTTAAAAATAGAAATATTTTTAGAGCAGTTTCAGTTTCACAGTAAAATTTTTAAAAAGGTAGAGATTTCCCATATACTCCCTGCCCCCATATATACATAGCCTCCCCATTGTCAGTATCCTGTACCAGAGTGACACATTTGTTCCCGATGAAACTACATGGCATATCATTAGCAACAAAAAAGCATAGTTTACATTAGAGTTCACTCTTGGTATTGTACATTTTATGGGGTTGGACATACGTATAATGACGTGTATTAACTGTTATAGTATTATACAGAGTGTTTCACTGCCCTAAAAATCCTCTGTGCTCTGCTAATTCGGCCCTCTCTCTCTCCTTCCCTTCCAATCCTGGCAACCACTGATATTTTTCCTGGCAACCACTGATATTTTTACTGTTTCCATAGTTTTAACTTTTTTAGAATGTCATATATTTGGAATCATACAGTGTGCATCCCTATTAGATTGGCTTCTTTTACATAGTAATATGCATTTAAGTTTACTCCATGTCTTTTCATGGCTTGATAGCTCATCTCTTTTCAACACTGAATTATGTTATCACAGTTTGTATATCCATTCACTTCCTGGAGGACATCTTGGTTGCATCCAAGCACTGGATATTATGAATAAAGCTACTATAATCATCTAGGTACAGGTTTGTTTGTGTGGGTATATATTTTCAACTCCTTTGGATGAATATCAAAACCATGATTGCTGGATCGTATAGTAAGGCCATGTTTAGTTTTATAAGAAACGGCCAAACTGCCTACCAAAGTGTACCATTTTTTATTTCTACCAACAATGAATCCTGTTGCATCACATTCTTTCCAGCATGTCAGTGTTCTGGATTTTGGTCATTCTGATAGGTGTACAGTGCTGCCTTATCAGAGTTTTAATTTGTATTTCCCTGGTGACAAGCTATGAAGCACCTTTTCATTTCACCTTTTCACTTATTTGCCTTCTGTATGTTTTTTATGGTGAGATATTTGTTAAGCTCTTTGGTCTTTTTTGTCTTCTTACTATTGAGTTTTCAGTGTTTTTTCTTTATTTTGGGTAAAAGTGCTTTATTAGATATGTCTTTTGCAAATATTTCTCTCTCAATCTGTGGCCCATTTTTTCATTCTCTTGATGGTGTATTTAACAAAACAGAAATTTTTTATTTTAATGAATTCTAGCTTATTATTTTTTCTTTTATAAGTGTGTCAACGCCATCATACCTAAACTTCATCACCAAACCCAAGGCCATCTAAATTTTCTCCTATGTTTTCTTCTAGGAGTTTTACAGTTTTGCATTTTACATTTAGGTCTGTGATCAATTTGAGTTAATTTTCATAAATGTTTGTAAGATCTGTCTAGATTGATTTTTTTATACATGAATGTTCAGATGTTTAAGCACAATTTATTGAAAAAACTGTCTATGCTTTGTTGTATTACCTTTGCCTCTTTGATAAAGATCAGCTGATTATATGGGTCTATTTCCAGATTCTGTATTCTGTTCCATTGATTTGTCTATTGTTTCACTAACATCATACTGTCTTGATTACTGTAGCTTTATGATAAATCTTAAATTTGGGTAGTGTCAGTCCATTCACTTTGTTTTTCTCCTTCAATATAGTGTTGGCTATTGTGGATCTTTTACCTGTTCATATAACTTTAGAATCTGTTTTATCAATATCCACAAAATAGTTGCTGAAGTTTGAATTGGGGATGCATTGAATCTACAGAATAAATTGGAAAGAACTGGTATCCTCACAAAATTGAATCTTCCTATCCATTAACATAAATTATTTCTCCATTTATTTACTTACTTGATTTCTGTGATCAGAGTTTTGCAGCTTTCCTTATATAGTTCTTGTACACATTTTTTAAGACTTACACCTGAGAGTTTTATTTTGTGGAGTGCTAATTTAAATCACATTATGTTTTTAATTCCAAATTTAACTTGTTTATTACTGGTATATAGAAAAGTGATTGGCTTCTGTATATTAATCTTGTATTGTACAACCTTGACATAATCAAGTATTTGTTATAGTAGGTTTTTCTTATTGCTTCTTTTAGATTTTCCACATAAGCAGTGATGTCATCTGCAAAGTTTTATTTCTTTCTTCCCAATCAGCGTATTTATATTTCCCTTTCTTATCTTATTGCATTAGGTAGAACTTTCAGTATAATGTTAAAAAGCAGGTGAGAGGAGATATCCTTGCCTTCTTCCTGATCTCACTAGAAAGGCTTCTAGTGTCTCATTAAGTGTGTTGTTAGCTGTAGGGTGTTTGTAGATTTTCTTTCGTAAGTTGAGGAAGTTTCCCTCTATTTCTAGTTTACTGAGAGTTTTACTATGAAGAAGAGTTGTATTTTGTCAAATTTATTTATTTTTTTGCGCAACAGTAAAGTGTTCATTGAATTATTCTGAAGTTTATTTAGACGTGTTCTTGTTTATTTCCAGCCTTTATTTTAGATTCGGGGGTACATATGCAGGTTTGTTACATGTGTATATTGTGTGATGTTGAGGTTTGAGGTATGTATGATCCCATCACCCAGGTAAGAGAGTAGTATCCAATAGTTAGTTTTTAAACCATTTTCCCCTCCCCCCACTCTAGTTGTCCCCAGTGTCTACTGCTGCTATTTTTATGTCCATGAGTACTCAATGATTAGCTCCCACTTATAAGTGAGAACACATGGTATTTGGTTTTCTGTTTGTGTGTTAATTCGCTATGGAAAATGGCTGCCTACTGCATCCATGTTGCTGCAATGGACATGATTTCATCCTTCTTTATGGCTGCATAGTATTCCATGGTATATATGTACCACATTTTCTTTAGCCAATCCAACATTGATGGGTATTTAAGTTGATTTCATGTCTTTGCTATTATGAGTAGTGTTTTGATGGATGTGCTAGTGCATGAGTCTTTTTGGTAGAACAATTTGTTTCTAAGTTCTTTGAGAAATCTCCAAACTGCTTTTCACAGTGGCTGAAGTAATTTACATTCCCATCAAAAGTGTATAAGAATTCTCTTTTCTTTGCAATGTCACCAACATCTGTTACTTTTTGGTTTTGATATGAATTTCTTTGATGAGTAGTGATGTGGAGCATTTATTTCATATGTCTGTTGGGTGCTTAGATGTCTTCTTTTGAGGAGTGTCTTTTCACATCCCTTTCCCATTTTTAAATGGGATTATGTTTTTTGCTTGTTCAATTGTTTATGTTCCTTATAGATTCTGAATATTAGGCCTTTGTTGGATGCATACTTTGTGAATATTTTCTCCAACTCTATTTGTTGTCTGTTTACTCTATTGATAGTGTCTTTTGCTTTGCAGAAGACGTTTAGTTTTATTAGGTTCCACTTGTCAATTTTTGCTTTTGTCACAATTGCTTTTGAGATCTTAGTCATAATCTCTTTCCCAAGGCCAATGTTGAGAATGCTGTTTCCTAGGTTTTCTTCTAGGATTCTTACAGTTTGAGATCTTATATTTAAACCTTTAATCCAAATTGAGTTAATTCTTATATAAGGTGCAAGGTAGAGGTCCAGTTTCACTCTTCTACATATGGGTAGCTAGCTATCCCAGCACCATTTATTGATAAGGAAGTCCTTTCCCCATTGCTTATTTTTGTCGACTGTCAAAGATCTGATAGCTGTAGATGTGCAACTTTATTTCTGGGTTCTCTGTTCTGTTCCATTGATCTATGTGTCTGTTTCTGTACTAATACCATGCTGTTTTGATTACTACGTAGCCTTGTAGTATAGTTCAAAGTTGGATAATGTGATGCTTCTGATGACTTTGTTATTTTTGCTTGGGATTACTTTGGCTATTTGGATTTTTTTTTTATTCCATATTAATTTAGAATTGCTTTTTTTCTAGTTCTATGAAAAATGACACTGGTTATTTGATAAGAATAGTGTTAAATCTGTAGATTGCTAAGAGCAGCATGGCTATTTTAACAATATTGATTCATCAAATCCATGAGCATGGAATGTTTTTCCATTTGTTTGTGTCATCTATGATTTGTTTTGACAGTGTTTTGTAGTTCTCTTTTTAGAGCTCTACACCTCTTTGTTTAAATATATTCCTAGGTGTGTGTGTGTGCCTATCATAAATGGGGTTGCTTTAGTTTTTTTTCCTCAAATTAATCTTTTAATTTAATTAAAAATTTAATAAATATTCAAGCAACATTTTTTTTTGTAGCGCAAGACACAGAATCCACATATTAGGGTAAAAAGAAAATCAAGAGCAACTAAGACAACCTTTAAAAACTGAGAAAGGAGAGGAAGTATGTCCTATAAGGAGACACGAATTATTGTATATTACAGTAATGATATCTATGTGCATTGGTACAAAGTAATACAATTTGGCTCTCAGCTTGAATGTTCTTGGTGTATAGATATGCTACTGACTTTTGTACATTGATTTTGTGTCCTGAAACTTTACTGGTCATTTATCAGTTCCAGGAGCTTTTTGTGGAGTTGTTAGGGTTTTCTAAGTATAGAATCCCATCATCCCCAGAGAGCTAGTTTGACTTCTTTTCCTATTTGGATAACTGTTCTTTCTTTTGCCTGATTCCTCTGGCTAGCACTTTCAGTACTGTGTTGAATAGGAGTGGTGTCTTTTTCCAGGTCTTAAGAGAAACGCTTCTAGTTTTTGCCCATTCAGTATTATGTTGGCTATGGGTTTGTCATAGATGGCTTTTGTTGTTTTGAGGTATGTTCCTTCAATGCCTACTTTCTTGAGTTTGTGTGTGTGTGTTTGTGTGTGTGTGTGTTTTAATCATGAACAGTTGTTGGATTTTACCAAAAGCTTTTTTCACATCTATTGAGATGATGATATTGTTTTGTTTTAAATTCTGTTTATGGGCTGAATCACATTTATTGATTTGTGTTTGATGAACCAGCTTTGCATCCCATGAATGAAGCATCCTTGATGGTGGTGACTTAACTCTTTGATGTGCTATTGATTTCAATTTTCTAGTATTTTACTGAGGATTTTTGGGTCTATGTACATCAGGGATATTGGCCTAGAGTTTTCTTTTTTCTGTTGTGTCTTTGCCACATTTTGGTATCAGAGTGGATTTTGGTTTATATAATGAATTAGCAAGGAGTCCCTCCTCCTTGATTTTTTGGAATAGTTTCAGTAGGATTGGTAACAGCTCTTCTTGTATGTTTGGTAGAATTTGGCTGTGAATCTATCTGGCCTAGGGCATTTCTTTCTTTCTTTCTTTTTTGATGGGTAGACTTTTTATTATTGATTCAAATTTAGAACTCTATATTGGCCTCTTTGGGATTTCAATTTCTTTCTGATTCAAAAGTGGAAGATTATTTGCTTCCAGGAATTTATTCATTTCCTCTAGATTTTCTAGTTTGTGTGCACAGAGCTGTTTATAATTTTCTCTCAGGGTATTTTATATTTCTCTGGGATCAGCTATAATGCCACCTGTGTCATTTTTTATTCCACTTATATGTATCTTCCCTTTTGTTCTTTGTGAATCTAATTAGTGGTCAGTTAATCTTGTTCATTTTTTCAAAAAACCAACATTTAGGCTGTTGATTTTTTTGTATGGAATATTGGGTCTCAATCTTGCCTATTTATGCTCTAATTTTATTTATTTTCTTCTGCTAGCTTTGGGCTTAGTTTGTTCTTGTTTTTCTAGTTTCTCTAGGTGTGATGTTAGATCATTAATTAGAGATCTTTCTAACTTTTGTGGTAGGTGTTGAATGCTATGAGCCTTCCTCTTAACACTGCTTTTGCTGCATCCCAGAGATTTTGGTATGTTCTGTCTCTGTCTTCATTCATTTCAGTTTTTTTTTCCTTTTGCCTTAATTTCACTGTTTACCTAAAAGTCCTTCAGGAGCAAGTCATTTAATTTCCATGTAATTGTGTGGTTTTGAGGGATCTTCTTGGTATTTATTTCTGTTTTTATTCCACTGTGGTCTGAAAGTGTGATTGCTATGGTTCTGATATTTTGGAATTTATTGAGGCTTGCCCTATGACCAAGCATGTGGTCAATCTTGGAGTATGTTCTGTGTGCAGATGAGAAAAATGTATATTCTGTGGTTGATGGATGGAGAATTCTGTAGATGTCCATTAAGTCCTATTGGTCAAGTGTCAAATTTAAGTTTAAAATATTTTTATTAGTTTTCTGCCGTGATGATCTGTCTAATGCTGACAGTGGAATGAAGCCCTCCACTATTATTGTGTGGCTAAGTATTTTCATAACTCTGGAAGGTCCAGTTTTGTGAATCTGGGTACTCTTATTTTGGGTGCATATATCTTTATGGTATTTAAGTCTTACTGTTGAATTGATTCCTTTATCAGCATGTAATGCCCTTCTTTGTCTCTTTTTACTGTTGTTGGTTTAAAGTCTATTTAATCTGAAATAAAAATAGTGATGCCTTCTTTTTTTGTTTGTTTGTTTTGTTTTCTGTTTATGTTGTAAATCCTTCTCCATCCCTTTATCTTGAACCTATAGGTGTCATGTGTGAGATGGGTCTCTTGAAGACTATAGACAGATGGGTCTTGTTTTTTTCATTCAACTTGCCACTCTGTACCTTTTAAGGGGGGCACTTAGACTATTTACATTCAAAGTTGATATATGAGGCTTTGATTCAATTGTGAAGTTGTTGGCTGGTTGCTTTGTAGTTTCTGTTATATGGTTCCCTTATAGGGTCTTTGGGCCATGCACTTAAGTGTGCTTTTGTGGTAACAGGTATTGTTCTTTAGTTTATATATTTAAAACTCTCTTAAGGATCTCTTTAATGCTAGTCTAGTGGTAATGAATTTTCCCTTAGTGCTTGATTGTCTGGAAAATATTTTATTTCTCATTCACTTATGAAGCTTAGTTTGGCAGGATATGAAATTATTGATTAGAATTCCTTTTCTTTAAGAATGTTGAAAATAATCCCTCAATTTCTCCTGGCTATTAAGATTTCTGCTGTGAAGTCCACTGTCAACCTAATGAGGCTTTGTACATGATCTGACCTTTTTCTCTAGCTGCCTTTAAGATTTTCTCTTTAGTGTTGACCTTGAAGAGTCTGGTGACAATATGCCTTGGTTCTCTTTGTTTTGAGTAGTATCTCACAGGTGTTCTCTGAATTTCTTGTATCTATACGTCCACCTCTCTAGCATGTTCAGGGAAATTTTCTTGAATTATTCTCTCAAATATGTTTTCCAGGTTGTTTACTTTTTCTCCCTCTTTCTCAGGAATGCCAATAATTGATAGGTTTGGTTACTTTACATAATCCCATATTTCTTGACTTATAAACAAAGTATTTCAATTGTATTTTGAAATTCCTTAAGTGAGTTTTTCAACTCTGGAAGCTCTGATTGATTTCTTTATAAGATTTTATCTCTTCCTGCATTTTCTGCGTTGCTTTAGCATTTTCCTTGTGTTGATTTTCAACCTTGTTTTTGAGCTTGTTGAGCTTCCTTGAAATCCGTGCTTTGAATTCTTTATCTGTCATTCCTGAGTTTCCATTTTGGTTAGGAACTGTTGCTGGAGAGCTAGTGCAATCCTTTGGTGATGGTATCTCATTCATATTTTTCATGGTGCCGGAATTCTCGTGCCGAATCTTTGTCATCTGGATACACTTGCACTTTTAATTTTTGTAATCATTTTTCTCCAGGTAGAATTTTTTTCTTTCTTTCCCATTATTTTCTTTTCCCTTTGCCCCCCTTTTTAGGGGGTGTAATTGTAGAGCATACTGGGTAGGATCTTTTGGGTTAGCTTCCATAAACCCATGCATTTCTTTTGGCAGGTTTTATATAGGGTTATGCAGTTCAACCTACAAGCCAGTAGATGGCACTTATGGGTAAGAGCCGGCTGGCTGCGCCAAAGTGGCTGGGTACATATTTGATCCATGTTTATTGGGAGAAGCTCTTTGTTGCCTGAGGCAATGAGCTGTGTGTCCCCCCTGCCCCCCCGGAGTCTCGCTCTGTCGCGCAAGCTGGAGTGCAGCAGCACCATCTCTCGGCTCCCTGCAACCTCCGCCTCCCTGGTTCAAGCGATTCTCCTGCCTCAGCCTCCCGAGTAGCTGGGATTAGAGGCATGCGCCACCACGCCTAGCTAATTTTTGTATTTTCAGTAGAGACGGGGTTTCACCATATTGGGCAGGCTGGTCTCAAACTCCTGACCTCGTGATCTGCCCGCCTCGGCCTCCCAAAGTGCTGGGATTACAGGCGTGAGCCATCGCGCCCGGCCAATGAGCTGATCTTAGAGTGCACGGTGATTTGAGCTCCCTGCTCAGCCCCGGGAGGAGATGGAGACCAAGATGGATGGAGCCAGACCTGGCAGTTCTGCCTACAGGTCCACCAATGGCAGGAAAAAGCACCAGCGCCAAGAGAAAATCCAGTGGGTAGGCACCAAGCACCCTGAGTGTGCCTAGGTGTGGAGCCAGGAAACCCTCTCAACCACAAGTTTTCTGCACAGGGATGGGAGATGGCCTAAACTCCTAATCCAGGTGAGAAGGTGCTCCAGATGCCTGGAGATCTGCCTGCGCATGCAGAAGAGAGGCCCCCACTGCACTGTGATCTACGTCCATGAAGGGTGGGGCAGCTCAGGCTGTTGGTCCAGGCAAGCAGGTGCTCTAAACACCTGCACTTCCACCCGGAGGTGGAGCAGAGAGGGTCCTGCTGCACTACAACCTCAGGGGAGCAGGCTGGGGCAAACAGCAATGGCACACTCAGATGGATTATAGGTTGCCAAGGTGGCCCTGGTTGCAAGTCTCACTGTCCAAGAGAAACTGTAGCTGCAGCAGATCTCCTCCTGGGTAGCGCGCAATTACAGCAACTACTGTTGAAGTGCTTTCCACAGTTCTGGCTGTGGAGGCCCTTATCTTCGCTCCAGAGCAGGTGTTCCAATCTTTTGCATGATACTAAAATGCCTGAATGGCCCTGCTGAAAGGTTGCCAAAGGATGGCTGACTTTGTATATGCCCAGATTAAAAATGATGTCCTGCTTTTGGTACTGGGTCTGCAAAAATGTCAGCAGCTTTTCCAGTGTCTTTCCATCAGAGCATTTCTAAGCCTCTCCTCAAGTTAGTTCCAGAGCTTGGGAGAAACAAAGTTCTCTCCCTTGGCCTGGGTTGCTCAGGTTCCCAGTGGAAAGGCGAATCACAGAGGGAGGCTCTCTGCTTCTCTCACGTACAGGAGCTTCACTGTTTTATCAGCAAGACGGCATCACAGGGGCTGTTTGCCAGCATTCTCCTCCCTGGGATCATGAGGTGTCCTTCTTGATTGCAGTACATTCCCATTTTCCTTCTTGAAGTAAAGCTCACAGAGTATAGCCACTTGTTATTTCCAAATGGCTGAGGCATGCTAAAAGTCTCTAATCTGCCAATTTGGAAAAAAAAGAAAAAGAAAAAGAAAAACCTAATTGCTTTTCTTTATCTATTAGCATTATTATGAATTTTTTTTATTTAGCCTGTTGTGATGGATTTATCTGGGATAAATGCCACTTGTTTTGGTTTCATTCTATACATTGTTGAATTTTATTTGCTAATATTTTGTTGAGCATTTTCTGTATCTATTGTTTATTAGAGATGCTGGTCTATAGTTCTCTGTTATTGTAATGTCTTTGTCTGGTTTTGATATTTGGGTGATACTGGCCTCATGGAATGAGTTAAAAAAGTATTTTGTCTCCTTCTATCTTCTGAAAGAGATGGCAGAGAATTAGTATAATTTCTTCCTTAAGTGTTTGGTAGAATTTACAAGGGAACCCATCTGGGCCTCGTGTTTTCTTTAGTAGATATAGACATATTCAGATAGTTTTTGACTCCTGTGTAAGTTTTAGCAGATTGTGACTTTTAAGGAATTGATCCATTTCATCTAGATTTTTAAATTTGTGAACATAGATTTGCTCACAGTGTTTCTCAATACTACGGTCTGAATATTTGTGTCTCCTCCAAATTCATATGTTAAGATCAAAATGTGCTAGGCAGTGGTATTAGGAGGTGAAGGCTTTGTGAAGTGATTAGGTTATGATGAGAGAACTCCCATTAATGGGATTATTGCTATCATAAAAAAAGATCTAAGGGAGCTCATTCACCCATTCCAGTATATCAGGAAGTTGGGCCACCCTTACTAGACATCAAATCTCCTGATGCCTCCATCTTGTACTTCCCAGCCTCCAAAACTTTGAGAAATAAATTTCTATTGTTTATAAGCCACCCAGTTTACGGTATTTTGTTACCGCAATCTGAATGAACTAAGACCCTTGATTATCCTTTTAATGTGCATGGGTTCTGTAGTGATTTCACTCTTTTATTTCTGCTATTAACAATTTGTGCCCTCTCCCTTTTTTTTTCTTAATTAGCCCAATTAGATGCTTATTAATTTTGTCTATCATTTTAAAAAACCAGCTTTTTATTTCATCGCTTTTCTCTGTTGATTTCCTGTTTTCAATTTCGCTGATTTCTGCTCTAATTTTTATTTTTTTTCTGCTTACTCTTTATTTAATTTGCTTTTTTCTCTTATTTTCTAAAATGAGACTGTAGATTATTAATCTTAGCTCTTTCTTCTTTTCTAATATGTATATTCAATTCTGTTCCTTTTAAGGAATAGCTATTTCTTTCAAATTTACTTCTGAGCATTGGTTTTGCTGCATTCCAGAAATCTTGATAAGCTATGTTTTCCTTTTTACTTAGTTCAAAAATATTTTTAAAGTTCTCTTGAGAGTTCTTTGACCCAAGTGTTATTTACACATATGTTGCTTAATTTCCATGAATTTGGGGAATTTTCCAGTTATTTTTCTGTTTTTAATTTCTAGTTTAATTCCATAGTGGTCTGCTAGTAGCCACGATGTTCTTTTAAGTTTATTAAGGTGTGCTTTATGACCCAGAATGTGGTCTATCTTTGTCAGTGTTCCATGTGAACTTGAGAAGAATTTGAATTCAGCTGTCATTATATGAAATAGTATACAGATCTCAATTTTATCCCAGTTGATTGATGGTGTTGTTAAATTCAACTGTGTCTCTACAGATTTTCTGCCTGATGCTTGTGTTCATTTCTAATAGAAGGATGTTGATGTCTCCAACTATAATAGTAGATTCATTCTATTTCTTCTTTCAGTTCCATCAGTTTTTGCTTCACATATTTTGACACCCACTTATTAAGTATATACATGTTAAAGATTGTTATGTTTTCTTGGAGAATTGATTCCTTTCTTATTATGTAATACCATTCTTTATTTCTGATAACTTCTCTTTTTTGCAGTCTGCTCTGTGTGAAATTAATATAGCTGCTCCCACATTGTTTTGATTACTGTTGACGTAGGATGTCTTTCTCCATTCATTTACATTTAATCTACATGTGTCTTTATATTTAATGTGTGTTTCTTCTAGACAATATATAGTTGAGTCTTTATTTTTTAGTTCATGCTGATAATTTCTGAGTTTTAATTGATGTATTCAGACCATTAATGTTCAAAGTGATTAGTTATATAAATATTTCATATATTTTATCTTTGTTGTCTTTGTTCTTTGTTCCTGTTTTTGTCTTCTGCTCTTTTTCTGCCTTATGTGTGTGGTTTTAATTGAGCATTTTATATGATTCTATTTTCTCTCCTTTTTTAGCATATCAGGTATACTTTTTTCCCCTCACTTTTGTTAGTGGTTTCCCTAGAGTTTGCCATATGCATTTACAGCTATCTGGAACTCCCTTTCAGAAAACACTATACCACTTTGCAGGTAGTGTGAATATAATAACTGAGTTAAATTATCAAAGTACATTATTAAAATTGATTTAACTTGTTCCTTTTTAATCTTTTCTGTGGCTTCTAGACAATTTAAAATTACATGTGTGACTCACATATTTATTCTGGATAATAATAGTCTCAAGTATGCTTCCACTTGGGGAGAAAAAAATGTATGTGTATATATATATATATATATATATATATATATATGCTAGATAATGGACATTTATTTTTATTTCTAATTTTTCTGAGTTTTATTTTTGGTTCAGGGAGTACAGGTGCAGTTTCTTTACATGAGTAAATTGTGTGTTGCTGAGGTTTGGTATGTGAATAATCCCATCACCCTGGTAGTGTGCATAGTAACCAATAGTTTTTCAACCCTTGCCCCCTCCCTCTTTCCCCTTTTAGTAGTACTCAGTGTCTATTGTTCTCATCTTTGTTTCTCTATGTACCCAATATTTAGCTCCCACTTATAAGTGAGAATATGTGATATTTGCTTTTCTGTTTCTATGTTAACTTGTTTAGATAATATCCTCTAGCTGCATCCATTGTTGTGGCAATTAAAATGAATTCCTTCTTTTCTGTAGCTGTGTGGTACCCATGGTGTATATGTACCACATTTGCTTTAGCACGTCCACTGTTGATGGGCATCCAGGTTGATTTCATGTTTTTCGTATTGCAAATAGTGCTGTAATGAACACACTAGTGTGTGAGACTTTTGATAGAACGATTTATTTTCCTTTGAGTACACACCCAGTAAAGGGATGGCTAGGTAGAATGGTAGTTCTGTTTTAAGTTCTTTGAGAACTCTCCAAACTGCTTTCCACAGTGGCTGAACTAATTTCAGTTTCCACCAACAGTGTATATAATGCGTTCCATTTTCTTCACAACCTCACCAACTTTTTTTTTTTTTACTTTTAAAAATAGCCATTCTGACTGATGTGAGATGATATCTCATTATAGATTTTCTTTTCTTTCTTTTTTTTTTAAATGCATGGAATATATCTGGAAGGACATGCAAAATCTAGTTAACTCCTGGAAGGGAAACTGGGAAGTTGTAAGTCAAAAGTAGAATAAAGCTTAAGTTTTAAGCTCTTCTGATTTGTACCCTATGTATTTTTTTTCCATATACTCACAATCTATTTAAAGTGAAAATAATAAACATATGTTTTTTAAAATAAGATTCAATCTTTATGAAGAGCTTTAAGGGTTCTTCCCTGAGCTTATTCCCTAATCAGGTTGAAGTATCCTTATTTCTTCTGTAATTCCCAATTATCACAAACATTACACTTACTGAATTATTTTATAATTTCCATTTGCATCTTTATTTCACATACACTCTGAGCTTTTGATGCACAAGAAAAAATAATTTTATTAATTGTTGCAATCTCATTACCTAAACTAATGCTATATATAATTCTTAGCAAGAATTTTCTTTTTTGCAAAAACGAGAGAAATAACAAATATTTCCTACTTTTCTCCATTGACCTTAACCCTGATATTCTATGCTTTGGAACTAATGGAGAAATAAGGCAGAATTTTAAAATGAGAGAAAAAGAGAAGTTGAAAGAGGAAAGAGAAGCGAGGCTGCAGATAGGCCATGGATGGGCCCACACCCACGGTGGTCTGGTGGGCATCAGGCCCGGAAGATGCAGAGCAAATGCCAGGGGAGGACTGACTCACTCGTTCCCTGGCCGGCTACCTCACTTGCCTTTTCACCTGTAACTCTTACTATTGGTCTTTTTTCTATTCTGTTTAGCCATGAAGGCCCAATGCAATTTTCCATTCATAAGGTGGCCCCTTGTACCTTGACGAAGTTACTGTAGTTGAAACTGAGAGTTTTATGGGCTTCCTGAAAATCTTATCCTACATTCACTTTCAGCCAGACTATAAACAGTCTTTTATTTAACTTCTTATAGATAGTTGACCAAAAAGAGAGTCTCGCTTTGCTTGGAAGAACTTACCTTAGATAAAATTGGAACATCTTATTAAAATATATTGACCTGTGGCCTGTGGCAGCTAGAGGCTGTGGTGCTAAAAATATTGTTAATAAAATGAATCACATTTCATAAGAGGACTGGGGCAGCTAAAATTCTGAGAGAAATGGCAACTGTTTAAATGCAGACAATGTGTGTGTGTCTGCACACATGTGTGAGTTTGTGTGTGTGTGTGTGTGTGTGTGTGTGTGTGTGTGGTGTGTGTTTCCCCCTTGAAAGCTTTTATTGAACTCTGGAAACAAATTGGCCCCAGGTCTGGAACCTGTTAACTACCCTTTCAAGCTAACACAATGCTAGAAACGTACGTCATTCTATTTTACTGAGGCAGGGCAGTATGTATTATAGCAGGAGTTATGAGTGCAAAATGCTCTTCAAGAAGGATTGTGTTCTCATGGTAGGCTAGGATTAAAGATTGTTAGAAAGAGATTATGGTTTGTGTCCTATATGGTCATTGGATGCCAGGTCTTATGTGGCATAATCCAGTACCTATAATATTCACATCTCTTCCTCTCTCTTTAACAAACTTGGAAAAAAAGGTATCAGGAAATCTATTGTATTGAAGCCAAAACCCACATTTTGTGCAATAGATTGATTCATATTACTTCAAAATGCTAGTGATTCTTTTAGACTCAGAAAACTACCATGTGGGCAGAGATTAGAGAACTGTTAAATCTATAACAGACTCAGACCTTCTCTCCATCACATCTCCATTTAACGGCCATTCAACTGCTCTTGAACAACCTCACAGAGACAGCACACTATGCTTTAGACAGATCCAAATCTTAAAGCCATTTTCCTTTAATATATCTACATTCTGCTTCCCTGTAGTTTCTAAACTTAGCCTTTGTTTTATTCTTTTGAGCTAAGTAGAACAACTTTAATCTCTCTGTCTCATGGTGTCATGGTGGTCCTTTGCACCCTAAGAAAATTACTTATGTCTCTTTTCTTCAATTTTCTCTTTTGAAAATTGCAGATTAATATTAGTATCAAGTTCTAGCTTTGTGGCTGCTACTATTAGTAGAAGAAGAAGGTTGTTAATGCTATTAGTAAATAAGATTACATGTATAAATAGTGTTTAGTGCTATGCCTGGAACAGAGTTAGCATTCAACAAATGTGGGCTATTTTTACTATTATTTGAAGACAACTCCATAGTTGCATTAAGTCTTCTCTTCTCTAGAATACACATTCTTATCACCCTCATCTCTGGATTAATTTTCTGGAAGGTAGGTATCCTTTTTAATACAGCAACCAGATGTGAACATACCATCTTGGTTGGGGCCTGAATGACAGTACAGACTGCTTCTGGGAATGCTCTTCTGAGTACTGTAATTCTAGCAAACTGCTTTAACCAACTTTACCCTTTTAAACAGCCGCTGAATTCCATAAAGCATCCTTTGAATTGAAACTCCTAAGTCTTCTTCATATGAACTTCATGTGAACTATTGGAGAAACTGCAATTATGTTTGTGCCAACCTAATAGTTTATAATTTGTACTCTTGGCTGGTTTGTCCTTTAACTTAAGGATACAAATTTGCATTTATTTCTAATAAAGTTCATCTTATTTGATTTCATCCATTATATTTTTCAAATAGTTAGCTTTTGGTGTGTGTGTCAAAAAAGGAACAGATGAGCATGTGATTTGTTTCAAGCATGTATTTCAAGTAATTTTTCATATAAACAGAACCTAAACAAAATAATTTGAATTGTTTTTGAACTGTGTTCTCCATGACTGCCCTGTTCCTGTGCTGACATCAGAATTTGTTCAGCTATCCGGAGATCTAATTCTTCACTTCACTATTGGCAATATTTACTGGAATATTGTCAATATGAGGTGTAATAAGTTGGTCTTAATTTTGTAACTTTGATCAATCCATGCTAGGAGCTTAGAATGATGCAGAAATCAAGAACAAATTATTGATGTGTCCTCCAAGGGGCTCAACCCTGTGTATCAGGGTCTACATTTCTACTTTCTAGGTAATGTGACTTGACCCAGCACTGGGAACTAGGAACACCTGGGTGTAGGTACCAATTTGCTGCAGACACTTTAATATCTTCCAGAGGAAAATTTGCTTTTTCTTTATATCTACTTTGTATCCTTTTTTAGCAAATAAATGTCTATATGCATGCTTGTCTCTAGTCTGTCAATTCAGCACTTAAATTGATTTGCCTTTTTTAAAAAAGAAAAATATCAGTGGGAACAAAGGAAGCGATCAATTTTACATCAATGAAAGAGCTAAGGTTTCACCTTCTAGTCGGATTACTTCTGCACATCACTTTTGAAAAGGTAGTTGGAAAATTGTGCACTTAGGTGGTTAAAGACTTGTTCAGTGAGGTGCTCAACCAAAAAGAAATATTTAATACTTTGTCTTTTATGCAAAGAATTTGCTAGAAATTCAGAGAGAGTCTGGCATTGACCATAGGGATTTAGAAGAAATGGCTTCTGAAGAAGTTAGGAGAGGAGGTAAGTCAGGCCTAGGCCCGGGATTTCTTAGTTTGTATGTAGTATCTGCTATAGCTAATTTTTCTCAATTCCTGCAATAGAAGTAAAAGCATTGTGTTTTAAGGATAAAATTTTCTTTTCATTTTGATCCTTTTCTGCTGTGAATAATTGGGACAGCATAAAGATACTACAGCTCCACACCCTGACAACTCCTCTTGTATGGATGAGCTTTGTAATATTTTCTTTCAAAAAAGTATTCATAGTTTAAAAAGTGATTTCAAACACTAATCAATTTATCTCACTCAGCATTTTTAATTGGCTAATAGATCCCCAGACCTGGTATGCATTTAAGACATGCTAGAAGTATAATAATATTCATAGATTTTTCAGGACAGAAAATATTTGTAATAGATGTTATCTGTGTCCTGGTTGAATAACCAGTGACACCCAGCAATTGATAGACTCAGCAAGTCTTCACATTGCACTGGTAGAATTTACTCCCATCAGATGCATAAGTGAAATACACGGATTTTATTGAACAGTTGGTAGGAGAAATGGAAGAGCACTTTGCTTGCCATGCCCTGCAACATGGCCCCTGATGAATCGCCATTTGGATAGCTCTTCTTTCCAATTGCCCCCATTTCCAAGCCAGTAGCCTTTAATTGCCTCTTTTTTGTCCTCCTTCCTCTTATAACATATAATCTGTAGATTTCACTCTAACCTCTTTTTTATGCGAGACACTTAGAAAACAAAGACACTTGCAGTGACCACTCTTCTTAGAAGTCTGATGAAAACTGTTAAGAATAAAAAGGGTACCACAAGACATATTTTTTACATACAAAAATAGAAATTTATGAGATGGCTAAAAATCAAGGTGAACTTATCTAGTTAGAAAGGATTTTAAACCATATCACTGAATTATCACTTTCCCTTTATAGCCTTTCCACTAGACTTAGTGCTTCAGGGAAAGGGAGGATAGATATCACTAGGTAAAATATGCCATTGCTCAGATATAAATTTCCAACAAAACATCTTAGATTTCCTAATAAAACAATAGTTTTGCAGGCAGGCTTTTATTTCCTGGGAATTCAATACTTAGCTTTTACCGATCAAGAGTAGTTACCATACCATAGCCAATGCATAGGAAGGACAAAATAATTAATCATAAATAAGTGGAGATCATTTCACACAGGGGAAGGGCAATCTTTCCTGTTGTGGGAGGAGATGCCAGGAGAAAGAGGAAGTGATGTATAAGAGACCAGAGACCGGCCAGGTGCGGTGGCTCGCGCCTGTAATCTCAGCACTTTGGGAGGCCAAGGTGGGCGGATCACTTGAGGTCTGCAGTTCAAGACCAACCTGGGCAAAATAGCAAGACTGTCTCTACAAAAAATGCAAAAATTAGGTGGACGTAGTGCGTGGTGGCACACCCCTGTAGTCCCAGCTACTGAGGAAGAAGGATCGCTTGAAACCAGGAAGGTTGAGGCTGCAGTGAGCTGGGTTTGCACCACTGCACTCCAGCCTGGGTGACAAAGTGAGACCCTGTCTCAAAAAAAAAAAAAAAAAAAAAAAAGGTGAAAAAATGCCGATAGTTTAGTAAGAAACAAGGACATCATGCCTGATTCTGATTTTTAGTTTCTCAGGCATAGCCAGGGGAGATTTTATACTACTAAGAAGGTCCATATTTAGTAACTTGGTATACACAAGGCTATCTTTAGCTAACTAAAGTTGAGGCAATTATTAAGTTGGAAATGAAAGACTGGTCATTGACTTTAGCAACAGCCTATATAATATCATGCTCAAAGGCCAGGTGGAGCCAGCCATATCTCAGTGATATCAGTTAAGGGTAATATGGATGGGGTGGCTCAGATGGCACCAAGTTCACACAAGAGTCTGAAGGAGAGTCCAGGATCCCTTTAGTGTGATTCCCCTGAGAGTCAATGATTTGAGTCTTCCTCTAACCTCTGAGCTGTAGAAGTTTCTCCTTGTTAGAAGATGGCCTTATTCTTAGAAGAGGGAGAAGAATGGAAAAGTCTTAAGAGGATGAGGGAAATCCTGAAAGGTCAAATAACTATCCAAATGAAAGCAAACTATAAATTGTAAAATGGAGATAACTTTAAGATGAGAGTGAAGATGAAAGAGATGGATGAGTTTAGATACAGAACTTAATTAGAAACTACATTTTTGCAACCTGATTCATAGTTTATTAATTTTGATCCTGCCAAAATGCTTATAGTTAAGAGTCAAAATGAATTTTGTCAAAAGAAGCTATTATATGAGCTAGGAGTAAACATCCTTTGCCAAAAGGGAGAAGAAGTAGAGCCAAAACAAGGAGGGGAACTGTGAGCTTGAGTTGTCTGCCAACTAAAACTACAAACTCAAAGCACCAGAGAAGGTCAGAGGGAAACAAATTAGAAGTCAATACAATGAAAGCAGAAACAAGAGTCAGTGGTTGATTTTGCAAAAATCTCATGAATTTTGGAGCTTTCTTTTTCTTTTGTTTTCCACGCTTGGGTTAATACTCAACAAGTCAGGAAGAAGATTTTTCTTTTGTCTCGCTCTGTTGCCAGGCTGCAGTGCAGTAGTGTGATCTCGGCTCACTACAACATCCGCCTCCCAGGTTCAAGCTATTTTCCTGCTTCAGCCTCTAGAGTAGCTGGGATTACAGATATGCACCACCACACCCAGACAATTTTTGTATTTTTAGTAGAGACAGGGATTCACCATGTTGGCAAGGATGGTTTTGATCTCTTGACCTCATGATCCACCCACATTGGCCTCCTAAAGTGCTGGAATTACAGGTGTGAGCCACCATGCTCAGCCCAGGAAGAAGATTTTTACAGCAGCAAGGCCAAGCTTGCTGTAAAAAGATGCCCTCATATGAAAATGCCTAACAATTGTTTGTTCTCATCTGTCAAAACCTGGTTCATTTTCAAAATAAACCCTACTCAATTGAAATAGAAACTTTATGTTTCACATTTTCCCCAGTGAGAATTCTTAAATCATCAAGGCTGGCAAATTTCCTTTAGGCTAAATAGCTTACAAAATATTGAATGAGTTTCTTAACTTAACCATTCTACATAATTGTGTAAAATTATAAGTAATTTATATGTTAGAAAAGGTTCCCCAAAGTAGGGCTTGTTCAAAGTACTAAGCTGAACAAACAATGGAAAACTATATGCTTGAAAGCAAACTAAAAATTGTATTTAGTCTGCTGGCAATGGTCATATAACTATATAACAGAGTCACACCAAGTAGAAATATGACTCATTTTGTTCATTGTGTAAGTTGGTTTTTGTCACATTTTGTCATAGTAATTTCTCCTAAATCTAAAAGAATGGGTCTTTTAAAAATGAGATTGTTGTTATATTCTTCATGTTATTTTTTTTTTCCTAAGCTGGTGTTGATTTAGATTGCTGTTCACACTCAATTTACTCTCCAAACATAACTGGTTTTTCTAGAAGAGCTATTACTGAATGGCCTTCTATCACTGATAGCCACTGTTATCTCACTCTGAGATTAGCAATTAGTCTTTGACATCAGTAGCTTTTCAAAATTACCCATTCAGGGCCATTCCCCCAAAAAGGTTTTTATTTTACATCATAGAATTCAAAGGATTTTGTGTAGATTTGCACGTCCGTCTTTTTTCTTCCTTTCTCTTTCTTTCTTTCTCTTTCTTTCTTTCTTTCTTTCTTTCTTTCTTTCTTTCTTTCTTTCTTTCTTTCTTTCTTTCTTTCTTTCCTTCCTTCCTTCTCTCTCTCTCTCTCTTTCTTTCTGGCACTAATTACTTCCTTTATCTGCTCTCAAGCTAGTTAAAGAGGGTCTTTTTACTGCAAATGAAAAATCAACTCATTTATTTTAGCCATGTCATGGTTAGTTTGGCTCAACGGTTATTCAGAATCGTTAATCAATCAATAAATTGTTGAGAGATTCAACAAATATTTATTAAACACTTCCATGTACTACAGTCTACAGTGCACCTTCCAGGGGAAACAAATCAAGATCGAAGCACAGTTTCTGCCCTCAAGGATGGAGGGCCCAAAACTTGCAGTGTTATTATTTAATAGAGACCTTCAGGAGGTAGTTCTTGAAAAATATTTAGGATATACAAATCTAGAATGGATTGATCATCACAAATTTGGTTACCGGCATGAATAAAAGATGAACTAAGCCTAATGAAGGTTAAGAGTGATGAGAGTGACCTTCAGAGAGTCAAAAATCCAAAACATTATCTGTTTAATATTGAGGTATGTTAAATATACATATACATATAAATATATATGCATATATATGTGCGTATGTGTACACACACATATATATACACACACATATATACACATACACACATATATACACGTATATATGTATAAACACATACACACATATATACATATGTGTATATATATGTATATACACACACACACACATATACACACATATATACACACATATATACACATACACACATATACACACACACTCATATATATATACAGCTCCCTAACAGATTATCTTTTCTAATTATTCAGACATTGCACCTATTAATTCCCTATTGCTACTTCAACAAATTACCAAGAACATGGTGATTTAAAATAGCACACAGTTATTCTTTACAGTTCTGAGTTCTGAAATCAGTTACACTGGGCCAAAATCAATATGCCAGCAGAGCTGGGCTTTCTCTGGAGGCTCTCGGATGGAACTGGTTTTCTTGCCTTTTCCAGCTTCTAGAGCAGCAGGCATTCCTTGCATCACTTGGCTCATGACACCTTTCTTAATCTTCAAAGCCAACCGCACAGCATCTTGCCTCAGTAGTTACACTGCTTTCTTCTGTGTCGAATCTCCCTGTGCCTCATAAGGACACTTGTGGTTGCATTTATGGCCCATCTGGATAATCCAGGATAATCTCCCCATCTCAAGATTTTTCACATTGGCAAAGTCACTTTCACTGTGTAAAGTAACATTGTCAGGTTTCAGGGATTATGGTATCTGTGGAGAAACATCCTCGTGGGCCATTCTTCAGTCTACCACAGACTTCCATTGAAATTACTTCATATTATAGCAGAAAATACTAACTGAGAAAGAAAATGGATGGTGCCTCTGTTGGAAAGAGGTGAAGTGTGAGAAAGTGTATTCAGAACTGGAAGTAGAGGAGTGGATAATTCAGAATGGATTGTGAGAGTGTGTGTTTGGCCTCCTGTTTATCTCACAGGCACTATTTGTTGCTACCACTGAGGTTGTACAATATTGAGCCTACATATACATATGTGGATCCCTGGGAATACCCTGAAGGCATGAGCTCAGGCCATCTGAATAGGTTTATTCAAGGAACTACATAATGTCTCTATTTGGCAACAGGAGCTACCTCCTTTGCAGTCACAATGGAATCCACCAAGTCACAGGGCCATCTTTAGCACCTGGCATGCTGCTCCTCATCTCTGTATCCAGGAGTTAGAATAATTTTAAGATCTAGAATTTCCATTTAAATGGTCATTCACTCTGTCTTCTGGACGCAATTTTTTTTTTTTTTTTTTTTTTTTTTTTTTTTGCCGGGCTACAGTCTAATTCATTCTCGAAGTGCAGCGCATCATGACTTACAATCTAATTCGTAAGCAAAGTACATCCACATGCATTTTTTTTTTTTTTAAGATGGAGTCTCACTCTGTCGCCAGGCTGGAGTGCAGTGGCATGGTCTTGGCTCGCTGTAATCTCCACCTCCTTGGGTTCAAGCAGTTCTCCTGCCTCAGCCTCCTGAGTAGCTGGGATTATAGGCACGTACCACCACACCCAGCTAATTTTTGTATTTTTAGGAGAGATGGGGTTTTACCACATTGGCCGGTATGGTCTCTATCTCCTGACCCTGTGATCTGCCCGCCTCAGCCTCCCAAAGTGCCGGGATTACAAGCGTGAGCCACAGCAGCGACCATGCATTTTTAATCATCCAGAGCCAGTGACCTATCCTCATTTTTCCATACATGGTATATCAGCCGATGGCACCTAAACTGCCACATGCTAGTCCTATGATTTCTTATTGATCACTGCTTTCCCATTCCCAGGACTCTAAAAAGTTATAAGTTCTTCAAGTGCAAATGTTTTCACATTATCTTTTTATGTCTTTTAAGCTACTGACAACCACCTCATAACACCAAGCTGAATGTCATTCCACATCTTTGTATTTCAAATGAGCACCACTGTGAACAGAAACCCAATCTAGGACTTATGTACAAGTTCTGCTGTGTTTATACATTGCTGTGGGACCTTTGATAAATCATTTTCCAACTTCGAGTTTCAATTACATTATCTGAAAATCCCCCATTATACCTACTGTCCAGGGTTAAGGTTAGGGTCAGGGAAGGCCATGGTTGAAAAGGCATTTTGAAAGGTAATACTAGTGTAGGGTATTATTATCACAGAAATTATCACCTTTAATTAGGCTATATAAATCTTATAAAATACTTCTGTGTTAGTCCATTCTTATGCTGCCATGAAGATATACTGGAGACTGGATAATTTATTAAAAAAAAGAGGTTTAATTGACTCACAGATCTGCAGGGCTGGAGAGGCATCAGGAAATGCACAATCATGGCAAAAGGAGAAGCAAACATGTATTTCTTCACATGGTGGCAGGAGGGAGAAGTGCAAGCAGGGGAAATGCCGGAAGCTTATAAAACCATCAGTTCTCCTGATACCTCACTATCATGAGAACAGCATGGAGGAAATTATCCTCATGATTCAATTACCTCCCACTGGGTCCTTCCCATGACACATAGGTATTATGGGAACTACAATTCAAGATGAGATTTGGGTGGGGACATAGCCAAACCATATCAACTTCTTTAAGTTAAATCAAAATACTATAGCTTTTTATGAGTATTGATAAATGAATAGAATTGTTGAGTAGGAAAGGATCATAGGTATTATATGGTCGATATCCCTGAAAAAATAAGATAGTTTCAGTATGGTCACAGTCTAGTTAACGGTGAATCTGGAAATGAAGTCCAGATCTTCTTAGTTTAAAGCAGTGGTATTCCACCACTCCATAATACTTATAATAAAGGTATGAAGACTTCTTTATTTGTTATTCCTACACTCACGTGATTAATGCTTTATCTTTGCTAAGTTTATAAAATAAAAAAATCTGTTTCATGGTACTCTTAAGTATTTACACAGTTATTAAGGTTTTCTTATTATTTTATTTTCAAGGCCAAATTACTATTTTGCTTTGCCTTAGCAAATTGCCATTTATAAGAATGTCTGCTTCAAAATCAGAATGTTGTTGTTGTCGTCAGTTTGCAATATGTGCCGACGAGAATCTTGCAAATATAGACTGTGTTACTTTTTGTTGGCTTTTATTTTTTATTTTATTCATTTAGGTTTTTTTGTTTGTTTTTCAACTTTTATTTTAGGTTCAAAAGTTACATGTGCAGGTTTGTTATATAGGTAAATTGTGTGTCACTGGAGTTTGGTATACAAATGATTTCCTCACCCAGGTAGTGAGCATAGTATCCAATGGGTAGTTTTTCAGTCCTTACCCTCCTCCCACCCTCCACCCTCAAGTAGACCCCAGTGTCTATTGTTCCCCTTTTTTATCCATGTGTATTCAGTGTTTAGCTCCCACTTACAAGTGAGAACGCGTGGTATGTGGTTTTCTGTTCCTGAGTTAACTTTCCTAGGTTAATGGCCTCCAGCTGCATCCATGTTGCTGCTCCAGACATAATTTTATTCTTTTTTATGATTGTGTAGTATTTCATGGTGTGTATGTTTCACATTTCTTCATTCATTCCACCATTGATGGGCAACTAGGTTGATTCCACATCTTTGTTATTGTGAATAGTGCCGTGATGAACGTATGAGTGCATGTGTCTTTAGTATAGAATGATTTATATTCCTCTGGGTATACACCCAGTAATGGAATTGCTGAGTTGAATGATAGTTCTGTTTTAAATTCTCTGAGAAATCTCTAAACTACTTGCCACAGTGGCTAAACTAATTTACATTCCCACTAACAATGTAGAAGCATTCCTTTTTCTCTACAATCTTGCAAATATCTGTTATTTTCTGACTTTTTAATAATAGCCATTCTGACTGGTATGAGGTGGTATCTCATTGTGATTTTGATATACATTTCTCTACTGATTAGTGATGTTGAGAATTTTTCATATGCTTCTTAGCCACATGTACGTCTTCTTTTGAGAAGTTTATGTCCATCACCTATTCTTTAAATGGGGTTGGTTATTACTTGTTGATTTGTTTAAGTTCCTTATAGATTCTGGATATTAGACCTTTGTCAGATTCATAGTTTGCAAATATTTTTATGCTCATGGATGAGAAAAATCAATATTGTTAAAATGGCCATACTGCTCAAAGCAATTTACAGATTCAATGCCATATCTGTCAAACTACAAATGTCATTTTTCACAGAGCTAGAAAAACTATTTTAAAAGTCATGTGGAACCAAAAAAAGAGCCTGAATAACTAAAGCAATCCTAAGCAAAAAGAACAATGCTGGAGACATCACACTACCCGACTTCAAACTATATGACTAGGCTACAGTAATGGAAACAGCATAGTACTGGTACAAAAAGAGGCACATAGACCAATGAAACAGAGTAGAGAGCTCAGAAAGAACGTGACACATCTACAACCATCTGATGTTTCACAAAGTCAGCAAAAGTACACTATGGGAAAAGGACGCCTTATTCAATAAATGGTGCTTGGATAACTAGCTAGTAATATGCAGAAAATTGAAACTGGACTCCTTCTTTCCCAATATACAAAAACCAACTCAAGATAAATTAAAAACTTAAATGTAAGACTTAAAACTATAAAAACCCTAGAACAAAATCTAGGACATACCATTCTGCACATAGCCCTTGGCAAAGATTTCATGACAATGTCTCCAAAAGCAATTGCAACAAAAACAAGAATTGACAAATAGGACCTAATTAAACTAAAGAGCTCCTGCACACAAAAGAAACTATCAACAAAGTAAACAGACAGTCTACTGAATGGGCAAAAATATTTGGTTTTAGAAAGGATGAAACCAAATTGTTACTCTCAGGTGACTGATTATATACATAGAGAACACCAAATAATTTGGATATAAGACACCTCATTCTCTCAAAAAACAACATTTTTATATGTCAGAAAACAAAAGAATGTAGGGGAAATATTACTCTTAGCATAGAGAAAATAGCAATAAAAAATTGCAAGTGACAAGGAGAGCATAGTGCTTATGGTCATTATTGTAAAGGTATGAGTTCCCACCTGGAATATGATAGCAAGATAAGGGGACGGGCCTCAGCAGGCAGTGCAAACTGATCTCACTGCAGCTTAATACATAATGAGTGTCTTCACACCTCATTGATCTCATCTGAGGTCTGGTTGAAACAGTAAATTGTTCATTTTCATTGCTGACTAGAATTCCACTGGATGAATATGCATTGATGGAAGAATGGACAATAGGCTGTTTTGTTTTTGTGTTAACTCGGTTAATAGTTAGGATTGTGAGGACACAGGTAGGTGTATAATGCCCAAAATTTGAATCTGTCTCATCTCCTCTATTGCACAGAATACATAGCCTAGGTTGAATGATTTGTTTCTGGGTCTCCGTGGCTGCATCTCTTCAACTGAAGTCATGAAATCATGAATCACAGATTCTGAAATGTTGTTTAGAGACTTAGTTAATCAATTGGGGTAATACTTCAATCCATTTGTGTATCAACATACCTAGAAATTCCTACTTATCTACCTTAAAGACTATACATTTGAACTTATATTTGAACTAGTTAAAAGCATGAGTTCAGGTAAAAAGTCACATAATTACCAGTCTGGTTTTGCTCTAAGGCAAAATTTTGTTTCCCTGCCTTTGAAAAATTGCAGTGCCAGGGAAGTGCTAAGTTGTATTATTATGTCAGAAACATATTTGGGACTGGTGTATAAATTGTGATAATCCCAGAGTCTTTCAAGGAACTGAAGGGAATGAATAGATCTATTTTTTAATTGGTTTGGACAGCTGTCTACACAGCTGCATCCTGGCTATTTATCTTTGCCCAGTCACATGGTCCAGGACATCTGTCTGTGCTACTTTCCACCCATGAGAAAACTAATGAGGTCATCAGATACGCACTTTAGCCAGAGCTGGAAAGGATCAGCTAACACTGGGATGACTGCTGGCCTGGCTTTTCATGACATGGTAGGCACATGTTTTGTAAAATATCTCATTATTTTTAGAGTGGCAATTCCAGAACCTGTGACACAGGACACATCTTTTGTTTGGGGTGAGCACAACATTTGTTTCTCAGTTAATCTCAGATGCTGGCTAATGCCATGTGAAAAGCTAAATGTTGACAATAAAGCTACAGGCTCTCCCTCTACTCCTGTTACCTCTACTACTGGCCTTTCTCCCTAAGCCTTTCCTGTCCAAATCCTGTTCATTTTTAAATAACCAGTCAAAATGTAATCTCCATTGTTAAGCCTTATTCTCTCTCGAAGTTCACATTCTCTTCCTGCAGAGTTTCCATTGAGCTTTGTTTTTATCTTGATTGGTATTTGTGTTCTCCATGTCTACTTTTCTTATAAAAACAACTGAGATAATGCCATATTTATCTTTGTGTTTGGTATGTTACAGTACTGATGAGTAACAAGGTCTTGATCTTTGTTGAATTATTTTATATTTCTAGATGAGTTATGGGGAATCCACTAAAATTATTAAGGAGGTCTTTTTGTGAATATCCTGAATAAAAAGATAATTAGTGTTAGAGTATCCTTGGGCAGAAGTACACTAAATATTACTGTCTACAAAATAATTGTATAATTATTGTAAACCTAACAAGTGAATATAATCCTACTTTATTAACAACAGGGATAAATTGCAGACTTAGACCAGGAAATAGGCTGAAAAGGCAAAACTCCAAAGAATATTAATGCAGAATTACATATTCCTGGAGACAAGTTGCAATCCAAGCAGTGTTGCAAGGGCAAGATGTTATTGAAAGGTTTCCTGTAGGTGTGTTTCTCTATTCATTTGTGAGTTTATTTGGAAAAAAACTATTCTAATGGATCTTTTGGATCTGCACTGGTTCTCTGGAATGGAGTTGGTCTAGAAAATGAGAGACTAATATGCGTTTCATAATTCTATAAAAAGCTGTCATCACTGTAGCAGGGTGACAGGTCAGTGGACTCAGCTGTAGCATAACCTTGGAGTGGGCTAAAGAAAGTATAGTGAAGTAAGGGAGATTTACCACCTTACTGGAACTAAAAGAGGTTTGAGGACCTATATTCAGAGTGGAGGAAGAGATGGTCAAACATACTTCCATCTATCAAGGATAAATTACTCCCCCATCCCAACCTCTCATACATGCATAAAATATCAAATTATGTGGTGTTGAGCAGGAAGATAAGCAAGGAAAAGTCCAGGAGGAAACCTTTGGTAGGGAAAACCATGGCGAATAGACTTGGGAACTATATACACAGATGCCCAATTGGTTTCTTTTTCTTGCATTGTATTTCCCTTATTCCACCCTCAAAGCTTTAGAAAGTATTGCTAAAATTTCAGTCTTATGTTTGCTGTTTTGGGTAAAATAAAAAGTGGAGTATGTGGTTAAGTTTTCAGTCTGTTGTTTCCTGATCTGAGTAGATTAAAGGGAGGAGCTTAGAGTGAGGGGACAGGGGAGAGTCACAGCAATGTGGAGAAGGAAGGCAAGAGTGAGCCAACAAGGGAGGCCAAGCAGAGACACCAGAGACAGATAACCACACAAAAACTCTGTTATTTAGTAGGAGTTCTATCCTGCGGTAACTGGACATACAGTGGCGGGCAATGATAGTGACTGGATGTTAAAGGTAGAATAATCTGAAGGCTGGAGATGAACTCTGGGAACACTGAGTTCATTCACTTCTTTTCTCTTAAATAGCCAGGTCATAAGTAGGAAACATAAGACTAGCCAAGAAGGAACTAATATAACAGTATGAATTGTTGACTTCAAGAGGGCAGGTGACATCATAGTGTGTGTTACTTTGAGAATGACATGGAAATAGACTGGAGTATGGAGAAAAGGGGAAAATGGGAAATATCTTTCTTTCTGGTGGGTCAAGGATAGCATTGGGTGATCTGCATGTCAGTGAAAATGTTTCAGCCCTTTTTGTCACTACAACATGATGTGGGAAAACAAATAAACCAAAAAGCAATTTAAAAAACATCAAATATTTAGTCATATATGAGAAGATCATTTGTTTCTTTACTGCCTTGCTTTGAAGGATTTTATATTTTATTGTTTTAACTAAAGCAGCAGGATTCACTCAATTAGGTAGGAAATCTCTAATCACAGACTTCCTCCTGACTCCTATGGAAGCTAATAAGAAGATCATTTACTCCTTTATTGTCCTGTTTTTGGGGATTACATTTTTTATTGTTTGACCTAAAGCAGTTGGATTGGCTCAAATGGAAAATCTCCAACCACAGCCTTCTTCCTGGCTCCTATAGCTCATGTGTGACCTTTGCTGTTGCATTGTGGAGCTTCCAGCACAGGCCTTGGCTGGGGCTTGTGGGCACAGATGCTGTCCCCTGAAAGGGCTTAGAAACATAAAATGAAGGTGGGCCAAAATAAGAGGCTCCTGGCTCGGCACATATGATGAGCCGGATGGAGGTGGAAAATTAGACATAATTGCCTCCATGTCATCCAAACTAAATGCCATTTAAAAAACTGCATATGGATTTTGTTTCCCTTTTGATTGTTACGGTTTTTAGAGACATCTGTGAGCACTTGTGGATATGGAAAGCAGGATGCCAAGGGTATAGTTTTGTAAAGGTTTTATCTTTCAGAAGAGAAAGCACTGAGTTTGGAGTCTGGATTACCAAGGGCTTAAATGTTGGGTTAGAGTGCCATTTCTACTTAGGAAGTGTGTTACTGTTGGCCAATTGCCATAATTCTGAACTGCAGATTCCACACATGTAACATAAAATAGTAGTACATTTTATGAAACCAACCAGCCCTATTGCTCATGTTCTCATTATTAAAATACTTCAAGACCATCAGACACCTCCCTGCCTGCAGGACAAGGTCTGATGTCCAACACTGATTAAAGGGAACTCTCTGGTCCTCCATATCTCTCTCTAATCATATTTCTCATACTTCCACTCTGACCCTTCACAATGCTTCCTTCTCTCCAGCCATCCTTGCTACTTGCATCTGACACTATTGTGCCAACCTGTCTCCTGTCTCCTTGCTTTTGTTTTCAGTGCTCTCTGTGTCTAAAATGGTACTTTGCTTCCCTAGTGAATTAACCAACTGAGTTATCCCAGGTCCTTTTTGGAGCTTCAAATCTTAATTATTTTATGTAATTAGCCTCCCACCATTAAAAGAAATTCCAAATACAATTAAGCACCTCTCTTTTGAGTTCGTTGTAACTTAAAAGTTTTTACGTTCCTAGCATGTAACATAGAACTTAATATACATAAAATGCTTAATGCTTTTGTTGAATGGATGGGCCAGTGAATGGGAAATTAGAAGTCATGAGATTGTATATTCATGATGTGGAAAGAAGCTATACTGACCACCAGTTTATGTACCACCCTCACGCCCCAGCCTTCCACACTCGCTATAGTATTTCCATCAAGATTAGAGGTCCAGCACCATCAGGAATGCTCAGAGAAAATGTGAGGCTTGAGTCAGGCTTTGAAGGGTGGTATAGGTACAGGGGAGATTTGAGGGAGAACTAGCCAGTGATGACAGCATGAGTTCAGGTAAAAAGTCACATAATTACCAGTCTGGTTTTGCTCTAAGGCAAAATTTTGTTTTACTGACCGACAGCTTTAGCTACTTGGACGTGCCCATCAGAGTTCTGGCCTTGGATAAGGGGTGCAGAGTCTATCACTCACAAAACCCTATGTCACTCAAGCTCTTACCTTTTTCAAACAACCTCCATCTACTCTTCTCCATTGTGGGGAGGATCACTTCTGTTCCGAGCTAACTTCTCCAACACCTGCTTCTACAATCCCAGCTCACTGGTTTAAACTTTAAGGTACATAAAAGTATTTTCCTCTGCATGGGCTATGAACATAACAAAATTTTTCTCTCCTTTAATGGTGGGAGACTACAAGTCTGGCCAGAGGTAAGCACAACAATAGTAGGGGTGAGAACTAAATAATGTCTGCTACCTATGTATTTTCCCCTTGTCAGTGTATACATATGCATCCATGTCCTGCTCACTTTAGGGTTATGTGTTGCCTTCTATGCTTTTGCTGAATGGATGGGCCAATTAATGGGGAATGAGAAGTCATGGGGTCATATATTCATGATGTGGAAAGAAGCCATACTGATCACCAGTTTAAACACCACCCTTGGGTGCCAGCTTTCAACAGTCGCTACAGCATTTCCATGAAGATTAGAGGGCTAGCACCATCAAGAATGCTAATAGAAAATACTTCAAGGCCCTAGAAGGCATTGAAGAATTTGTTTCTAATTTAGAATTTAAAGGTCTGAATATTGTCCTTCCAAGGAAGGAAAGAAGGTTGGAGAGGAATAAGTGATAGAGAAAATGAATTTTTCATAAGAACAAAACAGAAATTGCAAATGCAATGTTCTTGTTACCTTTACACAAAGTTCAAATATATCTTTTTGAAATATAAATTGAAATGTTGCAAAACTCCTGGTGCATTTTTTTGGAACTCTAGATTTTAGATATTAAAACTTAAAATCCAGTTATTTATACCATCCCACCAAAGTGAACTCAGCACTTCAGAAACAGACCAATGACAGTGTAAAGCCCTTTCTGCCAGTTGACAATTCCATTTTCTAGGATTTGAAGCAAGTCTTCGTAAAAACTAAGACTATATTTCCACAAAGCCAAAAAAAAAAAAAAAGAAAAAAAAAAACTAGTCAAGGTAATTTCCAAAGAAGTCACTTAAGATATTTACCTAATGAATTAAAAAGGCAAATTTTGATGGATATATTTGAACCCCTCTATCAGCCATTTGTGTGTTATATGGACACATCCTTAGGAATTGCTATGCGTGTGAGTTAAAAATTATGCCTGTAGCACCAAATTATCAGATCAATATAACAGTGTTAGGATTCCTGACCTAAAAATGTAGCCAAACCAGAGAAACAAATGATGCATGAAGCTCAGTGAATTCTCCAAAGATCTGAAGTATTTGGAAGTATGACCTTGTGTGACCCAAGTCATACTGAATATCTCCTGAGGCAATGTACACTTCTTAGTTTTATTTCTGATATTTAGAAAAGAAGAACACAAATCCGTCTCTTCAAATGCAAAATTCAGTCATCTAAATAAGACAGACACTTCCATTACCAAAGTTTACTGTTCTGTTTAGTATGTTCAATGAAAAAATCTTGACTATATTTCAAATCACACTTGCTCTTACAGAAGTAAAGACTGACATGCTTCCATTCAGACTTGGGTTTGTTTTCACATGGTGAGAATACTTTGTTTTCCTTTTAAAAAAATAAAATGAAAAAAAAAAAAAAACAAACACGTGAGCTCCAATGAATGCACACAGCAATTTATTTTGGTTAGGTTCATTTGCTTGTCATTCTTTTTCCTTAAAATGAATGATGCCAGGGATTCAGACAACATATTTCAAGCTGTAACCAGGTTTTGCTATGTGCCTTTCGGTGGCCTAACATAGGCTATGTGCATACTTCAGTTTTAAGTAACTTGTTTCAGAGATGGAGTGCCAGCTCGAATATCATATGTTTCATAGCTATCTATTAGCCTGCTGTTGGTAGGTAACACAGATATTTTTGATTTTCTTGAAGAGTAAAAACTGGCTTTGTGCAAATACTAAAATCTAAGGCTACAAGCGTGTTTCACTGATCTTTTATTAGTAAAGCAGTTAGGTGTCAGAGGTCCCCAGTCATCCTCTGAGAGGGAATTAATTTAGAGGGGAAGAGGTCATTTTATAATTCTCTAAAGCTGAGTATTCCATAAAGAATGCGAATTGCTTTAAAGAGCTGATTGGAAATCTTCATGTCAGGGGTTTAAAAAAACTTAAAAACTAGAGTTTGGTAAGAGAAACTCTATGCCTGGTGAAATGTCGTCCTATTCATCTCAGCTACCACTAGGAGCCAGAGCTCTTATCTCTGAGTGGCTTCTGTGTTCTGTGTTCTTTTTTTTTTTTTTTTTTGTTTCCTTACTACTGTGTTTTAAAGTCTTAACATTGAATCTGATTGCCCAATAAAGCTCTGTGGGCTATCTGAGTTTTACTTCTGTGTTTAGTGGAAAAAGTACCAGGCTTGGAATCAGGACTGCAAAGCCATGTTTGACAGTTGTGTGATCTTGAGATATTGCTCAATTTTTAAAAATAGAGATGTCATAAGATTCAAATAAGCTAAAGCATATAAAAATGCAGCCTACAAAAGGGTAGAAAATATTTAACATCAATAATTTAGATCGCAACACCCCATGACAGAAAATGGGTAAAGTCCAACAAGGTGACACAGAAAGGAGGCATAGTCGGTGACTTCAGCAACGTGGGATGTGCTTTTTCAGGCAACCTTCAACTAAAAAGTTGCTCTTTCAATGCCAAAAGTCAAAGTTGTGAAAGTGCTTTTCAAAATATAGTCCACATCTAGTAGTATCTGGACTGGGTAGGATGGCTATCCTAAATGGATGTCAGCAGTACAACTATTTCTATCTACAGGAGTCACTTGTTATAAAAGGACATTTAACACCATACAGCTCCAAAAAAATGTACAATGAGGTTAGAATAAACATGAATGATTTCATTGAGTCATGAGCCAATGGTGTTAATCTACCCCCTAACCCTTCCCTAAAATAAATACCTGCTTTTATTAAGAAGAAATGTATTATGAATACTGAAGCATTGAAAATATGATTGAAGTTTTTCTTTCTTTTTTTAAATGATTCTTTTCAGCCAACAATCTTGTCATCTTTGCATTTCTTACATTGATTTGGCTTTTCTGGGAGAGGAGGTGTGCATTTGCTTCAGTGTAGGTGGAGCAATTTGCAGGTAGGGCTCCTCAAGATGGTTCATCACTTGGGCTACAGTGGGGCTGTTCCCTGTCTACCTTTGGGGTTTACCTGTACAACTGGGCAGCATCTCAGTGGTGATGGTATGTATTCTGTCATTTACTCAGAAATAAGTCTAAGAATGCTAAATTTCAGAGCTCAATACTGTAAGGATGAGGCTCAGCTGCATCAGACAACAAAAGACTGCTTTTGTGCCGGAGTGGAGCCAGGGAGTGGCCATTTTATGGTCAGGCTGCTCCAGTTGTCTTAACCACTGAATTGTGGCCAACTTGCAAATATAAGATGAATTGCTAGGAGCCTGATTTGCAAATAGTCAATTCAGTCAGCCATACAGACACAGGCGGTGTAAAATGGAGGTCAGTTATACACTCAGCTGGCAAGCGATGAAGGGTTTTGCAACTTGAGGTATTTATATGAAATGAGTCCCATGCTGAAGAAAAGAAGAAAATTGCTTCTTAGGAGAACTGAAATCTGGAATTTATTCTGAAAAGAGGCTTGGAGAATATCTGGTCTAATCCCTTTCTGTTATATAAGTAAATTGAGGCAAAAGGAAATTCATAAATTGGCCAATATTACTAGAGTTAAGGAGAGAGCCAGGATTAAAATTCAGGATTCCAACCTCCAATTTAGTGCTTTTTACCGTACCCAGGGGAAATGTGTTCCGTATTTGCTTTCAAAATGCCTTTTCAAAAAGTTGCAACAGAGGGTGTCTTATATTTTACCCTACTCTAAAGCTGGTGTGAATTGATGAATGGGTACATAAAAGGAGGGAGGATATCAGACTTATTATGATATCCTTTGGATAGAAGAAGGGCAGAAGAGGGACATGAGGAAGAGTGCCCTCCTCTTTATGGTGGGGATGTTTAGTTTTTATTTTATAGTTTAGAATTAGACACTGTTGTACTTCTCTTTCCGCAATTATATACGTAGAGGTTTTCTTAAAAATAGTCGCACCCATGCTTCAAAAGTATGGATGCAACTATTTTTAATATGAGAAAAACAAGGCTTCAAAAGTATCAGGAATGTTATGCTGTTTTTATGTTAATTAAAAGCCACCTAAATGATATTTAAGTGCTAATGATATTTCTGAACAGTGGACTTCATGATATCCTGTAGGTAGAATTGGGAAGTAGCTGGTTCTGCTGTTTCACCAGGACTAATTAGAAGAAGGAGCATTCTTGTCTATTACAAATCATAGTCCACGGCCTCATAATGCATTTGAAAAGAAAAATTGCTTCTGCCTTTGTACATTTATTCCCATAATATTCAACTTGCCTAATCAGCAAATAAGAAATATAAACAAAATGAAGCAAACAAACAAAAGAAGTAAAAGGTACATACTATTGTCCATGTACCTTTCTTTGCTTATTATATAACATATACAAACTTCCTTAAATTTTTTAATTGAAAAAATGTGTGAAACATGAAAATATTTGAAATTGCATTTATTTTTATTTACTTTTAGTTTTGCCAAATCATTGGGTGGAACAGATATGTTTTCAACTTCTAACAGCCTATGACTTTTATAAAGCTAATTCCTCAACTATATTTATGTTTTTCACTTGCCTAAGAACCTTGATTAAACATTTGCTAAGGAATCAGAAAAAATTGATGAATATCTGTAAGAAGAAAGTTCATACTGTCACCTAATAACTACTACTCTTAACTGGGGGTTTTAAGAAGGAAAAACAAACAGAACAAAACAAAGATCAAGAATATCTTTTATAGTTGTGCTGCCGAAACTGCATTTATCGTGCCAGGATCCTATCAGTGATAACGTCTTACTGAATAAACAGGTAGTTTACCTGATTTCCATCTCCACAGCACCTAATAGATATTGTGGGAACACAGATAAACCTCATTTTATGTTCTGCTTTGTCACAAGAAAATTAGATTGTGTTCTTCTAAGGGGCATGAGGAGATAGATATATATAGATAGATATATATATATATATATATATATATATATATATATATATATATTCATTGTAATCATCCATAAAAATTACTTTAAGTTGAGCCACTATAAACTTTTTGGGCACATGCGAAATCTGGATGACATGTTTTGGCTCATTTCACAGTGACTTGAAAAAAAAAAAACTTTATACTTTTGAGTGATTTGCCACCGGACCTTTAGAAATAAGACAAATTTGTGGATTTTCTTCCTCAGAAGCATATTGCAAAAGAGAAGTATTGATTTTATTTCATTCAGGCAAAATTGGTTATTTATTTTTACTTATGACCATTATAAAATAGAGCTGAGCTGCCTTGTTATGATCAAGTAAGAATGATCTATATTGTTTTTCTGGATATTGAGTACAATCCAAACCATATTGAGGTCAGCAGTGTTAGACAATTTCCCAGCATTGAGAGGTGGCGATAGGATGAACGTAGCTTGTGGACAGCATGTCTGAGTCAGAGCAATAAACTCTGGCCGTGCATGCACCTCTATTAGGAGCACAAAAGAATCAGAAGCCTCATTTCAGACATGATAATGATGTAGACTTAGATGGCCATAATAAACTTGTAATTATTTTTCAGTCAATTGGTCTATTTGATGATTCCTGGAATGAAACACTCTAATGGCTGCACATTTAGCAGACACACGCATACAGGCACAACTAAATAAAGCAGCACGTTAGTGCCAAATGCCTTCGCCTTTCGATATCCCAAAGGACAACGCATCTAAAACTACATAAAATTAAGTTGCATACATATTCGTCAAACATTTATAGAATATCTGATTTTATAATTCAATATGCTAATATTTAGGATGGTGAAACTGAGGCCTATTATTATGTCTATTATTTTTTCCTAAGTTCTCAATCAGTACTTAAGCCACTAGGCAGCACTGGTTTGTTCGTGGTTCTATTAGAAATATTGTAGGAAATGACTTAGGGCATCTTTATCAACAGTGCTTCCTCAATCGGGTTCGGTATTACTCTACCTTGTTCTCTCACTTCAGGGCTCAGCCTGAATTATACCCCTCAGAAGGAACTGCACTGCTAATCTTGTCATCCTTCTCTCTTTTACTCTCTATTGTGGCACTCTGCCTATTTTTCTCCCAGCATTTAGAAAAAAATAATTCTAATTATGTTGCTTATATATTCATCTGCAAGTTTATTTTAATCTTCTCATCGTTATGAACGCTACCCGAGGCAGGGTCCTCATCTGTGTTGTTCATCACTCTCTTGTTAGAACACGAACAGTGCCAGGGGCAATGTTTTGGCTCCATTCATATTTAATAGTTGCATAAAAACGAGGGAGAATGGGGAGAAAAACATTAATAATGTTTAAAGTTCACAGGTGAAGGAGTCGAGGATGTTAATCGATATAATAGTAAGTAGAATATTCGTGCACGCTGTAGAGACATTAAGAAATGCTTTGAGGGGGTCAATGGGTGGTAGATTGAAGAGAGATTTAGAATGTTTGGAATAAATCAGAAAAGTTTGATAAAAGGTGGTTTGTGGTAGGTGGAATAAATGGCTCCCAAAGATGTCCATATCCTCATCTCCAGAACCCATAAATATGATGTGACTTTTCATGGCAAAGGGAATTTTGCACATGTGATTAAGTTAAGGATCATGAAATAGGGATCGTATCCTGGGTTATCCAGGTGGGCCCAATGTAATCACAGAGGCACTTGTAAGAGTAAGGCAGAGGCCGGGCACGGTGGCTCACGCCTGTAATCCCAGCACTTTGGGAGGCCGATGAGGGTGGATCACCTGAAGTCAGGAGTTCAAGACCAGCCTGACCAATGTGGTGAAACCCTATCTCTACTAAAAATACAAAAATTAGCCAGTCGTCGTGGTGCGCGCCTGTAATCCCAGCTACTCAGGAGGTGAGACAGGAGAATTGCTTGAACCTGGGAGGCGGAGGTTGCAGTGAGCGGAGATCGTGTCACTGCACTCCAGCCTGGGCAACAGAGCCAGACTGCTCAAAAATAAATAAATAAATAAAAATAAGGCAGAGGACAGTGAGAGAATGAAATGTGATTATAGAGGCACAGATCAGAGAGAAGGAAAGAGAGAGACAGGGAGATTTGAAGGTGCTGCACTGCTAGCTTTGAAGAAGGAGGAAGAGGCCGTGAGTCGAGGAAAGCAGGCAGCCTATAGAAGCTGGAATAGGCAAGAAAATGAATTCTCCTTTAGAGCTTCCAGAAGTAATATGACCCTGCCCATCCATTTTGGACTTTTTACCTCCAGAACTGTAAGGTAACAAGTTGCATTTTTTAAGCCACTATTTTTGTGGTAATTTCAGCAATAGGAAACTAAATAAGATTACTCTTTAATCCCAGTACCCACAGAAATAAGTTCTTCTTGACATTTAACATTATTTTCTTTTCATAAATGGACTTCTGATCAATGAAGACAGTGAAGGAGAATATTAGAGCTGACACTAAAAGCCCTTTGTCATATTTGAAATAAACAGTTTATTTCTAAATTACAAGTCATATTTAATTTAGCATTATATCCTTAGCTCTAAATATAATAGAAGTTAGTGTGATAAAGAAAAAGTATTAGGGAAAGCCCATATCTACTTCCCTTCCACATATTTGCATAAATTTCTCTTCAGAAGGTTCAGGAACAGCAGAGATGGCATTATCCACTTTGGTCACCTCATCCTCATGTCCAGTCTCAGGGAATGTGGTGAGTGACAGTCCAGAGTTTCAGAGTGAAGCCGCAGGCTTGGCACCCAGCTCTGTCTCTAACAAGCTATGGGACTCACAAGTCCTTTCTCTTTCCTGGTTCTCAACTTATCCATAAAATGTGTGTTAGCTTATGCTCAAGGCCCCTTCCAGCTCTAACTTCCTAGGCCCCAATTTAAGCTCTCTAAGAACTTGTATTCTTTCCATTTTTGTTAGCCTTGTGTTGTTTTCAAGGAACTATAACTAACATTCATCCGTTTCTCCAAATCACATGGTAGGTGGATTTAATTTCTCAAGGAGTTAGAGAAAGAAATCATAACTTTCTGGGAGACATTGAGGAGTCTCTGAAGAAAGAAGATATACCACATATATTTATCAGAGCTGACATTTTCATCTGATTATGAACTGGACACATTTTCAAGTGATCTTTCTGTTTTTATGATTTTGTTCAGAGAGTCAAACCAATGTCAGGATAAATGTTGAATTTAGTAACATTTCCCTTACTTACTATATTATTTAAGTTTACAAATCTGGGTGTGGCAAAAGAAGTGTTAACCCACAAATCATACAGCCTTCCAGTCTTATCTGCAGAGGATACGATCCAAGACCCTCAGTGGATGCTTGAAACCATGGATAATAGTGAACCCTGTATACGTTATTTTTTTTCTATCCATACATACCTTTGATAAAGTTTAATTTATAAATTAGGCACAGAAAAAATATTGACAAAAATAATGGATAATAACATGGAACAATCATAACAATATGCTGTAATTAAAGTGATATAAATGGGGTCTTTCTCTCCCTCTCTCAAAATATCTTCTCATACTGTAGTCGCCCTTATTCTTGCGATAATATGAGATGATAAAATGCCTACATGATCAAGGAGGTGAATTACGTAGGCTTTGTGACATAGTGTTAGGCTACTACAGATGGTCGCCAAACATATGATAATATGCTTTATGATTGTTTGACTTTAACATAGTGCAAAAGCTATACCATTCAGTAGAAAGCAGTATAAAACTCCATAATACAGAACAGCAGCAGTGAGACACAGGTCCTAGTCAACCATGCCATCATGAGGCAACCAAAACTCTACAGAGTGCTGTGTTGTCAGATGGTTTTGTAGTCTTATGCAAATGTTCTGAGCATGTTTAAGGTAGTCTAGGCTAAGCCAGTAAGTTAGACCTGTTAATCCATTTTCAACTCATGATACTTTCAATTGGCAATGGGTTTATTCAGAAGTAAACCTATCTTAGGTTGAGAAGCATTTATAGTGACCTTCTGATGATATGTCAGGAGAATTGTCTGCTTTAGGTGATCCTGGATCATCAGGCCATAGCTATGTAGATAATTGGATGTCAGGAGCAGACAGTGTTTATGGTTGGGGATCCATGGTAGTTGAAAGCTTTTTGCCAAAACCTTTTGGAAGAACACTGTAACTGAGCATTGTTCTCTCTTTTTAACTTGTCAAAGTGCTGCTTCATAAATTGCAATCATTTGGTGATCATACAGTTGACTTTATTGCTGTGTGCCATTGGAAGATTGTATTCCAAAATTTTGTCCTTTAATGTCAGTGCAATTTGAACCACTTTGGCAAAATTTTTGTAATGTTCACTTTACTGGTTCTCCCTCAGTCTTTCTTCTTTATCTTCCTCTTCCTTTGCAGATGACTCCACAAGTTCTCCTTATTACTTATTTGTTAACTGTTTTTGATGGCCTTCAATACGTTCTTCCAGTTCTTCCTCAGACATTTTTTTTTTTTTTTTTTGAGACGGAGTCTCGCTCTGTGGCCCAGGCGGGAGTGCAGTGGCGCAATCTCGGCTCACTGCAAGCTCCGCCTCCCGGGTTCACGCCATTCTCCTGCTTCAGCCTCCCGAGTAGCTGGGACTACAGGCGCCCGCCATCACGCCCGGCTAATTTTTTTGTATTTTCAGTAGAGACGGGGTTTCACCGTGTTAGCCAGGATGGTCTCGATCTCCTGACCTCGTGATCCACCCGCCTCGGCCTCCCAAAGTGCTGGGATTACAAGCGTGAGCCACCGCGCACGGCCCTCCTCAGACATTTTGACAAATCCTTCTCTACCAACTTGTCTTGCTGCATGAATGCCTTTTCTAACTTCTTCCTTGATTCCTGGGAAGCCTTTAAAGTTATTCACAACTTTGTAAGTTCTTCCAGCAGGCACTCACAATTTCTGGTTTTATTTTATCCATTGTCACTTTAATGAATCATATTGCATCAGCAACAGTGAATGATTTCCAGCACTACCTTATGCCAGATCAGAATCTGCACCAATTGCTGATCAAATCCAGTCAAATAGATAGGGTGGGGGTGGGGAGAGGGCATAAGTGGCCTTGAGAAATTGAATGTTGCCCTGGTGAAGGAGCTAAAGTAATGTGATTGTATTTAAAGATAAAAATACAACCTTGACATTTTTATTTTCATAGCAAACAGATTGAAGATGGCCAGGTGCATTGTCTATTATTAATAGGACTTTAAATTCCAATTTTTCCCCCTTCCAAGTATTTTATTTTTAACTTCTGAGATGAAACATTGGTGGAACATAAACAAGATGGCTTTTACCCACGTTTTCTGATTATACTGCGAGGACACAAGGCAGATAATTTTTGTTTTTGTTTTTGAGGGCTTGTGGGTTCTTTGTTCTGTACACTACTCCAGGCTTTATTATATCTTCATAGTGTTGCCACATAATACCAGAGTTAGTTGGGGCGTTCCATAGTTTATGCACTGGTGCCTCGTTTGCACTTTTATTTTTTCTTTTTAAACAACTATAGGTTCTATTGGATATCGCCTTCCACAACAGCCTGGTTTAAGCACAGGTGAAGACATACTTTGTATGGTATTCTTTCTCCTTAATCAAATTCTTCAATTCTGCCAGAAATGTGGCAGCAGCTTCTCATTGGCAGATGCAATCTCTCCATTAATTTTTATATTTTTCTGTCCAAAGTTATTCTTGAATATGTGTAACCATCCCTTATTTGCAGTAAATGGTTTGGTGTCACTCAGTTCAGGGAATCCCTTCCTGAAGTCATTGTATAGGCACAATGCATCCTGATGCAACACAACGCCATCAATCAGAACACATTTTTCTATTCACGTTTTTCATCCGCAAATGTAATGCCTTTTCCATCTTCACTAAGCGCCTATCAGACACTGTGGCTGTAACTTTTTTTTTTTTTTTTTTTTTTTTTTTGAGACAGAGTCTCGCTCTGTCGCCCAGGCCGGACTGCGGACTGCAGTGGCGCAATCTCGGTTCACTGCAAGCTCCGCTTCCCGGGTTCACGCCATTCTCCTGCCTCAGCCTCCCGAGTAGCTGGGACTACAGGCGCCCGCCACCGCGCCCGGGTAATTTTTTGTATTTTTAGTAGAGACGGGGTTTCACCTTGTTAGCCAGGATGGTCTCGATCTCCTGACCTCATGATCCACCCGCCTCGGCCTCCCAAAGTGCTGGGATTACAGGCGTGAGCCACCGCGCCCGGCCTGTGGCTGTAACTTTTTCAGTTTAAGGTGTGACAGTAAAACTAACACAAATTTATTTTTTCTTCAACAATTTCATGGCTAGAAGATTTGTTCTTACTGTAGATCTTAGCAACCTCACAAAATGTTTTTTCTGACCTTATTAAGCCAAGGACTTCCACATTTTCACTTAAATAAAGCACTTCATGGCTCTCCTTGGTATATCTGTATCATCAGTGTCACTTCTCTTGTGTTTTGGTGCCATTATTAAGTGAAATAAAGTTTCCTTGAGCACAAATATTGCAACAGCTGATCTGATAACTTAGATGGCTACTAAGTGACTGACAGACAGGTAGAGTGTATAGTGTGGATGCACTGGACAGAGAGAAGATTTATGTCCTTGGTGGGACAAAGCAGGGCAGTATGAAATGTTATCACACCACTCAGAACAATACACAATTTAAAACTTACAAATTGTTTATTTCCAGAATTTTCTGTTTAATATTTTTGGACTGTGATTGACCATAGGTAACTGAAACTGCACAAAGCAAAACCATGGGTAGAGGGGTACTAGAAATACTACTCTACTTGCTTTTACCTGGGTTCCCTAATATGAGAACTCCCAATGTAGATGGCCTTAAGCTTGTAACTCACTTCAAAGTCTACAAGGATAGAGAGAAATTTGAGAAACCAAACACATTTAAGTTGTGTCTACATATACAAACTGGTTTTGGGAGAACTAGTGATGAAACTAAGTTAAGCAATTATTTAGGATGGGATTATCAACAGTTAATTTCTTACTACTGGATCTTGCTGAATTCAACTCCTCCTTCTCCAAATTCTGTGTGCAGACCATGACCTTAAAATTAGTGCTAACAGCAAAACCCCTTTACCCCTTGCAGATTTTCCTCTTAAGTCTTTCTTAGGAGAAGAATTGCTCCCATGGTGTGGCAAAAAGTAGATGAGTGTTTTGAAGAGCCATTCAGTTCATTGTTTTTAGTAATAATTGAAACATTGAGTTGAATAGTTTAAAGACCTGAATGAATCATCAGATTCAAAATCAGGATCTGAACGGCAACTATTTACAATTGGAACAACCCTAAGCTTCAAAATTTCTATCTTGACTGGGTAAACCAGGGCAAGTAAAAAGTTGAAGGAGTGATAAAGCTATTGGGAGTAAAATATTTAGAAATCTGAGAGATATTCTTTGAAACACAGACCTTTATTTCATGGGTAGATAGAGAGATATGTCAAGGATATTGCTGTTTGGGAAGAAAAGAAATTTCCCTTGAAGTACAAGAAGGACTGATTTATATTAATCATCTTATTATATTGAAGGGCTTAACAGCCACAGCACTGGATCAGTACATCTATGATTGAGTTTTGATGATAATGCTATTATCTGTGTAAGATCAGAAAAAAAATGACTTATCTTCATTTTTCTTGTTTTTACAATGGGGTTAATAGTAGCACATGATGGTCTATTCCTGGAAAGTTTTTGGGAGGATGAAATGAGATAATGCTTGTGGTTCCTGAAAAACACTAACGGTTCAGTGATGGTTAGCTCTTCGTATTACTGGTAGTATTTGTAAAATATGTCTTAAGCGATTCTTCTGGGCAAGCAGTGAGCTAGAATTTGAGGACAGAGTGCCACTGAGCAGCTCACAGTTTAATGGAACAACAGCCACATAATAAATAAGAGCATTATAATGTGACAAGAAACAAAGACAGACATAGGTAAGGTACATTGACTGTATGGAGGAGGAGTTAAATAATGGCATCAGGTAAATTTAGAAAACACTGTATAAAGGAGGTGATACTTGAGCCCCAATTCATATGATAAATTGAAGTTTCCTAGGAGGGAAAGTATTGTGAGAATGGGTTTTCTGCCTTTTAGTTTTAACGGAAGCTGAATTTGAGTGTGCTTCAATGTAATTTTATGATCAATTAATGGTGCATGATTTTATTTATCTAGTTGTTAGCATTCATGGATGTGAGAGAGGAATATAAGTGTATCCATTTGGAAAGGAAACAAGTGCCGGATTTTGAAAGGCACCATGTAGCAGTCTCAGGACTTTGGATTTAATCCTTTAGGCAATAGTCAGCCATAGAAACTTTAGAAAACTGAGGAGTAACATGATGACATATATTCTGAAATTTTAGAAAGATCACTGTGATAACATTGTTGAGAAAGGATTTTAGGTAAAAAAGACAATATATAAGGCGAATGCATGAGAGAGTCTTAATTTTAAGTCTGTGAGAAATGGAGGGAGTTTTATCTAAGACAGTAAAAGCAGGGATGGAAAGAAAAATGTAAATCTAAGAGGATGAAATTTAGGTTCTCAGAAACGTGAGGTATAAAAGAGACACAGATGTCAAGAATGACCATATTGATGGTTATAAATTGAATTAACTCTTTTAATTACTGACACTATTGTTACAGGACAGGGGTCCTGATCCAGACTCCAAGAGAGGGTTCTTGGATCTTGTGCAAGAAAGAATTCAGGGAGTCCGCAGTGCAAAGTAAAACTAAGTTTATTAAGAGAGTAAAGTAGTGAAAGCTACCGCATAGACAGAGTAGGAAGTTCCCGAAAGTAAGAGGAGGAATACATCCATCCTAGGTACAACGCTTGTATATATGGGGAGATGTGCTCTGCTACAAGGGTTTGTGATAAAGGATTAATTTTCTGAATGACTATATTTTGCAAGAATCAATATTATTATCTTTAAAGCAAAATTAGGAAGCCCTTTGTTCTCCAGATAGCAGGATATTTGGACACTCCCAAGACTGTGTCTGTTTAGTAAATATTATTAATTTGTTCCCTTAACCATAAACATCTAGAGGGTAGGAATGCCTAACTTTCTGAGAATGCAACCCAGTAAGCCCCAGCCTCATTTTTCTAGCCCTTACTTAAGATGGAGTCCCTTTGGTTTGAAAGCCTCTGACACTATTAATAAAGATAGGGTATACAGATGTGGCTTGGATTAACAAGTAGAGAGAGATATTATATTCCGTTTTGGAAATGATAAATGTGAGGTGCTTAGCTTACCTAGGAGTGGAAAGTCAGATGCCAAGTGTTATAAATGAGAGACTGAGTGGAGAGGTCTTGCATGACTGTGCTTGCCTGGGGGTTGTCAGCATGCAGGAGTTAGATGAAACCCACACAGCCACTGTACTTCCCCAGAGACAGACTTGAAAAGAAAGATTAAGGAGTGAGCATTATCTTTACTCAGACAGAGTACCTAGATGCTCCACCTATATTTAAACAAACAAAAAAGTAAATGTGGTGAAATGTAAAACAGTTGATGAATCCCCATAAAGAGCACAGGAGCTTCTTGTACTATCCTTACATTTTTTTTTCTAAGTTTAAAATTATATCAAAATAAAAATTTTATCAAAAAAATCTTTGCAACTGTGTCAACAGAAACACTATCAAATAATTATTCTAAAAATTTGTATAGGATGAAACAGATTGACCAGGTTGATGAGATACTTTCTTTTAATTAGATTTATTAATTGTTTTGCTAATGTTGCCAGTATAAGACTTTTACTTCAATATTAAGTTCTCTGATATGGATTAATAGGAAGTTGCCTAATTCTGTGATACTGTGAAATTTCCTGGTAATCCATAGTGAGGAATTAAGTGAATGTGTTATCATTCCAGTCAATGGGTAACAACCAGACCAGAATTCTTCATGAAAATGTAGGGGGGAATGGAGGGGTCAGTTACTAGGAAGTGCAGTTATAGGAATCCAACTTCAAGGCTGTAAGTTTGACATGTGAGATGAATGTTCATATTAACAGAACTCAGATAATTTATAATCTCTGACTTGGGGCTCTTACTTGGTAAATGCCATAAAAAATGACATAGTACGTTTTTATTTTGGTAACACCTTCCCATTTCCTTTAGCTTGTGAAAATCTATTGAAGCCCAAGGGCTTAGAAGAACACCATACTTTTATCTGTTTTCTTTGGGAGGATATGTACAGAAACAACTTATTTTAGTTCCTTGAATGTGGTCATATTGTACCAGCCAGAAGGGCTTTTTATGAGTCTTCCAATACAAGATAAAGTATATTTTGTTATTAGAATATCAGTTCCAGTAGAGATACCTCTTAAAACTGGCCATTTAACAGTCTTTGACATTTGGCTTTTAAATGCAAATACATATTTGAAAAAAATCCACAGAATTAATTTTTAATGATTTAAAACATGCAAAAGAATGTTTTCTTTTAAACTAAGAGTCATCAAAGAAAATTTTAATAATACAATTTTTATTTTATATGAAAAATATTTATATAATTTACATTGGATCTTACCTTTCTTCTCAATAATTTTGCTGTTTGATAATTGTTTTGTGTATAGTTTTTAGTAACATTTGAGGGTTGCATACGGTAACAGTGTTCTCTTCAGCTGCATGATCTTGTGTGAGTTATGCAACCATTCTAAACCACAGTTTCCCCAAAATGAAGATTGTAACAGAATATTTATCATCAGCTTATTATAAATATTAAATGAGATGATGCATATGAAATGTTTAGCATGGTGCCTCATCTATTCCAAGTAGTCAATATAAGTAAGCTATTATTATCTTAAGATGAAAACTTTAATAATTTTGCCTTTTTGGACTAATGCATCTATTAGTCTATTGGCACAGAAAATCAAAACATTCGTATTCATTAATGGTATGAATTGATCATTTATGTTTTTATTATCTGGTCAATTTAATTAAACTCACAATGTCATTTTATATGCTAATCAATGAATTATATAGTCAGTCAATATTTGTTTTTGAAAACTTACTGTATGTCCCCTGTCTTAGCCATTGTAGAGGATACATTATTTATATCTCCCAAAGGTTATTCTTTAGCTAAAAACTGAAAGCATGGCTAGTGTTTGGGTGTTTTGTGATGAACTTGTACCTCTTAGTTATTTCAATTCTCTTTAATTTAACAAATAGACATGCTCTACTTTCACAGAGGGAATATACAGATTATACAGTTAATGAGGAATATACAGATTATAAGGCTCAGACTGTATCCTTAAGAATCAGTCTAGTGGGTAAAACAAATCATCATAGTATAGGGTTATATTCAGCACAATAAGTATGCATAAATGATAAAATGCTAACAGATGGTAATGGAGAAAAAAATGACTGGTTATGTCTAGCAGGCTTCAGAGGACTAGATTGAGAATGGAAGCTTGAACTGGGATGTGAAGGATGAGTACACACTCAGTTCAAAATTCCAGGCAGAGTAAGGAGCCTGGAATACATGAAGAATGAAAGAGCTGGCATGTAAAAATGAATTACATGTTATTTGGTTGCAGAAGAAAAGAATTAAGTGGATGAGGCAGAGGAAATGGGAATAGATGGTATGGGCAGAATCACATGATACATCTTGTTTATTTCAATTCTCACCACATTTCTTCATGGGAAATCTAGTTTCCCCTTCTCTTTGGGCTTAAAGTAAAATTCAAATGTCTTTCCCATATGTTCTTTCCCTTTCCATGTGAGATGATAATGTATATATCTCTTCATGGGTGATTTTCTTGGGTGAAGAAATGAGAAACTAGAAATCTCAAAACAATAAAACATTGTTTTCCAAATGTCTCACTGCTGATCCCTAATGGAGCTTCCTTCCATTATTCCAAGAGCTGCAATGACTGCTGCAGGACCATAAGGGTTTCTTAGTCCCTTCAGTGGCACCAAATCAACTCTTGATTCTTCCTGAAGGGGTCACTGAGGAGCCCCAGTTAGCTGTCACTTTTTGAGAAATTATTCAGTCTCCTATTCTTACCTCTGGGAAACAGGCCTGTGAAATAGCCCATGTTGTCACATTTCTTGTTGATTTTTAGTTTTTTTTTTTTTTTTTTCTTGGCTATGTTTCAAGTTAGTTCGTTTTACTGCAGTAGCTAAGGGAAAGTTCTGAAGTTTTCTAGAAGAATCTGCTGAGCTGACTTCTTGGCAGCCAAAAATTCAGTGTTCTAGAATGCCTGGCCAAAGCACAAAGTTCACTTGTAAATAGTAATCTCCCTATTCACAGAGGGCAGAGAGACGCCTGTGTAAATACCTGGAGTAATCCTCAGTTTTCCTAAATTGGACAGGGAAACAAGGGCAGATTTCTGGACCTCATTCTTACCTGACTGAATCAACATCTCAAGTGGGGGACACGGGATCTGCCTTTTAAGGCAGTGCCTATTCCATAGCAACTTTTTTTCCTCACTAAAGTTTTAAGAGCTCTGATATAAACTAAAACATTTGAAGACACTGAAGGATTTTGAAGGTTGCGCTTTGGGAAGATTAACGTACTAGCGTAATACAAGATAGATTAAATCAAGGAGAAATTGGAGGCCATGATGTAGTTAGAAAGTTATTGCACTTCTAAAACAGGTCTAAGGGCATGAGGACAGATATTAATCTGGTATTTGGGTGGATGTGTGGCTGTAAATCATGGTAATAAATAGAGAAGATTGCAGTATAAATGTTTTCTTTTGATGTGCTTAAAAGACATCTACTGGCATAACAAACTCTGCCTCATCATTAAGAAATAGTGAAGAGATGGGCATGTGCTTTAACTTAAAAGGGCCAAATGTTCCCTGTGAGTGTTGACATGAAACTGGGAATTAAATATGACCATCCAACTTCTCCAAGAAAGACATGCACTGAATTAATAAGCTCGAGAAAGCTTCATCTCGCCCTAGTTGTGAATGCAACCAGATGGCCAGTCACACATGCCACTGAGAAACACTGAAGTGGTTTTGTCTTTTTTAAAACAAACTAGGTTTTGATTATTCCAAGATGAAAGCTATTATGGAAAATGTTCATTGAGATAGGACAACAATGAAGCTGACAAAAAATAGCACAAGAAACAAATAAAAATGAGAGGTTTTGTGGGGACAGGCACAAAGCAGGTTTCCAATTCTGCTTTAGTTACCCAGGTAAATGGAATTTTATAATACAAGAGCTGGACAGGACTATTGAGGCTCCAGTCTTCTTCACTATACAAATGAGGAAACAATTCAGAGATGAAGACTTCCCTGTGTCCTTTAACCTATACCACCAAAGCATTTTTATTTATTTCAAAACTGATGCAAGTCATACCAAAATAAACACGTATATGAGCACTATCTTACTGATTTTTAAAAATAAACTTCTTTTTAAACCAAGACATAACATAGATTCAGAAAAGTAACACTTAGCATTGTCAATATTCTAATTGATGAATATTTACAAAATGAATTATGTAAAAATGATGCAGTAAAGAAAAAGAACATTATCAGTAACTCAAAGTTCTTCTTATCCTCTTTCCCATTCACTATTTACTCTAAGCTTATGATCTCAGGTTGTTTTAAGTTTAAGCCTATTAAAAGCAATGCTATTTTGAAATATTTTTGTGCATGTCTTTTATAAATATACATGCTTTTCTAGAAGTATTAATTTTAGATTATAATACATGTGTGCAATTAACTTATTAGATTTTACTCGTTTCGTGGCAGATACTTGCACATGGACATTAAAATCAAATTAGCACTGTCAAGCTTGGGGAAAAGAATAGTCTGTTAATTAACTTTGCTAGTGGAATACTATGCAGCCATAAAAAATGATGAGTTCCTGTCCTTTGTAGGGACATGGATGAAGCTGGAAACCATCATTCTCAGCAAACTATCGCAAGGACAAAAAACCAAACACCGCATATTCTCACTCATAGGTGGGAATTGAACAATGAGAACACATGGACACAGGAAGGGGAACATCACACACCAAGGCCTGTTGTGGAGTGGGGGGAGGGGGGAGGGATAGCATTAGGAGATATACCTAATGTAAATGATGAGTTAATGGGTGCAGCACACCAACATGGCACATGTATACATATGTAACAAACCTGCACGTTGTGCACATGTACCCTAGAACTTAAAGTATAATAAAAAAAAAAGAAAAAAAATTAGATATGTATATTTTTAAATGAACCTTGATCCCTACCACACAATATAGACAAAAGTCAATGCCAGGTGTATTGTAGTAAATATTAAAATTTGAAAAATATAGCTTCAAGAAGTTATATTAAAAAATATTGTCAAGTACCGTGATGACTTTTGGGCAGAGAAAAAAAAACTTTTTATAAATTGATGAAATGTAGCCACATTAACTCTAAGACTTTCTCTTAAGAAATAAAAAGGTAAACAGAGTGAAAGATAATTGAAATACATGCAACTGGTAAAGGGAATGAATTCAGAATATATAAAATCTGATACAACTCAAAGAAAAGACAGCCCAATAAATATTGTGCCAGTCTGGAATGGGCATTTTAGGAGTGAAAATATCCTAATGACCAATTAAAATAAAAAACTAACATTAAACTTAGAGTTAAGTACTACCACACACACACTAAATTGGATAAAATTCATTGGAGAGGAAGACAAGCACTGGGTTTTCTCACACCCTGCTAATGGGAGTGTTAATTGCCACACCTATTTTAAAAGCTGTTCTATATTATTTATTAAAGTTATAAAGACTCTCCTGAGTTTACACCCCACAACATATATCCCATGAGACAGGTACTAGAATGCTCACAACAGATTAATTCATAATATCCCAACATGAAAACAACACAATATTTTATCCAAAATAGTACTGATTATTAATTTTATATATCAAATTACAGAATACAATAATTAGTATGGTAGGGGTACGCAAACTTTTTTTTAAGAGAGAATAAGGGAGTAGTGATAAAGAAGAAACATTGTTCAGAAGGTATTGGTGCTCTGCTTTTTTCCCTGGATGATGATTATCCAGTTGTTTGCTTTGCGATTATTCATTGAACCATTCACACATTTTGTATACTTTTCTGAAATATATTTTTATTTCACAGTAAAAATAAACAGAATCAACCAAATTTGATAAAGAATTCTTATACTAGAAATAGAAGAGGAATATTGTGGGGTAAAATCTAAAAAAAGAAAAACGTAGCTCCAATACTAATCAGAGTCTTTGGTTAAATTAACATGGCATTTTCACAGTGCCTTATATAAATCATTATAGCGTCCTGATGAAATAACAAGTCAAATTAGAGCTTTGGAGGTGGAAGCTCTCTCTGTAAGAGCCCATTTCTTAGTGATAACACAGCTTGGTTTAGACAAGGGATTAGGGGCCAAAGGATCTTTTTGAAGGGATATTCAAAAGACTAAGATTATTTGAGGTTAGCTTTTCTAATGTTGACATGTTCCAAATTGTAATTCCTCTCCCTATTTCTTAAGGTGGCAGCTTAATTTAATAAAGTGGGAAAATATATGATTATTATTCAGTGTTACGGAATATTCCTTCTTGTATGGAATGCTCCTCCTCCTCTTAGGTGTGCTGTATCTACTGCTAAAGGTGATTTGCACATGAGATAGTCTCATCCAAAGCTGGCTGACTAGGATTCTAGGAGGACTGCAGTTGAGACTGGGGCAGAAGAACATTCAGCATCAGGAACTATTCTTGCTGTGGACTTTTCTGGAGCCATTAGTATTTCTGATTCTTTCTGTTTCTGGAAACATCTTTACTGATTATTTTAATAAGACTTTCTACCATTCATCTTTCTCTGTGGTTGTAGACTGTTTTCATGGACAATTGACTACTTGACTTGCTCTCTTCTCTATGTAGCCTCATCCTTATTGTTTTCATATTTGTTTACATGAACTCTGGTATGCTCATTTTGTGTGCACTCAGCTTCCTGCATTTGACTTTTCACTTGATCATTTAAACTCCTGTTTCTTCTTACTTAGCATGAGCACTGTAAATTAACATGGATATGGATGTGGTAAACATGAAGTTTGAAAATAATGATTTTATAATAAAAGCAGAGAGAGATAGGAAAGAGACAAGAAACGACTGGGGAGAAAAATAGCCAGAAAGGCATGTGAATAAATAATGAAACAAGTGAAGAGATATTTAAAAAGGAGCTTGCTTAGAGATGCAATGGAATGAAGAACACTGAAGAAGTGTTGCTCACTAGAGTAGCTACAGGAAATGAGAAGAGAAGCGAGTGTTAGAAAGGATAGGGATAGTTTGTGGAAGGGTAATACGTACAGCAAACATTTAAAGATGAATAAATTGTTGTAATATAAAGCCAGGTTCAATATCTATTAAGAGCAAATAATATGCTTTTGTCCTGAAATTCCTTGGATATGGGACCCAGAAGTAAATGGCAACGAGTCATCAAATACTAGATCAAAGCATCATCTCATTGTATGATGTGTGTTAATAAACTGATTTAAGTATATGCCATCTTGATTTTACAAACAATAATAGGAGTTGAGTGAGAAGTGCAGAGTAGCAATTTGATAGAAATTATCCATTGGTTAGGTAGTGTGAGAAGTCCTGCTGGAGATAAAATGAAAGAACAGGTTGTGGACTGCTCATGCTGAGACAAAGCAAATAATCCAACTGAAATCAGTGTGTCACCACTGATATCCCCAGACCTCATGGGGAGTAGTCTTCATTCACTTCCCTATGCCATCACCTGCATGACTCAACCTCCCCACCATTGTTGCTTTCTCTTTTTCTTCAACAAGTATAAAGCTCTGCAATTAGACACACACAATGACTAAGAGCATGGAACTTGCAGTCAGATCTAATGGTGACACAGAAAACAAATATGTAATTGGTCAGTTAATTATTTAAGTAAATGCTATAAAAGAGAACTACAGCTTGTTAAGATAGTATATAATTGGGGCGGGTATGGTGGCTCATGCCTGTAATCCCAGCACTTTGGGAGGCCGAGGTGGGCAGATCACCTGAGGTCAGGAGTTCGAGACCAGCCTGGCCAACATGGTGAAACCCCGTCTCTACTAAAAATACAAAAATTAGCTGGGCAGGGTGGTGGTGCCTGCAATCCCAGCTACTTGGGAGGCTGAGGCGAGAGAATCACTTAAACCCAGGAGGCAGAGGTTGCAGTGAGCTGAGATCGAGCCACTGCACTCCAGCCTAGGCGACAGAGCAAGATTCCATCTCAAAAAAAAAAAAAAAACAAAAACTAAAACAAACAAGATAGTGTATAATTGAAAAGCTAATGTGGACTGGGAATTTGAGAAAGGTGTTTATCCACAAGTAATGATATTTATGCTGAAATCAGCCTACTTTATGCTTTTAGCATACACAGAGTTACCCCCTTCTTTCACATCTCACCCAGTCCTTGCCCTTCCTGTCCTCTACGTGGAATTCTTCCCAGGGTTCCTTATGGTACATTGCCTGGTAACTATTTTGAAATGTTTGACTATACCTAAGCTTCGAACAGATTGGAATGGTGCACATCTAAGTGTTTGTTAATATATTCCCTAAGAACACACCATTTACTTTGTGCTCTCAAATATATCACATAACATTAGAGTAGAATGTTTTAGTCAAAAAAAAAAATATAAAAGCTTGCAACATACAATGGAAGGCTTGAGGTAGAGAAGATTGAGTATCACCTGTTGCCATCATCAATGTGTGGTCTAAATGACTTTTAGTTTAATATAATAGCTGCAGCTAATGTAACTAGCAGTGAATTTTAAATATTTTCTCATTGAAAACTACTCAGCAAAATTTTTCTGTTTTCAGCATTATAGTGATTCCTCAACAAGACTAAAGAAACAGCATGTGTAAAATACAAGGTTGAGCACAACATACTCAAATGGTGCCAGGAAGACTCATTTTGGCTGACATAGGGCACTGTCTTACTGCAAGGAAAATAGAAGGCAGTATGGTATTGCAGTTGGGAGACTAGGCTTTTGATGCTGGAAACTGAGTTAAATTCTGGCTCTTTCTCCCACTGCCAACATAAATGTTCATAGGTTACTTACTCAGTCTGCCTCAGTTTCTTCATTTGTAAAATAGTGATACATATTATATCATCACAAGGTTGCTTTGAGGATTTAATGGAATATTGCAAGTATAACAGCTCAGAAGAGGACTATACTAATACAGAATATTACTGCTACAAGTGATTGAAGCCCAATTTAAGTTGGCTGAAAGAAATAAACAAATAAAATATATTTTTGGCTTAGATAAAAGAGAAGGACAGGGGTGGGGTTGAACTTCAGGTCTTGTGAATCTAAGAAATCAAATTACCTGTCTCAACTTGTTCCATTGAGTCTCAGCTTCATTCTTTCCTACTGCAAATAGATCTCTTCTGCTTTTTGGAAGACATGACACAGGTTCTTTTAGACTTAATACCATCTTTCCTTGTCAATTGTTTGTACTTGGGGCATACGGTCACATGTTGATTTTATGTTGAGTCTCGCTAATGTCCAATGCTGATGTGAGTTTGCAGAGAGACGATGCCCAGTTAAATTTGAATTTCGAATGAACAGCAGATTTGTTTGTTTGAGACAAGGCCTCACTTTGTTGCCCAGGCTGCAGTGCAGTGGTGCAATTATGGCTCACTGCAAAGTCAACCTCCTGGGCTCAAGTGATTCTCCTGCCTTAGCTGCCCCCAAGTAGCTGGGACTACAGGGTAAGCCACCACACCCAGCAAATTTTTGTATTTTTAGTAGAGACAGATTTCTCCATATTGCCCGGGTTGGTCTCAAACTCCTGGGCTCAAGAGATCTGCCAGTCTCAGCGTCCCAAAGTGCTGGGATTACAGATGTGAACCACCAAGCCTGGCCAAACAGCAAATTTTTAAAAAATACATAATTTCTCATGCAATATTTGAGACATATTTGGACTAAAAATTGTAGATAATTGTTTTACTTATCTGATTTATTTATCAATACATTTTTTATTAATGGGTTCTTTGTATTCTGACAGAAATACCTTGAATATGTTGCTGGGCTCTATCTTGCTAGCCTTTGTAGTAACTTATTAGATAAGATCTAAGATAATGCCACATTATTGTTCTGTCATGCTTAACCCACAGTCGAGCTATAAGAAATGCTTATGCAATCTTTGTCCTGGTTAATGCTGAGAGTGTAGGTCACCAGTTTCCCCAACTCTTTTTTCCCCTTAAATGTTAGATACCTCATTTGTCCCCACTATTTGTCTCTTGTCTTTAGCATTTTCAGTCTGCAGTCTGGCATGATTTCACTGCACTTTTTCTCCTACAGGTGACACATATTACATATTCAGAGAGGTCACATTGGATTTCCATTCTCCAAGCCTGAGGTAAGAAGCAGACACTCTCTACCTCTACCCTTAGGAGAAGAAATTCTCAGCAAAGAAACACCTCCTTCCATGAAAGTGTCTTCAAATTCTTTCCATCTCCAAACCAAATCCTTCTATTCTCTATACTCCTTTGATTTTTTTTTTTTTTTTTGAAATTTGCATTGTGTTGGGAAGCTCACTTTGGTGCATTTTATCGTTTCTATCTTGGTGCTTTCAACACAATTCCTAGCTTAATATCCTGTCCATATGAAATAACACATAGGAATACATAATCTCTAAATTGTCTTCTTTCACTGCTTTTCTACATTATCTGGGACAGCTTTCTGCTGTTCTGTTCTGAGTGATTTTTGTCCCCCTAAATGTTAGATATCTCATTTTTGCTATACAAATTTTTTCTGGTCTTGAAGTTTATTTGCAAATATTCTTATTGTAACATCAGAGGAGTTGTCACCTAGTGACTATAGGAGCTACAAAGAAGCAAAATTATTTTAAAAATATACAAGAGCATGTGTATCCACAGTGGATGCATCTTTCTAAAAAGCCATTTTAAAAAATATAACCTTCCTTAAAATTCTCCAAGATCTCCCATCGCTTACCAGATAAGGTATACAATGCTAAATAGGACATTCATACATTCCATGATGTGGTCCTTGCTTATTTCTCTCATTTTTACCCTTACCCCTCCTCAGTGTGTACCTTCTTTGAGGCCATTATATTTAAATGCTTTAAGCTACTCTATGACTCCATGCCTTTGCTTACTCTGCTTCATTGTCTTAAATGCCTTTCTTGGTCTTATTCAAGTGGCAAAAAACTAGTCAGATTTTAAAACTCAAGTTGAAAAATCATCTGTCCTAAACCGTTTTTGTTGAGGTTCTGTCACCCCCCTCTCTCAGAGAACTACAGTCCCCTCCTCTCTGGTCTGTGGACCTCATTGATTCTCGCAAACACTACTGGGATGACTTTACAAAAAAAAATGATTTTAATTATTACTTACTTCTATTTGATTATAAATGTCTGTCTTCCTCTATCAGACTCTTAATTCTTTGAGCCAGAATCTATATAAATTTTCTCTGCAACCCCAGCAGCTAGTTCAGTATCTTGCACATGGCATATGCTCATGTAATGTTGTTCAGAGAGTAAATTAATAGTGTGTGGGATCCCCTTCCATGTGGTCACTTTGGGATGGAACATCATGCTTCTGCTAATGTGCCAGTAGCCAAACTATTTGGGGAAATTCTATTTTGAAATTCAGAGCCACTTCAGAGCCATACAAGAAAGCAATGTTAGTCTTAGATAGCTTTTTGTTATTGGAGAGAAAATAAAATATACTAAAATAAAAAAAAAAATCAAGTCCACCTAGAAGGTAAGAATTGAAAACCTTTAAGAAGATTCAAGTAGGCATTAAACAAGAATTATATGAAAAGGAGGAAACAGCAGAGATGAATGTATTCCTTTAAAGACAGCACCCCACATTATATACTGGACTACTGATAATGTTTTTCCGATGAAAAGTGCAATCTTTGTTTCTACAGTTATAGAGTACTGATTTAATTTTGTTTTCTACATTTTTTGAGTAATGTTTGAGAATATCTTAAAAGGTTACGTCCATTTTCTACTAAGTATTATAGGATCCGAGTCCATCTTAATATATTACCATTTGCTTCTTGTTGAAATAATAAAATCAACTATAAATTTTTTATAAAACTTAAAAATATTGTATTCTTGTTTGGTAATCTCAATATATGAGAGAGATTGAACATACAAATGGAATAATAACCAGACCACATACAAAACTAGAACTCTGACTCATTGCCTGCAGGAATCTGCCCAGGAAACCAACCCTTTATCTACAATAAACAACCAGAAAGCCAACCTGCTATAAATCAGACTTGCAGGTAGCCAGATTGCTATCACTAGCAACAACACAGGAAGCTAAACAATGATATCTATAACAATCAGCTCTGAATGGCCAGTCCTTGATTAATAACTGACAACTTTCCCGACTTTTGTCCCTGCTTCTAACTTAGGACCAATCACAGAGAACCATATATGTAGCTCCAAGCAATCACCTAGGTTGGCTCACGTGTATTTGGCCTGCGTACCACTTTCCCATGCCAATAGCTCCATTGGGGCACACTGGAAGCCTTCCCCTTGTTTCACTATAAAGCTTTCTTTCCCCCTCTCCTATCTGCCTTTGAGTCTCTGCCAAAACACAAGTAATAGTGACTTACTCCCTTGCTATAGCAAGGTCTGAATAAATAGACTTTGCATTTCTTACTTGGTTGGTTTTCACTTATTTCTATATATGTGATGCTCATATTTTTTTGCTCCTTCAGAACGTGATAAATATTGGACAACTTATGATTATTCTACATATTTTTGTCATGAAGAAATGTGTGGAAAAATGACCACAATTAATAGAATGCTTCCTTTATTTTTAGACTACAGAAAACTATATTTAGATTCTGATTTAACATAATAGCTCTTCTCAGTTTCTTCTTTTGTATTTTCACCGCTCCTGATTATCTACTTGCTAATTGCAGTTTTAATTATACTCTCATCTCCAAGGGTCAGGAACCTTTTTGAGAGAAGAAAAAAATAATAAGAGTAGTTAATATCCTGTTCACAAATAAACCCCAAATACTTTGCATTTTTTGTGAATCAGCAGTTCCCAGTTCTTTCTTTGCAGCCTATGTTTGAAAATTTACCTGACAGATGAGGAAACTACAGTGAAGAATATTTTAGTATGCAAGACACTAGTGCTGATCGATGGGAAATTACTGGGTAAACTGCTGTGATTTGCAATCTGCAAGTAGCAGCAGAATAGAATGCCATTCTGGCTTAATTGTTCCCCTTGGTAGCTGGTGTCCGTGGGATGCTACTCTAGCTGTTTTGAAATCACCTTATTCCTGGGAATTATGATCATGAGATCTCTTCACAGCTAGTCTGCTGACTTGTATATCATGTTAGATCAAACAAAATGCTGTAAATGCTAGCTAAGTTGGGAGCTCCAGGCTGTTTGTACTCAATTACAAATGCTATGTGAGTTTTATTTTTCTTTCTGAGAATGTACTTAGGAGAAGATAAATACTCTTTGAACTTGAGTTGTCTAGCTAAGACCTACTATGGTGCTTAGATTATACTTCTATATGTTTTGCCCTTGAGAATCTGATGTGGGCTGTAGTCAACAGAGTTTATTTAAAAAAAGAAGCAAAAGAAGAAAAGAAAGAAAGAAAGAAAAGAAAGAAAGAGAAAAAAAAGAAAAGAGAGGGAAGAAGGAAGGAAGGAATTATTCATTTTAAATCAACAAGAATTTTCTAATTTTTTTCTAATTCTCTCTGTCAGTGTGCCTTTTTGCTATGTCAAGTTATAAAGGAATTGAAAAACGCTTATTCTTTGAAGAAAGACCTGCAAATGAAACAAAGATAGAAGGCTGTATATATTTTGTCTTTTTATGCAGTCTCTCCTCTTTCATTTTGACTCTTTAGAACACCTGCACATGCCCTCCAGAAACAAGCACCTCTCTCTCTTGAGGTTTTCCCTTCACTGTTCTGGCAACTGAGTCATTCAGTACTCTGAGCACAGTGCTCCCTCTTGGGCAAGGCACCAAATGCCAACACATTTTATCCTTCTCCCCAAACCAAAACTTAACTCTATTCCTTTGGGGCATCTCCTTATGAATTTGGTTACAAATCAATTTATACTTAGGTGTTTAGAGATAATCCAAGTTTACTCACTATACATTAATATATATTTTAACAATGGACTCTTGAGAAAGGCCATGGTTCTTCATAATGGGAATTTAAAGCCCTATTGAAAGCCAGCAAGGGAGATGTAAGAGGCTGTTGGCCTCCCCTGAAATGACATTATGATAGGCCTTCTAACTTACCTGTGCAAAGCCCACCCTTGACCTTGATGTCATAAAGAACCAAATATGATTCCAGAAAGTTTTTGAAGGCTTTATTCCTCAAAACATAACCTGCCAAAAAAAATCCATAGAATATCCAGAGTGATGCTTTGATGTGGTCTTATTCTCTCTGAGTTGTTATTTCTATCTCAGGTACTCCATCTCTAGGTACTTCTTCTGAAGATAGCAAATCATTCCAGAAAGGGACTCCCTGCACACCCTCAGCAGGAGCTAAAATCTTGTGTGTTCTCTGTTCCCAACACATTTGAGAGAACTGAGATCTTGTTTGTAGAATTAGGATTCAATTTACCTGTTTCTGTTTATTGGTCCATCCCTTGCTATGTTTGTAGTGTGTACTGTGCCTCTATGGGAGACTAAGAGTAGATTTCAGATACCTCCTGCTCTGGCTCTATTCTGTTCTTTGGGCTTCCTATTCAGCATCAGCACCAGGTCTATGGGATGCAAACCTTCTTTTTAAGCTAGGGTTGCTGACATCTGCCTTCCTAGCACAAGGGGCTTTGAGTCACACAAAATTGAGATCTGCAGCTTCATGGTGTGACCTTGGCTAGTAGATTAAACTTTCTCACCATTATTTTGTTTTCGTTGTTGATTTTCAAAATGGAGCTAATAATAGCTACTTTATAAATATCTTTGCAAAGTTTTAGAGCATTGTAAAATGCATAGCCTGGCATATATGCTTGGTGCTCAGTAAAAATGTGGTCCTCCTGGCTCTGCTTTTCACCTTGCTAATCTCTTTGATTCTAAAGACAGATAAAAATTAACAAAGCATCTTTTTTTATGAAGCAAAAAGCACATAAAGTTAAAAAGTGTTAAATTATAAAACCAGGTCAAAGAATTACTTCAATTTTTCTGAGTCATTACTGAAGGAGTTAGGATACATGAATATGCTATGATTGAATTTATAGGTGGTATCAAAAGGATACCTGATCTTGCAAAAATGACAAACTATGTGTTGAATTTTGAGGAGTAAAAAATAAACCACTAGATGTGAAGTTTTTCCTTTACTGATTGTGAATCAGCTAGAGTCAGGAGTCGGTGGACTTCTCACTTCAAAGTTATGGAATTTGTGAAGCTTGTCTTTGGTATCCCTTCCTGATTTCTTTTCTCCTGTTACTCTTTCTGTTTTTTCACATGTACAATGACCTAATTTCTCTTCTCTTTCTCCTTAAAAACTCAAAAGAAACCAATAACAGTTATTCAAATAGCAGTCATTATAAATCACTAGTTTCCAACACTCAAGGACCTTTACATTTTCAACATTATATATAGGAGTAGAAAGATTGATCCCTAATTGAAGGGAATTGAGCCATTTTCAAGTACAGCAAGAAAATACTTAGAGTAAAACAGAAGCCCTTTCCCAAATTCCTGAAATAAACCACCAGTAATAATCATATTTGACTTTTCTTTTATAAAAACCACTGATCTTTGAATCTGTCCCATTGAAAAGATTAGAAGATTTGAATATGAGCATGGGTGCTTTAAGAGCTATGCATGCCCCTGAAAAGATCTAGAGAATAAAGTCCGGTACCTGTAAAAATAACATACTGTTATACACAGCATGTCCAGATATAGAACAGCACAGCTATGTAACAGTTTCAGTAACTGTAAAATTAGAGTAAAATTATTAAATATAAAAACATAGGATGACAAATGTGAATATGCTTTAAAATCATTTCACATCTATGGTACTGAAGCAATGGAGATTTCATGAATCAGATATCAGCATGTTCAACTAATATATGGACTTTTCAGGACATAGGAATAGCTCTTCCATCTTTTCACTTGAAAATAAGTAAAAAGATAGTAAGCTTGTGTTTTTCTGCAATAATATTATTTATTTGGTAATTTATGTAGTAAAATTACACAGTAACAATAATTGCTTTAATGACCCACTTTCATTGTTTTGACACACAGAAATCAATTGTGTTCAATACAAAGAAATGTATTACATAGAACTCAGTATTTCCAGATGAGCTCATTTAAATAAATTTGCTTACAATATTTAGAACTACACACACACACATCCCACATCAGTTTTTGTCCAGGATAAAGTTTGTATGACTGAAATGATAAACCCTGAAATATGATTGAATTGGATTTCCTAGTTGATTTAAGGCCTTACTGTTGGTTTAAGTACAGTCTTTTTCTTTGATTGGAATTGTGCTTATATGGACATATCTGGTGCATATGCTTTTAGGTATGCACGCAAGTCTTAAAAAACTAATTTATATTTGAAAAATGCAGAAGTACTTTTATTTATAAATGTATGTGTGTAGCAATAAGGCAAAGTTTCTTAAATAGATAATTAGCCTAGGAAGTGGATATGTAAGAATGAATATTTATATTAAATTTCTCACTCTTTCTCTGCAATAGACAGTTGGCCACTAGCCTTAGATAGCCAAGACTATTTTTATAGTCTATATTCTATATACTAAAGAGGTGCAAATGTGGGAATCTTGAATTTAAGACAGCAGGTAAGGCTACTTATAAACCCATGAGATTTTAAAGATTTTACTCTGTAATTATACAGACTTCTCCACAAGTAATTGTTTATATAAAGAGAGAGTTTCTTAGTCCATCCCTGCTGCTATAACAACATACCACAGACGGAGTAATTTATAAGCAACAGAAGTTTATTTTCACAGTTCTTGAGGCTGGGAAATCCAAGATCAAGTCGCCGGCAGATTCAGTGTCTGGTGAAGGCTCCGTCTCAGCTTTTTAGACAGCTCCTTGTTGCTGTGTCCTCACATGGCAGAAGGGCAAAAAGGCATAGCTAGTTCTCGCCAGCCCTTTTATAAGAACATTAATCCCACTCAGAAGGTCAGAGCCCTTATGACTTAATCATCTCTTAAATGTTTCACCTTCTAATACAATCACTTTGGGGCTGAAGTTCCAACATAAGAATTTGGAGGACACATACCTTCAAACAATAGGAGAGGGTTAGTTATTCAGTTACTCAGTATGTGTTGAACATACTATGACCCAGGCACTGTGCCAGATATTCAGAAGACAATGGTGACTAAGAATCCAATTCCCAACAATAAGGAACAGGGTTCAGGGAAAGACTGATGAGAAAGCAGTGGTTACAGAAGAGATCAGTGTTCTGTGATGATAAATAATGAAACATATAATGCAGCTACTTTAGGGAGTCATTGAAGACATTCAAGAAGAAACAAAGGATAAAATGAAACAAGAAGATGGTAGGAACAATAAAGTCATGAAGAAGGCTTTAGGTAGAAGGTGAGGATATGCTAAGGCTCAGAGAATTCCAGGGGATCCCAACATACTCAATACATTGTAAAGTAAAGGGGAAAATAAGGGCCAGGTCGTGGAAGGTCCTTACACTGACCTAAATAATTAAGATCGCATGCTGTTACAATAGACACCATGGAAAGATTAAACAGGAAAATGATCCGACAAGGCTGGACCCTTAAAAGATTACTCAAGCTGCAGCATGAAAAATATATTATTGGGGATCAGGAATTGGGGTGGAAGATACGCTGCTTCGAGATTTTGTAATTTTGAAAAGAGTATTGGGAGTCTGAAATCAGATATTTTACTTGTAGTGAAAGAAATGCAAACATTTCAGAGGCACTGTAATTAAGTGAAGGGAATAAAAAATGGTAAAAGCGGCCAGGCACGGAGGCTCACGCCTGTAATCCTAGCACTTTTGGAGGCCCAGGCGGGCAGATCACGAGGTCAGGTGATCAAGACCATCCTGGCTAACAGGGTGAATCCCCGTCTCTACTAAAAATACAAAAACAAAATTAGCTGGGCGTGGTGGCTGGCACCTGTAGTCCCAGCTACTCGGGAGGCTGAGGCAGGAGAATGGCGTGAACCTGGGAGGCGGAGCTTGCAGTGAGCCGAGATCGCGCCACTGCACTCCAGCTTGGGCAACAGAGCAAGACACCGTCTCAAAGAAAAAAAAAAAAAAAGGTAAAAGGGAAAACTGGTGCCTATTTTTCTGATTTAAGTAACCGGTTTCATAGTGGCATTGTTTAAAGCAATAGGCAGGATTTTAACAGGTACTATTTATTAGTCAGGGTAATTAATGCTAGCTGCTTATATTAAAAAATCTTAAAGCCCAATGGCATAGGAAAATTGAAGACTTGGTGTTGCTCACCTCATAGTTTTGATAAAGAAGACAGAGTTTTCCTAGTGGCCACTCAGGAAACTTGGCTTCTTCCATCATTTGCTTATTCTATATCAGGAACTTTTGATTCTATTTGCACTGGGGAAAGACAGAGAAAGAGACATTTTAAAAATACTTCTATGCCACTGTTTTTTAAATAGTATATATTGTTATCCTGACTAATATAAAAGTGGGATGATACCTTTGAATAACACTTTAAAAAAATAAAAATAAAAAAAAACTTTAAACATATGACAAATTTTAGTGATTAGGCAGCAAGCAGGAAGAAATGTGGCATCAGATTTTGGGAAAAAAATGCCTATACATGTTATACAGTAGCAAAAAAATTGGGGAGAAAAAAACACTATTCCCTGCAATAAAGTGAGAAGTGAACTATATGCCACAAGTGAACTGGCAGCTTTAGGTAGAGTTTGTTAGATAGAACCTTCCTTGTATATGTTTGTTGTCTGTGGCTGCCTTGAACAAGAATGTACAATACAGAGGAGACCTCAGGAGACACTTGGCCATGTTTCAAGCAGAGAGAGAACAGAGAAAGACCAGTAATTTGGGGGCTTGCAGGGCTGAAGAACTTGACTTTTTATAGACCCCAAATAATAAGACATGGAGTTTTAAATGGTATTAGCAACAAAGGATTAGTTATATTTCTCAAGTGAATATTGAGGGTCTTAGAACAAAGGTAAAATTAAAGACGTGTGATCCTCACTCAAGGCTAATATACCCTCAAGGTGGTCACCATTATGCTAAGAGAAATACATGTAGTCAACAAATCAAAGATATAAAGCCAATCTTGGAACTATGTTTAAAAAAAAAGTCGCAAACTGAATCCAGCAGTGCATCACAAAGCTAATCCACTACAATCAAGTAGGCCTTATTCCTGAGATGCAAGTTTGATTCCACATATGCAAGTCAGTAAATATGATTCATTACATAAACAGAACTACAAACAAAAGCATATTATCATCTCAATAGCTGCAGAAAAGGCATTTGATAAAATTCAACATCCCTTCATGTTAAAAGCCCTCAACAAACTAGGCACTGAAGGAACATACTTCAAAATAATAACAGCTGTCTATGGCAAACCCACAACCAACATCATACTGAATGGACAAAAGCTAGAAGCATTCCCCTTGAAAACCAAAACAAGGATGCTCTCTCTTGCCACTACCGTTCAACATAGCATGGGCGTCCTGGCCACAACAATCAGGCAAGAGAAAGAAATAAAAGGCATTCAAGCAGTAAGAGAGGAAGCCAAATTGTCCTTACTTGCAGACAATATGATTCTACACCTAAAACTGCCAAAAAGCTCCTTAATCTGATAAACAACTTCAGCAAGTTTCAGGATACAAAATCAATGTACAAAATCACTAGTATTCTTGTACACCAACAATATCCATGTTGAGAACCAAATCAAGAATGCAATCTCATTTACAATAGCCACAAAAGAATAAAATACCAAGGAATATAGCTAACCAGTGATATATCTTTACAATAAGAATTATAAAACATTGTTCATATAAATCAGACATGACACAAACAAGTGGAAAAACATTTCATACTCATGGATAGGAAGAATCAATATCATTAAAATGGTCATACAGCTCAAAGCGATTTACATATTCATTGTTATTCCTATCGAAATATCAAAAACATTCTTCACAGCATTAGAAAAGCTATTTGAAAATTCATATGGAACCAAAAAAGAGCTAGAATAGCCATGGCAATTCTAAGCAAAAAGAACAAGGCTGGAGGCATCATGTTTCCTGATTTTAAACTAAACTACACTATAAGGCTACAGTAGCCAAAACAGCATGGTACTGTTACAAAAGCAGATACATAGACATATGGAACAGAATAGAGAACCCAGAAATAATGCCACACACCTACAATCATCTGATCTTCCAAAAAGTCAACAACAATAAGCAATGGGGAAAGGACCTCCCATTCAGTAAATGGTTCTGAGATAATTGGTTGACCATGTGGAGAAGACTGAAGCTGTACCCCTTTCTTTTACCATATACAAAAATGAACTCAAGATGGAATAAAGATTTAAATGTACAACCTAACACTATGAAAACACTGGAAGGTAATCTAGGAAATACCATTGTGGACATAGGGGCTGGTAAAAATTTCATGACAAAGATGGCAAAAACAATCATAACAAAAACAAGAATTCACAAATGGGACCTATTTACACTAAAGAACTTTCACACAGCAAAAGAAACTATCAACAGAGTAAACAGATAAACTACAGAATGGGAGAAAATAATTGCAAACTGCACGTCTGACAAAGGTTTAATATCCAGAATCTATAGGGAACTTAAACAAATCAACAAGAAAAAATCTCATTAAAAAGTGGCCAATGAACATGAATAGACACTTTTCAAACAAAGATATACACACAGCCAACAAGCATATGAAAGAATGCTCAACATCACTAATTATTAAAGAAATGCAAATCCAAACGACATTGAGATACCATTTCAGCAGTCAGAATGGCCATAATTAAAAAGTCAAAAGATAACAGATGCTAGCAAGGTTGCAGAGAAAAGGGAATGTTTATACACTGCTGGTGGGAATGTAAATTAGTTTAGCCATTGTGGGAAGCAGGTTGGTGATTTCTCAAAGAACTCAAAGCGGAATTACTATTCGACTCAACAATCCCATTACTGGGTTTGCTGAAGAATTAAGGATTATAAAAAGGAATAAAAATTATTCTACCATAAAGGCACATGCACATGTATGTTAATTGCAGCACTATTCACAATAACAAAGTCATCAAATCAAAGTAAATGCCCATCGATGGTATACTGGATAAAGAAAAAATATATATCTGATTTAATGATTTTGCTACTGAGAATGGTGATGACTTTGCTTTTGTGAATATATATATATATATATATCTCAATCACATGGTGTGTATATCTATATATAGATACATAGACATATGTATCTGTATGTCTATATACATATACATAGACATACACACCATGGAATACTAAAGAGCCACAGAAAGGAACGAGACCATTTTTTTGCAGCAACATGGATGTAACTGGAGGCCATTATCCTAAGTAAACTAACATAAAAACAGGAAACCAAATACTACATGTTCTCACTTACAAGTGAGAGCTAAAAACTGAGTACATATGGATGTAAAGAAAGAAGGAAACAACAAATACCACGGCCCACTTGAGAGTGGAGAGACGGAGGAGGCTGAGGATCGAAAAACTACCTACCAGGTACCATGCTTATTACCTGGGTGTTAAAATAATCTGTACCCCCAAACTCATGTGGCATGTAATTTACCTGTATAACAAACCTGCATATGTATCACTGAACCTCAAAAAAAGAAAACAAAAGAAAAACCTTTGGGTATAATTATTGGTACCTGGAACAGACATAAAGCAAATTAATCAGAAGCATAGTACATTTTTGAGATAAATATATTGACAAATAAACCATAAAACCAATACGAAAAACAATCCACTTGATTGTTTGAAACATAAAATGATCTTTAGGGTTTCTACTTTCCAGAGGAAGGCAGGCTTTAAAGTCCATACAATATCCAAGTATGTGTAAAAGGAGGAACCTTTTGGGCAGACAGAAAAAACATATTTCCCCTTCTTCATTGCATCAGAATGGAGCCACGTGACTGAGTTCTGGTTGCTGGAGTGTGGCCAGAAGTTATGTCCACCCGTTGCAGCCTAATCACTAGAATGTGCTACATGATGTTTAATGTGTGTGCTCTGACTCAGTTGACCATGTGACAGATACTAAAAGACCACAGGATGGATGAAGCTACACTGGGAGAGCATTGATGTACATGAGAAAAAAAACTTCCAAGTGTTAAACCACGTGTATCAGAGGTTAGCTGTTACCCTAGCATCAGTCATTTTTTTCCATCAGTGTAGGCTTAAGAGACAAAATGATGCTTTCAGTTTAAAATAGTTTGACTCGGCCACCCCTTTGGGATGTCTAGAGTCCAATATGTAGGTCTATTAGAAATTGCAGGAGTAGACGACATTACCCAGGAATTGAGTATGCGGTGAGAAGAAAAGGGAGCCATGGGTCTTACCCCTGAGGAACTCTGTCATTTACAGATGGTCTGAAAAGGGTTGTCACTAAAGGAAGCTACTAAGAGTTGATCATGGATATAGAATGAAATTTAGGAGCCTGTATTGTCACTAAAATACAGAAAGCAGGTGCTTCAAAGAGGAAGCAGTTCACCATGCAATACTGTGCAGAGACATAAAAAAAGATAAGGGTTGAAACATACCCATTGGAGTCTCATTGATGATTTTCAAAACCAGCAGTTTTATAGGAGTAGTGAGTGTGGCTGCAGATTTCAGTGGGCTGGAGCCTGAGTTGAAAGTAAAGAAGAAAAATTGTGTAAGTGATTTCCAAGAATCTTGGATGAAGGTGAAGAATAAGATAATAATGTAACTAGAGGAATATATAGGGTGAAGGCAGGATTTTAAGACATGAGAGGATAAGAAATGGGTGAACGATTGACAGACAGCTCTTCATCTCTACTGGTGATTACAGAGAATCCCATCTTACACACATTATAGCTCCACTTCTAATCCCAGAACAATTTCCACACTTTTCCTACATTCCTGTGAAGTTAGATTGTAAAGTTCTTCAAGTCAGGGGATGTCTTCTATCTCTATGTTTTCTCCAGGGCTAAATGGGCACTGAGCACATAAGAGTGTCATAAATATTTTATTGATATTCAACCACAATAGGTATTGTCACTGCTTGATGAGAAATCAGACTCTGAAGAAAATTCATGGTATTACATTTCAGAAATAGGAATAGAATAGAAATTAGAAGAGAAACAGGATCCAATTTTCAAGAATTTTGATGTAATTTACTAGAGAGTTTTCAGAACATTCTTCTGTAAAGATTTTTAATATTAGTTTGCCACTAGCAATTACTATAGTATCAGATATAAAACTGCATGTTATAAAATACTTACATATTCCTATAATTGTAGTTTTAATGTGACCTTTTAAATTTTTATTTCATTTATTAATCATATTAATGCTAATAAACTACTACTAATAAGTGCACCTTCACTTTTATCTTATTTAACTTTCAAATTAGGTAAATCTAATCCCGATGCAATCCAGGAAGGTAGGCTAGAAGATATATTTCTTTCTACTTCGTGACAGATGGGATTCGAATTCAGTTTCTTTACTTCCCAGTCCAAGGATTTTGCACTATTCAAGCTCAATACATGCATTTTTGACATTTGTCTCTCAAATATTTGGCTGCATACACCTAGTCTGTTTTTGTGTCTACCTTCTTTTCCCTGGGTTCTTTGATCTTTGGTATGTTTGAAATGAAGGATAATTATTTCATCTAAATTTAAATGACGGTTTAACACACACATCCATCAAACCTATATTTGTTAGATGGTTTATAGATCATGAAGATTTGAGGACTAGTTCCATTTGAGAAGCCCATTCAGGCTGCCAGAAACCCTTTTCATCTTACCGGGCTGGCACTTAAGGTCTTGGCTCTGTATCCAATCTTAGGGTATTCAGGGAACAACAATATACTTGCTCAAATTCTGCAGATCTTAATAATGTTGCTCAGTGGGTAGGTAGAAACGAGTTAGTAGGGTAAGGATATTATCTGTGCCCTTGTAATAAATTGATGCTGTTTGTTATCCATAACTGTCTATAAGTGACCACAGTAGAAAACTGATACCAGTAAAAGCAGTGGATCAGGAATGAAAATCACTTCAAACTACAAAAAATTTTAATGTTTCAAGATTATCTCAAAAATACATTTAGTTTAAAAAATTGCAGCTCATGCTACTAGCTGAAGTTATAACATGGTAACTCCACTGTGATTATCTTAGCAATGGTCAATCCGCATTTTAATTGTCTCTTTGTCAAATTGCAGTTAATGACCTTTCCTTCTCATGAAGGTGGAATAAAATATGCCTTTGGAAACAGAAGGGAACATAGTCTAATGAGAAATTCAAATGAGTGATACGGAGCTGCCGAGCTTGCACCTAGTACTGTACTCTGAATGGCATGTTCTTAGTAATCAGATATTTTTGAAAATTATTTTAAAATTATGGAAAAAGATAATTAGTTGTCAGCTGGAGACATTTCGGAGTTTTGCAAGCCAATTTTGAACTAAGTTTTATACCCAACTTCCAAATACTTTGAAACTATGCTTAAATTGGAGAGTTAATCTCTCCTAGAAAACATTATCTTTAAATTTCCAAGAGAAGACTGCCCCTTAGAAATACAGACATGGTTTCAATGAAAGAGATCTGGACCGATTAATTGTGCATTTTATGATTAGGTTCACCAACAGATAGTTATATATACATATAGATATTTTGTAGACAAGCCATTTAACTTCTCCATATGTTAGTTTTTTTCACTTATAAAATGGGAAAATAATACCTGTGCTTTTTGCAGCAATTCTAAGGTATAAAATGTGTATTTCCAAAGGAATAAGTATTTAGAAAATATTTATCATTTAATGATGCAAGGTTTATCATTAATATGTCCAAAATTCTATATAATATTATAATTCACTAGCCATTGTGGACCTATAGTACTTCGAAATATGATACACTTTTCTTTTTTTTCCTTTTTTTTAGATTCTATTTTCAAAATTGGCTCACAGCTTGGATATATTTGAGTAAAGCAGCTCCTCCTTATGTCCCCAATCATATGGCTCTTGAGCATATAGGGAAGAGTGTGAAAGGAGAGGGTGGGAAACATTACATTAAAGATTGAAACTCCTAGAGTTTTTTTGATTTTTAGTATGATCTTTACATAAAAAAAAAAGGAAGAAAAAGAAAAAAAAAACAGAGTCTATTAAGGCATCTTCTATGGTCAGATATATCTATTTTTTTCTTTCTTTTTTTTACTTTCATTAAGTGCCACTAAAAAATTAGGTTCAATTAAACTTTATTAATCTCTTCTGAGTTTTGATTGAGTATATATATATATATACCCAGTTTCAAGCAGGTATCTGCCTTTAAAGATAAGAGACCTCCTAAATGCTTTCTTTTATTAGTTGCCCTGTTTCAGATTCAGCTTTGTATCTATATCACCTGTTAATATGTGTGGACTCACAGAAATGATCATTGAGGGAATGCACCCTGTTTGGGTGTAAGTAGCTCAGGGAAAAAATCCTAGCAAGTAGCATTTGGTTTCCTAGATAATGGTGCCATCTTTTTGGCACTGATGGAGACAATGAAATATTCATGAGTTTCTTAAAGTCTTTTGGAAAGAATGTGTGCTGGAATGGAACATTAATGAGCCAGTTTCTTCTGGTTTCATGCCAAGCAGGGGCTGTTAAATAATTAAGGTGTGACAAGCCAGAGTCTACACAGGAGGAGGTGGGAAGAATCAGTCGCTCAGCATTGGAAATGTTCCCCTGCCATCTTGAAATGAACACCCATCTGGTCCAAGTTATCGTACATTCCTTCGGGTATTCTCTTTAAAAACCTTATGGTATCCAATGCATTAAATTGTTTTGATAAAAACCTGCTTCAGGAACATTGAACTACTTCTAACATGTTTGGAAATCACTTAATTAGCCTTTATTGAGTGTGATCAGCATTGTGTTAGGCACTGGAGAGAGAAACGAGACAATTGTGCCTCAAGATTCCTGCCCTCTTGTATCCCCAAATTAGTTGAGAAGCTATGGAAAAAGTTACTGTGTGAGCAATTGTTTAATTTTTTAGAGGTTGAAATGCTTTAGGGAAAGATGCATTGACTGTTGAGTCAAGGAAGTTTTCACAGAAGATGAATGAGCTTGGGCCTTAGTGGAGATATTAGACATCCGTGAGCAGAGGAGAAAATAAGGTTTTATCTTAAGAGGAATAAGCAAATGAACAAAAGTATAGAGGAAGAAATGCACAAAAGAGGAAGAGCAAAAATATTCTCTGATGGTATATTAATAACCCTACAGAAAATAATGTCCTTGTTTTTCACACACTAAAATATATAAATAGTACAAGCATATGTTCTATAGGAAATGTTGAGTTGATGGGACAAAGTGTTGACTCTTCAGGATACACAAACTCTGAAAGCGAAGGTGGGTTCCCAGCAGAGATTGCTTTAGTCTTTCAGTAAAGTAGGCAAACTGAATTCTGAGGAGTTTTTATGAGTACAGATCTTTCATATCAGGTCATGAAAACAGACATTTTCACAGTCTTGCATTAAATATGCAAAATCTCATGGTTCTTTCATAATAGAAAGTATTCATGCTGCTTCCCTTGGTCACTCATATGTTATCCCCAGAATTGTCAGTCTGCGGCCTTCTCTGGAAGGCTGGGCTTTGCAGATCTTTAATGACTACATTTGCCTGTTTGTATTTCTGTTTTCCCTTAAGCAACTGTTACTAAGCACCCACTGTGCATAGAATTAAAGGTTTTAAAAATGGTGTCTCTCTCTCTGTCTCTCTCTCTCTGGCTTACAATCTAGTTTAGAGAAAAACACAAATAAGAACATTTATAAACAGTCACCCAGAATCTTACCAAATAAATCTTATCTAATATCTTTATGAATTTTCACTTAGCCTTTTTATCCTATATGGCATGTATAGATTATTTGTTCATTTTCTAGAATTATAATTCTGTCATATATACAGTTGATGTAATTTGTCCCCTTTGTGATATGTTAAAACATATCCTATTCGTTTGCAGAATATGCTTTTTAAAATTTTTTTGAGTCAGGGTCCCTCTCTGTTGTCACCCAGGCTGGAGTGCAGTGTTAACATCATAAGTAAGATCATAGCTCACTGCAGTTTCAAGCTGCAGTTTCAAGCTCCTGGGCTCAGGTGATCCTCCAGCTTCAGTCTTCCAAGTGGCTATGACTATAGGTCCATGCCATCAAGCCAGCTAAGGTTTTTATTTTTTTATTTTTTTTTTTTATTTTTTTTTTTTTTTGAGATAGATAGGGTCTCACTATATTGCCCAGGCTGGTCTTGAACTCCTGGCCTCAAGCAATCCTCCCACCTTGGTCTGGCCTCCAAAAATGCTGGGATTACAGATAGGAATGACTATGCTTGGCCTTTATTTGTAAAATATACTTAATTGCCACATAGCGTACTGAAATTTATTAAAATATTTCTTATTCTTGCACATTTGCATTTTATGCTTTATTACTAGCTTTATTACTACAATTAATGCTTTGATAAACATTATATCAATCTATAACTCACTCCTTTATTCTCAGGGTAATTTCCTAGATGTGAAATATTTGTTTCAAAATCTATCAGCATTGGGGTGGAGCCAAGATGGCCGAATAAGAACAGCTCCGGTCTACAGCTCCCAGCGTGAGTTACGCAGAAGACGGGTGATTTCTGCATTTCCATCTGAGGTACCGGGTTCATCTCACTAGGGAGTGCCAGACAGTGGGTGCAGGACAGTGGGTGCAGTGCACCAGGCATGAGCCGAGGCAGGGCAAGGCATTGCCTCACTCGGGAAGTGCAAGGGGTCAGGGAGTTCCCTTTCCTAGTCAAAGAAAGGGGTGACAGATGGCACCTGGAAAATTGGGTCACTCCCACCCTAATACTGTGCTTTTCCAATGGGCTTAAAAAACGGCACACCAGGAGATTATAAACTGCACCTGGCTTGGAGGGTCCTACGCCCACGGAGTCTTGCTCATTGCTAGCACAGCAGTCTGAGATCAAACTGCAAGGTGGCAGCGAGGCTGGGGGAGGGGTGCCTACCATTGCCCAGGCTTGATTAGGTAAACAAAGCAGCCGGGAAGCTTGAACTGGGTGGAGCCCACCACAGCTCAAGGAGGCCTACCTGCCTCTGTAGGCTCCACCTCTGGGGGCAGGGCACAGACAAACAAAAAGACAGCAGTAACCTCTGCAGACTTAAATGTCCCTATCTGACAGCTTTGAAGAGAGCAGTGGTTCTCCCAGCATGCAGCTGGAGATCTGAGAATGGGCAGATTGCCTCCTCAAGTGTGTCCCTGACCCCCGAGCAGCCTGACTGGGAGGCACCCCCCAGTAGGGGCAGACTGACACCTCACACGGCCGGGTACTCCTCTGAGACAAAACTTCCAGAGGAATGATCAGGCAGCAGCATTTGCGGATCACCAATATCTGCTGTTCTACAGCCACCACTGTTCTACAGCCACCACTGTTCTACAGCCACTGCTGTTCTACAGCCACCGCTGTTCTACAGCCACCGCTGTTCTGCAGCCACCGCTGCTGATACCCAGGCAAACAGGGTCTGGAGTGGACCTCTAGCAAACTCCAACAGACCTGCAGCTGAGGGTCCTGTCTGTTAGAAGGAAAACTAACAAACAGAAAGGACATCCACACCAAAAACCCATCTGTACATCACCATCATCAAAGACCAAAAGTAGATAAAACCACAAAGATGGGGAAAAAACAGAGCAGAAAAACTGGAAACTCTAAAAAGCAGAGTGCCTCTCCTCCTCCAAAGGAACGTAGCTCCTCACCAGCAATGGAACAAAGCTGGACAGAGAATGACTTTGACAAGTTGAGAGAAGAAGGCTTCAGATGATCAAACTACTCTGAGCTACAGGAGGAAATTCAAACCAATGGCAAAGAAGTTAAAAACTTTGAAAAAAAATTAGACAAACGGATAACTAGAATAACCAGTGCAGAGAAGGCCTTAAAGGAGCTGATGGAGCTGAAAGCCAAGGCTCGAGAACTACGTGAAGAATGCAGAAGCCTCAGGAGCGGATGTGATGAACTGGAAGAAAGGGCATCAGTGATGGAAGATGAAATGAATGAAATGAAACAAGAAGGGAAGTTTAGAGAAAAAAGAATAAAAAGAAATGAACAAAGCCTCCAAGAAATATGGGACTATGTGAAGAGACCAAATCTACGTCTGATTGGTTTACCTGAAAGTGACGGGGAGAATGGAACCAAGTTGGAAAACACTCTGCAGGATATTATCCAGGAGAACTTCCCCAATCTAGCAAGGCAGGCCAACATTCAGATTCAGGAAATACAGAGAATGCCACAAAGATACTCCTCGAGAAGAGCAACTCCAAGACACATAATTGTCAGCTTCACCAAAGTTGAAATGAAGGAAAAAATGTTAAGGGCAGCCAGAGAGATAGGTCAGGTTACCCACAAAGGGAAGCCCATCAGACTAACAGCGGATCTCTCGGCAGAAACTCTACAAGCCAGAAGAGAGTGGGGGCCAATATTCAACATTCTTAAAGAAAAGAATTTTCAACCCAGAATTTCCTATCCAGCCAAACTAAGCTTCATAAGTGAAGGAGAAATAAAATACTTTACAGACAAGCAAATGCTGAGAGATTTTGTCACCACCAGGCCTGCCCTAAAAGAGCTCCTGAAGGAAGCACTAAACATGGAAAGGAACAACCGGTACCAGCCACTGCAAAAACATGCCAAAATGTAAAGACCATCAAGGCTAGGAAGAAACTGCATCAACTAATGAGCAAAATAACCAGCTAACATCATAATGACAGGACCAAATTCACACATAACAATATTAACTTTAAATGTAAATGGGCTAAATACTCCAATTAAAAGACACAGACTGGCAAATTGGATAAAGAGTCAAGACCCATCACTGTGCTGTATTCAGGAAACCCATCTCACATGCAGAGACACACAGAGGCTCAAAATAAAGGGATGGAGGAAGATCTACCAAGCAAACAGAAAACAAAAAAAGGCAGGGGTTGCAATCCTAGTCTCTGATAAAACAGACTTTAAACCAACAAAGATCAAAAGAGAGAAAGAAGGCCATTACATAATGGTAAAGGGATCAATTCAACAAGAAGAGCTAACTATCCTAAATATATATGCACCCAATACAGGAGCACCGAGATTCATAAAGCAAGTCCTGAGTGACCTACAAAGAGACTTAGACTCCCACACAATAATAATGGGAGACTTTAACACCCCACTGTCAACATTAGACAGATCAACGAGACAGAAAGTTAACAAGGATACCCAGGAATTGAACTCAGCTCTGTACCAAGCGGACCTAATAGACATCTACAGACTCTCCATCCCAAATCAACTGAATATACATTTTTACAGCACCACACCACAGCTATTCCAAAATTGACCACATAGCTGGAAGTAAAGCACTCCTCAGCAAATGTAAAAGAACAGAAATTATAACAAACTGTCTCTCAGACCACAGTGCAATCAAACTAGAACTCAGGATTAAGAAACTCACTCAAAACTGCTCAACTACATGGAAACTGAACAACCTGCTCCTGAATGACTACTGGGTACATAACGAAATGGAGGCAGAAATAAAGATGTTCTTTGAAACCAACGAGAACAAAGACACAACATACCAGAATCTCTGGGACACATTCAAAGCAGTGTGTAGAGGGAAATTTATAGCACTAAATGCCCACAAGAGAAAGCAGGAAATATCCAAAATTGACACCCTAACATCACAATTAAAAGAACTAGAAAAGCAAGAGCAAACACATTCAAAAGCTAGCACAAGGCAAGAAATAACTAAAATCAGAGCAGAACTGAAGGAAATAGAGACACAAAAAAACCTTCAAAAAATTAATGAATTCAGGAGCTGGTTTTTTGAAAAGATCAACAAAATTGATAGACCACTAGAAAAACTAATAAAGAAGAAAAGAGAGAAGAATCAAATAGTTGCAATAAAAAATGATAAAGGGGATATCACCACCAATCCCACAGAAATACAAACTACCATCAGAGAACACTACAAACACCTCTACGCAAACAAACTAGAAAATCTAGAAGAAATGGATAAATTCCTCGACACATACACTCTCCCAAGACTAAACCAGGAAGAAGTTGAATCTCTGAATAGACCAATAACAGGCTCTGAAATTGTGGCAATAATCAACAGCTTACCAACCAAAAAGAGTCCAGGACCAGATGGATTCACAGCCAAATTCTACCAGAGGTACAAGGAGGAGCTGGTACCATTCCTTCTGAAACTATTCCAATCAACAGAAAAAGAGGGAATCCTCCCTAACTCATTTTATGAGGCCAGCATCATCCTGCTACCAAAGCCGGGCAGAGACACAACCAAAAAAGAGAATTTTACACCAATATCCTTGATGAACATTGATGCAAAAATCCTCAATAAAATACTGGCAAACTGAACCCAGCAGCACATCCAAAAGCTCATCCACCATGATCAAGTGGGCTTCATCCCTGGAATGCAAGGCTGGTTCAACATACACAAATCAATAAATGTAAACCAGCATATAAATAGAACCAAAGACAAAAACCACATGATTATCTCAATAGATGCAGAAAAGGACTTTGACAAAATTCAACAACCCTTCATGCTAAAAACTCTCAATAAATTAGGTATTGATGGGATGTATCTCAAAATAATAAGAGCTATCTATGACAAACCCACAGCCAATATCATACTGAATGAGCAAAAACTGCAAGCATTCCCTTTGAAAACTGGCACAACAAAGGGATGCCCTCTCTCACCACTCCTATTCAACATAGTGTTGGAAGTTCTGGCCAGGGCAATTAGGCCGGAGAAGGAAATAAAGGGTATTCGATCAGGAAAAGAGGAAGTCAAATTGTCCTTGTTTGCAGATGACATGATTGTATGTCTAAAAAAACCCGTTGTCTCAGCCCAAAATCTCCTTAAGCTGATAAGCAAATTCAGCAAAGACTCAGGATACAAAATCAATGTACAAAAATCACAAGCATTCTTATACACCAATAACAGACAAACAGAGAGTCAAATCATGAGTGAACTCCCATTCACAATTGCTTCAAAGAGAATAAAATACCTAGGAATCCAACTTACAAGGGATGTGAAGGAACTCTTCAAGGAGAACTACAAACCACTGCTCAATGAAATAAAAGAGGATACAAACAAATGGAAGAACATTCCATGCTCATGGGTAGGAAGAATCAATATCATGAAAATGGCCACACTGCCCAAGGTAATTTATAGATTCAATGACATCCCCATGAAGCTACCAATGACTTTCTTCACAGAATTGGAAAAAACTACTTTAAAGTTCATATGGAACCAAAAAAGAGCCCGCATCGCCAAGTCAATCCTGAGCCAAAAGAACAAAGCTGGAGGCATCATGCTACCTGACTTCAAACTATACTACAAGGCTACAGTAACCAAAACAGCATGGTACTGGTACCAAAACAGAGATATAGATCAATGGAACAGAACAGAGCCCTCAAAAATAATGCCGCATATCTACAGCTATCTGATTTTTGACAAACCTGAGAAAAACAAGCAATGGAGAAAGGATTCCCTATTTAATAAATGGTGCTGGGAATACTGGCTAGCCATATGTAGTAAGCTGAAACTGGATCCCTTCCTTACACCTTATCCGAAAAGTAATTCAAGATGGATTAAAGACTTATATGTTAGACCTAAAACCATAAAAACCCTAGAAGAAAACCTAGGCAATACCATTCAGGACATAGGCATGGGCGAGGACTTCATGTCTAAAACACCAAAAGCAATGGCAACAAAAGCCAAAATTGACAAATGGGATCTAATTAAACTCAAGAGCTTCTGCACAGCAAAAGAAACTACCATCAGAGTGAACAGGCAACCTACAAAATGGGAGAAAATTTTCACAACCTATTCATCTGACAAAGGGCTAATATCCAGAATCTACAATGAACTCAAACAAATTTACAAGAAAAAAAAAAACAAACAACCCCATCAAAAAGTGGGCAAAGGATATGAACAGACACTTCTCAAAAGAAGACATTTATGCAGCCAAAAAACACATGAAAAAATGCTCATCATCACTGGCCATCAGAGAAATGCAAATCAAAACCACAATGGGATACCATCTCACACCAGTTAGAATGGCAATCATTAAAAAGTCAGGAAACAACAGGTGCTGGAGAGGATGTGGAGAAATAGGAACACTTTTACACTGTTGGTGGGACTGTAAACTAGTTCAACCATTGTGGAAGACAGTGTGGCGATTCCTCAGGGATCTAGAACTAGAAATACCATTTGACCTAGCCATCCCATTACTGGGTATATACCCAAAGGATTATAAATCATGCTGCTATAAAGACACATGCACACATATGTTTATTGCGGCACTATTCACAACAGCAAAGACTTGGAACCAACCCAAATGTCCAACAACGATAGACTGGATTAAGAAAATGTGGCACATATACACCATGGAATACTATGCAGCCATAAAAAATGATGAGTTCATGTCCTTTGTAGGGACATGGATGAAACTGGAAACCATGATTCTCAGCAAACTATCACAAGGACAAAAAACCAAACGCTGCATGTTCTCACTCATAGGTAGGAACTGAACGATGAGAACACATGGACACGGGAAGGGGAACATCACACTCCAGGGACTGTTGTGGGGTAGGGGGAGGGGGAGGGATAGCATTAGGAGATATACCTAATGCTAAGTGACGAGTTAATGGGTGCAGCACACCAACATGGCACATGTATACATATGTAACAAACCTGCACAGTGTGCACATGTACCCTAAAACTTAAAGTATAATAATAATAAAATTACAAAAAAAAAACCAAAAAAAACACAAAATCTATCAGCATTGTTAATGATTTTGGCACATATTACCGAACTTTCCTAAAAATACCAATTTATTATTCATTCAATATATGAGAAGGCCCATCTGTTTCATAAACAATTCCTTGTCAATTTGTATATGATCTTTTAAAAAGATCTTTATTTCATAGATGAAAATCATGACATTGTTTTTACTTGCATTATGTAAAAAGTTGAAAATTTTCTCATTCAAAGGATACTTATATGAGATTTTTACTTGTGTGAGTTGTTTCATTGTGACGTTTTCTCACTCTTTTATTTCTATAAGTAGACTTTAATAACTATTAATAGTTATTTTTAAATTCTTCATAAAACTTCTAATAATTATAAATTTTATTTGAAAATTAATGAAAAATTATAGCTAAGGCTTGTTTATGCCAAATGCAAGCATAGAAAGAAAATTGAAATCTTATTATTTTTTGTCTTATTTAAGAATAGGTTTAAATTACGAGGCATAAGCTTTAGAGCCTGGTCATTTTCTTCTAATACATAGATCTGATTTTCAAACCTAAGGTCCATTTGTTGGTCTTCATCACTTGATAACACACAACCTCCTACCTGCTATGAGTTACTGATATTCAGACATAGATTCTTAGGAGACAATGCTGTTTTTATGTGTTTTTTGTTGTTGTTGTTTTTAAAGAGAACAAATGGTACATTTTATTATAAAGGGGAAATTTATCTTTAAATGCATGGAAATATTTGCTAATCATTGTTCCAACTTGGGGTTTTTGAACTTGCTCATTCATCTCCCTGGTTTCTGCCAGCCAGAGGTAACAGCATCATTCCTGTTAATGTATAATTTCACTCCTCTATGACATTCTTCTTGTTTTCCCATAGTCTTCCATGAACTGCAGTCTTTTTTTTTTTTTTTTGCTAATCCTTCCATGTAAAAATCATATTATTTGTTTTTGATATATAACTTGTAGCTTTAAAAGTATTATTTCCTCAAAGAAGAGAAAAAGTACCTCTGCCCTCAAAATACTTTGCACACTTTCTAAAAATTTAAGAACAGCTAATTTGTAGAGTTAGGAAAAGGGAATCTTATTATTTTAGAATGTGCTGAACCATTCAATATAATGCAGCAAAGAAATTTCAATTTTACCCTCAGACTAATTGCCCAGAAAGAAAAATAAATATACAAGAAAGTTAGCTATGTACAAAGTGGCCAGATGATCAATAGATAAGAAAGGCATTTGGGAGACGATGTATTTATCTATTCCTATCCCATCTCATTCTATTCATTGAGGCAACGTAGAATAAGAGAATGACATCAATAGTGAAGGAAAAAAGATAAATAGAAAACAAGACTAGAAAAGGATGAAATTAGTACGTATAACCTGCAGGCAGAGGTTGCACATGTAGCTTTAATCATCTCAATGCTAAAAGCAAAGAGGGAATACAGATCAGTTTAAGATTCACAGTGTCCATGAAAGCAAACAAGCTGATCCAAGAAGGAGGGCATTTCTTGATGCTGAGATGTACACACCCTATCTTGATGGATTTCATTGAAAATGTATTTTTAATATAATAACAAAAAGACTTGAATAAAGGGAAGAGATGTCAGGAGGACACAATGACCTCAGGCAAAATAATTGGGAACACTAGTATATGATTTTCTAGCATTCCATATTTTTCCCTATCAAAGACTTTTGACACTATAGATTCTTGCATAGTTTCCTATTTTCCCTGCCAAATGGTGTACTCAATGATAGTTATTCAATGATTATATTCTCATTGCATGATATGTGGTATAGCAGCAATACATTTTGAGAAAAAAATATAAATACATAAATATTTTTAAAGAAAGTAAAGACATTTGGGACCTGGATTGAGACATGGTACATATTGGTGCTGTAGTGACCCAGGAAGGCCTGCACCAGGTTTTGTTTAATGATAAGTATATCTACAAGTTGCAAAGACAATAGAGGTATATTGAATGAACCTCAGTCAATCAAATGACTTTCTGCTCTGTATTACAAGTTGGGCAAGCTCAAGGGCAGTCTAGTTCTAAAGGTCAGTACATTGACATGGGATAACTGAGTGCAGGAGTTAAAAGTCAATAAGGATTGTTCTTAAATTATGGAATTCTTGGGCTCACTAATGTGTTCGTTTTCCTGGTTGTTGGCTATCCTCAGAAACACTGCCTTTGGGCTTAGGATGGGTATCTGCACTCCAACTCTGAATTCTGTCCTCTGCCTCTCTTGAACTTTGCTTACCTTCTTTTATTATTCCTTTATTGAGAACTACCTTTTATCAAGCATTTCCTGAATGCTTGGGTTAAAGTGGAAGAGAAATCCACACCCTGCCTTCACATAGCTTGAATTCATAGGGATATAGACATATAAGGTTGAAGAATTGAAATGTTCCTATAGTTTATGGGATAATTTCTTGGGAAACCTAGTAGTCGTCCAGCCCTTGCCACCTTACAAGGCTATTTTGTTTTCCACTTTGTGTTGCTAAGTCAAACCAGAGTCTTACTTGCTTGCAGTTAAACTTGTCACATCAGGTTCTCGAATACTCATTGTGGGAACCAACCCCCTAGTCAGGTGTTCTACCAGTCCGAGAATCAGTTCATGCATTCCAACCACTGTCCTAGTCTAGGTTATTTTCCAACCTTCCTGGCCTGCTCTCTTCTATTGCTCCAGTAAACAGTATGGTTTACTGCATTTGAAAGCCAGGAAGAATTCAGCAGAATTCAGCTCTGATACTCATCAGGAGTGTGACCTTGCAAAATTATTTAACCTTCTGATCCAGAGTCTGTGAATAGGAATAATAGTGCCTTTCTCTAAAGGTTTCTGTGAAGGTCAAAGCAGATGAAATGTTATTCTCTCCCAGTGTCAGGCATAGCAGCCCTTATTTCCTATCTCAGTTCCTGAGAACATAGGTATAGCCAGTAAACTATGCCTGAAGGAAGGAAGTAGAAGTCTAGGAAACTGAAAAATAATTCAATGAATTTATAAGTTGGGATGATTTCCCTAGGCAGTACCCTTAAATAATCCATTGAAAGCTGTAATTTATTAGTAATGTTTGGGATAAAGTGACTTATCCTTTGGGAAATTTAAATGATGATGTAGTTCTCATAATCATTGTTGCTTATTATCTTGTATTCATGTCACACTTCAAAATATGGTGAGTTAACTCTATGTAGAAACAAAATTACAATAACTAAGAACACCCAGGATTGGTAATTGTTTTGTATTCAAATCTATTAAGACGTTTATTATCTCATCTTTGCATAGAACTTTGTAAAATATTTAGTGATTAATAAAAAACTTCAGACAAAAAGGTTTGCCGTAAAGGAGAAAAATGTAGTTTCTCTCATTTTTTGCAATAATGCCAATTTGTGTGTGTGTGTGTGTGTGTGTGTGTATGTGTGTGTGTGTGTATGTGTGTAGTTTTGAATAGCACTAAAGTTTAGGGTGTCATTGTACTTTCTAAGTGTTGATTTGTGTTTTAAATCCTCCAGCTGGTCTAGCATAAAGCAGCAATTTAGTTATATTTTTATTCAGTCACTCCCCCACACTTGCTCACACTTGCTCTTCCTAGGGCTATGAGCCTTTATTAAGGTTATAAAATGCTTTGACCGTCATCAAAGGCACAGTGACTTCCCTTGAGGTCCAAAGCATTAATGATGAGGTGAAATGCAAAATCATTATTGGAGGGCTGCATCTCTCCTACCTCAGTAGCTATTCAAATCATCCAATTGAAAGGTAAACCTATCCAAAAGCTAATAAAGAATTCTCCCCAGCAGTTGAAATATTGGACAAATTGCTTTTCAACTCATGATAGGATGTTAACTGGGTGACAGCCCAATGCTGCTGGTTAACTATATTCCACCTCTGTAAGCTGGGTAATTGATGGTCTTTAGGTCTGAAGGTCAACAGTTGTTGGTGAGTTTGCAATGAGAAACTTTACCATGGAAATAGGCCAGTGGTGAGTGTTTATGACTTGTCATTGTTTTAGCGTCAAAGTCTCTATGAGGAAAGCCATACTCATTTAGGGGTAGTGTCACATTTGCATTCGACAGTTTATGAAAACTTGAAGTGTACTGGTGGAAAATTGAATGGTGACAACATGAAAAAGTGTTACTTATGTGAAAATCAGTTTATAAAGACTGGATCTCATTCCCTTCCCTTCAAAAACAAAGCAGTTTGCACCAAAGTATGTAACACTCATGGGTGAGAGTGGTGACAAGTAAGTGTCTCCAGTAAAATCAATCTGTTTATTTCATCACAGATTTGAAGACTATATTAAAAAGGCTCATGTATTTGAGAGCTACAATAAATCATGAAAGTTCATCTTGACCAGTTATTGTCCCACTTTCATATATATAAAGTTACTCATTAGTTACATGGTTAAAAAATGGGGAAGTTCTTTAGGAATACATCAAAATTTGGATTCCTTATAATTATCATATTTATAGTGAGGCAGGTGCTCTTGGGCTTCGATTGCGTAATGCAATAATTTGATGTATACCCTCGAAAGATAAAATACATCCCATTTAAAAGGGATCTAAATAAACAACTAATTTAGGGGTATCCATCTAATTCCTGTGTCCACAGAGAACCCGGATCTATATAGGTGAAAATGTAAGTTGATAATTGTTGTCAACACATCATAATACTTTTTTGAAATAATATATTTACTGATAGATATAAAGATCAAATTATTTGCTTTTGACTGTTTGTTTTGACACAAATAAAGAGAAACAAGGCGGAAGCTGTGATTGGGCTAAAGGAGCTGAAAACAAGAATCAGAAAGATTAGTTCCACTCTAAATCTGAACATTAAAAATGTATCCTGTTAGGTCAGAGCATACCTAAAAGTAAAGTGACTTGTGGAAAGTATATAAAATCTGAACTTTTTGTTAAGTTTAGAGAACTAAATTTAACCCCTAATGTTTGTGTAGGTCTTGGTACTGCCAAAGCATTTCCTCATATAAACTGGGCGTTAGCACGTAATACACAGAGCACTGGACTGGGAATCAGAAGACCTGGTTTCTCAGAATGACTCAGACAATATCCATAACAAACTTAAATAGTTATTCTATTTGCCAAGGTCCTTAATTTTTTATGATACCAGATAATCTTTAAGGCTTCTTCTAGGTTCAAACTTCATGATGCATGTATGTTCATTACCGTTAAATGTGTATTGTACACAAGAAATCCATTAGGCTAGTGTGACTAGAGTTATGTACACTTGGACTTTGGGCATCTTGAAGGCAGGAGGTCTGCCTCCTAAAGACTCAACCATCTGTTTCCTCACTTTTGGAGGAGCATATATTTTTAAGGTAACAATTGAAAAAAAAAGTCTAATAAGGAGAATTTTAAGGCAAATTTACCTTGGACCTAGTTAGCCTGTGGTGTCCTATATAGAGTTAACTTCAGACTGGGCAGCATTTGGGTAATGCCTTCTAAAGGGTACCCCTCCAGACAGTGTTTGGACTCTAGTTTCTCATGGAAAAGAGGAGTGAAAGGAGAAGCTGAAGAACTAGTGGAACTTATGTCTGTGTCTTCAATATTTCCTATAGATGAATACAGAAAAACAAGAAAGAAACAAAACTACACCAAGCAATGCATTCAACATACTTGAAGGTAGAATATGGCTTAATTTTTAAATAAATAACTGTAATCACAAAAGAAAGAAAGACAAATGAAAACAAACAAGAAAACACCAAACTCTGGGAAGTTCTTTTATGAGCCTGCCATGGCACAAGACTTTGAGATCAAACGAGAGCAATCTGAGGAAAAGTGGAGGGAAGAAACAAGAGGGAAGCTGTGATTGGGCTAACGTTGATCTAAAAACAAGAATCAGAAAGAGTAGTTCCATTCTAAATCTGAACACTAAAAATGTATCTTGGTAGGTCAAAGCATATATGGTAGGGAAAGAATTTAATAATGTGTGTCACCTGACATGGCAGCCCCCCCAGAGCTCCTGGGGAAGAAAAAGACCAAAAGTGAGAGAGAAACATCTTTTGTCAATTAAGTGGCAAGAGAAAAAGCAAAAGGGGAGATAGTAGGGCTATGCAAGATAAAAAAGGACAAACAAACAAACTGGAGGACACCAGTTTTTCCCTCAATCATAAAAAGTAAAATGAAAATCACTAAAGATTCTAGACTTTCATACCGTGACAGAAGAATATGCCATTATAAGTATTAATTTTATAAACCACCCCAAATCCACAGAATAAACAGAAGACAAATAAATCTAAACAAAATTACTGTAACACATCAGAAAATATGTTTTAGCACACTTCAGCTGATAAAGATTATTTTTTTCCCTGTAGAAACATAAAGCAGGACTTACAGTCTCCAGTCCAGCATGAAAGAAGCTTAGAAGTGACTGCTCAATCCTAACAAGTAAAAAGTTGAAAAAACTGAAAAATCAACTCTTCTTAAATCTGTAAGGGTGGTAAGGTCATAGGACAAACTGCTGCCCCCAAAATTGGAGAGACAGACAGGCTGGATACAGAAAATCACAACTTATTAGAAGCAGAAACCCATGAACAGAAACCTCCATTGAAACTAGAGCAGGGGTAGAAAAGCATGAACTCTAACTGATGAATTGCTGGAGGCTGAGTGCTGAAGTAGAAAGTACAATAAACTTATTGATTGTTGTATAGGCAATAGGTAGGATTTAAAGTATACTATTAAAAATCAACAAACCAGAGAGTAAAGTGTTAAATAAGAAATCAGGGGACAAAAGAAATAAAATAATAAAAAGAAGTTAACTAGTTAGATTATATAAAAACATAAGTTGCGTGTATGTGTATGCATGTGCGTGTGTGTGTGTGTATTGCCCGAGAGTATATTGGGGCATACTTTTGCGGGGTGGTTCAGTGAGAATGCTCTTCCTTCAGACTTGAGTAAATGCTGTTGAAAGCACAGGTATCACTAGCATAGAAAAATATATGAGTGTATGTGCACAAATATGTATATATATACACATATATAAATTTATCTCTGCAATGCATTGTTTTTCAACTTGGAATTGAGAATGTATGTGATTTTTATTACATGAAATGTTGTTGCTTTGACAGAAATGGCAAGTGGAACTAACACTGTGCAAACCCTAAGCACAGTTGCTGTGTTTATCTCTGTAATAGTGATAATATGATTAAGGGAATACAAAATATGTAGGATATGGACTAGCCATAGTGCTGGTGGCAAAAGGGAAAGAAAGGACATTACTCTTGAGCAAATGAGAGATATAGTCAGTGTTGGATTTCTTCTGGTATGTTTGGGTTTTAGAATTATATTCTTATAGCTTTCTTAACAACCACTATTTATTAAAATTCTTTCAGAGGAAAAACAATAAAGAAGCTTGAAACACTTACTTTAGCCTCACACCTGCTTTTCCATGAAGTGCCTTAATAAAATGTTTTATTATCAAAACCATTGCATCTTAGCAGAAAACACATTTTAATTGCATGGGTTGACAAAAGGTGACTCATTATTTTGCAGAATATTTTCCCAGCCAGAGTCTGTGACCAGCTGCTCTTAGAAAAGCTCTTAGGGTTGAGCTTTTCTCTTACATATCAGAGCCCAACATATTCCATACTTTCAAAATAATTGCAAAATAAGTATACAAAAGTGTGAACTACTTTTTATTTTTAACAATTTATATAGAGATCCAGTTCTCCCTCTTTTAGACACATTACAGGTTGTCAGTTCCCTTTGTTGTTTATAGCTCCATAAAATTTCAACCCCCATGAACAAAAGAATATGCTAGTCTATAGAACTGAACTTAAATTATTTTGCTCCTACTCAGAAAGGTAGTTTAATTATTTCACAAACTTCCCTCATTTAAAACGAATTTATTCTGTCTTTGATGCTTACTATAAATTGCAACCATGCTTCATTCTAATATATTCTATTACTATTTGGATCCTCAGAAGATTTAAAGGGTGCCAATTTCCTGTACGATTTATCAGAAAATATTTAGCAATTCTGTTCAGAGCAAACTTATAAAAATACAACAAAAGATGTATTACATTGTTTTCATTTTAGCATGTTTTCAGAACTGGTAACCTAGTTCCTTCTTGCTTCCTTTTGACAAGAGTAAGTTTAAAATTAAATATTAACCCTTCTCTCCATAAAAATACACATATGTTATTTATTTAGGATGTACCAGTTATAAAATTGAGTTTCATATTTTTCTGCAATGCCTAATAAGGATTATCCTTCCTTATTAGATTTGATTCTCTTTCCTCATCAATTTTATTTAGTAGCCCTATCACCTACTCCCGTCTAAAAAGAAAATGAAAGACACTATTCCCTGGGTGGAAGAGGGAGGGTTAAACTTTCTTCTAGCATTTCTTTCTGTTTTCCAAGAGAAGGTATCTAACTAACTGGTGGATCGAATCCCAGAGCACTGACTGGGCCATGCACACCCAAGTGTTAGGTTTCTGTGTGTAAGAAGGCCATTCATATTGTGATGGTCAATTTTATGTGGCAACTTGACTAAGCCATGGTGCCTAGTTGCTTGGTCAAACAATGGTCTACTTCTTATTGTGACTATTTTTTGGCTTTAATAACATTTAAATCAGTAGGCTTTGAGTAAAGTAGATTACTCTTGATAATGTGAACGGGTCTCAGTCAATCAGCTGAAGGCCTTTAAGAGCAAAGACTGAGATTTTCAAAAGAAGGAATTCTAGCTCAAGACTGTAACTTCAATTCTTAGTTCAATCTCCAGCCTGTCAGCAGCCTGCCCTACGGATAATTTCTCTCTCTTCCTCTCTCTCTCCCCGCCCCCACTACTGGTGTTGCCTCTGGAGAGCCCTGACAAATACACCTGCTAGTGGGTCTCTCATATCCATTTTCTCTTTGTATTTGTCTGGTGGAGGAAGTTTACTACACAAGGCCCACTCTTTCATTTATATTTGTTCTGTGTTGTCATGCCCCTTCCATTTCATATGAGTACTCTACAAATAAAGATAAGAATTTTTCCTCAGAGGTAAGAAATCCCCAGACTATGAGTCCAGAGACTCCTGCATGGTGTCTTCTAGGCACCTGGCTAAGACAAAGTGATCCTTCCCCTAGTGTGTGTGGCTCCCTTAGGACCACAGATAATGCCAAATATCATCCAATATAATTATAAATCTTACATAATATGCCAACATATTCTAATGCCTAAATTTGTTGGAGATTGAGAGGGGAAGCTCTATGTTGTCTGAATCTGTCTAAATCTGGTTCTAACATAAGATGGAACCACTCTGGGCAGAAGATAGAAAAAAGTGGCAGAAAATCTCACCTGTTGAGGTCTCACTTTGCTCTAAACCCAAGGCATTTGTTCTACATTATTATATTATTTAACATCATTAAACTCACGCCATAATCCTGTGAGGTAAACATTGTCATGAGAACACTCAAGATCACAGAGCCCTTAAGTGTCTGAGTTGACAGCCACTCCAATAAAGGAACACCTGCTCTCATAGCTGTCACTGTTTGTTCATCTGCTGGCTAAGGTGATAGGGGTCCATAAACCCACAACAGAGGTGAGGATTGGCCTTAAATGTTAATTTTCTGAAGGTATTTAAATTATATTCTTCTAGAAGTTTTATTCTTCTAACCACATAATGAAGACTGTTGTCCACCAAAATCCACGTTCTTTCAAAATTATGGAGTTGGACTAAGATTCAGCTGTGTTATTGCAAACTGCATATCTTAGCCCTCTTAGCAACAAAGCGTTGCTATGTAAATGAATTGACATGTGGCCTTTCAGATTTTGGATATCTTGCCATACTCTTTTTTCTCTCCCTACTGGCTAAGATGACCAGGGCATGGCCAATCATGAAGTCATTTTCTGCAGATGGCAATGGCACCGTTCCCCTGTGTCTCTGAATCATGACAAAAAGGGAACAACCCACTTGCCAAGAACACCTAACCTGGACTATTACATGACTAAGAAACAGACTAGTATATCTCTTAAGTCACTGAATAATTGTTAGGTGTCTTAATACAACAGAATACCTTAGTCTATCCCTTATATTTTTAGTTAGTTTAATTAACATATAACATTTTACGATATGAAAATATAGTACCCTAAAATATTTCATTGGTGAACTTATTGTGATAATTAAATAAATATATTTATGCATGATGAAAATTAACTGTCCAGTGAATAAATTGGGGAAAAAAGATTACATCAAATTGGTTGAAGGTCAATATGTTTAAAAAAAAATTAATTGGTAATATTTGACTGTTTTTTCCTTTCCAGTGTATTTTAAAAGCAATATGTAGATTCAATGCCATATCAGGTGTGTGCTCAGTCTATATATGCAGGAGTACTTTTATTTCTTTGCTGCTCTTCATTATAGCTATGTCCTAAGCTTATCTCAAGCAAATTATATTTTCAAACTCATTAATAACAAAAAATGAAGACAGTATCTCCACCATTTGCTTGTTCATTTAATTCATATCATTGACTTCTCTGATGTCTTTTAATATGGCAGACTTTTATTACAGATGTTGGGTGAAGTCTCACTGAAAATTGGGCAATGGGATGGATGAATTCTCATAAGCATTTCAAACTTCCTCTAACATGGTTATTTTTATTAAAAAATTATTACAGAAAGGCCTTTCCAAACTTACTATTTTTTACTTACTTAGATAGCAGATCAATCTAGTGTCCTAACAATACACTTACATTTGTTTTCGTGAGCATGGAACAGGTGGGCACATATAAGAAATGTTAAGCTTCATCAGTCTGGCTGAATATAGATTTCCATGTGGTGATTTTCAACATGGTAAAGGGAAGAAAAAATTGGTCTAGCAACATAGCAAAGGCAGTAACTAGATAATTTCAGTCTTCAGCTCCCACCTTAGCCCACCTATAAACTTTTTTCTTTTTATTCTTATCTTCTACTTTTATCTTTCTATGGCCCCTAAATTCTCATCTGTGAGATATAATTTATGAAAACATCCATTGGGTCCTATAAATATTTTTAATAAAAACCCATTTCACTTGAGGAAAAAAAATACAAAATCCTTAACTTGGCTTCCAGTGAACACATTTTTTCCCATGCTGGCATGACTTCCAGTTGTTCTATATGTTTTCAACATTCCTAAGCCACAGTGACCCTTGTGTTTTCACTGTTTTTTAAAACATTGAGTACTTTTTTCCCTTAAGGCCGTCTCACACACTGTGTCCTTGGCAGGAATACTTTTTTTATCCACTCTTCTCTCTGCTTCAAGTTAAATGACACTTCCTCAAAAAGGCCCTTTCCAACCAAGCTTCTGTGTTATAACTTAGCACATACCGGAATTGTAATTTACTTTTGTGTCTGATATTAATTTTTGTCAATTTTCTGTAGTGAATACCTGTTGGTTTGCCAACTCAGTATTCCTTCCCATTTTCTATGAGTAGAAATATCTTTCTGGCAATTTCTTTCCTCACTCAGCCTTTGTGAGATATCTCCTAAAGATGTCTTTTCTGTTATAAAATTGTAACCATCAACTACAATTTTCTAGTAGAGAAATGGATGCCTAAATATAAGACTTTTCTGCTAGTCACAGTTGATTGAAAAAGGGCCAGAATTTTTCCATAGGATTTTTAAAACACAATTATCATAGTCAGTCTTCTCTCAAGAAGAACTCTCGTGCTTTTAGCAGCCTTGTTTCTACAATTTGAAGAAATACAAGATGTCTACAATAGAAGAGAATGAGGCTAACATGCAGAAATCAGATATGAGAAGGACACTGAGAGTAGCAGCAGTGAGTGAGTTCCTGGGACTAGTTCTCCCAGAAACCAGGTTATAACACTGACCTTCTTACAGAGGTACTGATTTTATGAGGTACTCCAGTGTCTAGATAGCTTAAGTTGGACTGCTGTTATTGATAATCAAGATTGTCCCAGGAGCTGTACACTTGACAAAGTCACAGTGTGTCTCTCTTAAGAGGATGCCCGATCTTTCTATTTTCTTTGAAGCAGACATATTTGCATAATTTTGCAAAGGAAGCTCTATATGTTAAGGGCCTATTAAACTACAAAGGACTCAAATACTAATAATTAAGTTTCCTTATTTCTATTTAGACCTTCAATGATTATGTGAAGGGCTTTCATTTTGTTTTAGGTTGAAATCTGAAAAATGTCCAGAGTGTGGAACTTTGCTTAGTACCTTGATTAAAGCCAACCATTCTAGATTGTTTTCCCTATTATGTTTCTTTCTATTCTCCCAAAACATAAACTCTTATTTAAAAATATGTTTAAAACTGTTTTTTTTTTTTCTGACAGAATTTCGCTCTTGTTGCCCAGGGCTGGAGTGCAATGGTGCAATCTCGGCTCACCACAACCACTGCCTCCTGGGTTCAAGCGATTCTCCTGCCTCAGCCTCCTGAGTAGCTGGGATTACAGGTATGTGCCACCATGCTCGGCTAATTTTGTATTTTTAGTAGAGATGGGGTTCTCCATGTTGGTCAGGCTGGTCTCAAACTCCCAACCTCAGGCAATCTGTCCGCCTTGGCCTCCCAAAGTACTAGGATTATAGGTGTGACCCACTGCACCTGGCCATAAAAATGTACTTTTAGTAAAATGTATTTATCTGATTTGTAGCATTTAAGACTTCCTATATTTGGTTAGCTCAGGTATGGTTGGGGGTGGGAAGGAACTCGACTATTTTGGTACTTTTTCCTGAGACTATTTTGCTAATGAAGGCTCCACAGATCCAACTGAGTGATGTAAAAATATAGGCTCCCTCTGTCTCTCAAAATTCCCACCCTGGGACCATACTCTTGCCACCTCACCATATGCTTAGAGTATTTCAGGGAGTAAAGTCAAGTTGAAACAACATTTCCTACTGTTTCACCATGATTGTTTGTACAACAGATGTAGGCAATCCATCAATGCCAGGAGGAACTGAAAGGAAAATGTTCTCATGACCATAGACACCAAAACACAATCTTAAAATTCTGTCTTAAAAAGCAACAAAGAGCAATATTGGGCCCCTTTTAAAAAATAAGTATATTAATATTAAAATATTTAAATGATCCATTTGGAAGTAGATTGAACATAAGCCAAATGGAAATAAAGATTGGATAGGTGAATAATTGCAATAATGACAATGATAACATGTAACTAATTATAGATTACAAAACGCTTTGAGCCAGGCACGCATTTAATGTGTACAGCAGTTCACATGAGGCAGTGTTTTTAGAGATGAGAAAAATAAAATTTAGTTAGGGGAAGTGATAGAACTAGTGTTGTCAGATGAAATACAGGGCATCCAGTTACATTTGAATTTCAAATTTTTTTAAGTTTAAATATGTCTCAAATCTTGCGTACTTATCTGCATTCGAATTTAGCTGGGTGCCCTGCATTTTTATTTCCCGAATCTGGTAACCCTAGATATGATACAACAAGATCACACAGTTAGTGATTGGCAAAGTAGGTAATCCTTAACAACCAGTGGAAAAGGTAGTAGCTGACATGAACTTTGAAGTCTCTAGTGTACACTCAGGTGGAATTATTGTCATTGGCAGGGCATTGCGTGAGACGTAACTTCACACCCCAGATTGCCAGGTGAGAAACTAGTTTGAAATTGTCCCTGACCGGGCACATATTCTATTGAGCCTTTTTGAAATATGTGTGGTATGTTGACACAGGTGGGGATTTACATTAATTGTAAAGATTTCTTCAGTGACTACCACATCCACCAATGGTTGAGGGTTAAAGATCTCTTCAAGTACAATGTGTGCTCTGAGATATTTATGAAGAACTAGCACATAATTAAAAAAATACTAACCAATGGGTTTCAAGTCTGAGCTTGGACTCTGTTAGGAAACAGATTCCAGAAGGGACATTTTGTGGACAATATAGAAACAAGGCCCTCTACTTTTCTGAACTTGTCAAGGGTCACTGTGGCAAGTAAGTGAAGACTTTGGTGGGCTTCTTGATTCAGTCTTCAAGGCAGACACTTGTGGATCCTACTAAGTACTACATATTGTTCCACTAATCACAGTTTTTAGGTTCTTGAATCTACATATGAGTGCAAAGACAAATAGGTAAGAAACCTATAGATTTTGTCAATGGAAGTTCAAAAATCTGAGTTATTTGTTTCAGAGTGAGCAATCATAGAGAAATTTCAGAAATGTACATATGGCTTTTTTTTCCAGATGTGGCCAAAACAAGAGTTCTATAACTTACTTTATAAAAAATAAAATTTAGTTAGGGGAAGTGATACAACTAGTGTTGTCAGATGAAATACATATCAAGCTAGACAGAATTGGATAGTGGTAGCTGGTCATGTTGACTTGACTGTAATAAGATGCAATTTATAGGTTTGGGCTTAGCACAAATTTTTTTTCCAGTGAACATATCCATAGAACACTAAAAATAAGTTCCCCCATGGGGAGTCAGAGTCATTAAGAATCCTAAGAAATGGGATCTTCTCCCTTAGGCAGCAGAGTTGAATGCATGGTGCTGTCTCCTAGGAGGAATTCAGTTGAAAGTTATATAATAAACTAGTACTACTCTGTTACATTTTAGGTGTAATCACCCATTTGAGTATTTCTTGACTAAAGTGGACTTCAAGTATCATTCCAGGAGTATGCCTCCAGTACCATGAGAAATGATGACATAGACTTCTACTGTGGAGTGAATGATACAAATGGGGATTCAGCAAGCCCCAATCTGTATGTGCTCAAACTAGGCAAAAAAACATTAAGAGGCTTAACACTTGACCACAACGACAACACTAAAAAGCCATAAGCCCCAGTATTGTGTTTCAGGGCAATGCTAAAATTTATAGACTCTTTAAAATAGAAACATATCGGCCGGGCGCGGTGGCTCACGCCTGTAATCCCAGCACTTTGGGAGGCCGAGGCGGGCGGATCACGAGGTCAGGAGATCGAGACCATCCTGGCTAACACGGTGAAACCCCGTCTCTACTAAAAATACAAAAAATTAGCCGGGCGTGGTAGCGGGCGCCTGTAGTCCCAGCTACTCGGGAGGCTGAGGCAGGAGAATGGCGTGAACCCGGGAGGCGGAGCTTGCAGTGAGCCGAGATCGCGCCACTGCACTCCAGCCTGGGTGACAGAGCGAGACTCCGTCTCAAAAAAAAAAAAAAAAAAAAAAAAAAATAGAAACATATCTGAAAGGGAGAAAACCACTTATATCTAAAGGAAACAATCCCTGTAAGTGATGGTGGAAAAGCAGATCAAATTCCAGATAGAAAGTGATGCAGATTTAATTAAGGAGAGACACAAACATCATTGTCATGAGAGTGATAGCGAAAGTTTGGGGAAAGCTCACTTGAGCCAAAACTTTAGAGATTTTGCCATGTGGGTGCTTTTCCATCTTCCTAGAACAACAAGATCAATAAATTATGACCATTTTTGGAATCAAGTTGCTGTTTATTCTCCTCAAATTGTGTACAGTGCACTATGAGAGAATGAATAACATTTAAGCATTTATGCTTAAAACTTCTTCCTTTAGAAATTATCTGCCATTCAAAATGTAAGTTCCCTAAGCTATTTGAGTGGATACTTGTGTCTTTGATGAGAAAATAAAAGAGATAGAAAAACAAAAGTTTTAATAGGGTTTTGCCAAAGGTGGAGGTATAACAGGAGAATAAAGATTGTGAAATTTTAACATAGTTTCTCTACTCTTTATCCTATAGGAAGTACAAAAACATCCTTGCCGTTTGCTGGAATGATGTACTGCTGAAGGCAATGGACACTGGGGTTGTTTGTCCCTAATCACAAGTGAGCAATACCAGATCTATTATCTCAGGTTCAGAGAAGTGAGGTGTCTGACCTTCAGACAGGATTGAATGCAGAGTAAAATAATTCCAAATATGGTCTGGGCATTGCATGTAATACAGAGTAAAAGTTATTGTAAGACACTTTCGCCAGTTTCTGTCACTTGGTTCCTCAAATGTTTAGTTCATTCTAATTACATAATCAGCCTTCTGATTCAATGAAGACTGATGGGATTGCTGACTTGCCACCCTGGAGTTCAGTTGGCAGCAAGTGAGGGAAAAGGTGAACTCTGTAAACAAGGTTTAGAAGCCCTTTTCTTAACTCTTTATAAAACAGAGAAGATGAGGAAGGAGAAAGGCACTGTCATTAAGCTCTTAGCCAGGGAATTACACATACACACACGTGTGTGTGTGTGTATTTCAACTCAATGTACAAGGACTTCTCAGCCCATAGCTACTTTGAACACATTGTTTATCCCCCATAGCATGAAGGACTAAAGGAACCAGAGATTTCATAATCTCTGGCCTGTAACGTTTTTGCTGAAATATCTGCTGTTATTCTAATGGGGTTTCCTTTAAAGGTGACTAGTCACTCTTCTTTTGCTAATTAATTTTTTTTTTCACTTTGACTTTAGACATTCTGAATATAATATGCTATGATGAAGCACTTTATGCAATGTATATTCCTGAGGATTGCTGGGCCTCCTGTAACTAGATGTCTGACTCTCTTGCTAGATGTGGAAAGTTTTCATCAATTATTTTCTTAAACAGGTTTTCTAAGCTTTTAAATAATCTTTCTTTCCCATCAGGAATACCAATAATTTCTAATTTCAGTCACTTTATGTAGTCCCAGACATCTCAAAGGCTTTGTGCACTCCCTTTTATACTTTTTTGTTGTCGTTATCTTTGTCTTACTGGATTATTTCAAAAGACTTATCTTCAAGTTCTGAGATTCTTTCTTCTGCTTGATCTATTCTGTTATTGAAGCTTTCAAATACATTTTGCATTTCCTTCAATAGTTTTTTTAGGTTTAGATTTTCTGCTTTTGCTTTATAAGATACCCATCTCCTTGATACATTTCTCATTAATATCCTGAGTTAATTTTCTAATTTCTTGAAGTTGGCCCAAGGGTGGAATGCAGCCCCGTGTTAAACTCTCAAAACTGTGCCTTGGGCCTGTGACCAGACAGAGCAGATTTCTTCTCAAGTAAGTAGCATAGAAAAGAGAGATCCAAATAAACACAATCATAAATGAAAAAGGAGACATTATAGCTGATAACACAGAGGCACAAAGATCATCAGAGACTATTATAAATAACTATATGATCACAAACCAGAAAACCTAGAGGAAACCAATAAATTCCTGGAAGCATACAACCTCCCAAGATTAAACCAGAAAAAGGAGAACTCTTACACAGACCAGTAATGAAAAGTGAGGTTGAAATAGTAATTTAAAACTCTCCCAACAACAACGAAGCCCAGGACCAGGAGGATTCACAGTGAAATTCTACCAAACATGCAGAAAGAACTACTACCAGTCCTCCTGAAACTTTTTCACAAAATCCAGGAGAAAGGAGCTCTCCCTATCTCATTCTACAAGGCCAGTGTCACCTTATTCGTGATAAATACAGATGCAAAGATCCTCAACAAAATACTAGCAAATCGAATCCAACAGCACATCAAAAAGATGGTACACCATAATCAAGTGGATCTTATCCCAGGGATTCAATGATGGTTCAACATACACAAATCAATAAGTGTGATATATCACATAAGCAGATTTAAGGACACAAATCATAGGTCATTTCAATAGATGCAGAGAAAGCATGTGATAAAATTTAGCATTAGTTTATAATAAAAATCCTTAACAAACTAGGCATAGACAGAAGATACTTCAACATAATAAAGGCAATATATGACAAATCCTCAGTCAACGTCATTCTTAATGGAAAACATTTGAAAGCATTCCCTCTAAAAACTGGACCAAGTCCAAGATGCCCACTTTCACCACTTCTATTGACTATAGTACTGAAAGTTTTTGCCAGGGCAATCAGGCAAGAAAAAAATAAAATAAAAGTCACCCAAATTGAAAAAAAAGAGGAAGTTATCCCTGTTTGCTGATTTTATGATGTTACATTTAGAAAATCCTAAAGACTCCACCATGATACTCTTAGATTTGATAAATAAATTTGTGAAGTTTCAGGGCACAAAATTAGGAAACAGGAATTTGTAGCATTTCTATACACCAATAATGTTCTAGCCTGGGATTAAATCATGAAGGCAATCCCATTCACAAAGATACAGAAAAATGTCCCCCCCAAAAAAACACACACAAAAAACAAACAAACAAACAAACAAAAACCTAGGAATATATTTAACCAAGAGTGGGAAAACATCTCAATAAGGAGCACTACAAAACACTAATGGAAAAAATTTTAGATGTCACAAACAAACAGGGAAACATCTCATGCTCACTGATTAGAAGAATCATGATCATTGTTAAAATGATCATGCTATCCAAAGCAATATACAGATTCAATGCAATTTCTATCAAATTCTAAAATGCATATGTAGAACCTAAAAAGAGCATGAATAGATAAAGTAGTCTTAAACAAAATGAACAAACCCAGACCAGAGGCACCATATTACCTGACTTCAAATTATACCATAAGGCAATAATAATCAAAACAGAATGGTACTGGTATAAAAATAGACACATAGATCAATGGAACAGAAAAAACAATAGAAATAAAACCACATACCTACAATCAACTAATCTTCAACAAAGTCAACAAAAATATACACAAAAGAAAAGCACCCTATTCAATCAATGGTGCTGAGAAAATTATATAGCCATATGAATAAGAATGAAGCTGGACTTATACCTTTCACCATATACAGAAATCAACACAACATGAATTAAAGACCTACAAGTAAGACTTAAAACTATAAAAGTCCTAGAAGAAAATTTAGTAAAAACACTTCTGGACATTGGCGTAGGCAAAGAATTTATGATGAAGATCCCAAAAGTGAACACAACCGAAACAAAAATAGACAAGTGGGACTTAATTAAACTAAAAGCCTTCTGCACAGCAAAGAAGCAGTCAACAGAGTAAATGACAAGCTACGGGATGGGAAAAGTATTTGCAACCTATGCATCTGACCAGAATCTACAAGGAACTCAAACAGCTCAACAAGAAACAAAAAATAACCCCATTAAAAAGTGGGCAAAGGACATAAACAGATATTTTTAAAAAGAAAACATGTAAATGGCCAAGAAAAAAAATGTTCAACATTACTAATCATCAGAGAAATGCAAATTAAAACAACGAGATACCATTTTACACCAGTCAGAATGGCCATATTAAAAAGTCAGAAGCAACATATGTTGGCAAAGATGTGGAAAAAAAGGAATGCTTTTACATTGTTATAGGACTGTAAATTAGTACAACCTCTACAAAAATACGATATGGAGATTTTTCAAATAACTGAAAATAGAACTAGTATTCAATCCAGCAATTTCCCTACTGGGTATATACCTAAAGGGAAAGAAATCATATCAAAAAGATAACTGCATTTTTATGTTTGTCATAGCACTATTAACAATAGCAAAGATATGGAATCAACTTTTGTCCATCAACAGAGCACTGGATAAAAAAAGGGATATACATATACCATGAAATACTACTCAGTTATTTTTTAAAATGGTGTATATGTACAACTTTTTTTATCCAGCTTATCTTTGTTGGGCATTTAAGTTGATTCCACACCATTGTTATTGTGAATAATGCAGCAGCAGACATACGTGTGCATGTGTCTTTCTAATAGAACAATTTATATTCCTTTAGGTATATACCCAGTAATGGGATTGCTAGGTTGAATGGTATTTCAGGTTTAGGTCTTTGAGAAATCACCACACTCTGTTCCACAATGGATTAACTAATTTACACTCCCACCAACAGTGTATAATGCATTCCTTTTTCTCCACAACCTTGCCAGCATCTGTTATTTTTTGACTTTTTAATAATAACCATTCTAACTAGTGTAAGATGGTATCTCATGATTTTGATTTGCATTTCTCTAATGATCAGTGATGTTGAGGTTTTTTTCATTTGATTGTTCGTTGATGTATGTCTTTTTGAAGTGTCTGTTCATCTCCTTTGTCCACTTTTTAATGAGGTTGATGTTTTCCCTGTTAATTTGTTTAAGTTTCTTATAGATGGAATACTATGCAGCCATAAAAAAGAATGAGATGTCCTTTGCAGGAACATAGATGGAGCTGGAGGCCATTATCCTTAGCAAAGTAACACAGGAACAAAAAACCAAATACTGCATGTTCTCACTTACAAGTGGGAGCTAAGTGATGAGAACACACGGACACATAAACGGGAACAACACACACTGGGACCTATTGAAGGGTGAAGGGTGGGAGGAAGTAAAGTATCAGGAAAAACAACTAATGGATACTAGGCTTAATACCTGGGTGACTAAATAATCTGTACAATAAGCCTGTATGATGTTTATACAAATTTACCAGTGTAATGAACCTGCACATATACATACCCCTGAACTTAAAATAGAAGTTTTTAGAAAACAAGAATGAGACAACTTTCTCTGTACTAGCAAGGAAAGATTCCCAAGACATACTGTTAAGGACAAAAAGCAAGTTACAAAACAGTTTATATAATGAGCTACCTTTCATGTACACGCATATGAGAGGAGTAAGAACATGTATTCACATTTATTTTCATTTACGTAAAGAAACACTAGACAGATATATAAGAAACTATTAAGAAAGATATATAATAAAGAGCAGAGTTTCTACAGGGTAGACCAGCCAGAGGTGGAAAATACTACTACTCAACCTGCACCTTTCAGAATAATTTTTTCATGTTTTTAATTTACGTTCACTACCTATTTATTTGGTTCAGGACTCCATTTCCTTCACTTTGAGACCAAGTAATCAGGCTTCAGACTTCTTACCTCTGCCTGCCAAAGTCACTAACCTCATGACAGACATAATTTAGGTTAGAAGAATAGCAAAGTTCTTCCTCAACTGTTTCCTCAGAAAAGAACAAACTGATAAAACATGTGGGCCCCTAAAATATGAACATTATCTGTAAGACTGAGTTAAAATGTGTTCTAAAAACATCTTCTAAAAATGTGAAAACAGCAGAGGTATGACCATTTGCTAAAAAAAAAAAAAAAAAAAAATGTTGGGGGGACAATATGTTAAAAAATATGCATGGAAAAGCAGTATAGAGAATGGTCCTCCTTCTCTACTCCTTTTAAAATTTTGATTTCATACTTGAGTTTTCATAACGGACTTTTGTAAAGAGGGGAGATTTGCATTCAGGTGTAAGATTACAAGCATTTTAAGGCCACTTTCAACACAAGTATTTTTTTTTTTACTAATCACTTCTGTGGTTCCGCTGCCCCAGACAAGAAAAAAAAAGAGAAATGGAAAGGGAAAGCTACGTTCAGGGCACGTAAAGGTTTTATCTAGCTTTAAGGGTTAAAAGAATTGGCACAAAGTTTAAAAAAGTTAAGCCACTTGTCTAAAAAAAAATTAAATAAAATCATGTCTTTTGCAGAAACATGGATGCTGCAAAATGGAGGCCATTGTCCTAAGTGAAATAACTCAGAGACAGAAAGTCAAATATTTCATGTTCTTATTTATAAGTCAGAGCTAAATATTGGGTATACATGGACACACAGAATGGAATAATAGACATTGGACACTATAAAAGTTGGGAGGGTGGAAGAGAGATGAGGTTTGAAAAACTACCTATTGGGTAAAATGCTCACTGTTAGTGTGCTGGATACACTAAACATCCAGATGTCATCACTATTTAATATATACATGTAAGAATCTGCATTTGTATCCCCTAAATATATAAACATTTACAAATAAAACACTGAAACATAAAAAAAACAATCTGGCATAGACAGTGAGATATTATGTCTGTTAGTAGTTTAAGCTTCAGCTGCAGGACCGGTTAGCCTCACTGAGAATCCACACGGCAGGGGTGATAGCCAGCAATATATGAAAAAGTCCAAATTCTAGAAGCAGCTATGCCAAGGTATATTGAGCTACACCTCATTTTATGCAAGTTATATTGGTGAGTGTAGGAACGTTTTTATTAAATAAATTAGTTCTTCGGTAATTATGTTGGTAAATAATAAAAACAGATGTTAATTGGTAAAATTGCAAGGTATTCAAGGTATGTGGTTGACCAAAAAATATAGAATCACTTCCACTGTTTAAAAACAGAGCATAGAAATTCAGTCAGAAGAGTAGTCTCTATGTTAGGAAAGGAACTGGAGACTATTTGGTCCTGCCATTGGTTTGTGAAAAGGGATAGTTACATGATGATGATAAGAGTAACAGAATCCTACCTCTGGAAGTATGTGTGTGTTGTGTGGACCTTTCAGGCAAGCTGATAGAGTATCACAAAGAAATTGAGGAACTGCAAATTTACAGAACATGAAAAGGAAATAGTGTGTGCCTGCTTACAAATAAAGGAGTTTTTGTTTTTTAAATAAACATTGTTCATGTGGCAAAATTTGGTCTATAATTGGTTCTCAGTGTAATTCTGATTGCAAGGTTCTGAATGGAGCTAACTGTCACAGGGCATTACATAGTTCAGTAGCTCTTATTGCCTCCAAAAACAGCCCAAGAGTTAGACACAATCAGATTGCCTTGAGTCAGTTTCCAATGCTTAGGAATAACTTTTAGTGACTACTTTTAGCACTTTAGCTGACCAAGGAGAGATTTGAGGAAACAGACCAATTTTTGATGCTACTTAGAGTATGAAGCCAGTATCTTAAGGCATGTATCCACAATGTGTACCAGAGCCCACACTAAAAAAGTTACCTTTCTTCAACAAATATGCAGAGTTGAAGATGGGAAATTTAAGGGAGGTGACTGAGAAAAAAAGAGATGTTATTCAATGAGAATATGGATTTGAGGTGATAACAGTAAAGTGCTTTTGAAGCACTTTTGAGAAGCTCGTTTTTGTAGGAGGAATATCGACACCTGGGAAAGTTGCATTAAATAAATTATGCTGCCAAAAGCACACCAGGAGCGTAGATGCGCTATGAACACAGAGACACAGAGATGAATTAATGAGGACATCTTGTATTAAATCATTTGACAACCTGGATGCCATTTGTCATTGAAATGCAACTAAATATACATTTTATATACTATAAAATGCTCACTTTCAGATAGAGTGTATTACAATGTGAATATATCCACCCAAGTGGATGGATATATTTTTCTCTGCCTAATTCCCTATGGGGATGTGTGCTGTCAGAAGGATGCACACTTAGATGCTGGATAGGGAGGGCAGGACAATGATAGGCCTCCTGCAAGTGGCACCTGGCAAACTGCTAAAGAATTCATATTAATGGGGAAAGCTAGAGGGCTTTTGTGGAATGTGGAAATACTTTAACCCACTCCCCCCTCTCCAGGGTCCATCTGTATACTGTTGCCAGGTTCATCTTCTTCAATCGCCAAATTTTTCATATCTGTCTCCAATTTATAACCCTTCAAAAAGTTATTTATTTCTCACAGATGAAATCCAAATACCTACACTTGGCAGTTCAGACCTTGCAGGGTATAGCCTATGGAAAGAAACCCTTCTTGGAATAAGCTGGGGATTTTCATGTTTGCTACACTTACCTTAAACTAGATTGGCTGTGCTTTTCTCAAGCTTTTTCACTCTTTGCTTTGCCAAATTTTATTCTGAAAAGAATCAAAGGTTTTGTGTTTGGGGGAAAAAAGGGTGTGGCTCTGTTCCCAGTTGATTCTGTAGGTAGTTCTAGGAAAAAAGAAAGAGCAAAACTATAAAACCTTCCTTTTCGTGAGAAAACATTGCTTGCCCACAAACTCTGTCTAGGCATTCATAAGCAATTTACATAATCAACATGGATTCCAAGTATCTCTGCACTCAACTGCATCAGATAAAAACAGTTTGTGCAATATAAATTAACTTGGCTCTCCCAACTTCCTATTTATAGTTAAGGAAAAGCTCTCTTACCATAAATGGAAAGAGGATGTTCTAGGATCAGAAACTTGTATCAATGTGCCAAGGAAGTAACACTGCAACTTGCCCCTTCTGAAATTATTACTTATCCAGGCCTTCATTTTACCACTGGAGTGAGAGGCATCTAAGGAAAGTATTAAGAGAGAGAAATAAATGTCCAAAGAGTGGAGCAAAAGAGATTTGTGTAAGCCCAAGTGCAAAGGAGTCTGGTTCTGTGCCTCATGACTGGTGCCAGTCATCCCATCTGTGGCCAGGCCGAGTTAAGGTAGGATAAAAAAATCCGTGTTCCAAAATATGTGCCTATCAATGCTTCTCTTTCTTTACTTTTCTCGTGAAAGATGAATTGCAACCTTTGACTAACATGACAACATTTTTTTCCATATCTGAGACAAGTTTAACCAGGGAACAGTCCATTTGTGGAGGCTGCCTAAGGTGAGATTAGCAGAAGAGGTAACTTAGAGTCCCAGAGTAAGTGTAGGAAGCAGAGGTAGAGAGAAATGAAAATAAACGGCATCTTACCCTTTACTTTCCCAACCCAGGGTTCCAATTGGTTGGAATACACACCTGGCCAGGGATACACTGAAGAGCATACCTGAGTTATATCTCTCTATTTTCATTTAGTACTTCCAATTTGTTTCCTAAAATCTTGGGTTAGTTTCACATTCCCTTTTCTTCTCTCCTACCCTCTTAGGAACCTCAGTAAACATCAGGCACTCAGTGCTCTCCAGACTGCAGTGGTGGTGGAGCTGAGAGGACTGTGTTTGGAGGAGTAAATGTCCACTCTCATGCTATTTTATTTCTCAGGCCCTTTGTCATGGCCTTCTTAGTGGTAAGATCTGGAAGGGTACAATATGGTGATAGATGTAACTTTTGCTTTTGAGAGGTAAGGTGAAGTGAGGCCTGAGTAAAGATTCACCAGTTTAGGAAGACATTGCAGTTTGTTTCTATTTGTTCAATTCAGTTTACTAGGTTAGAGAAGAAGATAGAGACTTCAAGCAAGGCCTGGCACATAAATCTTCCCTTGGCTAAATAGTCAATCATTAAAATCTCTCTTGAGGATGTAAAACTTTTACTTTCTACTTGACCCCACCATAAAAAAATTAAATAAAATAAAGAGTTGCTAATTTTGTGGGTCAGAAATTTCTAGAATATTGAGTGGATCATGTTTTCTACTGAGTGGAGTTACTCTTCCCTCTGTTTTCCATTCTATTACACTTACTCCAGAGAGATAATGTTTTGGCCTTCCTCTCTCCCTCCCTCTCCCACCTCTTTTCCTCTCTGGGAGAAGAGGCATGGCAGTGAAGAATATATAATATACAATGCCAAATAAAGTGAGTAATTGCTTTAGGACAGTGGTTCTCAGACTTTGGAAAGTCATGAATGAGTAACTTTTTCAGGGACTTACATAAGCTTGATGATATTATTTGCCAAGATCAATATATAGCTTTACATAAATAAATATAAGTATACATACTACCTATCATCATCATAGTTTGATAAAATAGAGGATAGTTTATCATCAGAAATGTAATAAAATATTTTGGGTTTTAAAAATAATAAAATTGGCTTTTAAAGAAGCTGTATTATGAAATTTCTCCTGGTCAGACAAGGACTTCATCACTTGTGTAGTAGAAGATTGAAAAAGGGAAAGTTTACTATTCACTGATGTTGATCTGCTAATTTAAGTCTAACTCTGGATCATGTTTGGCTTGGAGACGTGAATGAAAGAAGAAGGGCTGATCATGGCAAAGCTCTCTATGTAATTATCATTTTTAACAGTTACATTGAAGCATAATTGTCATACAACAAACTACTCCCATTTAAAAGGTGCACTTTAGTGAGTACATTTTGACGTGTCTATACACCTGTGAAACAGCATCTCAATTAAGATAGCATCTCAATTAAGAAATTCAAAAAATTTCTTAGTGCTCTATTGCAGTCTCTTCATTTAGTGCTTCTCATATCCCTAGGCAATCACAGGTTTTTTACTATAGATTAGATTGCATCTTCAAGATATTTATATCAATAAATTGCCCGGTATATATAGTATATACTCTTGTGGGGGGATTACTAGGCTTCTTTCACTCAGCATACTTACTTTGGATTTATTTATGTTGTAGTATATATTAATAGTTCTATTTTATGTTGTGGAATAATATTCCATTACATAGATTTACCACATCTTGTTTATACATTCATTTGTTTATGGCCCTTGGGTTGTTTCCATATTTTGGGTATCACTAATAAAGCTGCTATGAACATTCATGTACACATCTTTGTATAATGTGCTTTTTTCCTCTTGAGTAAATACCCAAGAGCAGAATGGCTGGATTGCATAGTAGCCATATGATTATTCCTACAAAGGGTTTTTACCCTTTTACATGCTGACCAGCAGCATATAAGAGTATTCCTTTACTCTTTTTATTTCCAAATTTGGTATGGTATTTTTTTCAGTTCTATCCATTCTAATAGATGTATAGTTGTATTCATTATAGTTTCAATCTTCATTTCTTATAAGTAATTATATTGAACCTTTTTTTTTTAAATTGAGATGGAGTTTCGCTTTTGTTGCCCAGGCTGGAGTGCAGTGGCGTGATCTCGGCTCACTGCAACCTCCACCTCCCAGGTTCAAGTGATTCTCCTGCCTCAGCCTCCCAAATAGCTGAGATTACAGGCATGAACCATCATGCCTGGCTAATGAACATTTGTACATATGCTTAATTGCCGTGAATGTATCACCCTTGGTAAAGTGACTGTTAAATCCTTGGCAACCTTTTCAAATTGGGTTGTTTGTGTTCTTATTATTGAGTTTTGAGTGAACTTTATATATCCCTGACAAGAGATATTTTTTAAAATCAGATATATGCTTTGCATGTGTATTCTCCCAATCTGTAGCTCATCTTTTTATCCTTTTATGAATCTCTTTCAAAGAGAACCAATTTACAGGTTTGTTATTTTACGTCTTGTCTGCTGGTGTCTTATCTAACAACTCTTTGCTTAATCCACATCACAGAATATTGTCTTATGTTTTCTTCTATAATTTTATGATTTTACTTTTAATGTTTACATCTATGACCCATCTTATTTAATTTTTATATAGTTTTCCAGGTATAGATTGAAGTTCATTTTTTTGCATGTAATGTTTATTCTAGTATCATTTGTTGAAGAGTTTTCTTCTCTTCTAAATTTACATAGTTATTTTAAAAAATCAGTTGTATATATATATGTGTAGGTGTGTTTCTGAATTTTCCATTCTGTTTATCTATTTGTCTATCTTAATGCCAGTATCACACAATCTTAAAAATCTTGAAATCAGGTGATGTTAGACCTCCAAGTTTGTCCTTCTGTTTTAAAGTCTTTAAGGGATATTCTAGGACCTTTGCATTTTCATATGAATTTTAGAATCATTGTGTCACAATTCATACAGAAAATGTCTGCTAGAATCTTGATTAGGACTATGTTGACTTTACAGATCAATTTGGAGAATATTTAATATCTTAGCATTATTGAGTCTTCTGACTCATATAGAAGGTAGCTTCATTTATTTAGATTTTCTTAATTTTTGTCAGCAATGTTTTATCATCTTCAGCATGCAGGATTTTCACATATTTTGTTTTTTTTCTAAATATTTCAAATATTTTGAATTTATTATACATTGTTTTTCTTTTAAGTTCTGATTGCTTATTGCCAGTATATAGAAATGCAATTGAATTTTTATGTAGCTACCTTGTATTCTGAAAATTTTCCAAATTTACTTATTGGTTCTGGCAGCCTTTTAATAGATTCCAAATAGATAGATATGGTCTTTGAATAGATAGATAATAGATAGATAAACAGGTTTCTAAATAGATAAATAATATTGTGTGTGAATAAAGAGAGTTTTACTTCCTTGGTTTCATTCTTGTTTCCTTCCATTTCTTTTTCCTACCTTATTGCATGGACTTGAGCCTCCAGTATATCCTTGAACAGAAGTAAGGAAAGTGAACAACCTTGTCTTGTTTCTGACCTTAGGGGGAAAGTATTTACTTTACATTATGAAGTATTGATGTTGAGTGTTGATATTTTTGTATGTGCCCTTTATCAGGTTGAGGAATTTTTCTAACATTTCTGGTTTGCTATGTGGTTTTCTCAGGAATAGAGGTTGAGATTTGTCAGATACTTTTTCTGTGTTTATTAAGACAATCATAAAGTTTTAAAATCTATTCATATGGCAAGTTGTATTGATTGATTTTCATATTTCAACCAGCCTTGAATTCCTAGGATAAACCTTACTTACTTTTAATCATAATATACTTTTTATATATTGTTATATTCAAATTATAAAATTTTCTTTGGAATTTTTTAGTTAATTTCATGGGGATCTTGGTTTATAGTTTTCATTATAATAATGGCTTTGTCCAGTTTTGGTATCAAGGTTTTGTGGGATGAAAGGTGGTCCTCAAAAGGATATATCTTCATTCTAATACCCAGACTTTGTGAATATTATCTATATGGTAAAAGAGTGAATAGCACCTTTTATGGGAAAAGATGATTAAGTTAAAGATATTTAGAGGTGATGCTTATCTAGGATTATCTGGTTTGCTCTAAATCCAGTGATGAGTTTCTCATAACACAGAGGCAAAGGAATATTTGAGACACACAGAAAAGGTGAAGGCACAGACAAAGAAAAAACAAAAGGCAAAGTCATCACAGAGGCAGAGACTGAAGGGATGTGGTCACAAGCCAAGGAAAACTTGAGAACACCAGAATTAATATTGAGATTTCAGGAAAGACACTAAATAATGAATCAGAAAATAAAATGAAGTTGTTGCAAGAAAAATCAAGAATCTTGGATAGGGTAATGATGAGCTCGAGAATTCACCCCACTAAGAAGAGAGGCATGCTGTGGACATTAGCCCTAGGGATTGTGGAAAACCCACAGAAAAGCCTAGACAAGAAATTAGAAAAAATTATCCATAGGATTTTTCCACAATACTTTTATAATTGATTTCCTTCACCAATTATTTCTATCAACATGTTGGAGTTTGCTAAGTGGTTAACATGTGAGGTTTAAAAAAACAATTAACTAAGAAAATGGAATTAATTTGACAAAGTTTTAAGTATTCTATAATGAAGTCTTTTATGAGAGTATGTGTTTCATGAAAAGAAATAAAAATTTGAAATTAACCATTTCTTCAAAAATCAATGGCAACTCTGAAATTGATTGTTTCTGGTCTTTCTTTGGTCTTATATATGCTACAGTCTATGGTTGATTAAGCCAAGACCTTGCCTTTTTCACATGTTCTTAAATATTTGTCTACTAGAATATAAAAATGTGATGACAAACTGATGTAAATGGAAAGCTTCACCTTGCCAAATGGATTCATTTCATGTAAATTGCTACCCCAGAATTCTTATAACTGGTTATAATTCCCTGAAAAAAAAAAAAAAAACCTGGCTTCATAGTTTAAAAATGATAAGCTCCTAGAAACATTAATTTTAGTTTTTTTCTCAGCTAATTGAGTCAAATGACCCAAGTGTAAAATTTGCCAGCAGCATTGGTTTTATTTAATAGAAAAAGCTTTCTTATCTACAGAGAACAGCAAAGAAAGCCTTGGGTGTGCACATTTGTCTATGAAGCAGCAGTATCTTCACAGGCCTTGGCCTTTGGGGCAAAACAAAACAAAAACAAAAACAAAAAAAACACGCAGAACAAAGAATAGTCATCTTGAATTTTGAGTAGATACACATTTAGTTGCACTTGTAGATTACCTACAGGCAATGTGTCTCTAATTCTTTCCCCTTATAAATTTTAATTTGTCATCCTGGGATTTAAATATAAAAGGATTAATGAACATTTTCAGGGAAAAAGACCAGACATACCCACTTAGCATCTTTCTTTGACATCTCACATAACCTCTCAGCATCTTTCTCATATTTCCTGTTTAATTTAACCTGGTAATTTTTATTAAGGACAAAACCCACTAGAGAAAAATGTAAATAAAAGGTCAGAGCTCTATCTACTTTGTTATAAAGCCATTTTTATGATTTATTGTTTTTTTGAGGGCATTCTATTCTCTCGAAATTTAGTGTTTAAGTTTTGTCTGTCTCCAAAGAGGAGTATCTTGCATTCATCTCTACAAATGTTTATTAAGTGCCTATGTGTACCAGATATGTACAAAATTCTGCAAATATTAAGAAAAATAAGACGTAATTCATTTCTTCAAGAAGTGCTCATCCCAATTGAGGTGATAGATATATTTACCATTAACAAAATACAGAATAGAAAGAGCTGTGTATGGGGGGTGAAAATTGCTGTGGAATCTCAAAGAAAGAAATACTTTTCCTTTGCAGTCTTTGTATTGCAGTTCACTACCACTTAACAACAGCAACATGAAATCTCATGAGTAATAAACTTGAATGTAAAAGACAGCTTCAGAGACAGTGAGCTGACATTTTACAGTTTGCCCTAGGAAGGTACCCTAAGTTTGATTTATCCATATTTTGAAAATACAGCCAGCACAGCCTTGACAGATGCTATAGAGCAAGTACAGTGGTAATCCAAAGTCAGCCTCAATTCTAGGCTGAAACATTTTTTTTTCTTCACACATCTTTGCACCTACATAACTTGATACAACTTTAGAAAATTTATTATCTGGACATTATCAGTTTTGCTCTGAGAAGAAGTTTACTATGAGTTTTTGAGAGAAGGAGATATCGCTATTGATGACAAATGACTAAGAGAAGATTTTAATCTACTTTATTTGTTTTTTATATATCATTTGGAGATGGTTAGAGAAGTCAAACTGCAGGTGAGCAAACATAATTTTTTGGTGTTCCTTTAGTTTTATTGATTTTTAAAGAAACAGACAAGAAAGGAAAACATGGCTAGCTAATGAATTCTTTGTTTCTTAGGTATACTTCTATATACTACATTTAACCTATTTAAATGCATCTAATTTAGATTTAAAATAACAGAGAAATTTCTCCTCTATTTATATGGGATTTATTGATGAGTGGAGTTTTACATAGTTTTGGAAGGCATTAGAGTAAGGATTCAGGGTATAACGGCTTTTTATAATAACAAATGTTCAATACCTTACAATGATTGATATTTCTGTGGTTGAAACAGCAGTAACAGTGGAAGATTTTTATAAGAATTCCATTTTAGCTTCATTAGAGATCTCCAAATTATTAGAGAAAAAGTGACAACTGCTTCTGCAATTGTTATAAAACAGATTGTTCTAGCAGTACTCTTTAACTATTTATTTTAAAAGAATTTCAAATTCACAGAAAATTTGCAATAGAACTAAGAGCCTCTATATACCCTTTGCATAGTTTCCCTAATTGTTAACATCTACCAGATTTGCCTTAGTGTTTTCTCTGTATATTGCACTTTTTCTCTACCATGTGAGAGTGAGCTATATGCATGACACACTATTAGCCCTCAGTGCTTCAATGTATATTTGCAAAAAAGAGAGACATTTTCTTCATGAGAGTACAACCATCAAAATCAAAAAATTATCAAACCCATGTTACCATCTTTTCAACTGACCCCGTTCAAAGTTTACCACTTCTCCGAATTATATTTACAGTCTACTGAATCATGTGTTGCATTTAGTTGTCATAACCTTTTAATCTCCTTTAACCTTGAATATTGCCTGCCTTTCCTTGTCTTTCATGACGTTGATGTTTTTAAAGAGTATAGGCCTGTTACTATGTAGAATTTCCTTCAATTCACATTTGAGTGGGTTTCCTCATAATTTATGCATAACTTATACATAAACAAAAAATTGGGAGAGGCAGCAATTCATTACAAGTGATGCTATGTTTTCTTCATTGCATTATATCAGAAAGCACATGATGTCAATTTGTTCCATTACAGGGATATTAACTTTTATTACTTGGTTAACATAGTGTCTGCCTTGTTTCTCCACTGTAAAGTTAATTAATAATAAGTATAATAAATTCTTAATTAATAAGTGATAAGTATTTTATGAGAAGATACTAGGACTTATGCTGTAAGGTAGACCTGTCCCTTCTCCATTTATTCATTTTTATTCAATTATTGATATCAGAATAGAATGATGGGTTCTTATGTGAAACTCATATAATATAATAAAACCTCATACATATGAGTTTCTAGCAGTACTCATACATATAAGGTTTTTACATATGTATGTACTTGAGGTTTTATTTTGAATGCTCATTTTTGTTTTAGTCAATACAATAAGAGCCCCCTTCAAGACGGCTCCTTTGTCTTTTAGATATATGCCCATCATTTTCTGAGTACTTTCCTACTATCTGGTACCATTTCTTCTAGGCTAATCTGCTATTTTTTGTGGCCTCAGTTTTGGAGTCAGCCATATCTCCAAGGACCTTTCTTTTTTTTTTCTTTTATTTTTTAGTAGAGAATAGTGTTTAGAAATCAAACACACACACATAAACACATACATATATTTGTTTCTATCTATTTATCTAGTTGTCTGTCTGTCTGCCAAATATAAGTTCACCGCACTCCCCCTAATTTCAACCCAACATCACAGAGTTTATTCTAGTATTCACCTTTTCATGTTTGTACAGTGAGGAGTCTAGATGAAATAATTATCAAAGTTTGTATATATTTGCTAGTTCTCCCCTGTGTATGAACAGTTTAACAGCCACAGAACAAAAAGTTCAGTGCTGGGCAAGCTTCATGACCTGCACTCTGGCACATCTTTCAAAAAACATAACCCAGAAGAGGAGGAAGGGGAAGAGAAAGGAGGAAAGAAGAAGGAAGTAGGGAAAGGTACCATACTTATTTTTGTACATTAATGTATGGTTTGTATTTATGTTATTTAGGGTGTGTGTATACACACTAAATACTATATATATATATATATATATATATATATATATAGAGAGAGAGAGAGAGAGAGAGAGAGAGAGAGAGAGAGAGAGAGAGAGAGAGAGAGAGTGTCTCACTTATTCTGCCACCCAGACTGAAGTGGAGTGGCATGATCACAGCTCACTGCATCCTTGAACTCCTGACTCCTGGGCTCAAATGATCTTCCCACCTCATCCTCCCAAGTAGCTGGTACTACAGGTGTACACCACCACACCCTGCTAGTATTTTTATTTTCATTTTTTGTAGAAATAGGGTATTTATGTTATTGAACCTATACTTGTAGTACTTAATGTCTGTAATAGTATCGAGTATGGATATTTCTTTTAAATTATACTCACTTGACCCACTTTTATAACCAAATATTGTCATCCTTGCAGCTAAAAAGAGGGTATCCATGTTATGCCATAATTCCATTTGTTTTACCCCAATATTTTATAATTTTTGTGCAAATTATAGCGTATATAAGAGGTAAGAACTACTACAGAGAGAGAAGTAATAATGTGGTGATGATTGTGTGTGTGTGTGTGTGTGTGTGTGTGCTTGCATGCATGAAAACTTTTTATTTTTCATCTTTTTAATTTATTTTTATGAGACAGTCTGGCTCTGTCACCCAGGCAGGAGTGCAGTGGTGCAATTTCAGCTCACTGCAACCTCTGCCTCCCAGGTTCAAGCGATTCTCCTGCCTCAGCCTCCTGAGTAGCTGGGATTGCAGGAGTGTGCCACCACTCCTGGCTAAGTTTTGTATTTTTAGTAGAGATGGGGTTTTGCCATGTTAGCCAGTCTGGTCTCGAACTCCTGACCTCAGGTGATCTGCCTGCCTTGGTCTACCAAAGTGCTGGCATTGCAGATGTGAGCCACCGTGCCCGGCAGACAACATTTTTTATTAATTGTTGAGGAAGGCTGACTGACCTGGCTAATTGAGTCATGAACAATAGCACAACCTTTCTGGTAAAAATAAATACTTGTAAATAGCTATACATAATCTAATAGCATACGTTTCTTAACCCACAACTATGAGGAAATGCAGCCTCACACGTATAAGCGTTTTATTAGCTCTTATTAGCTCGGAGACACAAAGTAGGCATATAACCTGTTTGTTAGGCATGATGAAATCTCAGATCTGGTTCTCTGTGAGATCCAATGGCCCTTATTAAGAAAAGTGAACTTAGAGTAAATGTGACAACACATTAGGGGCAAGTTTCAGCTAACCACAATTGTTACCAACAGCCAGCTACTAAACACAAGATCAATTAGGAATCAAACCTAGGGAGTGGTTGTAAGTCATGAACAACGAAGAACTCAGTAGATTCTTACACTCTATGCAGGCAACAATACAGACTGTATCAGTGTTTTAGATAGTATGTAACCACCATTAATTTCACCAAGAAACTTACTAGTACAAAGATATTTCTAGGATTCATTATTCTAACTAACTTGAGGTACAACAAATATACATTTTAGCTAAAATGCCAAACGACTAAGTGTTAAGATATATTTACCAAAAGCCAAAAGTGAAGTTGTATCATTATCTGTGGTCAAAAATTAAATCAATTGACCACATTGCTATATAAGATCAAAATTGAGCACCAATCTTCCCTTTCCACACACTCACTATTGCCTATGCCAAAATATTTTCAAATAAATTTTAAGCCAATTATAGTCATAATAACAATTCATCCCTAAATATTTCAGGTTGTTTTTCTAAAAATAAGTCTTTTTACATGGCTAAAATGATAGAATCAACTTAGCAACAATAGCAATAATTCTTCAACAACCTAATAACTAATAAAATGCCTCCTTCTGTCCAAAGATGTCCTTTGTTGCTCACCTCTCCCAGTCATAATCCAACTCAAACTGTACATTACATTTTGCTATATACAATAAGATTTTTTTTCAATCTTCAACAGTCTTTAATGCAATGTCATCCTGCTAATTGACCTGTAAATTGCTCATTTTGGATTTTTGTGATTACTTCCTTGTGGTATCATTTGATGTTCTCTTTTTCCTTTTATCTCCTATAAATTGAAAGTGAATTCTAAAGATTCAATTAAATTCAACATTTTTATGTTACATAGAGAGGTAATTTTATATCTTGCATATTATTTTTCTTGCATTTGAGGATCCTTAGGAACAAATTACCTTTCATTGATTTAATACATTTCAGTCAATATAATCATTCTTATCTTTTTAATGTTCACATTATCACAACATTATTCTGTGGAACCTCCTTCAAGCTAACACCTTTGTTCTTTTGACATGATCAAACGATGATTGAAAACTTTCCTCTTTTTTTTTGCACAAGATGTACCATGCACCCCTTCTACTATTCCTGCCTCACACATGGAAATGAGACATTTTTCCCAGGAACCCAGTATTCTTTTAGTTGAAAATTATATTAGAAACAAAAGTCTAGATTCTTAGGGTATATATCAGCTTTGGATAAGATAATAGCTCTTTGTCAATTTTATTGGATTAGTAAAGATGTATTTTTTTTCAAATCATGAGTTCAAATTGCTATTTTTAGGTCAGCTGTAACATCACAGTGTGGATATGATTAGGAAGTAGAGTTCCTCAAAAAAATTGAGTTTTCAGGGAAGTCCTTTTAGAAAAAGTGACATGAAAATTGTGAATACAAGCTAATGTATTCACATTAGCTTCCTGGGAAGGACATTCTAGTTAGATGGAGCAGTACATACAAAAACCCTAGGTAGAAGGTTGCTTAGGGTAAGGAGGAATGAGAGATCCAGTGTGGCTGGAGTAAATCCCAGTGAAAGAAGAGAGAAACAGAAGAGACAAAGTCAGCATGGGTGTGGAGAGTGGGGAGATAGAGGACAGATCCTGTACAGTATTGGAAGTATTTGAAGGGATTTACATTTTGTACTAGGTAAGATGGATGACAATAACAGGACATTTTGTTTTGTTTTGAGATAACCAAAGATTCACTGAACCCTGGAAAATGTGAGAAGAAATAGGAGCTTAAGCACTTCTTTGTACATTGGGAAGAGTGTTATTTGCTCTGTATTTCTAGATAAATTTTTGGTAACATGCATTAAAAGCTGAAATGTATATACTCTGATTTTCTAAATCAACTTGCAAGATTTTTTCTTAATAAAGTAGTAGAACAAGTATTCAGAATAATTTACAATAAGAAAAAATGAGAATCTATTAGAGAAATTATTACAACTATGCTAAATTATTTTAATAAAGTATTATACAGCCATTAAAAGGATGACATGAAGCTATATTTTTTTACATGGTGAGTGCTACGTCATGTACACTCAAGGGAAAGAACAACAATAAACTAAGAAAGATAGGAAGAAAGTCATAAACTGCTTCTTTGAAAAGATCTCTTAGTTCTTTTAATCTTAAATAGTTAAGTTTTTGACAAGAGAAATAATAAAAAAAGATGTAATTAAAACATAATTTTAAAAAACAGGTTAGGTATAATAAAATGTAAAATATAATAAAATATATGACAATGAATTTCCCAGAAAAAAATAAAAAATAGTTTACAAACTACAAGCAAAAATAACTTATAAAATGACAAATTGGCTAATAACTTTTAGTGATGGTGAAATTTTATATTTAAAAAAGCTACTTTCCTTCCTTAACCAAATATAAAAATTCTTGGCCTAAATAGTTTTGACATACCTTCTACCAAGCTTTTAAAGAAATAGATATTTTATAACTTATATAATATTTTCCAGAAAAATAGAAAATGAGAAATGATTATTCAGTTGTTTTGAGGTTCGTATAAATTTTATCCTCAATCCATTATACACAGGATGAGAAAATTAACTGTAAAAATTCAAAAGACAGTATTATCTAATAAAAACATATTATGATTAAATAGGATTTAGCCAGTTTTCTAGATGGTTAACAATAAATTACCATACTAACTCTTATCATGGCCTGTAAACCTTGCATAATCTGGCACCTGCCTATGCACTTCAGCTTGATGTGTGTCTTTCTCCATTGTTCCTAGATTCTAACCACACAGATTTCTATTTCTTTCTATGGAGCATCAAGCTCTTAGTTGTCTCACAGCCTTTTTGCTTATAATTTCCTTTTCCTGGAATTATTTTTCAAAATCTTTCCTATTGACTATATTTTCCTTCTCCCATCTCATGTTGAAGACTTGCCCTTCAGAGAGAACTTTCTTGACCACTCTCTCTCAGAGAAGCCCCTCTGTCTACCTTCCTTTCCAGCAACTATCTGAATATCTTTCATGCTATTCGTTTATTTGGGCATCAATTCCCACTTACTGAAGCACAGGCTGCCTGAAGGCAGAAACCTTCTTTGGAATATAGGGCTGGACCACAGGACTCACTATATATCTTTACATAAACTTCACAAATCATGAAGGGGAGCATGAACAAGTTATTTGGTACCTCAGTTTCCTCATCTACTACTTGGCCTAATAATCAATGCCCTGCTTACCTCAAGGGATCTTTATAAGAATTCAGTAAGATAGAGAAATATGAAAATTTATTCTGACATGGGAATAGATATTATTTTTATTACTATTCTTGCTCTATTATCATCTTAGCTGTTATCACCATTTGAAAAATAATCAAAAACTGCACAATAAATTTTTCTCCTAGTTCTTGTCAGCATCGTTTATGCGAGGTGGGTCATACGGCAGCTGGGATGTTGTAATCATTTCTAATGTTCTCTCTTCAGGGACATAGATATACCATTCACTACTTGCCTGAAAAGCAAGATTATTACTGTCGTATTTTTCCATCACTGAGCTGTGCCAAGGATGTTTATGTCTGTTTTGTTGCCTTGTAAACAGATGAACAAGATCCAAAAGGAGAACCATGGTGGCTGTGCTGGGATAAAGGGCTGGCTTGCTTTTTAAAAGCCATCAATAAGAAATATGAGGATGCATGAGGACTGGTTGTAAATGGAAGACATCTATCTGAGACAGAAGAATCTGTCCATGAATACAGTGGGCTTTCCCTAAGCCAGCAATAAGAAGAAATGGGTGTAAGGCACAGGAGACACATCAAAGCATTATTTTTTAAGAAAGTTGAAAAAAATCACATCTTTAAAGAGGATTCCCAAGATAGAATTGTTTTCAAAATTTTCTGTTTGGTCAATGTTGCATGAATTTCTCATGGATTAATTATTGATTTAACTTGAAATATTAATGAGAGTACTCAGTAGGTACCATGCCTTTTTCTGGAGGCCAAAGCATAATCAATCATGCTTCAAACTTCAAGTACAGAAAATGGCACAAACCTATTGCATATACCTTTAAGTACTTTGTAGTTTAGCAAGTGGTTTTGTGTACATTACCTTATTGGACTTCCAGAATAAATTCTGGAGGCATATAAAACAATCAAACCAAAGTTATCTAGGCAAAATGACTTCCTCAAAGTCATTCAGTTAATAGATTGTGTAGCCTAGATGTAAATCAGGTCATCTGCCTCTTAAATCAGTGCTCTTTTCAATCCATCACACAAGTGCTTGTTATCTCAAAGTGGGTGGCATTAGTAGCTATAACACAGGCCATGATGTAGTGTTTTCTGTGTGACAGCCACACATCAAGTGCCTGGAGAAATAAGAGGTTACCTGGAGGAATGAAGTAAGAAATTACCTGGAAGGCATGGCATTTCTACAAAGACCAAATAGATGAAACAGAACTTCTGCCAAGAAGGAGCTCACGACCTTCTTGGTGCTTATGATATAGTTGGTATCTGAAATCATTGTAAAGCTGGCAGCATAAACAGCACTAGGACTACAGAGAAAATAAGATGATATCTGAGAAAGTGCCAATGAGAATTACAGTTAATAAAGAAAGAAAAATAGGCAAGAGCTATAAACAGGAAACCTTCATGGCACTGTAACTTGGAGAACTGGCCACTTGAATTGGCAGGTTGTCTGTATTATAGGATGGGCCACAGCATCACAGGCTGTCAGATCAAAGGTCTTGGGGTTGAGCAGAGACCTCAGTGGAGTAGAAACTGGATTGAGGATTAATAATAGCTATTTCTTTAATTATCATTTGGTTTCTCCTGAAATAACCACGCTAAAAAGAATTAACCAAATAAACTTTATGATTCTCTAGTATGAGGCTAGGTTTAATTACTACATTTTAATGGCTTTTCACATTGTCAGGTACCTCAGGCTGGTTTTAATACCATCAAGTGGGAATTTATAGTGGATAAGGTCTTCGGATATTGTCAAGTTTTCTCTAAAGATGCTACTATCTAGGTGGCTATGTGAATACAGACTATGGTAGTCAGTATTTAAAATATTATTTTTTTCTTCTAAATACAAAATAAATAGATGCCATTATAGAAAATTTAGATAGCAGTGACATTAAAATACTTTTTAATGTTAAATTTTGGATATATAACCCCACTTAAAATTTTAAAGTACTAAGTTTTAATTTTTTATTATTTGTATATTGTATTTACATACTTATTTGTATTTTTGTGATTATAATTATATATGACATATATATGTCATATATACATATATGTAATACATATACTATTACATATATATGACATATATAAACATGTAACTCATATGTGAGGCATATGAGACACGTGTATGAAATGATTTTATGTCATATAATTATAATCACATGTATAATTTTATGTATAGAAAAATTACCTATTTATATTATATATAGTGTGTGTATGTGTACATGTATACATATAAACAGAGAGACAGCACATTTCACTTACATTGTCATTATACTATGTATACAGTTTTGTGTTCTACTTTTCTCCCCACATAACAATTGTGAAAATTGGAGTGTATTATGTAACCCTATATATTAACCTCATCTCTTTCATCAGTCACCTTCTCATAGGCATTATTGCAAAGGAGGGTTTGCCAGACAACTGTGCCTGAGTCAGTTCACTTTGCAGATGATTTTTGCACTGCTTGCCGCCCTCTTGATTCCACTGTTTTCTCTGTGGAGGCTCCATAACTGGGAATCCAGGGAAAATTCTCCTGATCCAATTTAGCCACCACTGTGCTGACCTCACCAAAGGTGTCATGCAGAGAAAAGTATACCCATCGATGGCCCTATCTACAAATTATACTAAACACCACACAATGAACTGTGCGTGCTTGTACAATCCACTTTCCTAAAGGATGGAGAATGATTAGAGGTGATTAAGGCTCAGGGCACAAGAGGTAGAGTGGAAAATAACCTGGATGCTGAATAAGGCAATTCCTGGAATCTAAGGAAAAGAAAGAAAAATTAAAAGCTTTCTGCATCCGCTATTGCATTGATTTGCTACACTGTCTTAAAAATATACTCTCTGACCCTGCTACTTCCTCAAAAGGGCACAATACCTTTGAAGCAGCTACAGTTGTCTGGGTAAATAATCAGGGTTCTTCTGGTGCCAGGAGAGTTTAGGACACGGACACACACGAGTTTAGGAGCAGGGGTTTAATAGACAAAAGAAAGAGAAAGAAAAACAGCTCTCTCTCTCTAGTGAGAGAGAGGGAACTTGCAAGAGGAAAAGGCTGGCTGGTGGTGAATGTGCTGGATTTTATGGTCAGGTTTGAGTTGATGGTGTCTGATTTGCATAGGGCTCACCGATTGGTTTGAGGAAGTGTGACGCTTGCATAGGGCAGGGAAGGCTGGTCACCCTACCCTGATCTTATTATGCAAATGAACTTTCCCAGGCCTGTGCCATCTTGTCTGCTCCTTACTGTACAGGTGGCTGACAAAGACAAGGGAAGGTGGAGCCGCCGTCTTGAACATGTCTAGTCCTTAGTTCCTGCCGTCATTCACCCGTGCAAGCTCCCAACTTGCTTGTCTATGTCTGCAGCTCAACTTTACAGGCTACTCTTTGTTAGAAAATGATTTGAGGCTGCTTTTCATTAAAAGGAAAACCTTACGGAGGATTTCCATACCCTCACTATCTGCCTAAGTAATTCTTAACTCCTGTATCACCTTCAGACATCATATTTCCCACAGTCTGTGCTGTGTATTTTCAGAAATACACACTTTGAAGTGGTTTTTGAAGGTTCAGATGAAGAAGGGTCAGTGTATGTTTCTCAGAAGACCAGCTCTGCCTCAGGGTAGTGAGGGCCCACATCTGGTACACTGTGAGATCTTTGCCAGTGTGAAAACATAAGCCTTTGCCTTTCTCATATTTCTCCAGTCTTCATGTGGGAAAAAATTAGATGAAAGTCACCTAGATACATTTAGGCACATGGACACATACACACACTCCATACAAATAATAATTCTCACATCAAGGACAAATCTAAATACATTTTGTAAGATGCATTTTTTTCTAATGCAAATAATCCATACAGCTTCCCCTACTCATTATGTAGAAAAAGCTTTACATGGTTCTGTAGAAAAGTATCAGATATCATCTCTTCTACTTCAAGACACATCCAGGGCCTACTGATTCATAAGAAATGAAGCCTAGTAACTATAATCGTGAAACAATCAGTGATACCTCCTGAAATTTCAGTTTTTCTTTACCTTGAGATAGAAAAATGTCTTAAGCATGACATGTTTCCTTTCTGAGTGCCATTATTTGCTTAATTACTCCACAATTGTTGACTCTTCATGTTTTCATCTCTCTTGTCTATAAACCTATCAACATTTAAGGATTCTTTCACTTGCTTCACAAACAAACAGAAATGTTGGAGTGTATAATAAGCTAAATGGCAAAAACAATGAACAAACTTTCGACAAGCCTAGATTCTGATCTTTACTATTTTGTTAATGACCTGAGGATCATTGGACAAATCACCTAGACTTTATGTACTTCAGGCTAGCTCTTTTCAAAATTATGGAGAAAAGCAAAGCAGTCTTTAAAATCCCTTCAAACACTAGTCTATGTCTCCAGAAATATTTGAATCAGTAACTCCTAGCTTTGACCCAGATTATTTCCAAATGCTTTGAACTATCTTTGATATGTAACAAATTATCAGCCATAAAGGGAATTGTTTTTGATTTTAAGTAGAATGGCATCTGCCAGGGTTATTTAAGACAAATAGCAATTGTTTAAAGTAAAGGAAGGGGAGATAATTGTGGAAAAGTTGGTTATCAGTGAGTGCCTTACTGACCTCGATCATTACATAGATGACCCTCTGTAGGCTTTCCACCACTTAACATTCATTATTGAGCTTCTGTTATAAGCTAGGCACCGTCTTAGCACAAGGGATCCAGTAGTAATCAAAACATAAAGGTCTCTATGACAGAGATGTTAAATTCAAGGCTTAATCATTACGGAATAGACCAAGAGCTTTGTCAGTGCCAAGCTAGGGAAAGTATAATGCCCTGGTGTGGGGGGAGGTGTGAGAGTTTAGTCCTTATGTGGAGATTGAGGGAGGACAGGGTGCAGAAAAGAGGAAGAAGATTCTTTCTATTAAAACAAAGTAAAAACTTGTCTAGCCCAAGCCTGAATAGATTTTATACTGCTTGCCTCGTTTTTGTCAAGAAACCTGGCCTGAGCGATCTCACCTCTTAAAATATCTCTAAGTTACTCAACTTTTTGACTACATCCTAAAATTCTGACTAATGAACTTTGGCCTCTGTCACTATTTCTTCCTTAAAAGCCTTCTAAGTAGCTCTCAGATTTCAATCTGAGGGAAGTAATGCTAAAAGCCTTCCAACATGCTAACCTTTCATTTTCAGCAACTATCCTCTCCCTTAGAGCAAAGATTACCTAAGATATGGCACTCATGTTGAAATCCAGACTGTGAATGTATGCTCCTCCAAAGCAAAGTGTAGGTGTACTATCATTTCTATTCAATATTAAACTGTTTCCAGACCACCATTGCCTTCACCAAAAAATGACACAGTAGGAATTATAGGAATAATAGATTAAATTTAAAATAATTTAGATTTGAGAAAGATGAGGAAAGAAATCAATAGTTAAAAAGCACATGAAATGACAATCTGATAAAAGTGAAACAGATGCAGATCATAATATCCTAATATCTAGTCAACTACTATTACCACAGATTGGGTAAATTGTGTTACATCTCTGCACTTTAGTATCTTCATCCATGAAATGAAACAGATCAGAAAATCTCTAGTGTCTAAATATATCTTTCTGGTATGGTTTAAGCAATCTTATTGAAAGCAGATAATCCCTTGGCTTTTCCAGAGCCACAATCCTCTAATTCTTACTTTTCCTAGGATGTTTTAATTCTAGAAATAAGAAAGCTAAGATGTGAATTAACCACTTTTTTTATAGGACAGGAATACTTATATAGTAAATACAGGATTTTTTCAAATACCTGAGCAAGGAAAACATGGTTTAAGCTTTTGAAGCAGAAGTGTCTTGATCGCAGAGAAAAGGAAAGGGCTGCCAACAAAGATAGTTAAGAATATAATAGACAAATAAGAGTCTTAGATGTTTATTATTCATCTAATACAAAAGTATATATAGGGAGCTTCTGGTGATTTAAAAATTAATATTTCATACTCTTACCTTCAAGAATAGAATATGGCAGGTTATATGGTATGTCTCTTTTTATTATAAAAGGTGAAGTCTCTCTCTGTCTCTCTCTGTATCTCTCTCTCTCTCACTTTCACTCTCTCATCACCTGTTCTAAGGGATGCCAGCTTGTATGCCAAAACTGAGCTATAGTAAGGTCCATGTGATGAGGTGCTGAATTTGTCTCTGGCCAAAGGCCAGTGATGAACTGAAGCCCTCAGTCCAACATCCAGCAAGAAACTGAAGTCTACCTACCAACAGCCTCTTGATTGAGCTTAGAACTGAGCTGTTTTCCAGTCAAGCTTTCAGTTGAGATTGCAGCCCAGATGACAACTTGACTGCAACCTCATGAGAAACTTTCAGTACAAATCATCTATCTAAGCAACTTGCAGATTCCTGACCTACAGAAAATAGTAAGTAAAAGAAAATTATTTTTATGTACTAAGTTTTGAAGCAATTTGTTACGCAGGATTAATGCCAAAGTGAACCACAGTCCCTCTCGAAGGTGTCTTCCATTTCTTTGGTATCTCTATTTGCCACAAAGTAAACATACATTTCCAAGTGTGATCTCTAAAGTCCATTTTAACCTATTTCTTTCAAACACAACACAACACAACACAACATTTTAGAAAACACAACATTTCTATACATATTACCTGAGTTGCAGTCTAACTGGAACTAGACTTTTCAATGGAATTATGCTTTTAGAATGCTGAGGCTTGGTATGTAGTTTTTCCTTGGATTAAAATAAATAAAGAAAAACAAACAGCCCTTCCCACCAAACTATTCAGCTTTCAAAGCGCATCTCTTTTGCAGTATATCTTCAAGTTTAAATATACTAAGTCTGTCTAAAATGGAACTGCCTGAAATGGAGTTTGAGTTCTAGCTCTGCTCGTTAAAGTTGTGTGATCTCAGGCATGTAATGTTCTCAATTCTAAAAAATGTGGGTCATATTTTGCTACATTAAAGAATATATGGATTAAATCAGACAGTATGTGTGAAAACACTTAACGGTGCTTGATGTGTAGACATTAAGTAACTGTTTCTTATCATTATTATTGTTATTCTCTTCCTTATTCATAGAAGATCACTGTGTTTATTTAATTCAGATACAGTCTCTTCTTTTTAAAAATCTGATTGTACTTTTCTTGTTTTTCTCTAAGGGCACTTATTATATTTATTACAATTCTTTCTACATTCTAATTATTTTATGCAGGGACAGTATATTTTCTCTCTTTCCTGAAGTGCCTTACATATAGCACAAAACTATAAGGAACACCATATGTGTTTGTTGAATCAAGTCAAACTTTAAGCTTTAAAATAGTTTTTTAAAGTAATATTGGCTTCTAAATTTTTTCCTAATATCTGCAACTCAGATGACTCCAGGTAGATGGATATTTATCATATTCTTAATATCTCCATTGAAAGATTTTCTGTTCCTACTAAGAGTAATGAGCATCTTAGGCTTTATAGTTAGATGTGATCTAACTGTAGAGCACACCAAGCCAGTCCTTTAGTTGAGCAAAGTTTCTTCGCCTTTATTTCAAGTCAAGATATTGAAACTCGCTTTCAATTCTAACTTCTGAAAGTCACACTTTCCTTATATATCATTTGTCTTTTGTTTAGGTTTAATCTGCAGGTAGACAAAGAGACTGACTTTTTAGTACTCCAGTCATTATGTACCTTTCTGGTCTGTATAATAAAAAGGCATTTCCTTTTGGGCCAAATAAAATTGACTTTTTAAAATACTTGATTTGGTTTCTTTCCTTCGATTTTACAACTCGAGAAATCTGACATGTGAATTTAATGATTCACATAAAAGCCTAGTATATTCATACAAAAACTACTTTTATGTGTGTTCTGGTTCCTGAGAAGACTGAAAGCGTATGTGCTAGTCTGAGAAACAAAGAGAAAAAAAAAAGACCATTTGAAAGGCAGTAAAGGTTTATTTTACATCCTAGTTGCATTTATGCCACTAGCTGGGATTACCTTAAAATCTTTATATATATATATATGTATACACACACACACACACACACACACGTATGATACACATATATATGATAAAAAGCAAATATACACATATATAATAAAAAGCAAAGTAAAAATGTTTTTGTCCCTAGTGAATTGTGTTGTTTCTTAGCCACATAGGTGTATTGATAAACTATATTAAAATCATAAATTTTTTGACAGCTAAAAGAGAGCATGGGAATGATCTCATCTAGTCATTCCTAATCTGGGATTTCTAAAGAGCTATTTTCAAATATTTTTAAAGCCTAATGTAAACTATCCAATGATCTATTATATAAATACACAATAAACTATTTCACAGAATATTCAGATCAAAGGAGTGAAAATAACAATAGAAGATGTTTGACCTGGTATTTTCTTGCCCTGTTTTTTTTTTTTTTTTTTAACATAAACAAGGAAAATGAGCCTTAATGGTTTATTTTCTCAGGGTAACTCAGAACGCTTGTGTCAGGACTCATAAGCCTTTTGCAGATTTCCATTTAGTATTCTTATCTTACCTTCTGACTACAAATCATTCTGAGACTGAACTAATTGTCTGTGGTCTCACTGGTAAGAGCCTTATGGCTCTATAAATGGGCCAAATAGTACCCAGGTAAAAGCTTTCAGAGAGGCAGACTCTTACTTTAGTTGCTGGCTTCATGCTTTCATTTTTGAAAGTCTCTGTGATGGCCACTGCCTTCTGTATTTTGGATCTGACTTCTTTGGATCTCTGTGTTATACCTGTGCTTTCTGTGCAATTAGAACCTGTCCAGTTTTGGTCCCACTTATTCACATTAAAGATCATTATGACAATATTATTGTAATAATAACATATTTACTGAACATCTACTATGTAATAGCTATTTTATTAAGTACATTAGACACATACTTCATTCAAAGCTAATAACAACTCTGTGAGGTTCCAGTAAGATTTATATAATTCAAGTATTTGACCATGCTCGCTTAACTTCTGAGTATATCATCCAGGGTTATTATTTAGGCATTATGGTTATAAAGCTGGTGTATTCTCAGTCCAGAATGCAAAAAACTTGGATGTCAAAAAATCGGGTCTTTTTTTGCCCAAGTGGGAGCTGCAAGCTAGTCCTGCCTCCTATCTTCCATCTTAGTCTCATTGTCCATTTGTGTTTATATAATCAAGATCAAGTTTCTTATAATTAAAAAATAGATAAAAATTATTCTTATCATTTTCTCACTCAGACTTTCCTCCCCTTTTACTAATTTAGTGTCCAGTATATGAAGACCTTGTTTAAGCAAAGACTTACGTTTCCACCATGGCTTATCTATTTATCACAGCTTTAGAAAGATGCTCATAGAAGCTGTCAGGTCAAAAAGGATCCAACAATTTAACAATGTTTATCAACAGTTTACCAATTAATAGCTTACAATAACTTCATGCACATTTCATGAAAGACTATTTGTATTTTAACAAAGGTAAAATATTAACTCAAAAGCATGACTCAAAAATAATAAAATTCATGGGGGATAAAATTACAGAAAGTTATATTTCAAGTGGGGGAAAATAATTCACAATTAACCCCAAGTCACATGGTATAGGCAGTTTTCTCATTCCTGCTTACAGTCAGATATATATGGGGTATTGTGGAGAGAGGTATATATGAGGTATTAACAGAGTTTCATCCCATGGTACTATGGGTCTATATTCAGATTATCTGGGCTCTGGAACTTAGGTTTTATTTTTTGTTGTTAATTCATTCAATAATCCAGCATTGGTTGAGAAGCTAATAATACACAGAGCACATCCTTATAAGTGTATGGAGAGAAGAACGCAGTCACGACTTCTGTGCTCATAGAGTATACATGTAGTTTCAGGTGGAAAACATATACTGACTACACACTTACATATTAAGTAACTCACAGTTACACTTGTCAAATGAGGGGCTTTGAAAAGATAGACCAAAGGAACTTATCCTAGCCTAGGGTGTCAGGCAAGACAATGGGAAACCACTGAAGGGTTTGACTGAATGAGTGACAAGAACCAGATTTGCATGTGGTTTTAGATGTATCTTCTCAACCAACACCCTATTTACCCTCTTCTCTTTGTAGCCAAACTGCCTTAAGATTTTTCATTACTTGCCTTCTTCTAGCTTTTGAATGTGTTTGCCCTTGCTTTTCTAGTTCTTTTAATTGTGATGTTAGGGTGTCAATTTTGGATCTTTCCTGCTTTCTTTTGTGGGCATTTAATGCTATAAATTTCCCTCTACACACTGCTTTGAATGTGTCCCAGAGATTCTGGTATGTTGTGTCTTTGTTCTTGTTGGTTTCAAAGAACATCTTTATTTCTGCGAGCAGAACTGAAGGATATAGAGACACAAAAGCCCTTCAAAAAATTAATAAATCCAGGAGCTGGTTTTTTGAAAGGATCAACAAAACTGATAGACCGCTAGCAAGACTAATAAAGAAAAAAAGAGAGAAGAATCAAATAGACACAATAAAAAATGATAAAGGGGATATCACCACAGATCCCACAGAAATACAAACTACCATCAGAGAATACTACAAACACCTCTATGCAAACAAACTAGAAAATCTAGAAGAAATGGATAAATTCCTCGACACATACACTCTCCCAAGACTAAACCAGGAAGAAGTTAAATCTCTGAATAGACCAATAACAGGATCTGAAATTGTGGCAATAATCAATAGCTTACCAACCAAAAAGAGTCCAGGACCAGACGGATTCACAGCCGAATTCTACCAGAGGTACAAGGAGGAACTGGTACCATTCCTTCTGAAAATATCCCAATCAACAGAAAAAGAGGGAATCCTCCCTAACTCATTTTATGAGGCCAGCATCATCCTGATACCAAAGCCGGGCAGAAACACAACCAAAAAAGAGAACTTTAGACCAATATCCTTGATGAACATTGATGCAAAAATCCTCAGTAAAATACTGGCAAACAGAATCCAGCAGCACATCAAAAAGCTTATCCACCATGATCAAGTGGGCTTCATCCCTGGGATGCAAGGCTGGTTCAATATACGCAAATCAATAAAATGTAATCCAGCATATAAACAGAACCAAAGACAAAAACCACATGATTATCTCAATAGATGCAGAAAAGGACTTTGACAAAATTCAACAATGCTTCATGCTAAAAACTCTCAGTAAATTAGGTATTGATGGGATGTATCTCAAAATAATAAGAGCTATCTATGACTAACCCACAGCCAATATCATACTGAATGGGCAAAAACTGGAAGCATTCCCTTTGAAAACTGGCACAAGACAGGGATGCCCTCTCTCACCACTCCTCTTCAACATAGTGTTGGAAGTTCTGGCCAGGGCAATTAGGCAGGAGAAGGAAATAAAGGGTATTCAATTAGGAAAAGAGGAAGTCAAATTGTCCCTGTTTGCAGATGACATGATTGTATATCTAGAAAACCCTGTTGTCTCAGCCCAAAATCTCCTTAAGCTGATAAGCAACTTCAGCACAGTCTCAGGATACAAAAATCAATGTACAAAAATCACAAGCATTCTTATACACCAATAACAGACAAACAGAGAGTCAAATCATGAGTGAACTCCCATTCACAATTGCTTCAAAGAGAATAAAATACTTAGGAATCCAACGTACAAAGGACGTGAAGGACCTCTTCAAGGAGAACTACAAACCACTGCTCAATGAAATAAAAGAGGATACAAACAAATGGAAGAACATTCCATGCTCATGGGTAGGAAGAATCAATATCGTGACAACGGCCATACTGCCCAAGGTAATTTACAGATTCAATGCCATCCCCATCAAGCTACCAATGCCTTTCTTCACAGAATTGGAAAAAAACTACTTTAAAGTTCATATGGAACCAAAAAAGAGCCCACATCGCCAAGTCAATCCTAAGCCAAAAGAACAAAGCTGGAGGCATCACGCTATCTGACTTCAAACTATACTACAAGGCTACAGTAACCAAAACAGCATGGTACTGGTACCAAAACAGAGATATAGATCAATGGAACAGAACAGAGCCCTCAGAAATAATGCCGCGTATCTACAACTATCTGATCTTTGACAAACCTGAGAAAAACAAGAAATGGGGAAAGGATTCCCTATTTAATAAATGCTGCTGGGAAAACTGGCTAGCCATATGTAGAAAGCTGAAACTGGACCCCTTCCTTACACCTTATACAAAAATTAATTCAAGATGGATTAAAGACTTAAACGTTAGACCTAAAACCATAAAAACCCTAGAAGAAAACCTAGGCAATACCATTCAGGACATAGGCATGGGCAAGGACTTCATGTCTAAAACACCAAAAGCAATGGCAACAAACGCCAAAATTGACAAATGGGATCTAATTAAACTAAAGAGCTTCTGCACAGCAAAAGAAACTACCATGAGAGTGAACAGGCAACCTACAACATGGGAGAAAATTTTCACAACCTACTCATCTGACAAAGGACTAATATCCAGAATCTACAATGAACTCAAACAAATTTACAAGAAAAAAACAAACAACCCCATCAAAAAGTGGGCAAAGGATACGAACAGATGCTTCTCAAAAGAAGACATTTATGCAGCCAAAAAACACATGAAAAAATGCTCATCGTCACTGGCCATCAGAGAAATGCAAATCAAAACCACAATGGGATACCATCTCATACCAGTTAGAATGGCAATCATTAAAAAGTCAGGAAACAACAGGTGCTGGAGAGGATGTGGAGAAATAGGAACACTTTTACACTGTTGGTGGGACTGTAAACTAGTTCAACCATTGTGGAAGTCAGTGTGGCGATTCCTTAGGGATCTAGAACTAGAAATACCATTTGACCCAGCCATTCCATTACTGAGTATATACCCAAAGGACTATAAATCATGCTGCTATAAAGACACATGCACACGTATGTTTATTGCAGCACTATTCACAATAGCAAAGACTTGGAACCAACCCAAAAGTCCAACAATGATAGATTGGATTAAGAAAATGTGGCACATATACACCATGGAATACTATGCAGCCATAAAAAGTGATGAGTTCATGTCCTTTGTAGGGACATGGATGAAACTGGAAATCATCATTCTCAGTAAACTATCACAAGGACAAAAAACCAAACACCGCATGTTCTCACTCATAGGTGGGAATTGAACAATGAGAACACATGGACACAGGAAGGGGAACATCACACTCTGGGGACTGTTGTGGGGTGGGGGGAGGGGGGAGGGATAGCATTAGGAGATATACCTAATGCTAAATGACGAGTTAATGGGTGCAGCACACCAGCATGGCACACGTATACATATGTAACTAACCTGCACATTGTACACATGTACCCTAAAACTTAAAGTATAATAATAATAATAATAAAAAGGTTTTTCATTACAAAATATTTTTTAATTTTCCATTTACTTTGTAAACATTTTGTACTATGAAATATATCATACACACGAAATGTATATCAAATCTATATACAATTTAAAAGTGAAGATGGTTAAGATATATTACCATACCATGAGATATATTACCAACATTACCTCCACCTTGGGATACTACAGTATTTTTTCACCTCTACTTCCTACTTATCTCCTATATGAAACAATTCTGAGTTTTATAATGAATCATTTCTTGCTTTCCTTTATTCTTTTACTACATACAACTGCTTTCATCAGCAATATGTTGCATATTTTTGCCTATCTGCAAACTTTACAGATGTGTGTGTCTATGTGTGTATATAGACACATGTGCACACACACACACACACGTATATATAGCCATGGGCAATACAACTCTAAAAGAATTTAACAGTTTGAAATAATTTTGCATCCAGATTACTTTGCAAGTATCTTTAAGTTCTCATACCAATCCATGATCTTCTTTTAGAAAAAAGATCTACAGAATACATCAAATGTTGGTAGATAAATGTGATACATGTGTATATTAATTAAAATATTATGCTAGGCTTGTATGGCTTTTTTAATACACTGCTTTAACCAATGTTTTACCGACTATTGCATGGGATGAAATGTGCTCTATTATAAATGAATAGAATTATTAGCAGTGTGTCCATTTACCTTAAAACTAGCTCATACATTTGTGGTTAAACTGTTTTTTTTGTTGTTGTTGTTATGCTATGTTATATCATGGTATTAATGTGCTCATTTTCGATCTTAGAGTTTTTCCTTTTCTATTACTTAAATTATTACCAGATTATTTTTTTAAAAAAATTCTAGCTAATATCGAGCAGAGTAGAAGTTTATTTGTCTAGAACACTATAGACCAACTTCAGGATGGCCCTGAACTGCATGAAGTTGTTTATGTACATGCATAAGTCTCTCTATCTGTGCATATAGTTGTAAGTGTAGTTGTAAAAATGAATATCATTCTTGCAACTTGCTCTTTGTTCTTTATTCCATTTCTACTCGTTCTCCTTGATCCTCGTGAACACTTTATAATCATTTCTCCTTTCTGTTCCTCCCCTTAAAAAACTTGCTTATTGGGGATTATTATACATAAGAATTAGAATATCCAAATCAATTTCTCACAATGTGGTCCCTGATTGCATGTTTCTTCTGTAATAATAATTGCCTCTTTGTGTTTCTATCCATTTCTTCTCCGGTAGTGCTGTCATCTTGCTTTGGTGTCCACATAAAACTCTTGACAGGTTATATGAATCTAAAGAATGTGATGCCGAATTACCCATGAGGTAACTTTTTAAATTTTATTTTGTGACAGGGCCTCTCGCTCTATCACCCAGGCTGAAGTGCAGTGGCATGACCACAGCTCAGTGCAGCCTTGGACTCCTGGGCTTAAGCGATCCTCCTGCTTTAGCCTCCTAAGTAGGTAGGACTACAAGCACATACCACCACACATGGCTATTTTTAAAAATATATTTTTTATAGAGATGGAGTCTCACTATGTTTCCTAGGCTGGTTTTGAACTCCCAGGCTCAAGTGATCCTCCCATCTTGGGCTCTCAAAGTGCTGGGAGTATAGGTGTGAGCCACTGCACCTGGCATATATTATTTTTTACCTCATATTTATTCTCTCATTTGATCTTCACAACAAGGAAATTGATAAGGGTCAGTATTCTTGTTTTTACAAAGAGAAAAACAAAAGCCTAGAAAAATGTCAAATATTTTTATGATCAAAAATTCAATTACTGATATCTGAAAATATATCCACATCTCTTACTATTAATCTAGGCCTAATTGCAGGCCTCTACTTAGCTTAGTGACTAGGTAAAACCAAGTAAATCTCTAGTACTAGAAAAGACAATATGCTTGTAATAAGATATTCTAGATTTAAGTCTTAGCATTGCTAAATACTAGATTTGTTACTTTATTCAAATAACTTCTCTCTGGATCTTATCTTCTACATTTATAAAAAGTAAAAATAAAAGAAGAAGAAGGGAGAGTGTCGTGTTTGAGTTTCTCTTGTCTCTTCCTGCTCTAAAGTCTTTAATGGTTTGTTATTTATTGGTAAGAATCATGCACACTGTATGAATAACTCTATCCTGCTCTCTGGCATTGCGGATAAGAGCACTTGTAGTTCCTTGCAGGAAAGAAGGAACATCTCCTACAGAATGCCTCTAGGACGCATTATAGCCTCAGGCTCATAGGACCCCACATATAACAGCACTCAGCTTTGTAAGGAGCAAAGGGAACCAAATGACTTGGAACAGGAGTTTGACATCCCTGTCTTCGCCAATCCCTGCTAAACTGCTGATACTGTTTCTCCTTGTGAATCACTCGATACTCACTCAGTTGTGCCATCACCAACTGCTCTTCTTGGCAGGGTGCTCTGAGGGCTTCGTGGGCCACTGCCTATGATACAGTGCCAAATGGATTGTGGGATGGATAATTGACAATCAAATAAGCATCCTGCCTTGTGGCAACAGAAAACGTAACTCTTATTATTACGTATGCAGCCTTTCAAAACACCATGTTAAATAGCCCATGTGAAAGGAAATTAACCAAATTACTATTAGGAGTTACTTTTAAAACAGATGTATTGAGGGGCCAGTGATGCTCACTTCTAATCAATCACAAAGGTTTTTCTCATTTCTATATTTTTCATGCCTTGCTTAATTCAGTTACTCACCATTTAGTCATTAACTTGCTGCAAGAGCCTTCTAACTGGCCTTTTTGCTCTTAGTCTTGCCTGTTTCAACCCATTTTTCACAGTACTGCTTTTTTCAGGAAGGTTCCCTATATCCTTTACCATAAAATCCAGTTTGCTTGGCATTACATAAAATACCTTTCCTGAAGTAGACCCTTCTAGGCTCTCTAGCTCCATTCTTTGTCACATACCTCTGCTCTCCTTACATGCAGCTCTGTCAGCCTATTGGTAGTTCTTTTGACAGAGGCATCCTTATTAATGATGAATACTTAAATGCAAACTTTTAATGAAATAAATCATTTACCTTGAAGAATTACAACTTAGTGATTGCTGTGAGGGTTATTTTTGGTAAAGCCTGAATGTTTGCAGTTGCTCCCAAGCATGGAGCACAACTCAGAAAGAAATAATACATAATGAGTACTGCATTGGACCAAATGATAGCCCTGCAAAAGATATGTGCATGCCCTCATCTTCAGAACCCATGAATATTATCTTATTGCAAGAGTAAATATTTCTGTATGTCTTCGTTTGGGCTGCTGTAACAGAATACCATAGACTGGGTGGCTTAAACAATAGAAATTCATTTCACACAAGTCTGGGGACTAGAAAGTCCCAGATCAAATTGCATGCAGAACCATGTCTGATGAGGGCACTCTTCCTGGTTTGCAGAAAGCCATCCTTTTGTTGTCTCTTCACATGGCAGAGAACAGAACAAGAAAAAGCAAGCTTTTGTGTCTCCTTTTATAAGGACACTAGTATCTGAATGTTTGTGAAGCTCTCATGAATGGGATTTGTGCCCTTATTAAAAAAAAAAAATAGCCAATAGACTTGCCTCACCTCTTCCACCATGTGAAGATGCAGCTAAAAGATACCATCTACAAAGAAACAGGCTCCCACCAGATGCTGAGTCTGCTGGAGCCCTGCTCTTGGACTTCTCATCCTCCAGAACTGTGAGATATAAATTTCTGTTGTTTAAAAGCTACCTAAGTATTTTGTTATAGCAGCTTGAACAGACTAAGCCAGGCACTAATCTCACTCATAAGGCCCCTATCCTAATGACCTAATTACCTTCTAAAGACTCTATCTTCTAATACCTTCACAATGAGTATCAGGATTTCAACAAATGACTTTTGCAGTTAGGGTGGCACAAATATCCAGTCAATAACATTGTATATAGTAAAACATGTGATTAAGATGAGGATCTTGTAAGATCTTATCTTGGATGATCTAGGTTGACCCTAACTCCAATAACACGCAAACTTGTAGAAAACAGAGGCACAGGGAGTTTTGAGACGAAGAAAAGAAAGCAATTTGCCTATTGAGGCAGGGACTGGAGTAATGTGACAAGCCAAAGAATTCCTGGAGCCAGGAGAAACTGGAAGAGGCCAGGAGTTCTCCCCATGAAACTTTGGAGAGAGCAAGTCTCTGTTGACACCTTAATTTCCAATTTACAGGCTCCAGAACTGTATGAGAATACATTTCTGTTATTTTAAGCCACTGAGTTTGTTGTAACTTGTTACAGTAGCCACAGGAAACTAATACAAGCACTTTAGTGAGAAGTATAGGTAACTAGGAGTGCACAGAGTCTAGTAGGCAGAATTAACTGAAGACTTGCAAAGCATATAAATAAATGATTTGCCCAATGTCAAATCTTCATCCTTACACTAAAAGTAACTAGGAGATCATTGAGTCACAGATTTTATTTGGTAGATAGGAAAGCTGAGGACCACTGAGTTTCCACGGCTTTTTACAGCTGTACGTGTGGAGAGTGACAGGGCCATGGTGAGAGTTTATGTATCCTGAGAACCCCCAAGCCTCTCTTCATCAGTCATCAATGCCTGTCTGTTGGAAATGGCAGCCTTATACACTGTAACTCTATTTGTAATCATCAAATGTTGAAACACGACTAGGTCTCCACAACAGAAAATTGGTTTGCATAAATTATATTACATCCAAATGGTGGGATGCTGGTAAGCCACTAATATATTCCAGTTATTCAAATGCATACTATAGAAATTTAAGAATATATATTGAAACAAATTTATGATATATATCAGAAAAAACAAGGAATTCATCAAAGATAGTAGTGGGTACAATTTTCTTTTTATAAAGAAATCATTAAAAAATATACCAAATGTAGACTTGAAAGTTCATACACCAAAGTGTTAATTGTAGTTGTTTGTGATAATAATGATTATAGATGACTGTTTTAAAAAAATTCTTTTATATTTTTTCTGTAATAAATATATATTGATTTTACAATTAAAAGGATTTTTTTTTTTTTTTTTTTTTTTGCTTAAATTTCAAAGAACAGTCATTGTGTGCCAATCCCTAAGATGCTGTTCAGGAGACCAGACATAGATATCTAGTCTATATTGTAATTGAGAATTAGGTTAGGGGTTGGGGATTCAAGGCTATCACAAGGCAGAAAGTACAGTAAGAGTGAACAAGAAGCAGGAATAAATATGGATGGAGATGGTGAAAAGGGGATGCAGAAGCAGATACACTGGCTAGAAGATGGAAAGTTTACAGATAGACTTTGGATCTCTACTCTGTTAGCTAGCTTAATTTTATGATTTACATTGCCATTATTAATTCTAAGATATAGATTATTTTGAAGACTCAATGTTTTCCTCAATGTGAGATCTCAGACAAGGCAGTCTGTGGAACATCCGGGCAGTATAACCTGAATATCATAGAGATAAACTTTCCATTAAGGTTGGAGTCAGTTGAAGCCTGACCTACTAGAGAGGGGTTGCCTGGTAATGAGAGTGAAGAGTTAGGAGAGGTTTAACCTGAGAACAGGAGAAGATTCAGGCAAAAAGCAAGGGTATGTATAAGTCTATGTGTCTATTTGTGTGAACATCAGTCCTTGAACAATGCCACTGGTCTTAGAAATTTAGGGAGATTAAGTTTTCAGTGACAGTGGACTTTTGAACAAAGAGGGAAAAGAATAAAAAACTCCCCAGTCTGACACCAGAATAAGAAAAGTAAATCTTTTAAAAAATAGTAATGTTTTATGTCTTGCCCTGTAACAAGTTCTAGCTGTAGTTACAGCTGAAATATATCATTATTCGTAGCACCTTTTGGGGAGTATAAATTACTATAACCTTCCTGGAAAATAATTTGACACTTTTAATAATTTGTCCTAAAATCTGGAGGAAATAATTTGAAAGGTAGACAAAAATCATGTATACATATGTCATTCCTGTGGTATTACTAATATTGAAAACCCAGAAACAAATTAAATGTCCAAAATTAGATGAATGATCAAGTAATATATAGTACTTACATATGATAGACTATTCTGTAGTCATTAAGAATCATATTTATAAAGAATTGACTGAAAAAGGAAAGACATTAAATTGTAGATACATTACGTTAACTATACATAATTTATACAGATAAATGAACACTTTACACACACACAATACTTTGAAGGACATTTTTCATTCTGAAAGTTTTAAAATATAAATTTATGCATGCCAATTTTCAAGAACATATCTACTATGTAATTAGATATATCAGTACTATCATATACATCTTTCTCTTTGCAAAATAATTAACATCTTACTTTCTTGGTATCAAAAGTTCAAATTATTGCCTTTTAAGATATAAGCCATTTTAACTGGGGTGAGATAATAACTCATTGTAGTTTTGATTTGTATTGCTTTGGTGATCAATGATGTTGACCACCTTTTCATATACCTGTTTGCCATTTGTATGTCTTTTTTTGAGAAATGTCTATTTAAATATTTAAAGCAAATCAGTATACCTAAGAGATATCTGCACTCCTATGTTTGTTGCAGCACTAATAACAATAGGTAAGCTTTGGGAGCAACCTAAGTGTCCATCATCAGATGAATGAATAAAGAAAATTTGGTACATATACACAATGGTATACTATTCAGCCATAAAATGAAGGAGATCCAGTCATTTGCAACAACATGAATGGAACTGGAGATCATTAAGTGAAGTAAACCAGGCACAGAAAGACAAACATCACATGTTCTCACGTAATTGTGGTATCTAAAAATCCAATCCATTGAACTCATGGACACAGAGAGTGCAAGAATGGTTACCAGAGGCTAGGAAGGGTAGTGAGCGGTTGAGGGGGAGGTGGGTATGGTTAATGGGTACAAAAAATAGACTAAATAAGACCTCCTATTTGATGGCACAATAGAGTGACTATGGTCAATAATAACTTAATGGCATATTATAAAATAAAGAATGTTATTGCATTGTTTGTAACTCAAAAGGTAAATGCTCGAAAGATGGATACTCCATTCTCCATGATGAGCTTCTTTCACATTGCATGTCTGTATCAAGACATCTTATGTACCCCATAAATATATACACTTACTATGTACCCACATAAACTTAAAAAAAAAACAAAAAATTAACAACTTCAGATTATATAGAACATATAGATACAGACTAATTGGAAAATTGGGGAACAGAAAATATTAAAACACTTTTTATATATGAAAACAATGGTGTATGCAGATAGACCTCACTTGTTTCTTCTGTGTTTTAGAAGCACATTGCATATTTAGTTCATTTATAGGTAATTTTCTGAATGGTAGAGGAGTTCTTTGTTGTTCTGGATCCATAAAGAGATAAAAAATAAAGTTCATAAAGCTTATCCACCATGATCAAGTCAGCTTTATCCCTGGGATGCAAGGCTGGTTCAACATATACAAACCAATAAATGTAATCCAGCATAGAAACAGAACCAAAGACAAAAACCACATGATTATTTCAACAGATGCAGAAATGGCCTTCCATAAAATTCAACATCCTTCATGCTAAAAACTCTCAATAAACTAGATATTGATGGAACATATCTCAAAATAATAAGAGCTATTTATGACAAACACATAGCCAATTTCATACTGAATGGGCAAAAGCTGAAAGCATTCCCTTTGAAAACTGGCACAAGACAAGGATGCCCTCTCTCACCACTCCTATTCAACATAGTATTGGAAGTTCTGGCAAGGGCAATCAGGCAAGAGAAAGAAATAAAGAGCATTCAAATAGGAAAAGAGGAAGTCAAGCTGTCTCTGTTTGCAGTTGATATGAATGTATATTTAGAAAACCCCATTGTCTCAGCCCAAAACCTCCTTAAGCGGATAAGCAATTTCAGCAAAGTCTCGGGATATAAAATCAATGTGCAAAAATCACAAGCATTCCTCTTCATCAATAATAGACAAGCAGAGAGCCAAATCATGAGTGAACTCCCATTCACAATTGCTACAAAGAGAATAAAATACCTAGGAATACAATTCACAAGGGATGTGAAGGACCTCTTCAAGGAGAACTACAAACCACTGCTCAAGGAAATGAGAGGACACAAACAAATGGAAACAAATTCCACCCATGCTCGTGGATAGGAAGAATCAATATCATGAAAATGACCATACTGCCCAAAGTAATTTGTAGTTTCAATGCTGTTCCCACAAGTTACCATTTACTTTCTTCACAGAATTAGAGAAAACTACTTTAAATTTCATATGGAACAAAAAAAGAGCCATATAGCCAAGACAATCCTAAGCAAAATGAACAAAGCTGGAGGCATCACACTACCTGACTTCAAAATATACTACAAGGCTACAGTAACCAAAACAGTATGGTACTGGTACCAAAACAGATATAGAGACCAATGGAACAGAAAAGAGGCCTCAGAAATAACACCACACATCTACAACCATCTGATCTTTGACAACCCTGACAAAAATAAGCAATGGGGACAGGATTCCCTATTTAATAAATGGTACTGGGAAAACTGGCTAGCTATATGCAGAAAACTGAAACTGGACCCCTTCCTTACACCTTATACAAAAATTAACTTGAGCTAGATTAAAGACTTAAATGTAAAACCCAAAACTGCAAAACCCTAGAAGAAAACCTAGGCAATACCATTCAAGACATAGGCATGGGCAAATACTTCATGACTAAAACACCAAATGCGATTGCAACAAAAGCTTAAGTTGACAAATGGGATCTAACTGAACTAAAGAGCTTTTGTACAGCAAAAGAAACTACCATCAGAGTGAACAGGCAATGTACAGAATGGGAGAAAATGTTTGCAATCTGTCCATCTGACAAAGGGCTAATATCCAGAATCTACAAGGAACTTCAACAAATTTACAAGGAAAAACAAACAACTCCATCAAAAAGTGGGTGAAGGATATAAACTGGCACTTCTTAAAAGAAGACATTTATGCAGCCACAAACTTAGGTAAAAAAAAACTCATCATCACTGATCATTAGAGAAATGGAAATCAAAACCACACTGAGATACCACCTCATGACAGTTAGAATGGTGATTATTAAAACGTAAGGAAACAGCAGACGCTGGCAAGGCTGTGAAGAAATAGGAATGCTTTTACACTGTTGGTGGGAGTGTAAATTAGTTCAACCATTGTGGAAGACAGTATGGCGATTCCTCAAGGATCTAGAACCAGAAATACCATTTGATCCAGCAATCCCATTACTGAGTATATACCCAAAGGATTATAAATCATTCTACTGTGAAGACATATGCACACATATGTTTATTGCAGCACTATTTACAATAGCAAAGACTTGGAACCAAGCCAAATGCCCATCAATGATATACTGAATAAAGAAAATGTGGCACATATATAACATGGAATACTATGCAGCCATAAAAAGGAATGAGTTCATGTTCTTTGCAGGGACATGAAGCTATAAACCATCATTCTCAGCAAACTAACACAGGAACTGAAAATCAGACACCGCATGTTCTCACTCATCACTCATAAGTGGGAGTTGAACAATAACACATGGACGCAGGGAAGGGAACATCACACACTGAGACCTGTCACATGGTGGGGGGCAAGGAGAGGGAGAGCATTAGGACAAATACCTCATGCGTGCGGGGCTTAAAACCTAAATGACAGTTGCAGCAAACCACCATGGCACATGTATACCTGTTTAACGGACCTGCACGTTCTGCTCATGTATCCCAGAACTTAAAGTAAAATTAAAAAAAAAAAAATCAAGTTTCCCCACATAAATATGTACAATTACAATGTGTCAGTAAAAAAAAAAAAATTAAAAAGAAAAAAATAAAATTCAAAAACACCCTAGATGATATTCCCAAGATGCTTGCCTTAACACTCATGCACAAAGTCAACTGGGAAAGTTTTGCATTTGAGATGCAATTCTCTGAAGTTCAAATGATGATTTGTGTCTTTACCTTCTCATGGGGTGTACCAGGCATATGCCTGGCATATAGAAGGTGTTGCAGCTTGTGTCTGTGGCCTACTCCAGAGACATACTCCACACTTTTCTCCCCCAACATCTCCTTGCTAAGATAACTTTGATTCTGTCAACTAACTAGTCTCTTCCACAGGGCTCTATGCTTTTTACAAAAGTCTGAACAAGTAGACAAATCTCTACTTGTCTAAATTAATCATTGTAATAACATTCCCCAAACCAATGTCATGTAACTTAATTCTAATCAATGAGATGTAAGGGTGAGTCTGCAGATATTGCTTCTGGGGAAGCTGCTTAGCTCTTAAAGTAACAAGGAAGAAATAGTCCCTTTGCTTTCTTATGGACATGGACATGGGGAGAATGTGATGCCGCAGCTGTCTTGTAACTCTGAGAGGAAGCTAGTCAAATATTAAGAACAGCAGAATAAAAGTTCAAAGTATGAGTCCTTCCAGACACATTCGAGATACTGAATTAACTAACCCAGAGCCACCTTGAAGCAATCCTACCTTGTTTTACTCTTTGTTATATGCAGTAACAAGGCCCTTGTGTGGTTTAAATCCTTCTGATTTGGGTTTTCTGTTACTCAAAGCTGAAAACATTTCAATTGATAGAGAAGGTAAAGAAAAGGTTTGTTGAATTGAATTCAGTTAGAAATATCATGTGAGATTCCTAAGTAGACACAAAGGGCTAGAAGACAAGGTAAGAGACTTAGTCAGGGGGCTGGTCATGTAGAAATTTAGGATCTGCATCAAAGCTTTGCAGTGATGAGAAGCTTTCAGTGATTTTGAACAAGGAGCAAATAATATTTGATTCTACTATTTTAAATTCATTTTTTTGTGCCTTCAACATTGTTTCCTCTACTCTATTACAGTTAATTATTTATATAGAACAAAGCTGTTTTGCTTTCATTCTGCCTGTCTTTTCCCTTAGCCATTTGTCTTTTTATTGATCTTCTGCAATTCTTATGATTTTAACGTTAGTGCCATTAATCCAGCTCTGGACTTTTGACCTTCTTTCTCTTCTGTGTTTTCTTCTATTTGCCCCTTGGCTTTGTTGTATGCTTTTCAGGGCTTTTAGTCTCTCCAAAAAGAAAACTCTTTTAAAAGTGTGGGGTCAGGGCCAGGGCTACATTTACTGAAGTGGATATAAATAAAATTGAAGAATCTCTTTGCAAAGTAAATCAGTGGTCTTGAATTAATATTTCAGTGTAAATTAAATTTCCATACTTAAGATGGACATTTGGAAAGGCTGAACTACAATAAATATGTTGTTTCCCATTTTCTCTTTTTAATAATGTGGAACCTTTAGATTTTTCTTTGAAGATATGAGTTTGCTAGTTTTGCAGTTGAGTGAAATTTGGGATTTGGGTAAAACATAATTTATTTAAAATTGAGATGCCCTTTCCCATCCATTTTCCTTTAATTATGCTGTGTTTTATCTCATATTCTCCAAAATATGCCTGCTTAAACATTTAAGCAGTGTTAATCAAAGACTTTCTAGACTTCATTTCTTTGATAAATTGAAATATAATTGTCTGTATCACATGAACATTTGGTTTCAAACTTGTTAGCTGTTCTATATTTGGGAAATTATAAAATTGTGTTGTTGAATATTAGTTGAATTATAAGGCATTCAATAAGCATACAGATGTGATAATAGCAGTGGGAAAAATCCTTTTCCATGAAGACTTTGATTACTTGAAGTTCATTGACTTGATTAAGAAATGAGACACACGAGACAATGACCTGACTTTCAGTGGACTAGGTTGTAACTTATTATCTTCAAATACTTTATTCTCCTTTTTCTGACCATGAGGTTTTAGCAGTGGTTCTTTCCTGTAGGCTGAAGTCTTAGTGGGAGAACGATGCTTTTTAACTTTTTTTCTAGACTGGAAAGGCAAAAAAAGACTTTTCTTCTCTCTTTATTTTAAGGGTCATAAATTATCTTCATTTTGAATTATCTGAGAACCCCCTGCTGATTAGCTTCTAGAAGGTAGAAGGCAAATATTTTCTAAATGAATTCATGTATTCTCTGCTAAAGTACGTATCAGTAGAGTTATAGTAAGATTGTCCCATCTTTTCCTTTTTGTTTTATTTATTTATTTATTTATTTAAAATGAAGTCTTGCTTTGTCATCCAGGCTGGAGTGCAGTGACACAATCTCAGCTCACTGCAACCTCCACCTCCCAGGTTCAAGCGATTCTTCTGCCTCAGCCTCCCAAGTAGCTGGGATTACAGGCACATGGCATCATGCCCAGCTATTTTTTGTATTTTTGATAGAGACAGGGTTTTGCCCTGTTGTCCAGGCTGGTCTCAAATTCCTGATCTTAAGTGATCCACCTGCTTCGGCCTCCTAAAGTGCTGAGATTACAGGCATGAGCCACCACACCTGGCCTGATTTTCCCATCTTTTCTAGGGAAAGCCTAGAAAAAGTGTTCTTTCTAGGAAAGAGCACAGTTGTGTTACTTCAATAACACAATATGTTTATTCATTTACTTACTTACTCATTGATTATTCACTATATAAGACCCTGTGATGTATTTTAATGTGCATAATTTCATTTATATTTTATACTAATTTGTGAAATAGGCCTCACTATTATTCCCATTTTACAGATTAAGAAATGAGAAGCTTGGAGCTCAGAGAGATTGTAGCTTGCCTAACATTTTACTGCTTATTTGGTTGTTTAAAACCATTCATTCTGAAACCAGTGAGCATAAAGTGATAGGCAGTTTTGAAAGAACAAACTGAAGGTCACCTTCAATAGTATTAAAATGATGAAGAAAACACACAAAATGGAGGAAAGAGATAAGTCCCCAGGAACATGATTTTATTATTTTGCCATGCCCTAGCTCATGAAACAGCCTTTTCCAAAAGTCATGCCCTGTGCAGTCTTGTGCTCAGAGAAAAAGGTACAACTGGGGAATCTATACACATAGTTTTTCCCCTTCACTTCCATACTATCACCCCAGACCACACTTGCCCAACTTTGAACCAAGATTATAGCTGGTACCTGTCAAATTATCATCTAGCTATCACTGTTTTCTCATCTCAATCCATCTTGCATTTAGTTGCCAAATAAAGTTGCTCTACATCAAACTGCCTTTAAAGAAGTCTGAAGAACTTCTTGGCCTGAATAAAATACTCAGACTGTTTGGAGAAGGGCTTTGTAAAATTTGTTGTAAGTAGAAAGAAAGAATAGGTTGTCATTGCTGTGAAAAATGATAGCATCACATTTCTCTAAGGAGTGACCAATTCTTTTAAATTTTTATTCAGCCCTGAGTATAGGTATTAGATTACATAATTGCTCATAAATAAAATACAATCATGGCATACTCTTTTCTCCTTCCAATCAATTCTCCAGAGCAAGAATTACCATTTTAAAAGGCAAATAATTGTTATTTCATCCCACTGTTTAAATTCCTTTAGCAGCCTCTGGTTTCTCTCAACCCCCCTCAAGTGGACACACATGGTATTATTCCCAAATTTTCCTTCCTGTCTCATCATTTCACAGATCTTTTTTTTTTTCTTTCGTTTCCTGTAATATTGCTCTCCATTACTTACCTTTCACCCAATTGCCACAGGGATGATGCCCATGCTGGTCTTACTGCCAGAAACCCCTTAATACCTTCCCTTTCCTCTTGGTCTGGATAACTGGTGTTCATTCTTTACATGGCAACTGAATCCTCCTATCTTCAGGGAAGCCCTGACCTCCTCAACTAGGTCAAATTCTCCTATTATAGACAATATTTATGTACTCAAACTCTCCTTTATTGCATTAACTGCAGTCGCAAATTTAGAATTACAAATGTAACTATTTCATAGCCATCTTTCCCTGATTAGACCATAAGCTCAAAGAAAGCAAGGACCATGGCTGTTTTAGTACAATTTTATCCGCAAGCTTAATGCAGTCCTTGACACATAATGGGTTCTCAGAAAATGTTTTCTTACTATATGGATGAATGGTTTGGCTCACTGTGTTGATTACTGAGGGGTTAATAAACAGTGCTGTGTAGAGTGTGTTGCACACAAGAGTTCAAAATATTAAGTAACTGAATGAATACATGAATAAGTGAAATTGAATGATCTGTGAGCCAATTATCTACTTCTGAATTTGTGGTTCACCTATCATTTTAGTTTGACATTTGAGACCATACATTTACTACCATAGAGGTCCTCTTTCTTTCCACTGATAACTGAAAGGATATGAGTAATTTCTATTATTAACCTATTAAATCCTAATGAATTCAGAAGATATGATATATAGTATATTATACAATGTATTCCAGAGGCTGAGCTAAAGCATTCAGGGAATGTCTATCTTTCTATATCCTAATCCCATTCCCACTTTATATAGTAATGCTTAGTGCTCAGAGAGGTGAAGGACTTGACTGACCCAAAGTCACAGAGTCTATGATTCTGGCATGATGCAAACAGAAAGCTCTTGAGTCTATAATTGATAGGGTTTTTGAGCTTACTAAACATCTGTAGGGTACTGACACATTAACAGTGCTTTTATTTCTCACTTTACCTGTTCTACATTTAAACATATAGTCTAATTGCTGTAAATACAGCATTTCTCACCAGTAATAAATTAAAAACCTTTGGCAAACTTCTCTTAATTGATGCTTTCACTCCCTTGTCTAATGTACTACCCTGAAGGGAGTGACTTTCAATAGCATTGCTTTCAGTGTCTTATTTGGCTTACCTAGAAAGGAAGGAAAACCGTCCTTATATTTTTAAAGGAATTTAGATTTTAAAGAGACACTATGGATCTGTTCCAGAAACCATATTTTAAAATGTATTTATTATATGGCTTTAATTACAACTCTGGAGAAGACTGAACAATGCAACACAGACAGTTCACAGCATAAATTATTGTTATAATCTTAATGGCATAACAGGTGCACAAGGAAAATACGTTTATTCCTTCTTTTGAGATTAAATTTACTAAAAAATCTACTTTTGAGATTATATTTACTAAAATTTTACTAAAATGGAAAATACAATAATCTAAAGTCATTCTAGCAAAATTTGATGTCTGAAGTTTCACTCAAGCCTAAAGTTGTCACGTCTTGTTTCCATTTGCCCCTTCCTTGAGTTTTTCATCACTGGCATTTTTACACTGGATTTTGGCATATTAAGTCCCTAAATGGCAGTGAAGGTACTTCAAGAGGTAGATGGAGCCTGACTGACCTCACATGCCTTGGGACTTTTCCTTCCTTGGTGCCTCAGTTTCTCTCTCTGTAGGGGAAGACTGGGTTGAAATAATTTATGTGGTTTCCTGAAACACTGTTTATCTGTTATGTAATTTAACTTTTTCTTTAAGATACAAGGTTAATTTCTATGGAATATTTAAAAAGTGGATGGAATACAAATCACACTGACATTATCATTAAAACTATGCACCAGTTTTTTACAGGGCTGAAATGTTGATTTATAAATGTACTCTTTTGTCCATAAGAATAATTTGGACCAGTATTTTTGAAGGAAGACGGAGACACCAGGTTTCATATATCATGGGGAATTAAAGGTTGAACTAGACTGAAGCAAATGGATGAAAAAAGTAGAATATGGTAAATCCAGGTGAGTTTTGCATTACTTTCTTACTTCCCACCCTGCTTTGTTGTTCCTCATCCATTTATTTCTCTTAGTATCCTTTTATCCTGCAGCCTCTGGTTACTTTGTTCTATCCCATGAATCCAAAGTCTTAGGTACAATATATGATTTATACCTGTTACCCCCAAAATGATGAATGGTCTAGGTTCCCTTTCTCATCTTCAAATTTCACGTGTTCTTTGATTCTTCTACCATAGGCCCCTTTGCTCAGCTTTCAAAAATAGCAACTAGATCATATGACAAATATATTTATGTTGTTGATATTTTAATGAGATGACTAAATTTACTACTTTCTTAACATTTACATTTAATAGTGGATGGGTGGGCTGAAAGAATGGCTGCACTTCTGCTATGTAATCCCAAATAGAAACTCTAAGAGAAAAACTTCAAGCCAAGTAGAAGGGTTTAAGCACAAGCTGAAAATAGAGGATTTAAGCCAGGTAGGTTTTAGGGCTCAGTCTTAAATCATGTAAAGACTCACATCAGAAGAGCTATGACTTTTTACACAAAGATGGTCATATGTAATGGAGATCTATCTATCTATCTGTCATCTATCTATCTATCTATCATCTATCTTTTTTTTTTTTTTTTTGACACTGAATTTAGCTCTTGTTGCTCAAGCTGGAGTGCAATGGCAAAATCTCGGCTCACTGCAACCTCCGCCTCCTGAGTTCAAGTGATTCTCCTGCCTCAGCCTCCCAAGTAACTGGGATTACAGGTGCGCACCACCACGCCCAGCTAATTTTTTGTATTTTTAGTAGAAATGGGGTTTCACCATGTCAGCCAGGCTGGTCTTGAAATCCTGACCTCAGGTGATCTGCCCAACTCGGCCTCCCAAAGTGCTGGCATTACAGGCGTGAGCTACCGTGCCCTGCCTATCTATCTATCTATCTATCTATGTATCTATCTATCTACCTACCTACCTACCTATTTGAGATGAAGTCTCGCTCTGTTACCCAGGCTGGAGTGCAGTGGCACCATCTGGGCTCACTGCAAACTCCGCCTCCTGGGTCCAAGAGATACTCCTGCCTCAGCCCCCCAGGTAGCTGGGATTACATATGCATGCCACCACGCCCAGCTAATTTTTGTATTTTTAGTAAAGACAGGATTTTGCCATGTTGGCCATGCTGTTCTTGAACTCCTGACCTCAGGTGATCCACCTGCCTCAGCCTCCCAAAGTGCTGGAATTACAGGCGTGAGCCACCACACCTGGCCAGATCATTATATTTTTAAATTTTTAAAATATATTTCCATATCTTGAAAGTTGTATTGACCCATCATTGTCTCTCTCTCTCTGTATATATATATACACACACACACACACGCACATATATACACGTATATATACATACATATACATACACAAATATATACATATATATACACACATACATATATATGTTTTTTAAGATATATAAATATATCTTTATATATATTTAGTGCTTCAGTGGAAGAACAGAAGCCCCCTAAAAAAAGGCATCATTTCACATCTTTGACTACTAAATTCTGTTTTGTTTCTTATCAGAAGAAGAGCAATCTTGTCAGATTACTTAAAAGAAAAGTTCGAGCTTGCAGTGAGCTATGATCTCACCATTGAACTTCAGCCTGGAAAACAGAGCAAGACCCTGTCTCTAAATAAATAAATAAATAATTAATAAAGCATATGGGTCACTCACCATGATCTTCTTCTTAACCCCCACCCAAAGCCCTTCAGGCTGAATATGGTGTGAGGTTGCTTTGGGAACCCTGGAGCTACTGACAAACTTCCTCATAGCCATGGGCACACTCAGTATTTTCAGTCAACCTCCATTCCCATTGGTCTGTGCTTGTATATCACTTTCGCCAAGAAATATTAGGAATAATCTGGACTCCTTGGGAAATCCACACATGGGCTAGACAGAGGGGTTTCAGAGAACTAGAACAGCTTCACCGAAGCAGTACTCAGGAATCCCACTGCCCTCTTTGTGTCATGTCAGGGATCCCAAATGGTGGCAGAGGCGCTGGGAGAGGTGGACTAGAAGGACCTGGGCCAGAATAAAGATACTGTGTTGGAAAGGACTTTGAGACCCATGGAAAAGGGACAAGTTCATTGGCTTCGGTAGAGACTGCCTGTTTTTCATGGCACACTTGCCAACCCCTGACATACCTCATAGTCAACCAGCCCAGTAAAGAGAGTAAGAGAAGATCTTGAGTTTAAAAGGTCACAGAAGATACAGGGGATACCACAGGGCATAGAAGATAAGAGAAGGAAACTACTGCTATGAGGTCACTAAAGCCACACCTTTCTCCTATACCCAGATGCAATTTGAAAGGGAGAATAAACAGAGAAGAACTTTGAATAATCAAACACTGACCCAACTGCACCCAGCAGAGGTTGGTTAGTTAAAGAAATGTCTTAAATTATTGCCTCAGATTAGCACTAAATTACTGGCATGAGCTAAAATTTAGTCGCTTCTGCCACCAGCTCCCCATTAGTCAGGAGTTCATGAGAAAGAACAGATAAATTATAGAGAAATAAAGCAGCTATCTGTTCCTTGTGCACTGAGCATCATACAAATGATGTGTAGCCCAACTGCCCAAGTTTTTTCCTCACTAATATTTTATACAGAAGTTTGCAGCTTCAACTAGTGCTTCCTGAACAAAAAATATAACATCTTAGGCTCCCATTTGTCTCTGATCTGAGAAATTATTTAATCATGCATGTATATAAGATAAATTAATAAAGAAATACCCTAACATAGGTAAATGATACTTTTCTGAGGGACAGAGATTGTATTCAGAGTTTCCTAGTACCTTTTCACCAAATACACACACACACACACATACACACGTGCAGTATCCAGAAAAGTTTTTGGTACATAGTAGGCATTTCATTGCTATTTGATCAATTGTGTTGGGTGACTACACATTGGCCTACAACGAACATTTATGCATATTGGGCAAAAGCTTTTAGAGACTTGCTTGGCAATGAAGGCGTATGAACACTGTAGTTCTCTGAGTTTTTGGGAATTACTTAGATGTCCTAAGTCTGGTAAGAAATTTTCAGGGATATGATTAGAAACAAGATCTTGATATTTTGTTCTTACACAAACAAGAGTGATTCAATAGCCCTTGGCATAAATATCTAGGTTTTATTATGGGACACTTTCTTTTGGTTCATTCTTTTGAAAGACTGGTTTAAAATAATGCTCAATGTCTGCCTCTGTCTTTGCTGGTGATAATTACCTTATATTCTTTTAGCATGTGGGTTATAATTTACAAAACTCCTTTCTACTATAGAATAAAATGATTGGACTTGGTATCTGTTCCCCAATCCAAGCCTCAGTGACAATTTCTAAGCTACATAAATATTTACCAGGACTCTAGAAGCATAAAGAAAAGATAGAGCAAAGGAGAAATGAGCTAGAGAACTCTAGAGCCAAAGGCAGAAGAGTTGACAATGAAAGATAAAAGTTAAAATGTATGAAGATTTGATTGTGTTAGAAGATGTGCCAAACACTATTATTTATGTATAGGGCAATCAACAGGTTTTCAAAAACGCAGGCTCATCATTGGAAAATAGGTGCCAAGTATTATTTCCTAGATTGCATCTTTTGGCAAACAGGAGAGTGAGTCACTGATGGATGGCAGCATTCATATGGCCTTCCCAGGCTTGGAGGGTTCTGGGGCCCTGGGCTGCAAAAGGCAAAGAATGTACTGGAGGTGAGTGTGCCAGTTTAATGGGACAAAAGCAAAGCATTAAACATTCCAAGGCAAAGAAAGGAGAAAACAATGACCAGTTCTAAGACTATAAGAAAGACTCTTGCTATCTTCATGTCTTCATGTTGTTTCCATGTTTGTTCTTTTTTTTGGGGGCGGGGGGGCTTTCCTCCTAATTATGAATCCTTTACAATTAAAAGGTGCAGTGGATCTGGTTTTAGTGGCAATATAAGATGGGAGAAAACTGGTTAGTTTGTGCCTCACTCCATAGAAGATGTGGCTTGAGTAAAACCCTAGGGATAAAGTGGCAGTAGTTACTAGCAAAAGATAAGTACATGACAAGGTCCTTCATCCCAGGGTCTAAGAGAACAAAAGTGAAGTCTAAGAGGGTTTGAGAAACAGCTTTGGCCTCAAGCAATAAAAGGTCCCACAAGTACAATATCCTGAAAGGCTAATTTCCAGTTCAGCATCTAAAAAATGATAATCCCTAAATTCTCTTTTAGCTGTATCTTTAACACTATGTAAAATGTCTTTTTCTTGTCTGAGAATTTGTAATCCCATTGTTCTTTCAGTGGAGTCAAACTCATAGGTAAATGTTAAGCTACAGGGCCCATGTCTGAGTGATTCATTTCTGAATTCTCAGAGTTTAGCAAGTACCAGAGGCATTGTGAATAAATAAGAATAAATGATTGAATATCGAATGATAACTATTGTCAGGCCTCTGAGCCCAAGCGAAGCTGTCATATCCCCTGTGACCTGCACGTACACATCCAGATGGCCTTAACTGATGACATTCCACCACAAAAGAAGTGAAAATGGCCTGTTCCTGCCTTAACTGATGACACTGTCTTGTGAAATTCCTTTTCCTGGCTCATCCTGGCTCAAAAAGCTCCCCCATTGAGCACCTTGTGACCCCCACTCCTGCCTGCCAGAGAACAACCCCCCTTTTTCCTTTACCTACCCAAATCCTATAAAACGGCCCCACCCCTATCTCCCTTTGCTGACTCTCTTTTCAGACTCAGCCTGCCTGCAACCAGGTGAAATAAACAGCTTTATTGCTCACACAAAGCCTCTTTGGTGGTCTCTTCACACAGACGCGAGTGAAATTTGGTGCCCTGACTCAGATCGGGGGACCTCCCTTGAGAGATCAATCTCCTGTCCTCCAGCTCTTTGCTCCGTAAGAAAGGTACACTTATGACCTCAGGTCCTCAGACCTACCAGCCCAAGAAACATCTCACCAATTTCAAATCCGGTAAGCAGCCTCTTTTTATTCTCTTCTCCAACCTCCCTCACTATCCCTCAACCTCTTTCTCCTTTCAATCTTGGCGCCACACTTCAAACTCTCCCTTCTCTTAATTTCAATTCCTTTCATTTTCTGGTAGAGACGAAGGAGACACGTTTTATTAGTGGACCCAAAACTCCAGCGCTGGTCACAGACTGGGAAGACAGCCTTCCCTTGGTGTTTAATCATTGCAGGGACGCCTCTCTGATTTTCACCCAAGTTTCAGAGGTATCAGACCCTTCTCTTTAAATTTGCCTCCTTCACTATGGGCAATCTTCCACCCTCCATTCCTCCTTCTTCTCCCTTAGCCTGTGCTCTCAAGAACTTAAAACCTCTTCAACTCACACCTGACCTAAAACCTAAATGCCATATTTTCTTCTGCAATGCCGCTTGGCCCTAATACAAACTTGACAGTGGTTCCAAATAGCCAGAAAATGGCACTTTCAATTTTTCCATCCTGCAAGATCTAAATAATTCTTGTAAAATGGGCAAACCGTCTGAGGTGCCTGATGTCCAGGCATTCTTTTACACATCAGTTCCTCCCTAGTCTCTGTGCCCAATGCCACTCGTCCCAAATCTTCTTTCCCTCCCGCCTGTCCCCTCAGTCCCAACCCCAAGCGTCACTGAGTCTTTCTAATCTTCCTTTTCTACAGACCCATCTGACCTCTCCCCTCCTCCCCAGGCTGCTCCTCACCAGGCCGAGCTAGGTCCCAGTTCTTCCTCAGCCTCCACCCTTCCACCCTATAATCTTTTTACCACCTCCCCCCTACACCCGGTCAGGCTTATAGTTTCATTCCGCGACTAGCCCTCCCCAACCTGCCCAGCAATTTTCTCTTAAAAAAGTGGCTGAAGCTAAAGGCATAGTCAAGATTAATGCTCCTTTTTCTTTATCCAACCTCTCCCAAATCAGTTAGCATTTAGGCTCTTTCATCAAATATGAAAAACCCAGCCCAGTTCATGGCTCGTTCGGCAGCAACCCTGAGACGCTTTACAGCCCTAGACCCTGAAATGTCAAAAGGCCGTCTTATTCTCAATATACATTTTATTACCCAATCCACTCCTGACATTAAATAAAACTCCAAAAATTAAATTCCAGCCCTCAAACCCCACAACAGGACTTAATTAACCTCACCTTCAAGGTGTACAATAATAGAGTAGAGGCAGCCAAGTAGCGACATATTTCTGAGTTGCAATTCCTTGCCTCCACTGTGAGACAAACCCCAGCTACATCTCCAGCACGCAAAACTCCAAATGCTCGAACTGCAGCTGCCAGGGGTTCCTCCAGAACCTCCTCCCCCTGGAGCTTGCTACAAGTGCCCGAAATCTGGCCACTGGGCCAAGGAATGCCCACAGCCCGGGATTCCTCCTAAGCTGCGTCCCATCTGGGCGGGACCCCACCGAAAATCAGACTGTTCAACTCACCTGGCAGCCACTCCCAGAGCCCGTGGAACTCTGGCCCAAGGCTCTCTGACTGACTCCTTCCCAGATCGTCTCGGCTTAGCAGCTGAAGACTGACACTGCCTGATTGCCTCGGAAGCCTCCAAAACCATTACAGATGCTCTGGGTAACTCTCACAGTGGAAAGTAAGTCCATCCCCTTCTTAATCAATACGAGGGTACCCACCCCACATTACCTTATTTTTAAAGGCCTGTTTCCCTTGCTTCCATAACTGTTGTGGGTATTGACGGCCAGGCTTCTAAACCTCTTAAAAATCCCCAACTCTGGTGCCATCTTAGACAATACTTTTTTAAGCACTCCTTTTTAGTTATCCCCACCTGCCCAATTCCCTGATTAGGCCAAGACATTTTAACTAAATTATCTGCTTCCCTGACTGTTCCTGGACTACAGCCACACCTCATTGCTGCCCTTTTCCCCAGCTCAAAGCCTCCTTTGCATCCTCCTCTCGTATCCTGCCACCTTAACCCACAAGTATAAGATACCTCTACTCTCTCCTTGGCGACCGATCATGCACCCCTTACAATCTCATTAAAACCTAATCACCCTTACCCCCCTCAATGCCAATATCCCATCCCACAGCATGCTTTAAAAAGATTAAAGCCTGTTATCACTCACCTGCTACAGCATTGCCTTTTAAAGCCTATAAACTCCCCTTACAATTCCCCCATTTCACCTGTCCTAAAACCAGCCAAGGCCTACAGGTTAGTTCAGAATCTGCGCCTTATCAACCAAATTGTTTTGCCTATCCACCCCATGGTGCCAAACCCATATACTCTCCTAACCTCAGTACCTCCCTCTACAACCCATTATTCTGTTCTGGATCTCAAACATGCTTCTTTACTATTCCTTTGCACCCTTCATCCCAGCCTCTCTTCGCTTTCACTTAGACTGACCCTGACACCCATTAGGCTCAGCAAATTACCTGAGGTGTACTGCTGCAAGGCTTCACAGATAGCCCCCATTACTTTAGTCAAGCCCAAATTTTATCCTCATCTGTTACCTATCTCGGCATAATTCTCATAAAAACACACGTGCTCTCCCTGCTGATCATATCTGATTAATCTCCCAAACCTCAATCCCTTACAAAACAACAACTCCTTTCCTTCCTAGGCATGATTAGTGTGGTCAGAATTCTTACACAAGAGCCAGGACCACACCCTGTAGCCTTTCTGTCCAAACAACTTGACCTTACTGTTTTAGCCTAGCCCTCATGTCTGCGTGCAGCGGCTGCCGCTGCTTTAATACTTTTAGAGTCCCTAAAAATCACAAACTATGCTCAACTCACTCTCTACATTTCTCACAACTTCCAAAATCTATTTTCTTCCTCATACTTGACGCATATACTTTCTGCTCCCCAGCTCCTTCAGCTGTACTCACTCTTTGTTAAGTCCCACAATTACCATTGTTCTTGGCCCGGACTTCAATCCAGCCTCCCATATTATTTCTGATACCACACCTGACCCCCATAACTGTATCTCTCTGATCCACCTGACATTCACCCAATTTCCCCATATTTCCTTCTTTCCTGTTTCTCACCCTGATCACGCTTGATTTGTTGATGGCAGTTCCACCAGGCCTAATCGCCACACACCAGCAAAGGCAGGCTATGCTATAGTAAAAGCCACTAGCCCACCTCTTAGAACCTCTCATTTTCTTTCCATCGTGGAAATCTGTCCTCAAGGAAATAACTTCTCAGTGTTCCATCTGCTATTGTACTACTCCTCAGGGATTATTCAGGCCCCCTGCCTTCCCTACACATCAAGCTCGAGAATTTGCCCCCCACCCAGGACTGGCAAATTAGCTTTACTCAACATGCCTCGAGTCAGATAACTAAAATACCTCTTAGTCTAGGTAGACACTTTCACTGGATAGGTACAGGCCTTTCCTACAGGGTCTGAGAAGACCACCGCAGTCATTTCTTCCCTTCTGTCAGACACAATTCCTCAGTTTAGCCTTCCCACCTCTATACAGTCTGATAACAGACCAGCCTTTATTAGTCAAATCAGCCATGCAGTTTTTCAGGCTTTTGGTATTCAGTGCAACCTTTATATCCCTTACAGTCCTCCATCTTCAGGAAAAGTAGAACGGACTAAAGGTCTTTAAAAAACACACCTCACCAAGCTCAGCCACCAACTCAAAAAGGACTGGACAATACTTTTACCACTTTCCCTTCTCAGAAGTCAGACCTGTCCTCAGAATGCTACAGGGTACAGCCCATTTGAGCTCCTGTATAGACGCTCCTTTTTATTAGGCCCCAGTCTCATGCCAGACACCAGACCAACTTGGACTGTGCCCCAAAAAACTTGTCATCCCTACTATCTTCTGTCTAGTCATACTCCTATTCACCATTCTCAACTACTCATACATGCTCTGCTCTTATTTACACTGCCAGTTTACACTGTTTCTCCAAGCCATCACAGCTGATACCTCCTGCTGCTATCCCCAAACCGCCACTTTTAACTCTTAAAGTAAATAAATAATCCTTGCTGGCAAGGCTATGCTGAACCTCCTTAGGCACTCTCTAATTAGATGTCCTAGGTCCTCCCAATTCTTAGTCCTTTAATAGCTGTTTTTCTCCTCTTATTCTGTTTAGTTTTTCAAATCATACAAAACTGCATCCAGGCCATCACCAATAATTCTAAATGACAAATGTTTCTTCTAACAACCCCACAATATCACCCCTTACCACAAAATCTTCCTTCAGCTTAATCGCTCCCTCTTTAGGTTCCCACGCCGCCCCTAATCCTGCTCAAAGCAGCCCTGAGAAACATCGCCCATTATCTCTCCATACCACCCCCAAAAATTTTCTCTGTCCCAACACTTTACCACGATTTCATTTTATTTTTCTTATTAATATAAGAAGACAGGAATGTCAGGCCTCTGAACCCAAGCTAAGCCATCATATCCCCTGTGACCTGTACGTACACATCCAGATGGCCAGTTCCTGCCTTAACTGATGACATTCCACCACAAAAGAAGTGAAAATGGCCTGTTCCTGCCTTAACTGATGACATTGTCTTGTGAAATTCCTTCTCCTGGCTCATCCTGGCTCAAAAAGCTCCCCCATTGAGCACCTTGTGACGCCCACTCCTGCCCGCCAGAGAACAACCCCCCTTTTTCCTTTACCTACCCAAATCCTATAAAACGGCCCCACCCCTATCTCCCTTCGCTGACTCTTTTCGGACTCAGCCTGCCTGCACCCAGGTGAAATAAACAGCTTTATTGCTCACACAAAGCCTGTTTGGTGGTCTCTTCACATGGACGCGCATGAAAACTATGCCCCTCATCCCTCTTCTTCCCTAATTAATGATTAAAAACTGTCCTTAACCCATGAAGATGGGCTTGATGGATTCCATCTCATGCTTAGCTTTATGGTTTTCTTCTTCATGCTTGCCTATTAAACATTCAGAACTGTGCTCTCTGGTAGTGTATTTTCTGAGCTTGAATTTAATAAACCAATTCACACCAATGGGAAAAAATTAGTGAATGGGCAATTTCATTTTACATGATGAGCCATTGTAAAACCAACAAGAGAAAAGTCTCTGGTAGCATTTCATGTAAGGGAAGAGAGGAGATTTTGGCAATATAGGGAGCTCATAGTGTCTCTGGAGCCATCAAGCCTCATACCCTACAAATGGTCCTGATGCAGGTGAAGCAGCCCTAAGAAGGACTCCTCAATGAGGGGAGCAAAGCATCCTTTAATGAGCATATGAACCACCAAATTCATAGTAGCTTCTCTCTTCCCACTACAGAGACAATATCCTTTTGCCACAGCTCAGTGCCTTCACTGTGATAATTTTGCTACAGCTTAACTGGGGCAGAGCACTGTAAATACACAGATATTTTATTTCAGCTCTCCAATGACCCCAAACCAGTTCCTATTATTAATAATTCCTGTAAGGTTTATCTCTGGAGCATTCAAGAAGAAGCACCATGACTTTCTACAATTAAGAAAAGACCAGGCTGCAGATTTCTGCTCTGAAATATTTCCTGAGCTTCTTCATTATTTACTGAGATTCCTGAAATGCAAACAACCAGTGTTATCAGGCAAAGGCAGATCCCCTGAGCCTTTTATCATTCTGGCTGCAATTTTGCATATTTCCTTTATAACCAGACAGCATACCAAATGAAGCTAGACTCTTTAAAGGGAAATGAGGCAATTGGAATGTCAATTTTATTTAGTACTATGTTGTAAAAACTAAACAGCATATCCAGCTGATTGACAAAATCCATCCAACTGTTAAAGGCAAAACAAAACTATCTCAAGAGGTACAGATATGCAGAGCTTGCTTTTACCTACAGGCAGATATTTAAAGAGAGAGAGACACATAGAGAGATAATATTGAAGCAGAATGCTACATATGGAATTGTCCAACTAATAAAATTCAGAGAGCGTGAGGAACTCAAAAGCAAAGATATCATGTCATATTTTCTCTCTTCTTCTTCAAAGAACCTTTGAGCTTCTTCCACAGGCTGTCTTTTCTCTTCAGTTTCTTTTCCATCAAGGATGGCATGGACTCCTTCTTGCGAATTTCCCTCACTAAGCCATGAAAAGCATCATCAATACAGAATCTGAGGGCTGCAGAGGTCTCAAAAAAACCACAATTATATTCTTGGGCAAGACTCAAGCCTTCTTCTGTAGAAACCTAAGGAAAAAACAAATAATATTAAAAAGACAGAAAGAGAAAGACTCTTCAATTAAAAATACGTTCTCTACTAGAGCTGTGTGTCAGGCCTCTGAGCCCAAGCCAAGCCATCGTATCCCCTGTGACTTGCAGGTATACGCCCAGATGGCCTGAAGTAACTGAAGAATCACAAAAGAAGTGAAAATGCCCTGCCCCGCCTTAACTGATTACATTCCACCACAAAAGAAGTGTAAATGGCAGGTCCTTGCCTTAACTGATGAAATTCCACCAGAAAAGAAGTGAAAATGGTCGGTCCTTGCCTTAAGTGATGACATTACCCTGTGAAAGTACTTTTCCTGGCTCATCCTGGCTCAAAAAGCTCCCCCACTGAGCACCTTGTGACCCCCACTCCTGTCTGCCAGAGAACAAACCCCCTTTGACTGTAATTTTCCTTTACCTACCCAAATCTTATAAAATGGCCCCACCCCATCTCCCTTTGCTGACTCTCTTTTTGGACTCAGCCCGCCTGCACCCAGGTGATTAAAAGCTTTATTGCTCACACAAAGCCTGTTTGGTGGTCTCTTCACATGGACGCACATGAAACTGTGGACCTCAGTCACATTTAAAAATATATAGCAATGTGAGAATTTGTTTTAAGAGAGAATCCTAGAATTTTAGAATTTGAAGGACAAATGAGAAATTAGAATCCTTGAAAGTATGACTGATTAAAAAATTGAACTAGAAATCAGCTCTCCAGAATTCAAAAAAGCAATATAGCAAAGTGGTCAAAGAATAGCTTTATATTAAATCTCCTTTGTTTCAAATACCAGTTCAACTGCATTTTAGCTTTGCAAACTTGGTTAATTTTTTTGACTTTTTTTTTTCCCCAATTTCCTCAACATAAGATATTAATACCTACCTCAAAACCTCTTTGTTAGGGTTAAGTGAGATCATCTAGAAGAGGCACATGCTGGGCACATGTTTAAAGCTCTATAAATGTTAGTTGTTATTATAGTCCAGAGCTTTCACTGAAGAATAAGTTGAAGAGATGGAGTTGTCATAAAATTAAAAAATAATAATCTATCAAAAGAAAATGAAAAGCAAACACCACCATTATGGGTAAATAAGTCTCCCTCTAGCCAAGTATTCCAGAGCAGGTTTGACACTCCATAAGTCTTTGGTGGCAGTTACCCATGCTGTGGTTCATGCTGTTGTAATGGATCTCTAGAAATCATAAACTGACTGAGGCCAGGGACCGTGTCTGTCTCACTTATCATTCCTTTAGTTTCTACTACAGCTCCTGGTGCCTACATCACCATTAGAAGTATTAGAAGAGTTTAAAGAATGATCAACAAAATTACCCAGGGTTGAATAAGTATTAACTAAAATATAAAGATAAATTATATACATAAATTAGCACAGTGGATTCTATGTTCCTATAGCTGGTACTAACATTCCTACTCAAAATTTAGTGATCCCATAAAGCCCTACCAGATTATCAGTCCCCAGAATCCTGAGTTACCAGGACTCTGAATAATAAATAGACCTCCCAGCTCACTCATGTTGGATACCTGGCATAACTAAGAAAAAAAACCTTCATTATTTTAAGCTGTTGACATTTTGCAATTGTTTGTAATCAGGGCAGAAACCAACTTTTTAAACTGTTACAACACATCATATGGTTAATAAGTGGCTGAGCTGGGGTGTAAAAAATCTATCAAGTCTATCTGATCCCAAAGACAGCAAAGACAGGTTCTTCACTCTAGTCTGACTAGATCTCACTGATCCCACTAGTAGCTGTTAAACAGAGATGAGTAACTTGTCACATTTTAACCCTATGAGATAAAACATGTCTGGATTATCTCTCTTATTTTATTTTTTTCATTCCTACTGGTAAACATGCCAATTTTTTTTAGCTCATTTCTACCTTAAAATAACTTAAGAAATGCAGCGAAAACAATCAACTAAAGCTAATAACATTCTGACTTGCCAGCAATTGAGCAAAGTTATGTTTATTAAGTAACTTCCCTGATTTTCAAGTTATCACAAGTGGTAATCTTACCAAATGGTATGACACTGTATAACGTGGGTTACCATTTATTTTTCAGTCACCTGTAAGAATTTTCCCCACCCAGAAGCTAATGACTCATATTTTACATTTTGTATAGCAATACAACAGTTCTGGAACTATTTTCTATATTTATTGGCTTTCATTAGGTTACACTTATATTAATACAGCCTAAAGGCCCTTGTGGCTTGCAAATATTTTTTGTTTTGTTTTGCTTTGTTTTGTTGCTAGACTGCTTTTTAGCAGCTAAGGAGTAGATTTTTGGCAGCTCTGCTCCAGGCTGTCAGGTGGGTTCTGGTGTATTCCTCTTATCCTCTTATTTTGGGACTCAGGCTAAGAGAGCCCTTCTTATCTGGGAAATGATATTCCCATAATATAGAGCAGATGCACAGGAGGCAGGAATTATTTTATCTATATCCCAAATGACACATGGAGAAACCTAAAGTCAATGAGGCAGGACATATGCTCAACTCACATTGAAGCATGGCAAGAGTGGAGAGAAAACACAGAATTTTAAAAGAATAATTCAACTGACCACAGTCAATATAAATGCATTACAGTCTCCAACTTTAAAAGACAAAGACTGTTCAACCAGATTTTACAAAAATCACCTGCAGTTGCAGTACCTTACATGTAAAGATATAGAAAGTGAAATTTGAATGGAAATTTACACATGAAGAAAGCTGCTATAGTTTAAATATCAAAGTAGACAGTAAGTAAAAATAGAGCATTATTTGAGTAAAAGGGGAATATTTTATAATAATAAAGGAAGACATTATACTAATTAATTCTTATGTACTAAAAATACAGTCTCAGTTTAAATTTTAAAAGTTGACAAAATAAAATCCAAAAGTTTAGTGAGATATTTTAATGTGTCTCTCTCAGCAATTGAAAGAACTGGTAACAATCCTATTGACACTAGTACACAAGAGACAGAAAGAGGAAATCCTGTCTAAATCATTATTTGAAGCCAGTATAACCCTAATACCAAATCCAGGAAAGGACATAACAAAAACAGAATTTAAAACAAAAATAACATGATAATCTCAATAGATGCAGAAAAAGCATTTGACAAAATCCAGCATCCCTTTGTGATTAAAACCCTCAGAAAAATTGGCATAGAAGGGACCTGCCTTACTGTAATAAAAGCTATCTATTACAAACTCACAGCCGATGTAGCACTGAATGGGGAAAAGTTGAAAGCATTTCCCCTGAGAACATGAACATGACAAGGATGCCACTCTTATCCCTCCTATTCAACATAGTACTGGAAGTCCTAGGCAGAACAATCAGACAAGAGAAAGAAATAAAGGACATTCAAACTGGTGAAGAGGAAGTAAAACTGATGCAGTTTCCTGATGATATAATTGTATACCTAGAAAACCCTAAAGACTCTTCCAAAAAGCTCCTAGATAAATGAATTCAGCAAATTACAGGATACAAAGTTTATATACACGAATCAGTAGCTCTGCTATATACCAACAGCGACCAAGCTGATAATCAAATCAATAAGATAACCTGTTTTACAATAGCTGCTAAATAAATAAATAAAATACTTAAGAATATACCAAACCAAGGAAGTGAAAGACCTCTACAAGGAAAACTACAGAACACTGTTCAAAGAAATCATAGACGACACAAACAAATGAAAACACATCCCATGCTCGTGGATGGGTAGAATCAATACTGTGAAAATGACCATGCTGCCAAAAGCAATCTATAAATGCAATTTCCATCAAAACACCACCGTCATTCTTCACAGAACTAGAAAAAACAATCCTAAAATTCATATGGAAGCAAAAAGGAGAGCACATAGCCAAAGAAAGACTAAGCATAAAGAAGAAATCTGGAGGCATCACGTTACATTGAAACTATACTATAAGGCTGTAGTCACCAAAACAGCATGGTACTGGTATATAGGCATATAGATAAATGGAATAGAATAGAGAACCCAGAAATAAAGCCAAATACTAACAGCCAAGAGATCTTTGACAAAGCAAACAAAAACATAAAGTGGGGAAAGGACACCCTACTCAACAAATGGTGTTAGGATAATTGGCAAGCCACACGTAGAAGAATGAAACTGCATCCTCATGTCTCACCTTATACAAAAATCAAACTCAAGATGGATAAAGGACTTAAATCTAAGATCTGAAAACATAAAAATTATAGAAGATAACACTGGAAAAATCCTTCTAGACATTGGCTTAGGCAAAGACTTCATAAGCAAGAACCCAAAAGCAAATGCAACAAAAACAAAGATAAATACTTGGGACTTAATTAAACTAAAAAGTTTCTGCACATCAAAATAAACAATCAGCAGAGTAAATGAACAACCCACAGAGTGGGAGAAAATCTTTGCAATCCCATAGAGTGGAAGAAAACCCGCAAAGTGGAAGAAAATCTCCAGAGTCTATACATTTGACAAAAGACTAATATCCACAATCTACAAGAGACTGAAAGAAATCCGCAAGAAAAAAACAAACAATCCCATCAAAAAGTGGGCTAAGGACCTGAATAGACAATTCTCAAAAGAAGATACACAAATGACCAACAAAAATATGAAAAAATACTCAACATCAGTAATGATCAGGGAAATACAAATCAAAACCACATGCAATACCACCTTACTCCTGCACGAATGGTCATTATCAAAAAAAAACAAACAATAATAGATGTTAGCATGGATGTGGTTAAAAGGGTACACTTTTACACTGCTGGTGGGAACTTAAACTAGTACAAACACTATGTAAAACAGTGTGGAGATTCTGTAAAGAACTAAAAGTAGAACTACCAGTTGATCCAGCAATGTCACTACTGGGTATCTATCCAGAGGAAAATAAGTCATTATACGAAAAAGATACTTGCACATGCATATTTATAGCAGCACAATTCACAAATGCAAAAACATGAAACCAGCGCAGAAAACAAGTGGGAGCTAAGATATGATAATGTAAAGGCATAAGAAAGATACAATGGATTTTGGGGACTCAGGGGAAAGGGAGGTAGGTGGATAAAAGGCTACACATTGGGTCCAGTGTACACTACTCGGGTGATGAATGCACCAAAATCTCAGAAATCAACACAAGAAAACTTTTTCATGCAACCAAACACCTACTGTTCCCTCAAAACCTATTGAAATAAAAATAAGTAAAGAAATAAAGAAAAAATTAATAGGCAAATATTCAGTAAGGATATAGGGGACTTGAACAAAACAAACTCAATTGATCCAATTGACATATACAACATGTCATAGCTAACAAATGAAAAAGTCAGATTCTCTTCAAGTTAACTTGGAACATTTATAAAAATTGACTTTATCCTAAAGTGAATCTCAAAACATTGCAAAGAATAAAAATTACAACATAGTCCAAAATAAATGAAATTGATCTAGAAATTTAAAAAACTCTACTAAATTCTCAAATAGTTGAGAAAAAGTATGTATTTAAATAGTCAATAGGTCAAAGAAGAAATTATAAAAACATTTTCAAAATATTTGAAACGAAATGCTAATAAAAATGCACTGTATCAAAACTTATAGGACTATCTCTAGCTTTATTCATAATGATGCTTATAGCATTACAAGCATGTTTTTAAAAAGCATAAACACTCAAATTTAATGATCAAAATATTAACCACAAAAAGTAACCAGAAAGCTCAGCAAATTAATTTAAAGAAAGCAAAAACAAGGAAATGATAAACAGATAAGTAAGTAAAATAGAAAACAATTATGCAATGGAGAAGACGAAATCAAACATGAATTCTTTTTATAAAGATGTCAAAATTTATAAAGCCCAGGAAAGACAGATTAAGGGTGATGAAGAAAAATAAGTCATAAATAAACAATATTAAGAATGAAATAGTGTATATCAGTTCAGATACTACAAACATAAAAAAGATAACATGTGAACATGATGTTTGTCCCAATATATCAGAAATATTAGGTGAAGGAATAATTTCTACCAAAATATAATTTTCAAAAGCTTACACACAAAAATAGAAATTCTATATTGTCCTAAACATTAGACAAAAAATTAAATTCGTGATTAAAACCTTTCCCATAATTAAGTCTCTATGACCAGAAGCCTTCTTTGATGAATATGTGTAGATGTATGCAACAAAGACATGCAAATTGTTTACAGTAACATTATTCACAATAGCAAAAACGAGCAAACAAAAACACTGAAAGCAACACAAACCTTATTACCAGGAGACTTGATAACTAATTTGCTATATATTAATACAATGTGATGCTGTTCAATGTAAATAAATGACATACTATTATATACAACTTAGATAAATCTTACAAACATAACAATGCTGAGTGAAAGAAATCAGACCTAAGGAACATTGTTAGTAAATTTTTAATTTTAGTATAGTTTTCTATTTACAGAATATGGCAACATATAATTCCCATTTACCCCACATCCAGTTCTCTCTATTTTTACATTAACACATTACACAATTACATTTTTCGAGAGTTTAAAAACAGAAAAACTATTGTTTAGTGTTAGGAGTCAGTATAGTGTTTCTTTGGAAGGAGATGCAAGAAAGTTTTCTGGGCACCTTTAATAATCTTCCATTATTAACCAATATGGTGATTTTTGGTGAGTTCATGTTGTTGTAATTCATGAAGCTCTATACTTATAATTTGTCTGCTTTATATGAAACTGCAATTAAACACTCAATTAAATAAATGCATTGTGAAACATGCAGCACTCCCTTTGAATTTGGGGCATAATTTTGTCCTCCAGTATAGTAATATTTCCGTAGCTAAATATTGCAACATTCACAGCAAATAGGATATGTAAGATCTCTAAATCAACTCAGATCACATCAAATCATGCTTTGTCACAAAAAGTGAGTTGAGTCTGGTTAGGTTATGCTAACAAATACATTAAGAAAAACTTTTACTTATCATATTAGTTTGGATATTTATCTAAATCTAACCAATCAGATGACAAATTGTAGACTTGTATTAGTTTTTGGTTCGAAGGTTCGATATCATAAAGATAATAAATCATTTCAAATTAGCGTATAATTTCAATGAAAATATATTCAAACCCTGAAAACTTTTGAATCATAGGATGTCATACAGGGATACTAAAATTCATAGAGAAGAATAAAGGCACAAATAGAGAAGAAATATTTGAATTCTAATAAGAAGGAGGTAGGAAGAAGAATAGTAACAATAATGTTGGTCTCACTTGATTAAGGCCATCTGTAAACCTATAATTGTTCAGGCAGTGGGACATTAGTTAAGGCTTAGACAAATAATCTTACTACAATGCAATAGAGAACCTGGAAAAAGATCAACATATCTATGGAAGCTTTTTATATTATTGGGATATCATTTCCAAATCAGTGGAGAAATGAAGGTGCTGTCAGTGGTGCCCTGACATTGAGTTATCATTTTGGATTATTTTTGACCAAGATGTATAGGAGTTATTTCCACCAACATAGAAAGGTAATTTTTCTTTAAGAAGAGTAGAAGTAGAGAAGGATTGAAGTTAAGTCTTTAGCTAAATCCATAAATTCTTTAAGTGTTTGAAAAAATATGTTTAGTTGTATATCTATAGTACATATATAGATATATATATGCATATTTTATACAAACACATACATATTTATAAAATATTTCCTAATGGTTAAAATATAAGCATCACAAATCAATCATTAGGGACATCAAAATTCAGTTAAAAGTCCAATGTGATAATCAAGCTCGACCAGAAATAAAATTAGTAAACAAATCCCATGCAAATATTCTTGTTCGAATGATATACAGCAAAACAGCACCTTTAATAAATGATATAAGTGAATATTTTATTTTTTGTAGCAGGCCGAAGTATACTTAAATTGTGCCTACTCATTACTTTGATAAGTAATGTAGGAATCATCGACCATCTAATTCAAAGCATAAAATGTAGTTTCACATGATCTTAGATTTATTATCAAAATATTAATTCTGTGCTATCTAATGGAATAATAACATTAATTTTCACATTTGCTATAATATCTAAATGGAAATTATACTTAGTAAAATATTTAATCTTTTCTATATTTCCTTAAAAATTATCATCAGATCAGTGACCTAAAGTTTTTATGTTTTAAGAAAAATACCAAAAGTGAAAGCATACTTTAACAATAAAGTTTTATGTTTCAAGAAAATACATTTTCATGTTTTCAGGAAATTTCACCTCATACGAATATTGACAAACCATACATTTGTCATACCTACCTTTGAGCTTGAAATTTACATGCCATAAGTTTAATGCAAGAATTTGAGTCCAAACATGTCAAAAAAAAAGCCCCAAAATATTAATTTTTATAGATTTCTGGGTTTTATGCTTACTATTATGGTCCATTTGAAGGTCATATTGCAACAGCATCAGAGGGAGTAATTTTTAGGACCACAGCAGTCCACTAGTGGTGGTCTGACTGGTTTGGAACTAGAATGTATTACAAGAAGTAACAGCTTCCATATTAGAATTGAGAACTAAGGTAATTAACATATTCTTTTAGCATAAGATATCTTGTCTATCTGAATTTTAAGTAAAATTAAATTTTAAGTAAAATTAAATATTGAATATTCATCAATATTCATCTACTTTATATAGTAACTCCTAAGAAAGAAGCACAATGGTAGAAAGGAATTAAATTTTCTTATTTTTCAAATGAGGACTTTCAGGCTCAGAAAGGTTAAGCAGTGGTTAAGAAATGGCTCAAGGTCACACATCTAATTAAGTAAAATATCCATCAAGTTCTACTATCTTCCATTAAGCACCGCTTCCCTTCTTTCTTGCTGTCTCTCATGGGGAAACCTTTCCAGTCTCCTGTGCTAGGATTCTGTACATATTTAGTTGATTGTTCTGATGTGAGGTTTTACAACTTAAAATAATTCTTAAATAGTAAACAAATGGCACACAATATTTTATATTGCATTTACATGAAAAGTTAAATTTTAAATAAATGCAGAAACACACCAGGGGTGGGGGTGGGGAAGAAATGTTGCAGGGAGATTATTTTAGGGGTAAGAAGCAATTGATGCAGATATCATTATACCACAGTGCCCCTCAACTGCAAAGAAGGAACGTTTTTGATTTAATGTGACACCTGGAGGCCTTAGAAAGCAATGGCAGAAAAGAAGGAATAAAGAAAAATGTTTCATACAAGTAATAGAAAATTTCAATAACCCAGGGGTGCCATCTTTTTAATATATATGACCTTTTTCACCGAAGAAGATCACCGTGTAATATGCCAGGTACTCCCTGAAATGCTATTTCCCATCTGCCAGAGGAGGCATTAGAACACAGCCACAGCTGCATGGGGGGTTGATGAGACCACTGGGGCAAAAAGGCAGGCAGAGCCTGTTCTAGTCCAGCCCAGCTGCTAGTGGGAAGCGGCAAGCATCCTGGCCAATTAGACTTTCAGTCCCAACAATCTGCTGACTTCAGGAGCTTTCTAGCTCTCTGCATATTTTTATCTTTTACCCGAGCTTGGTAAAAATAAAATACAATAAATTAAATTAAATTAAATTATTGTAAAGGTAGCCAGGGTAATGGTGGTTGCCTAATAAGCTATATAATTCCTAGCAACACAAAAGGAAACTCTGACACTGCTTTGCTATAATTGCTAACCTTGAGTGAGGGAGTGAGGGAGACTGGCAGAAAGATGGGTCTGGCTCTTCCAACAGAAGCTTTGCAAGCAAAAATCTTAGTGGTTATGCCTACTGGGTGCTGTTAAAATGCTTAGTGCATACAGCAAACTCTTTGGATTTATTTTATATTTTTAATATCTTCTTGTAAGTGTTTCACTGCATTATTTCCCATGGAGCTATTAATTTTCATTATGCAGTCTACATCATCAAAGTAGCAGGAATCAAAATTTCCTGAGAAATTTGTGAACAACACATCTTATTTGCTAACTTGAAGGAAAAGTGGCCCGAACTTTTTTCTATTTTCATTTTGTTTAGTTGTATAATTGATTTTGATCAGTTTTAATAATATTAATGACCTTGCCAGTTTTCTTGACCAGTTCTAGTGAAAGTGCTTTTGATTTATTAAATTTGATTTATTCACTTATTTAATACGAGAGTTACTTTAAAAAAAGAAAATCATCTTCCATTTAAAGGTAAGTGCTACATGTCATTTCAAACTCCTTCCGGGAACAGCAAAACAAAGCAAAGCACTGGCAAGATGTCCCACCCTTAGCCGCAGTCACTGACACATGGAAAACCATTCTTGACAGATCAGAGTGTGCTTATAGGGTGTTCCTTCCAAGAGTGCTCTATCTGCTCTGCTATTTTTCCCCAATTATCTTTTTTAGATGAGTGAACAAGTCTGCAAACTAAGCAAAAAACTCAACTGGTGAGGAGATGTCAGTAACTTCTTAGCACGTCCCTCTTTTAGGAGGGATTATGTTGGGGCCTCCTTCTCTTGTATTGTAAAGGAGAAGGGCAAGAGTCCTCCTTCCCTTCTTTGTGGTAGGCAGAAGGAAAAGAACTCCTGGTCTTGGTATCAAAAACTCAGATTTCCACCTGGGTTCTTAGACTGGTAAGGGGTGTGGAGTGGGGAAAGGCAAGAGTAGGAGTCAACAGAGGCAGTTTGGTTGTGTGCTTGTGTGTAGGTCTCTTTAGAACGTGGAGTACATTTTACACAGTAGAGCCCATCATTCCTCAATACATATTTTTATGCCTTTGCGTATTGCTTTTTTTCCCCTATCTGGAAAGTCTTTCATCTTTCTTCTCTCTCACTTCTTCCAGACCTACTCAAGTCTTTACAGACAGTGCAGTCAGTCTATGGTGACCTTGGTGGCCTCTGCTTTGCTGTGCAGCTTATCATCCTTGAGGGAAGTTCATAGGCCTTAGTTGTTTGATCTCACCAACCAAATGCAAGGCAGCTGGACAGAAATCATATTTTGTCTTATCTTAATCCTCATTGTGCCACACAATAAGCAAGCCACACACTTTGCAGTGGCAGGTGCTCATTAAATATTTAATTTGGATGATGATGAAAATGACACCAAATAAACAGTCACTGGAGACCACAGAGTCCATTATAATGAGTTCATAAAACTGAAATTTCAGAGGCCAGAATATTGCCCTCAACTGTATTTTTGCTATATTGTGGGCTTCGGCAAATGCCTACAATTGTGCTACAGTGGGTAGGTTCTGGAATCACATTACTAGGATCTAAATCCTGGCTACACCACTTTTTAGCCATGAATTCTCAGGGAGTTGCTTAGACTGTGGTTTAATTTCCTCATAAAATTCTCCTTCATAGAATTGGTAATAGGATTCAATGAGCTATCACATGAAAGGCACTTATAGAGTTCCTAGTATACTGTGTACTCCCAATAAATATGTTTTTGGTTTGTCTGTTCACTGTCTGAAAAAAAGACAGAAGAAATTTTAACTTCTTTCAGATCACATTTTAGTCCTGTTTATAATTTTTTCTACTTCTTACCATGACCTACAAATTCTACATGATGTTATCTCTGTCTGTTTCCCCAAGCCCGATTCATACCACTCTCCCTCATCGATTATATCCTATCATATTCGATACATGCTCAGTACAAAATCTTCTTGCCTTCAAGTATTTGCAGTTGTTGTTTCCTCTGCCTGAAATGTGCTCCCCTACAGGTCTCCTCCTGGCTGTTTTCTTCAAGTCCCAGCTGAAATATCACCTCCACTGAGACACCTTGCCTGACTGTCCTCTCAAAAGCATTCTCACACATCCCCACTAATGCCATCCCATTACTCTTATTTTGTTGATAGGAAGGGCACTTAATTACTATCTGAATTCATCTCACTAATTTGCCTATATGTATTTTTCATCACCCATCAGTATAAAGTAAGCTTAGTTATTGCTGAAAATGTGTCTGTTTTGTTCATCTCTCTACCTGATCTCCAGCAAAGTGACTGGCACTTAAGAGGGCTCATTATTTGTGGATGACATCACTGGAACCCAGGCCATGAGAATACAGCTGAGGCTACAATAAACAGAGGAGTTGGTTGTCGATTTAGACAAATAGACAAATTAAAAGGAAATCTCAGATCAAAGACAGTGGCTAGCACAGGGTACAGCACTGTGGTGGCATTTACAAGTAATGCCCAGCCCTGTCTTAGTGGTTCTCAGCTTCCTGAGACAGGGAGCCTTAATCTTAGACCTGAATGGCAAGTAGTAATTATTTAGGTTGGTGAGGGGAGGTGGGATGCTGGGGGAATAGGAAGGAGTCTCGGTAAAGGGACTAAGAAAGGCCTAAGGCAGAAGTGATCATGGTGCTTTTGTGGGATCATCAGTAGTTAATATGGTTTAGACCAGAGCACAAGGGAGAAGAAGTGAATAAGAGCACAATCAGAGGCAATTAGTGAGTTTAGATGTCTAATTTATTCAGATCTGTATGAAATTTGTTAGGAACCCATCAAATAAGTAATTTTTAAAAAGCCTATTTCTTGAGCGCCTACTCTGGAAATGTAATAGGATTTCTCTCTCTTGCTGTTCTGGAGAGATATTGATTGAATGGAGAGAAAAGTAGGACATAATAAATTAAATGGTGTAGCCAGTCGTTCTGAGACACGGGATGGTAATGGCTCTAGGGTAAAGGGTTTTAGACTGCTTTGTACAGGAGACATTTGAAGTCTCAAAGGCCTTGTGCTTTTCATCCCAGAAGCTCTGGTGTGCAGGGGGGAAAGGTTGCCATGGCAGCCAGTAGTTGCTATGAAGGGAAAAAAGAGAAGGTTAATGCTAAATATTTTGCTAACAGCAATATCTGCCTTCTTTTTGAATTTTTCTCCTAAAGATTTTGCTTTTTAAAATACTTTGTTAAAAATATAAATCAATAAAATTGGGCAGTACGTGCAATATATATAAATGCAGGACCTTGAACGTGTAAATATACATACATGTATGTGCATGCCTAAGGATATCTTCACATATTTGCACTAATAAATAAATATGTGTGTTTGATGTATATTAAATCAATGGTCCTTCTGAACCTTCAGGGGATTGGTTATTGTGAATAGCTAAATTTTCCATTTTAACATGGCCTAAAAATGTACTCTTTGAAGACCAAAAAATTTTATTATTTAATCTATTCTGTTAACAAATTTATATTAGGTAAAAATAGAAAAAAAACTTATGTATTATACTTGTAACACATAAAACAATTATAATTAAATAATAAATTATATAACTCTACAATGTCTGGATCTCCTGCAGAATATAAGATCAAGAAGACAAAGGACATTATATTGTCAGCAACACCTCAATGCTTTGCAAGTGAACCATGTTCAATAAACACCTTTCCTATCTCTTCACTGAATGGAGACTGAATAAATGGATAGGAAGTTGACCAAAGAGTAACCAACCAATTACTACAGAAGAAACCCTCCATGAATTAACTAGAGAATTAGAAGCTGAAATCTCATTTGAATTACTTAAGGTTTTAACTTATTTTCATTAACATATCTGTGCAATTCATGCAAAGTGTCAAAATGCTTGATTACATATGTTGTCAGGTTAGAACATGGCCCTGCAGAATCTCTGGACAGAAAAATAAGAAGACCGGGTCATCATGCCTTCTTGAATGGAATCTAGGGACCAGAGTAGCAGATGACTTTGATGAAGCCTATAGGAAAGCTCAAGGTTCCCCAGAGGTATCTTGGGCTCCTTCAAGCTCACAATCAACCTATATATCTTTTTGGATTATATTTGGGTAAGGCTTGCCATGAAAAGAAGGATGAACTAGAACAAAATAAATTTTACAAAAGTTCTAACCCTAGTATCTACAGAAAACAAAACTGAACCAATATTCTACGTTTTCTGGCCTTACACACACGGAGACAGGCATTTTTTGAAAATGTACGTGCCTGTGCTTATTGGTACCACTATACATTTATATTTCAATCTTAGCAGAGTCATCACTGCTCTTGTCAATTGTTCTGCTTATTATCAGCCAGTTCCCTGTCCTATTTCTCGTTTAGTTCTTCAAATCCTTCATTTCTTGTCTCAGATCTCTGACCCCATCCTTATTTTAAGCAGATGCTCTCACCCTCCTATTTCACCTCAGTGAGGAAATAAAAGCATCCCAAAAGAATGATTTCAACATCCTGGACTAGCACCTAGAAACTCATCTGTATTATTAGACATCTTATCTTACTCTTTCTCCTCTCAGGCAAAGAGAGGTTACTGATTCTTGTCAAGTTTGATACCTCTATCTGGGCTGAATAACCTTTTTTTTTTTTAATCTATTTCAATCCTGCAGTATTAGTTGTCCCACCTTTTTCCTATATTTTTAGTCTTCTTCTATAACAGCCCCTTTGGTTTCAGAAAAATATTCAAGTCTCAACTATTTTTAGTGCCCAGTTCATTTACGCTCTTATATCTGCCCTTTTTATAAGGTTAAACAGAGAGAAGATAGGGCTGGGGAAGGAAAGGATTAGAAAAAAAAAGACGTACAATTTCAAAATAAAATACATTATAGGTTTATGTGCTAGTTTGTCTTAATCACTTCTAATTTGCACATTAATATTCACAATCTGTATTCCATTTCACCTCATTCTTCTAACATGGTTTTGCAAAAGTACCATTCTTACTGTCAAATCCAATAGATGTTTCCAGCAATTTTTACCAACTGCAATATTTGACAACTTGCCTAGTCCCTTACTTCAATTCCTCTCCTTTGAATTGATGCTTTCCTCCTTTCTTGACATTCTAATCCTTTTTTTTTTTGATAACCCTTGTTTTATTTTTATTTTTATTTTGAGAAGGAGTTTTTCTCTCATCACCCAGGCTGGAGTAAAATGGTGCAATCTTGGCTCACTGCTACCTCTGCCTCCCGGGTTCAGGCAATTCTCCTGCCTCAGCCTCTCAAGTGGCTGGGATTACAAGCATGTGCCACTGCACCCGGCTAATTTTTTTTTTTTTTTTGTATTTTTAGTAGAGACAGGGTTTCACCATGTTGGCTAGGCTGGTCTCAATCTCCTGACCACAAGTGATCTGCCTGCCCAAAGTGCTGGGATTACAGGCATGAGCCACCATACCTGGCCTGATTACCCTTTCTGAATATTCTGTCTGAATATTCTGATGTTTGACTCTTTACTCAGGCTTTTCACAATTATGTGCCCATTGATTCTGTCCTTGATTCTGACCAGGACTTAAATCATCAACTCCTACAGTTCCCAAGCCCTCAGGCTTGGACTGGAGCTATACAAATGGCTTTCCTGAGCCTCCAGCTTGCAGATTGCAGATGTGGGACTTGTCAGCCTTCGTAGTAGCATGACTCAGTCCTTCATAATAAATCTCTTTCACTATATCTCTGTATATCCTATTGGTTCTGTTTCTCTGGGGAACCCTGAGTGATACAATCCTAAAAGCAAAAGAATTCAGGATTGCAATAAGCTTAAGGGTCATCTTTCAGGACATTAAATCATTATGTCTCTTCCACATCTCTGTTAATGACTGTCTAGTTTCTGTAGGCACGCACTTACTGCACATTCCTCCATAAAATGACCATTTCTGTCAATGTTTCTTACATGAAGAAAATTTGAATTTCTGAGCTAGAATTGTTCCTGGTCATCAGGTACTCCAAATTCCATCTTATATGAACTGAAAAAATGAAAACAGTTTGGGAATACTTAAATTTCCAAGATAATATAGTTCTTCAATATTGGAATTGGCATTAAAACCCAGGACTTTTTATTACCCTGTCTCTTTGTCTAGAACACAAAAATAATGGGTTAAAGAGATGGTGCACAAGACAAGAGCATTTTAATATACAGTAAAACGAAAGAAAAGGTTTAGGAAAGAGACTTCCTGGGGCAATCAGGCTTGCATTGAGATAGGGGAGACAGGGATTAGAGGCTGCTGCCATTTTTTCCAGTGTAGTCGGAAAGCAGCTGAAGACCTTAGACAGCTAGAGCTGGGGCTCTCACTGTGTTAAATCTACACACACACACACACACACACACACACACACACACACACACATACGGATATATATATATATATATATAAATTTTTTTTTCAAGCCCGAGTTTTGCTCTTAGTTGCCCAGGCTGGAGTGCAATGGCATGATTTCGGCTCACCGCAACCTCCGCCTCCTGGGTTCCAATGATTCTCCCGCCTCAGCTTCCTGAGTAGCTGAGATTACAGGCATGTGCCACCACGCATAGCAAATTTTGTATTTTTAGTAGAGATGGGGTTTCTCCATGTTGGTCAGGCTGGTCTTGAACTCCCGACCTCAAGTGATCCACCGGCCTTGGCCTCCCAAAGTGCTGGGATTATAGGCATAAGCCACCGCACCTGGCCTATATTTTTAAAATTTACATTCTCTAAGTGTCTTTGATAATAGAATATATGTCTCCAAGTCTCCATCCCCTTGGATTGTGGGGATATTATATGTAGATGCAAGTGACTGCACAGATGACAGCTTTTAACTGTTGCAAGAAACCCCTCTGTGGCCTTAGAGACTCCTTTCATTTGTTGCTTCCCAAGCCTAGTTGCTTGATCATTCTTCAGGTGAACAAGATGACCTGCCTCAATGGCTGGACACACAGCATGCTGGAGTAAGGAAGGTAATCTTGACAAGTTTGTTAAGAAGCAGCAGCCTGAGACTGCATTTCTAAGTCAGTGACACCTGTTTTCTCTTCCAGATTCTGGTCATGTCAGAGCACCTGGCAAACAACACTATCACTGCAATGGCTTGTCAGCTCACTGACATTATCTGTGCTTTATCCTCCACAGAAGCAGCTGAGAACATAGTCTGTGTTAGTCAAAACAGTAGATCTCACTGAGATACACTGGAAAAAAGCATCCTGTTTAAGAGGATGGTTGCTGAAATCAAACGGCCTGGGTTCTAGTCCCAGTTCTGCCACTTACTAGTTGAATGACCTTAATTGAATTACATATATGCTCTAATACTCAATGTCCTCATCTTAAAATGGGTTAAAAAGAGACATGATTGATATAATAAACAGAAGGCCATTTGCTTCTTATGCACTAAATGCAGTGATATAGGGACCTTTTGCTTGTTTATTCATTTAACGCATGGCTGGTCTCCCTGCATGCATCATGCATCCTAATATGAGTGAGAAGTTTGATTCTTGTTTTAATGACCACCATGAGAGGGTAAGGTTGGGGACTCCTATGATTAGATATTCTAATATAGTTGACTTTATTGCCATATCTGTCCTCAGAGTGGTGGATTCTTCCTTTGGGCATATTTTATTGAATCAGACCTAAAAGCATTTTGCTAAAATCACAAGTCTTCATTTGCAAAAGCAATCACAGTTATGTTTAATCAATGCAGGCTAGAGTCACTTTTCTCTTCAATCTGTTGAGAGACGTAGATATTGTTTCAGTTTCCTTGTTGTTTTCCCATATGTTTCTTCTGCATATTCCTGTAAATTCCTTGTTTTCCTTCATTATCCTGTTTTATCCCTTTAGCTTTTCTCCTTGGACTTGTCTTTTTTTGTAACTTCACTAGTCAATATCCTGCTTATCCTTACAGGTTTTCTAAAGTAACTCCCAGTCTCCACTTCAAGAAGTGTTTGTTGATCTCTGAGACTAGGTATAATTTTTCTTTTTTAAATAAAGAAATCCCTAAGCATTTGCTTATCACTTGTCTATTATTACAAGTAACATTTTTCTTATTCTTTACCAAAGGTAACTTTCATGGACATTAGAGCAGTGTTCCTTTTATCTCTATGTCTCTTACAAGTAGAAAAATAATCAAATTGACTTGAAAACCTGACCCCTATTTCCAAATATTAACTATTAACAAACTAATTGTTTATAAAGTCCTTCTCTTCTTCCAATTAACACAACTCTTTAAGAATTTCAATTCTGAGTTCATCCCCCTCTCATAATATGTGAGTATCAAAGCAACCTGAACTTGCTCTTATTTTTAAAAAATTATTATTATTTTTGAGACAGAGTCTAGCTCTGTTGCCCAGGCTGGAGTGCAGTGGCACGATCTTGGCTCAGTACAACCTTTGCCTCCCAGGTTCAAGTGATTTTCATGCCTCAGCCTCTCCAGAAGCTGGGATTACAGGAATGCACCTTCTTGCCCAGCTATGAATTTGCTCTTGAGATCAGCAATTAATTTTTCTCAGTGACACCTAATTCAGCAAAAGTACCAGTTCCTTTGACCAACTGTAATTTGTTTAAGTGCAAACCATGCATTGAGATGGAGGAGGCAGGGATTAGAGGCTGCCTGGTAGAGATGTAAGCCAAGAAATCATGGAATTATTGTCATTAGAGATACTGCCAGAAATAAGTTTATTTACATGTGAGAGAATTCCAGGCCATTTGTATAGGTCTCACTGGGAGGAAGTTAGTAATATTAAGAGGAAAATAATTCTCTGTGAATTTTATATCTTTTAGCCTTATGCCTGGCCTTTATAAACAGATCCAGAATAACCCTCCCCTCCATTTCCTTCTGTACAATAACTCTTCTAATATGGAAAATATAGATCATGTCTTCTATTCATTGTTTTATCACTGAACTGTATTCAAAAGATTGTTTTGTCTTATTTTCAGAAGACAGACTTCAACCTGCAGAATCTTAAACAACAATGACACAGAGAGAAGAAAAATGAGTATATGGTTCTATCTTTCTTTGTTCTTATAGAAACCAAAAATAAGTATCCACAGAACAAATAAATACCAACAACAACAATGAAATTTCGGTTGCAAGATCATTACATTCTAACAAAAAGGATGCATAACTGCTTGACCACACCAGATATTAAAGGTTTTTTAAACTATGCTTGATACTCCCTCTGATTGGATAAGAGTAGAATTTCAAGTCTTAGTTTGTCCCCCTCTCATAATATGTGACTATCAAAGTGACCTGAATTCACTCTCAATTTTTAAAAATTATTTTTTAGTTGAACAACTGCACTTAAATTTATTTGTCATATTAGAATTTCTGCTTTCTAGGAAATAGCTTCCTTCAATGACCTACTCCAAATGCATTTTCCCTAGCTTGCAGCTTCTTAGGAACATTGGATTAGCAACATTTTTGTTGATCTCAAATCAACCAATGCAGTATATATGTAACTAGTACACCCTCCATAAATATTTACTAAATTCAAATCATTCAGATGAACATTAGCAAGATGAGTTTCATAATACAGCAATGTGTCACTTAATGATGGGGATACATTCATAAGAGATGTGCCATAAGTCAATTTCATCATTGTGCAAACATCATAGACACAAACTTAGACGGTACAACTTACTATATACCTAAGCTATATGATATAGCCTATTCTTCTAGGCTGCAAACCTGTACATCATATTGCTGTGCTGAATACTGTGGGCAATTGTAGCACAATAGTAAGTATTGTCTATTTAAACAAAAGAAGGTACAGTAAAAAATCAATATAAAAGATTAAAAATGGTACACCGGCTGGGTGCTGTGGCTCACGCCTGTAATCCCAGCACTTTGGGAGGCCAAGGCAGGTGGATCACGAGGTCAAGAGATCGAGACCATCCTGGCTAACAAGGTGAAACCCCGTCTCTATTAAAAATACAAAAAATTAGCTGGGTGTGGTGGCAGGCCCCTGTAGTCCCAGCTACTCAGGAGGCTGAGGCAGGAGAATGGCTTGAACCTGGGAGATGGAGCTTGCAGGGAGCCGAGATTGCACCTTTGCACTCCAGCCTGGGCAACAGAGCGAGACTCCGTCTCAAAAAAAAAAAAAAAGGTACACCTGTATGGGACACTTACCATGAATGAAGCTTCCAGGACTGGAAGTTGCTCCCATGAGTCAGTGAGTGATGAGTCAATGTGAAGGCCTAGGACATCTCTGTACATCATTGTGAATGTTCTAAACACTGTACACTTAGGCCACACTAATTCAATACAAAGTATATTTTTCTTTCTTTAATATTAAATTAATCTCAGCTGACTGTAACTTTGTTGATTTATAAACTTTTTATTTTTTATAACTTTTTGACTCTGGTAATAAAACTTAGGTCAAAACACAAACACATTTTATAGTTGTACAAAATATTTTCTTTTCTTCTATTTTAAGTTTTTTCTATTTTAAAAATTGTTTTATTTTTTATTTTTAAACTTTTCTTTTAAAAAGTAAGACACAAACACACACATCAGCCTAGACCTACATGGGGTCAGAATCATCAAGACATTACTAAGTGATAGGAATTTTTTGGCTTCACTATAATCTTATGGGACCACCATTGTAGATGCAGTCCATCACTGACCGAAATGTTGTTATGCAGCACATGACTGTATATCTGTTTTTCTGGGTATAAGGTGAGTGACACTAAATTGTTGAAGGATGAGGAAGATGTTCTGATCAAATAAATAATGCTGCAGAGAAGATTAAACCAACAGAACTCAGAAATGACTGTTACACATGAGTTTCATTCCAAAGGAGATAAGCTAAGTTAGTGTTCTGCAAAGCAGCATCGTGATCACACTGATTTGGACACTAGTTTTCTGATCAGTAAGATCAATGGAGAGGTCTAGAAGATAACTGAAGTTACTTCTACTCTCAGCTTTTAATGATCTCTTAAATTTGTTTTTCTTTGCCTCCCTCCATGCCTGCCTATCCTTTCCTCTTGAATCAATCTTTTATGTCCCATTTCCAAGAGTAGAACCAACATTCACCCAGATGCTAACCACCTCCCACCTTCCATATGCTATACCCTAGCTACGTAAAAGTACTTGCATTTTTTAGAATGTATTATTACCTCTACCTAGATGCATTTTCCAGGGACATACCCCATCTCTTGAAGGTTTAACCTCCACTGTCTTTGAAGTGAGCCATTATCTTTATCACTTAATTACACATCTTTCCAGGTACCTTATAGATTAGATGTCCTCTTTCCCCCATAAATACCAGTTCTTGAGGAAGAAACTATCAAGTTCACCTTTTATCCTCAGAATTTAACTACAGCAGAGTTTTAATAAATATTTTTTGAATGGATTGGATTCACAAAGTCACAGCATCACATCACTAATGTTATCCTCTCATCTGCTAACCTTATTTCACTAAGCATGTGCCATCTCTGAGAAAGCTATGAAGTATTAGCATAAATAATTAAAACAAAAGTTTGCTTAAAAAACTAATTTGTGATGCAGTCTTACTTACTTTGTAGTGTTTACTTGCCAGCTGATTTGACACATTTGAGAGTCCATTTATCTAAGCTATCTTGAAAAGTCACTGTGGCTTATTGAAGCCTTCATGTTTAGGCACTCAGTATATCCTTCATCAGTAAGTTTCTCTGAGCCTATATTTTCTTCTCAATGGGGATTGGAATATCCATTAATTTTACCATGTTTCTGTAGCTGATGCTTGGAATGCATAATAAATACATTTGCAAATTGGTAGGGTGAATGTTTTGCAATTATAGAAGCAATTAATATTTGGTTGTGTAAGAAAAAAATATTTTAAGAATCATGCATCCAATAACAAGAAATGTATGCCAATGCCTAAGCTTTAACTATATGTAGAGAGAATAATGTCAGAACAGTAATGCAAATGACTCAATTCATGGACAATTTAAGAACAATAAACTTTAACTTGGAACATGTCATTATCTTCTCTGAGACTTGTTGACATACAGCCTGTCCTCATGAAAAAGGAAATATTTACTGTCTCCACAGGTATTTTACAACATTAAAATTCTGTTTGTGGCTTTTGTAAACCTCCCTGGAAAGTTACAAGTGAGATTAAAAGAAACTCCGACAGCCTGGGGAGGAGTTGATAGATGACCTGCCATATTTAAGACAGCCAACTTTCTGCTAAGGTCAGCCCTCACATACTGAGAGGACAAAAGCAAAACCCAAGCCCCAGGGAAAGCAGAGAGGCTGAAAGAACAAAGTGTGTTGACATCAGTGACCTCTAGCCTTAGACTAACGGGAAAGACTATTCTATTATGTATGTTTATATGCATAGATGCATAAATGTTTACTTTCATATTTTTATATGGACACATATAATACATAATATGTTTTGACTGAGACCCCACCCAAATCTCAACTTGAATTGTATCTCCCAGAATTCTGACGTGTTTTGGGAGTAACCCAGTTTTCGGTAATTGAATCATGAGGGCTGGTCTTTCCCGTGCTATTCTTGTGATAGTGAATAAGTCTCATGAGATCTAGTGGGCTTATCGGGGGTTCCATTTTTGCTTCTTCCTCATTTTCTCTTGCCACCACCACGTAAGAAGTGTCTTTCACCTCCTGCCATGATTCTGAATCCTCCCCAGCCATGTGGAACTGTAAGTCCAATTAAACCTCCCTTTGTTCCCAGTTTAGGTATGTCTTTATCAGCAGCATTGAAAACGAACTAATACAGTAAATTGGTACCAGTAGAGTGGTGTGTTGCTGAAAAGACACCTGAAAATGTGGAAGCAACTTTGGAACTCGGTAACAGGCAGAGGTTGGAATAGTTTGAAGCGCTCAGAAAAAGACAGGAAAATGTGGGAAAGTTTGGAACTCCCTAGAGATTTGTTGAATGGCTTTGCCCAAAATGCTGATAGTGATACGGACAATAGAATCCAGGCTGAGGTGGTATCAGATGGAGATGAGGAATTTGTTGGGAACTGGAGTAAAGGTGACTCTTCCTATGTTTTAGCAAAAAGACTGGAGGCATTTTGCCCCTGCCTTAGGGATTTATGGAACTTTGAACTTGAGAAAGATGATTTAGGGTATCTGGTGGAAGAAATTTCTAAGCAGCAAAGCATTCAAAATGTGTCTTGGGTGCTGTTAAAGGCCTTCAGTTTTATAAGGAAAGCAGAGCATAAAAGTTTGGAAAATTAGCAGCCTGACTATGCGATAGAAAGAAAACCCCATTTTCTGGGGAGAAATTCAAGCCGGCTGTAGAAATTTGCATAAGTAGGAAGGACCCTAATGTTAAACCCCAAAACCATGGGGGAAAATGTCTCCAGGCCATGTCAGAGACCTTCAGGGCAGCCCCTCCTATCACTGGCCTGGAGGCCCAGGAGGAAAAAGTGGTTTCATGGGCAGGCCCAGAGTCACTGTGTTGTGTGCCTACTAGGGACTTGGTGCCCTGTGTCCCAGCTGCCCCAGCCGTGGCTGAAAGGGCCAACTTAGATTTTGGCCTGTGGCTTCAGAGCGTGGAAGCCCTGGGCTTTTGCAGGCTCCATGTGGTGTTGTACCTGTAGGTGCACAGAAGTCAATAATTTAGGTTTGGGAGCCTCCGCCTAGATTTCAGAAGATGTATGGAAATGCCTGGATGCCCAGGCAAAAGTTTGCTGCAGGGCAGGTCCCTCATCAAGAACCTCTGCTAGGGTAGTGCAGAAGAGAAGTGTGGGGTTGGAGCCCCCACACAGAGTCCCTACTGGGGCACTGCCTAGTGGAGCTGTAAGAAGACGGCCATGGTCCTCCAGATCCCAGAATGGTATATCCACCAACATCTTGCACCGTGTGCCTGGGAAAGTCACAGACACTCAACACCAGCCCATGAAAGAAGCTGGGTGGGAGGCTGTAACCTGAAAAGCCACAGGGGCAGAGCTGCCCAAGACCATGGGAACCCACCTCTTGCATCAGCATGACATGGATGTGAGACCTGGAGTCAAAGGAGATCATTTTGGAGCTTTAAAATTTGACTGCCCTGCTGGATTTTGGACTTGCATGGGCCTGGTAACCACTTTGTTTTGGCCAGTTCCTCTCATTTGGAATGGCTGTATTTACCAATACCTGTACCCCTATTGTATCTAAGATGTAACTAGTCTGCTTTTGATTTTACAGGCTCATAGGCTGAAGGTACTTGCCTTGTCTCAGATGAGACTTCGGATAGTGGACTTTTGAGTTAATGCTGAAATGAATTAAGACTTTGGAGAACTGTTGGGAAGGCATGATTGGTCTTGCAATGTGAGGACATGAGATTTGGAGGGGCCACGGGTGGAATGATGTGGTTTGGCTCTGACCCCACCCAGATCTCAACTTGAATTGTATCTACCAGAATTCCCACATGTTTTAAGAGGGATCCAGGGAAAGGTAATTGAATCATGAAAGTCAGTCTTTCCCGTGCTATTCTTCTGATAGTGAATAAGTCTCATAAGATCTGATGGGTTTATCAGGGGTTTCCACTTTTGCTTCTCCCACATTTTCTCTTGCCACCACCATGTAAGAAGTGCCTTTCGCCTCCCACCATGATTTTGAAGCCTCCCCAGCCATGTGGAACTGTAAGTCCAATTAAACCTTTTTTTTTGTCCAGTTTCAAGTATGTCTTTATCAGCAGTGTGAAAACAAACTAATACAATACATATGTATATACATGTATATATGTAGTAATATATGCATATTATAGTATATAGCATATATATATATAACCTCATGAGAATAAAAATAAGATGCAGTGATTTTTTAAATATATTTTACTTATCATTATAGATTTATGCTCCTCACCCTCACTGATCTAGTTACCTTTCTGAATAATTTTGTCAGAATGATACTGGGATCAACCCAAGACAGATTTTGATGAGGAGTTACCATTAACAAAATCATCTAAATCAGGATGGCAGGCTCAAGTGCTGGCCTCAAGGTAGCCAAGCAATAAATTTCCCTCTGGGTGCCTGAGCCAGCCAACCAACAGTCAGCAGAAGTTCAAGGTTTCCATGGATACCTCATCCTGGGCACAGGTGTAGTGATAACTCTTCAAAAGCTCTTTGCATAACTATGATGCCTGAGAGTTCAGTGGAGGTTAGCCTAATTAGTTACCAGGGTGAAATTAGTTTCTATGACAGTTTCCAGAGCCCACTTTAATCACAGGACAAATAGAAATGAAGAAATGAAATTGTGAAAGAAAGTAGAGATTTAAACTTATATCTGTTTTTATTGTTCCTTTAATATTATTGAATTATTTCCTGTTGCTTAAAACAGAAATTCACAAATTTATGTTTTAGGAAAGATATCCCATTTCCTAGCTGGATACTAGATGTTTTATGAATTGCAGGATATACGACCATGCCCAGATTTCTGTTTTTCATGGATAAGGTACATTTTACAATTTGAAGTAGGTTGGGCTGGGTTCTACATACCTTTCAATGATAGATATTTATCACTGCTTGCCCTGAAGGCCTTCTCCCACATGTTTAAAATGATATCCCAACTTCCCTTTGGACCAATACCCTTCTATTTCTCAACTCAATAGTTTTTATGGAGTTGACCCTATTTCTGGCTTCAGGGGTAGGCAAGTAACCCAGGCCAGGCTATTCAGAGAACTACATCACTCTATCCAAATGCTGGTTGTGTGATTAGCTTCTGACCTAAACAGGCTGATGTGATTCCTCTGTGGGAATTTTGCTAGTATTCTTGGGAAATCATCATGTCCTTTGATAGTAGAAGCTAAGATTGTGAAGTGTTTCTACCTAAGAAAAAAGTCAATAGAAAGGTAATAAGAAGAAAGAGAAAGATATATTCTGATAATATCGTTAGGGGCTCTGAGTCCACTTATACCTGAAGCCAACGGAATTTCCCAGTTATAGGAGCTAATACATTCATTTCTGTGACTTTATTTTTTTAAACTTCTACATTGGTATTCTGTAAAGACTGAATGGGTCCTAACATAGTTATCAAGTTTTTTTTCAGCAAATAATTTACAATTATGTAAGCCATTGCCTGGGACTCCTTTCTAGTCATCTGGAGTTGCCAACTACTGTGTAGGCATTACTGTGAAAAGATCCCACAGTTGAAAACAAGATAAATTTTAAATGGCCAGGTTCAATGGGAGCCTGATACCTTTTACTAGATCTTCATATTTTGTACCAAATTTCAAGAATTGATTATGTATTGTTTAAAACATAAATGTTTTAAAATAGACTGAAAGCAAAAACAAAAATTTTGTTTTGGCACACCAGAAATTGGTGAGCAGGGTACTATCACTTTCTCTTTCCATCTCATAGGACTCAGAGGGCCACTCTATCTATGATTCCCTGTGAAATATGATTATATTTATAAGAAAGAAAGATGTCTTACTTCCTAGCAGGATATTGAATGATTTCTGAATTGCAAGATATACCACCATACATATGTAAGTAACCAGCACGTTGTGCACATGTACCCTAAAACTTAAAGTATAATAATAATAATAATAATAATAATAATAATAATAAAGATATACCACCATGCCTAGAGCCACTGGACAATGGGAGAATGAGTGAACCTTAGGAAAAGGGCAGAGTGTCACAGTGAGTTGGAAGAACTCCAATATCAGTTTCTACAGATCCAAGACAGTCGTGGCTGAGATTCCTAGTTTTTTTTTTGCAGCCTAGGCCGGGTTTGGAAAGAAAGTGCAGTTTATGGCTGTCCACCCAGAGACTGCTTCATAGGGTCAAGAATTGGTGTTTGGGGCATACACGGAGGAAAGGAAGAATACGGAATTGTCCTGTGGGATCTCCAATGTTCCAAATCATTTGGGCCACCTGGGCACTGAATGACAAGCTAACATAACACAAATAGTTTGGACCAGTGTCAATGCCAAAGACCAGTTGGTAGGATGGTCACACCATCCAGAGCCAGCAGAAAAGTCACAACGACCTAGAGGCATAGCTTCCTATCTGAGTAGAACATAACAATCCTCATGTGCCCCTCCATAGACTACACACGTATATTCTTGCAGTTTCTGCAGTGAGAGAAAGTTGATGGAACAGGAAGGAAGAGAGTGAGAGGAAAGTGAATTAGTGTTCCATTTCCTTGGCATGAGCCTCATTCTAGTTCTGTGAAAGTTCAGTCCAAGCTCTTGAAGATGGGATTCTGAACTAGACAGTGACAAACAGTAGCATCTAGATTTTGTTAAATATTTACCAGATATGGAATAGCTGTAAACTGGAAAAGACTGAAAACAAAAAGGACACAATTAATATTTTCTTGGTAAGGGATAGAGATATTGTTATTTGGCAATATTAAATTTTCTACTTTTGCATGCCAATTCACAATGGGTTGGAACTTAAAATAGCAAAATATATTTCAGTTATGTCTGTGAGTTGAGACTGTTCAATACAATCTTTTCACTGACACTCAAAAAAAAAAAAGAATAAAGAAAGAAAGGAAAGAAGAGAAGGATGGAGAGAGGAAGGGAAAAAAAGGAAAGGACTCAATCCATTACTGCCATCATTTCATGTTAAAAAGGTCATTTTCAAAGCAAAACATAAAATGAGGAGGAAAGAACTAATATGACCTCTACTTTCTCCTTTTTCTATTTTATGGAAGAATTGTGCAAATTGTATGAACTGGCAATTGGATGCAGAATACAAACTTTCTGATAGAGCTTCTATGATTCCCACTCATTTACATTTTCAAGACTATCTCCCACTTTGCCTCTTTACTCTTGGCTCAAATTACATCAAACTACGTAATTTTTTTTTATTTAAATATACATTGCTAGTTTTCCCTTCATTATTTCTGTATCTGTACTTCCCTTAGCTAGACATGTCTTTCCTTTCTCATCAGTCTAAACAATCAATAATTATATTATCAAGACAGGTATGAAACGTTAGTTTCACTGCGATGTCATTTTCTCTTATGTTTCTTGTACTTGCCTCTATAATGGTATTTATCACATTTCTCTTTAATATTTGTTTTTATATTGACATATTTTACTTAAAATTAAGCTCTTTGAGGGAAGGGAGGAAGTATACAGTAATAGTTAAAAGCATAAATTCTTGTACTTACATATCTGTAATGAAATCTCATAATCATGAATTCAAATCCTATGGAGCATTAGGCAAACTATTTTACCTCTCTGAGCATCAGTTTAGCTGTTTTTGTATTTTTTTCTCAGAATTTGGTATTACTATACAGTATATGTAATACATGTTTGATTATTAAAATCATGAATGGATTGATTTGAACAAATACATGGAGGGTGTTAAGACAGCCTCATCTTTAGTAAGGGGAAGAAGTCACTAAACAATTTAGATTTTTTTCTAGTTTATTTTCCAGATAATTTGTGTTATATCTGTTGGGATGCAGCCTAATTAGCAGAGTTTTGTGCTTATTGACTGGTAGCAATGTTATTCAGGGTATATTTCTTTCCTCAAATATGAGCAATATAGTAGTTCAAAGAGTTACAGTGACCTTTCAAGTGAGGCAGTAATTAGAAATTTTGACACGTTGCCCTTTGCAACTTGTTTGATGGCTGTCAGTCCATGTATGATTTGCTGATAGGACATTTATCCTATGTCCACAAAGATAAAAAATCACTCTAATAGGGTCAGGGTCATTGAATAGTGATAGTGCAAGCAACTCAGATCTGCTTCTTGAGCTGGCAAGAAGGGGGTTAGTCAAAGAATTAGAGACAAATATAAGTGAGAAGTTATCCAATGACAGAAGTTGGGATCTCCAGAAGTTAAGTGACTCACCCTAGGTCACAAAGCAAATTAATAATAAAGCTGGCATGAACCCCCAAGTCTTCTGACACCACATCAATGCTAGAATGACATGGTGAGTGCTTCCTCTTCCTTCAGAATTTCTCCTTGAAAGCCATTGTCTTTGGATGCATACAATATCTGACACTGGCACACACTTGCTCACTGTTCTCAATGGCAATATTTTGACCCTAATAGTTTTTATCTCAAAGTAAGTATCTTTCTCCTGAATTCACTTTCTTTCATTCCAAACATAAACCTCTTGCTTAGTTTTATTAAGAATTCCCTCAGCAGTGCCTTCAACCCTCCAACCTTTTGTTCTCAAGCACATAAATCCAATAAACTTCTAGGCCTTCTTGAAGTATAGGAATCCTGGTTTTTACATTGTGACATAATAAAAAATGTATATTTGGTCTCTGCTACCAGTTCCTGGCAAAGACCTACTAAAACCTCTGTAATTTCTTGAGCAATTAGGATGCTAGGTTCACCTATTGTTCTAATTTTTGCTCTTTGACCGTGGTTCCTGATGTAGAGCTCCTAATAAAATGTTCTCTGTGACAAAATTGTCTTTTGTTCTAATGAAGTGACTTTTGACTTTCTTGGGCTCCTGGATGAGAACTGATCACCAGAAAGGCCAAGCCATGATTAAAAGTTGAAATTTTCAGCCTCACCCCCGAAACTCTGGGAAGGGAAGTCCTGGGGTAGTTGGAAATGATTTTTGCCCTTACCTTTGGGAAGCTCTTTATACATGTTGCTGCTGCTGCACACCAGGTCTAGTGAGACCTTGGGAGAACCATGGGTCTGGGAGAAGGGTCAAGAGTAGAGAGCAAAGATGTGTTTATTTAAAATTCTCCTCTCATTTGAGACAACTTACCCTCCAATCAGAGCCATAAACTTAAGCCATATTAAAAAGGCCTGTTTCTTTATACACTGTATCTCTTCATCCAAGGAAAAATAAAATTGTTTTTAACCCCCTTCTGTGCAAGGCAAAGACTAAATATTGGTGTTTTCTTAATAAATATTTATGTGTATGTAAATAAAGTGAAAGTCTTTAAAACTCCTGATATTTATGAACTGATGATAAAGTTTGATGCAGAACTGACATCTCTGACTCTCTGAGAAAACGGATTGAAAGGAAATCAATTCAAACCAAAGGTAATGGAAGGAAGCTTTTTGTATATACTTGGAATAAATAATAAAAACAGAGTGATAGCATTAAGAAACAATTTAAGGGAAGAATATAGGGAATATAAACTGATGAAAAAAACAGTTCATTTTCTAGATCATGAGTGTGGCAAACTAAGGTTATTAACATGGGTGTGGTCGACTAGGTTTTTAACAACGGTGGACTTGAATAGTTAGCCAGTACAGAGACCAGATGACTGAAATATGCCCTCCTTTAAGCAAATTTGTTTTAAATAGTTTATTTGGTGGCAGGTCTATACTACATGCTGGGTGAGTAGTATCTAATATAGTCTCTATCCTCAATTTTTGAGTGTATATTTTAGTACTGAAATGCATAGTAATTAGTCAATTTAATATACAATAGCAATTACAATAAATGCTATGAAGGATAATTGTATGAAGAATTAATGAGTACACAAATTTGAATACATCCAATCAAGGAAGTTGAAGAAAGGATCCTCAGGAGATAATAATTGATCAGAGAGATGACAGAAGAGTTGGCATTAACTAGATATACCATGTCTATCTCTATAACACAAAAGCTGGACTCTTCCTATATTTTATTCTTTAAAATAGTAATTATTTAAAATGACTAAAAGGAAAACATTTTCCTCTTTCATTTACTTGGTTTTCCTCTAAATTCTAATTGGTACACAAAAAGGTTTGTTGAAAATGTTGAACTAAACATGAATGAGAGCAATGGAATTCACAGTTTTACCAATGCTGTGAAAAGCAATTCATCAGTGTCACCAGGAGCCAGTAGGTTAACACTTCCTTTAAACAAAAAAGATATTTTCACACTTGTAAAAGTTAAGAAAAGGAAAGCAATTCAGACCATTTACAAAATGTTTTTTTTTCTCTTTGATGTCTCACTGCAAGACTAGTATTATTTTAATGACTACATATTTAAACGGTAGACTCAATGGTGGTTTCTTTGCTTCACTTTGCTTTGCATTGCTTTTTCCCCCACTCTCCTCCCAACTTCATAGGCGATTTTTTCAGACAGGACCTAGCAATTTAACTACAGGGGGAAAGTGTCTAAGAAGACAGAAAACCATGAGGGGTAAATCCGTTATGTGTCTTCCTTGGAGAATAGCATACTCTCTCACTGCTGCCCCACAACTTGACTGTATCAGTGTATCTATGAAAGACCTGTCCTCAGATAAAAAAAAAGAAAAGGTAAAACATAGAATATTCTCACTATCATTTCCCCAGACAGTATTTATGTGACACAGAGAAATCAGGTCAATCAGGTAGACAGGGATATTTTTTTTGAACATTATCAATCGTTCAAATTGACTAGACTTTTTTTTTTTTAACTAAACCAAATGAATAATTTGACACCATGGAGAGATAGCCTTACTCAATTTGTTTATTTATTTTAAATATCAATATTATTGTGAAATATTAGGAGAGCTATATCTAAATGTCTTTTATTCTTATCTTAGTTTTCCCAAAAGTAAAACATTTTCTGAATGAGAAGCTTATACTAGATTCTGAAATTCCATTACCTTTAATAGGTAGTGATGGAAACATGAGCACGACCATGACCACATATATGTTCTTCTAGTGACACTTTATACACAACAGTATGATTGCAGAGATTGAGACTTAAAATTGTATTATGCTTTTGAGCACATTACACCTTATCATCTATACTTTTCTCATTGCAAAATAAGCAAGAGGAGTAGAAAATGATATTTTGTTGAAAAACTGAACTTATGTGTTTATCAGTTTATATTGATATAACAGGGAGTCCAAGTCTTAGTGGCACAACATAACAAAAGTTTCTTACATACATTAAATTTATTTCTGACATATGCAACCTTCACCACAGTTTGGCTGAGGGTTCTGTTCATTGTAGCCACTCAGGAATCCATTGTATTGTAAGAGCTGCCATCTTTAATAAGGCTAATCACTATGCTAGAGAGAAAAGACATCTCTGAAAGGCCTCACAGTAATAATTAAATATTTTGGCCCAGAAGTGACATGGCTTCATACAATCATAAGAAAACCATGAAGGGTAAATCAACTATGTGTCCAGAAGGTAGAGACCCAGAAATATTTTAGGTACCACATTAATAAATGCCATACCCGGCAGGGCATGGTGGCTGAAGTCTGTAATCCCAGCACTTTGGGAGGCCGAGGCAGGCGGATCACAAGGTCAGGAGATCGAGACCATCTTGGCTAACATGGTGAAGCCCCGTCTCTACTAAAAATACAAAAAAATTAGCCGGTCGTGGTGGCGGGCGCCTGTAGTCCCAGCTACTCGGGAGGCTGAGGCAGGAGAATGGCGTGAACCCGGGAGGCGGAGCTTGCAGTGAGCCTAGATCGCGCCACTGCACTCCAGCCTGGGCGACAGAGCGAGACTCCATCTCAAAAATAAATAAATAAATAAATAAATAAATAAATGCCATACCCTCTTAAGAGTAAACAGTGACGTCAGGACCAAAATATATTCCTCATACCCATCTATGGATTTCCTCTTTGCTAGATTTTCCCAAGGCCGTTCTGAGGGCAGAAGAAACTAACACACACACATACACACACACACACACACACAGAGATGTAAATACACACATACACACACTTTCATACTTTCTTTTCTCCTTCCCAGTACTATTGAGTAAAAAAATAAATAAGTATCTTGCTTAAGGCAATAAATTGATGTGATGAGATCATGAGAAATGCTATAAAAGCTCGAAGATGGGTTCAACTTTATGATAAAAGTTGGCAGCTGCAAGTGCTCTGGATTTTGGCTCAAGAGTATAACAGTGTAGGAAAAGGGCATAAACACAAAGGGAAGATACAGTGATAGGAAGGATAGAATCTGAAGAAAAGTATTTCCAGGGCTTGGGCAAATGCAAATATACAAACAGTTGGAAAATAGAGGATCAAAAGAGCAAAGACACCTGAGAATAAAGATAGGTGACAATTTTATTAGATTCATTCATTCACTTATTTATTCTTTCAGCAATTACTAACTGATGCCTGACACCTGTTAAACCTGTAGTTAGCTCTTGATACAGAAAGTACAAGATAAACCCAGTCATTCACTCCATGGAACTCATAGACTTACACATAAAAGGGTAATATTATTATCATAACTAATTTTTAACCTTCACTGAGAACTACTACAAATGCATGCACTCTGTGTTCATTGGAAATTATACCAAAAAAGTAAAAAATGTCAATTTTACATGCTTCTTAAATTTATCAATATCAAATATCTTATTTAATTTTCAACCTGCTTCTTACATTTATCAATATCAAATATCTTATTTAATTTAATAAAAACAAACTTATGAAGTAATACTAGTATCATGTCCATTTATGAACAAGGACACTGAGGCTCAGAGAGATTTAACAACTTACCAAAAGTTTTGCACAAGAGCCTAAATTCAATTTAAGAATTATGACCCTGTTTCTCACACTCTCAATTATTGTTCAACAAAATTATAATAATAATAAAATAATTCACATGCAGGAGATTCAGTGTAATGAGAAGCAATGGGAAGGGCATAAAGAAGGGAAATAACATTATCAGAGTTACATTTTCAAAATGTGATGGTCAACATGTATCTAGAATAGACTTTAGAAAGTCTAGAGTAGAAGAAGAAGGAAAACAAAGAAATTTATTGAAGTATTTTAAAAGCATGAGATTGGATTAGGGTGGTGGTAGAAAAGATGGAGGAAAATGGTCAGATTTTGCAATACTTTGAACATATTGTTCCCAGATTGCATGTGGGTTTAAAAAAAGAGTGGGGAAAGTTGTTCTGAGGTTTGTGTCCTGATCATTTGGGTGAATAATGTGCTATTTACTGAGATGAGAAAAACATAAAAATTTGGGGGCAGGAGAAATCAAAAATTCTGCTCAGAAATCTTTCAGTTTGAAATAAAATATTAAGCCTTCCAATGGAGAAGAAGAAATGTCAGTCTGGCCATTGGAAACACATGTCTGGACTTCAAAAAAAAAAAAAAAAGAAAGAGAGAAACAGGACTGGAGACATAAATTTGGGATTCAACAGCATATAGATGGCATTTAAGTCATAGTCCTGGATGTCTGAGTGTAAATAAATCTCTGGGACTTTCAATATTTTCAGGTTGGGAAAAGGAAGAGGAACCAACAAAGAAGACTTAGAAGCAGTGGCCAATACAACAGGAAAATAACCGGGGAAATGTGGAATCCTGAAAGCCATGTAAGGAATGCTTCCAGTTTCAAAGGAAAAAAGTGATCAACTGTGTCAAAAATTGCTGCTGATATGTCAAGTAAAATGGGATTTAATATGTTGGAGTTCATTGTCAGTATACATATTGTCATTTAGATCCAGGTCACCCCTCACTTCAGATTTGTTAGAGATTTTAGTAACATAGCTTTAGACCACAGTCTTATTTTTTCTTTGGAAGCTACTGTTACCAAAAATTGAATTTTCAAGGCTTACTCCATTGAAGAGGCTAGTTGTTTTCTCCTAAAAGCATATGTTTAACTTAAATAGCTAGTATCAGATAAGCAGTGGTGTCTGGAATTTTTAGCCAGCATAAACCACATAATCTCTTGCTACATGATAAAATAATCATATATATTTAAAAACATACTTCATAAAATGATCATCAATAAGTAAAGAACACTTGCAACATAGTAACTCCAATTTGGCACATCATTTATCCTATTGATCCTCTTTGCATATTGGTTTTCAGGAAAACTTTTTTGTGTGTGTTCTGCCCTACAACTGCCATTTGGAAATTTGCTATTCAAAGCCCTCATGCTGCCTATGGCTGGCTGCTGTGCTTTTAGAGCAAAGGCACAGAGTAGGACTGATCTACACAAGTACTCTAAAATAGTATCATTAAGCCCCTTAGTTAATTAGGTCTGGACTGCTCCCTTCTGCAATCAGAACAGGAATTACATGCTCATTTCCTCTCTTATAGTGTCACCAAAAGAAAAAAAAATCTTTACAGAAAATGTGGCAGCTCCAGATGGTGACTTTCCATCAATTAAGAAAACAGATCATTTTAGTTAACCCTTGGAAATCTTACTGTCATCATTTTTTTCTCTTTTTTAAATCTATTAACTCTGTAAAAGATCTTAACATATGTTTGCTAATGATTAATTATCTATAAATATCTACTGGACTTTATAAACACTTATACTCCATATAAAATTGAAAATTAAGAAAGACCAATACATTTTCCTAGTGAACACAATAAATATATTTTAACAGAAAAATGATAACCCATGTACATGGGATTATCTGTCATTTTTAGAAGTCATTCTATTGTTCACAGCACCAGGTCCCCTGACAGCACCAGGCCAGCAACTCTGCAGTCACCATTACCAGCTCTATTACCCACCACATGATGCCTGTATCCTTTCTCGAGTCCTAGCTGCTAAAAATTCCATTTAGATTGAAACATTCCAAATGTCTATATCCGAAGAGCTAATTTCTTATTTTACATATTTTCCTTAGCTATTTTGCAAGCATCTAAATGCTCTTGAGCACTTCCATCCCATAATGGGCAAAGACGGCACACACAAAAAAAGAGGCAATCCATTTGACTGCTTGTCAGTTGCAGCTCTGAAAAATCTATTTCCCTCTGGACAAGAGATTGGTTATGATTCATTAAACTCATTGACTTACTATGAACTCTTTTCGATTTCCCTAGTAACCCCCTTCCCCAGAAAAATGTTAATTGAACCAGCACATTATAAAAATCAGAAGTTTGACTGAGATCTTTTTTGATTCCAAAAAATAAATTTAGTGAAGATACCATGATTTTCATATTGATCAAGATGTCCTTAATGTTGTCCTCAGCTCAACTGAACTTTAGACTGGCTTCTTCCTGCCTAGAGACCCCTGACCTCCCTTTACTTAGAGGATTTATTTTATAAAACTTGCCCTTGTTTTTTCTCTTCTCCTTTGAGATGTAAATCTTCAACGCAGGAATATTTTTTTTCAAGAACTTGTGAGCCATCCCATTGAAATGTAATTGTCAAAAAAGATAGAGCCCCTGTCTCCCTTCCTCTGTTGGAGAGTAGGAGGCTTTTCTTCAACAAGTGACAATTAACAAACACATAACCTGATCACATGGAGAAAATTCCCTCATAACATCCTACAGTGCTTTTCAATTAGCTCACCCCGGTGGTTAAAAATCTCCCAGCTTTTTTTGCAGGGGGATTAAATTCAAACTCTTCTATTGCAAGTCTTGACCCTTACTGCAATAGTCTTGAATGAAATCTTCCTTTCCATTTTTAATAAGTACCTGGTGCAATTACTTTTTATACTATAATAACAGGAACTGTGAAATATGTGATCACAATATAAATGTAATTCTCATCCTACAGCTCGCAGTCTGTTCAATAAATAGAAATGAAAATGCATGAGAGAATTACTGAAAAAGTCAAGAGAATAGAGGTTCTATGAGAGAAGTCAATGTGATTTGGAAATGGCCTACAAATAAGATCATAAGTTAACACCTGTGTGAACACAAAGGTAATATTGTTCAAAGAGCAACTCTGACTTTGCCACTAACTGCTCTGTGACCTTGAGCAGGTTACTTAATATCCAAGGATCTTGGATTTTTTATACATGAAATGGAGAGAATAGTCAATTTTGCTAGGTAATGAAACTTAAAAATAGCCATTGAGTAACTATGATATGATAGTTATAAATTTCTAAATGTTTTATATATATTAAAAATCAAATGCCTAGTCAAGTCTCAATTTAGAGGTTTTTTTTTTTTTTTTTTTTTTTTTTTGCCAAGGTTAGGGATCATGGCCCCTGTCACAGCCTCAAGGGGTCCTGAGGACATGTACCCATGGTGTTGGGTTACAGCTTGATTTTATATATTTTAGGGAGGCAGAAGTTATAGTCAAAGACATAAATCAATACATTGGTTTGGTATAATTGGTTCAGCCCTAAAGGCAGGACATCTGGAAGCAGGGGGTTTCCAGCTCATAGGAGGATTTCAAGATTTCCTGATTGACTGTTGGTTGAAAGAGTTAAGCTCTGCCTGAAGACTTCAACTCAGCTTGAGTCAAGGTAAGGCAGGAAAGGGTTCTGGAAGCCCAAGATTCCTGTCATGTAGATGGCACCTCCAAGTAGCAGGCTTCAGAGAGAATAGATGTAAATGTCTCTTCTCAGATCTTAAAAGGTGTCAGACTCTCTGGAAAAGACCTAGTAAGAGAAGGAGATTCTCTACATAATGTAAATTTTCCCTGTAAGAGACTTTTGCAGGACCATTTCAACATATGTCAAAGAAACATATTTTGAGGTAAAATACTTTGATTTCCTTCAGGGCCCACTGTCTGTCACATGATTTTACACCAGAGACAAGTTGGAACTTGGTATCTTATTTGCTACAAAGAATATGTTTTGTCAGTCGTAATATCTTTCTGCGTTAATGTTGATGTTGGTCAGTCATGACTGAATTCTAAAGGGAGGAAAGTGTAATGCGCCATGTCTGACTCACTTTCCCTCATAGCCTGAACTAGCTTTTCAGGCTTTTTTTTTTTTTTTTACCCATTGGCCAAGAAGTTGTCCAGTCAGTCTGTTGCGGGGGGCTTAGAATTTTATTTTTGGTTCACACATTCAATTTTCACAATGTTAGATGGTACTATTATCATCTCTATTTTATATATGAGGAAACTGAGGCAAAAAGAAAGTAAATATCTTGGTAAAAATAATCATTTCCTTTGTGGTTGACCTGCAGTGAAACTTTAAGCACTATACTTTACTGCTTACTTGACTCAAATAATAACTGTGAAAGTGTTTTCAAACTGAAAAAAGAATCAAATGTACTGAAAATAAGTATAAAAAGAAATCCACTCTGAAAATAATGAAAACTGGTTCACTTTTAAATTTCTGATTTTATGTATTGTATAAGGAGTAATAAACAGAAACTCTATAAATGATGTTTTCCTGATATTCTTTTCAATTTATATATTCTACAAGATCAAATATCTGTCTTCCTCTTTCATACTTATTTGAAAATTCTGCTTAAATTTCTACATACCTAAATCAGCAGCATAATCCCTTGATAAATGCTTTTCTTCATAATGCTAAGAAGAACAGATTGAAATTGGTGCTTTCTCTCAACTGAAAGCAAAGGAGAGAAAACCTAAGAGCTGCGAACCTTCCCTTTTGTTTATTCCACCTGGCTAACCACCCAAAGCAGCCTCTCTGATCTCTCCCTGGGGGCCTCAACTGCTGCTACCCAGAAGGTCAGGATTGTGCTCCACACATCTGTCACCATATTCCTCATGACTTTTAGGCACCAGAACCCAGAGGAATGGTAAAATTTAGCTGGGTTATTGGTAAATATTGATAACGTGTATTAAAACATACTAGTGCATATGAGCTAGTTCTGCTATTTGGGGATTTTTGTTCTGTGACTCTCCTCGGTCTTGCCCGTTGCTTTTCAATTATTTGCACACTTGCATTAATGTATTCTGAGAGATAAGCAAGGATAAGGAGAATAATGCGAACTTAAATGAATCCCTTCTATTACAGTTGTAAGCAAAAGTCTAATGGGGTAGAGCTGAAAATGACAGGCATTTGCCATTTGACTTTTGCTCTTGGGAAAATGGGTAATTTCATCCACCTTTTTGCATTGTTCTATTTCTGGCATTTTTCCTACTAAGAAAAGTTTTCTTATGCAACAGCAAATAAATATTTATAACAACTCCTTGAAAATATATTAAAGATTAGCTTCAAGTTTCAGAAAACAATCTAACTGTTCAATATCTTTCAAAGCACAGGAAAATGTACAGTTTCTTTGTGTGTTCAGTATTGATTTTATCTGATGTAAAAATTGGATCAGCCTTAAGAGTCTGGAAGACAGCTATTTAACCATCCATTCAATTGACATTTAGTTGGGCTGCTCAAAAATTGTTCTTTGCTACTATAGCTAATTTATAAAATTAATAGTTAGAGATTAGTGCTCATGTATTTTTGAGTAAAGTATTTATTGAATAACTACTATGCTCTTATTCCTTAGTGTTATATAATATGTTATTTGGCCCTTTCTAAATTGTTACACCATATAACAGGCAGCAGGATAATTTGCTTAAGAAATAGAGATATTTATATTTACATATATCTTATAAGGTATTTATAATATATGATGTGTTCATTTATACACGTATTTGCCTGGCTAGCAAGATGATTGATAGAAAGATAGATGGATAGATTAATAGATATATAGATAAGTAGGTGGAAGGATAGGTAGATAGATGCAATATAAGACAATAGTGCTTTATAAGTGTAAGACAATTTAGACAAAGAAAAGAATAGCATACAAAACATCATGCAGGCTAGAAAATAAAAGTTCTAAAAATATTGTAAGAATTCTGCAGGTCAGTGTTCATAAGGAGAATCATAGAAACTGAAAAGCAGATATGCTTTAGTAATTATGGTTTTAAGCCCAAGCTTAATGTGGCCTAGAATCCCCTTGGTAGGGAATCTAAATGTTTCAATGACAAGACAGAGAGCTCTAAACATGGACAACAAAAGGCAGAATCTTATATATACTGGGAAAATTTTAAGTTAAGTGCCAGAGACAGGCAAAGAACAAGCAAGATCATTACTAGGGAGTCTGGAAAGGTAATGGTCTTAAGAATGCAATAACAGAGGAAGGTGAGAAACAGGACAATCGTTGATGGGTACAGTTATACATGAGCAAACATATGCCAGTGGACCAACCAGGATATTCCAGGAGCTCAATTTGTACTACAAAGTCGATAGATGCTGCGTTTAAAATACTTTTAAGTCCAACTTATTTCATTCTGAGTATTAGTGTCTTACCAAACACGTTTGTCCAGATTCTGATGCCATGAATGGAATTAATTGTGTAATGTGTGTGTATATCACTCAAAATAATAAGGAAACCAAGGCAAAAGTGAGGATAGTGAGGACTGGAGTGGCTACAGAAAGCCACTCCAAAAAATGGAACCTAAGCTGGTCATTGATATGTGGGCAGAAATGGACAGGCAGAAAGTGGTGATGGAGAAATTAGGGCAAAGAGTAAAGCTATGGGAGAAATAATGAGAGGATTTCAAGATAAGTGGAAGGAAATAAAGATTTTACATGAAATGTTCCAAATTACATTTAGCCTGTGCAATGTTAAATGCAGTACTGAATACCAGCTTCAGGAGTAATAAAGAATTAGGTGGTTTTCAACTGAAATAACACTTAAATTTTTTTTCTATTTTAAACAAAAATGTTGATTTTTTAAGTTTATAATTTTAAAACAAGTTCCAGAGGCTGGACAGAGGACACAAGGGGGCACACAGCCTAGGTGAGAGCTACATGTGAAATGTCTATATTCATAGTTATATTAAGCGCTACTTAATTCTGCTTAGAGGAGTGAGTTGGGAGAGAGAAAAGAACATTTAATAGCTCATTTTCCCTGAGTTTCTCAATCAGGTAAGTACCATAGAACATGACATCATATTAGTGTGGATCTTGCTTTAAAAATAATTTATTTGTAAACATTTGGTGGACATGAGAGCTGGATTATAATTCTAACAAGCTGATGGAAGGTAAAATTTATATCAACTCCATGATGGCAAGGTCATTTGTTATTCCTTATTGGGTAACATATTACAGATACTTGTTTCTGAAACCTTCAATTAATCACCATAACTCAGCACTCCTGTACTTCTAGATATTAAGGAAAACTTTCAGGGGAAGACATTTTCAAAGAATTAACAATGGCAAAACCATGCTTTCCTTGTTCACTAGTTATTTGGAGTGAGGGTAGTTGTACACACTTCCCACTCTCCTACCATACACAGTTCTACCATAGTTCTACCATTTTATTCACATTATATTTGCCCATCTCCCTTTTGCATATCTAAATTGTGCATATTTTTCAAGGCCAAACTCAAAATATGGTAGCTACATAAACCCTTCCTTGATGATTCTAGTCTTCGTTCATCTCTCCCTTGCGCTAAAAAAAAAAAAAAAATTAATCTTAAAATGAAATGAAAGATAAAGGCAAGAGAATGCCATGGTTGATGAACTAAGGTGGTGGATTTGAAAATACTTGGGTTTCAACCACTGTGCTGCTATTTTCTTTTAGCTGTCAGGCAAATTACTTACTCTTCATTTTCCTCAATTTCTTCTGTTGTAGAATGGGAGCAATAGCAATGTTCAGGGCAGTTATAGGTATTGAATGAGAAGATTTTCCAACATGCTTTACATGGTACTTGATTGTAAATTCTCAGTAAATGTAAGACATTTCTGCTAGTAAAATATTAGAATTACTATTAGTCCACCAAATCAGAGAAATTTTTAGAAATGAAACAACTCCATTTTTTACATTCACACCAACTGCAATGTTTTTTCTGTCAATAAAAATCTTAACTAGCCTTCCATATTCAGTCAAATCTTTTATCTATCATTAAGACTGTCTCAAATACCTTAGTAATCATTAATCTCCTTTGAATTACCCTAGCATTCTTAGGGAGTTACATAATACTTTAACAACATGATTTATAGAACATTGAATGCACTTTGAATTCAAACAGACCGAAACTTGAATCTCTTCTCTGTCATTTCCTTGCTATGTATCATTAGACACGTAACTATAATTGATCAAAGGTAAGGGATTTTACAAGTTCCATATAAAAAGATCTAAAAGAACTGTTCTACTTTCCAACTATGAGTCACATATTTAAATGTAATATTTAATTTTAAAATGTAGTTATACATATAAAAGCATTTGTTAAATAATATATTAATTCAGATATAGCATTTTCTCATATTTTATAAAAATTATTTATCCATTCATAGTCACCTTTGGTATCAGCATCTCATAAGTAAGTCATTTCTAAGGTCATCAAACCCTATTTTCCAGAGCTAGTTGAGATACTGCATTTTTGAATTTCTAAAAGATGCTATCTATGGACATTTTACTTTAAGTCTCAAGTTTCATTTGCATAATGAAATAGTTGGCATAGTTGATTACTTTTTTCATTCGCTCTGTAGGAATAGCTGTGATCCAAATTATTTACTGCTTTTGGTTTTTAAAGGACTTTAAAGTTCTGTTTATAATCATCCCAGTACATGGAGTTGAGAGATTATATCAGGAATCATTATTAAATCCATGTTAAGTTTCTTGGCCTCTCTTTTTTTTTTTTAATTTAAATTATATTTCTAGATTCATCCAACTCCAGCTATGACTGAGAATGTTTCAAATTAAGATGTCTCCATCTCATGCTATTTTATTGTGTAAAATAAGGTAACTGAGAGTGACCCAAATTTTAAGCAGTACCAAAGGACTCAACCATGAGGTTATTCTGTTTATGAGGGATAGTTTTGTATTTGAGCATATGTGGAACTCATCCTCCTTGTGTGTCAGCAATCTCACTTATAAAATAGTATTGCCTGTGTATACCTACAGTTATAGAATTGTGGGGATGGTGAACTAAATGAGATGGCAGGCAACACACAGGGTAGCGTGCCCAGCACACTTTGCATCTTTCATACATTTTACAGTTAGAAAGGGTGACCACACTCATCAGAGAATACTGACGGCAGGGTAACTTGCCCAAAGCAATGCAGCTAACATGAATCTGTACACAGTTTATCCTTGAGTAGGCAGTTAAAAATACCTTTCTTAAATTGAATGTCCTATACTATATTATGCTATGCCATAATTTCTTAAATTGAATGTACTATAGATGAAAGTAAACAACTTTGGAACTAGATGAGTAGAACAGTAATTCACAGCAGATGAAAAGGGTGAAAAAGTGAGGTGAATGGCTCAAATTTTTGGCACATGAGGACAGCAAAAAGAAAACAAAAACCAGTGACTGGAAAATGGTCCTAGAGATATAACTGGCAAGGAGGCTCAATGTATTGACAATTATTTTTTCCAAGTTAAGACTTTTGGTCTGGTAGTCGATTGATTCATATTAGTGTGAGTTTTAACTTTCCTGTACACAAGGGGTCTGAATTTATTCTAGATAGCTGTCACTTTGATATCTATCTTCTACCTTCTGTGTGTACTCTTATTTACTCGAGGCATTTAAAAACTGACACAACACATTGTTATTCATGAAGTAAATATATTTATAGAATAATTTTACATCACTACCATTATGCCTTTAGAACTACTTGGTATATTTGTTTTTGATAGAAATTAAAATAAAATCACTTATTAAAATATATGCAACTATTAAAACACAGAGATACTGAAATACAAATGTATACTTACTTAAATGGCTTTGCCTTTACTGTTAGTTCACATAGTACAGTTTGGAGCAGTTTGGCAATTAATTGATCTTAATTCTCGGGACTGACAATCATCTCTGGTTTCATCCTATTATCCCACTGATATTTTTCACCTATCTTTCATGTGAACTCTTTGCTCCAGTCACATAGAGCTCCTCATTTCCACCCACAGACCCTACATAATAAATCTCAATGCTATGACTTCGTGTCACATCAGAAAAACCCATCACCTTTCTTTCCATTTATCAAAACTCGTTTGTTCAGATCCAGTCTTTTTGCTCCCGAGAACTTCCCCGTGATCCTATGTTGTTTTATCCTCATCCTGTTCAGAATTTCTACAGCTCTGATTATCATACCAGACCATCATAGAATTTCAGAAAATACTCTAGAGGTGACAAAATTTATAGACAGGAAAAGTGGAGTCTTTCAAAGAGTAAAATGAAATTTCCAGGAAAAAGAAAATAACATCAGCATGTTTCCAGGAGGGATGAAGGGCTTCCTTACAGAAACTCTATTATGCAATCTGCCATAAAGAATATAATAGGTATATCTCCTAATGCTATCCCTCCCCCCTCCCCCCACCCCACGACAGGCTCCTGTGTGTGATGTTTGCCTTCCTGTGTCCCAGTGTTCTCATTGTTCAATTCCCACCTATGAATGAGAACATGCGGTGTTTGGTTTTTTGTCCTTGCGATAGTTTGCTGAGAATGATGGTTTCCAGTTTCATCCATGTCCCTACAAAGAACATGAACTCATACTTTTTTATGTAAATGGCGAGTTAATGGGTGCAGCACACCAACATGGCACATGTATACATATGTAATAAACCTGCACGTTGTGCACATGTACCCTAGAACTTAAAGTATAATTTAAAAAAAGAAAAAAAAAGAATATAATAAACACTCAATGCAGAAAGAAATATTTTTTGAGTACTAAAGAAGCAACTGTAAAAATCTGAAGCTCAAGCTATGTTTTCCAAACATGAGTTAGCAGGTTCGGAGAAACATGAGTTAGCAGGTTCGGAGTCAATGCAATTGCTCATTTGTGATAAGTTCTTTGATACCATGAACTTTAGTTTAATGAACATGAATGTATCTTGTCTCTCAAATTAAATCGGCTTATAGGAGACAAGCATATGTCTTTCCTTAACTATTTTTATCAGTCTCATCTGAATACTCAGTAGAAACTTTTAGAATTAGTAAACATGAATCCTAATGGTTTAAAGCAGGAGTTTTCAAACATTTTGGATCTCAAGATTCCACTCTTAAAAATTATTGAGAATTCTCTGGATCTTTTGCTTATCTTGGTTATATGTTAATATTATTTACTTATTAAAAATTAAAACTGATACATTAAAATGTATTCGTTTATTTAAAATAAATTTATTTTAATTTAGTAAAATTTAACAATTAAAAATTAATATGAATGTTAATAAAAGTTTAAAATTTAAATTATCAAATTTTAACTTGAAAATTTGATAATTTATTAATTCACATAAAATAACATTAATATGCACTTTATATGTTAACATAAATAACTTTTGAAAAAAGTAATTACAATTTGCAAACAAAAATATTTGTTTAGAAGAGTGTCATTGTTTTACATTTTTCCAAATGCGTCTGGTTTAATACAAAACAGCTAGATTCTTATATCTGCTTCTTAATGAAATATTTGCTAATATATTGTTTAGTTAAAATATACGGAGAAAATCTGAGATCACACAGACACTAAGTTGGGAGAGGGAAAAGTATTTTAATAGCTTCTTCAGGTAGTTTTGGATATTCTCTTTTGATACTACACCAATACTTGGCAAGATGATAGTTTTCTGAAGTTCTATTGCAATGTGGAAATCCAGAACCAAGTTAATAAATGCTCCACATTTTGTTACACTTAGAATTCATTGGTCAATCTTGCAATTTGAATGAATCTTTATCCATGAATTGTTTTGAAATATCCTGCATTTGTCATTTGAAATCATGGTTTACTCTCAAGTGAATGTTGATGTATTTTATTATGTAATTTCAAAAATGAGATTCATTAATATCACCACCAATTTTGTCAGAAAAGTTTTTAAGTATTGGAAACCTCTCCAGCTCCATGTAGTAGATGTAAATTTCCAAAATTCTAATTACTATTTGAAAGTTTGATGATACTGTCATTTATTCTTCAAGTAACAAGGTAATTCATTCCTTTCTGAGGCAACATCTATCAAATACCCAAGTCTGAAAAGCCATAGTTTGTCAGTTGGTTATTATAAATAAAAAGCAGTGCTCTAAACAAAGTGGCTAATTTTGCATGCCACTCAATTGCCCAAGTGCTTTTCCTGTGGACAACCATGTAACATCAGTATGGGGCAGAACTGGCTTATGTATATTTACCATTTCTTCATACAGAATATTATAGAGCTATGTAGTCAAGGGTAGAGATTTAATAAAATTAATAATTTCTAAGAATTATTCAAAGACATTCTTTTATTTTTGTCAGTTTGTCAGTGTGAATCAAAGACATTCTTAAGTGAAACTGGCATATCTTTACCGTGTGTTGTGATCAATAATAAAATGCCCGCTAGTAGAATTGGGTGCCACTATGTTTGTTCATTCTAACGCACCAACAATTTTACCTACCATAATTTCTGTAACATCAGTACAAATGTCAACAGAGTGAAAATGTAAAAATGCTCTTAGTTGTATTATAAAAATGGTGTTGACATTGTAGATTCTCTAAACAGGTCTTGATTATCACCGTGGTCCGTAGGCTACACTTTGAATCACTGGTCTAAGGTTATATCTATGTTGGATCACCAATGCCAATATTTAGGCTAAACTATTTTCTTCCTTTGCATTGAATCTGTAGCTTGCTTTGAGCAGCATGGTCACTTTAACAATATTAATTCTTCTGGTCCATGAGCATGTGAAGTTTCTTCATTTGTTTGTGTTATCTACTATTTATTTCATTGATGTTTTGCAGTTTTCCTTGTAGAGATCTTTCACCTCTTGGTTAAATTTATTCCCAGGTATTTTTTTAGAGATACTGTAAATGGGATTGTCTTCTTTATTTTTGTTCTCAGCAAGATCATTATTGGGGTGTAGAAAGGCTAGTGAGTTTTGCACATTAATTTTTTATCCTAAAATTTCACTGAATTCATTTATTAAACTTAAGAATTTGTTGATGGAATCTTTAGGGTTTCCTAGATATAAGATCACATCATCAGCAGAGATAATTTGACTTCCTCTTTTCCAATCTGGATGTTTTTTATTTAATTATCTTGCCCGATTGCTCTGGCTAGGACTTCCAGTACTATGTTGAACAGGAGTGGGGAAAGTAGGCATCCTTGTCTTGTTCCAGTTTTTAGAGGGAATGCTTTCAACTTTTCCCATTCAATGTGATAATGGCTATGTGGGTTTATAATACACGACCCTTATTGTTTCGATGTATATTCCTTCTATTCCTAGTTTATTGAGAGTTTTTGTCATGAAGGGATGCTGAATCTTATCAAATGCTTTTTCTGTGTCTATTGAGATGATCATATCATTTTTGTCCTTAATTTTGTTTATGTGATGTAGCAGATTAACTTCAATTCTTTCACATAGAATCTTTACAAACTAATTTACAAATCCGAAATTTCATATTTCTTAGGCCCACTCCCACACATTTATAATTTCCCTGCAATTTGAAAGCCCTCAATTTAGACAATCTGAGATATAGCTAATCTTTCCTCTTGTGTTTCCTATTCAAATAACACCCGACTGAGCAGATGGATCAATATGCATCTTTGCCACTAGACACATGTACCTCCTGCCTATGTTAAGGATGTAAGGTCCTCTAATACAGAAAAAAACATTGGATGAGAAGACCTACTTACACGAAAATACCTTAATTTACTTTTATTTATTTTTATTTTTTTGAGACGGAGTCTCACTCTGTCGCCTAGGCCGGAATGCAGTGGCGCCATCTCGGCTCACTGCAAGCTCCGCCTCCTGGGTTCAAGCAGCCTACCGAGTAGCTGGAATTTCAGGCGTCTGCCACCACACCCAGCAAATTTTTGTATTTTTAGTAGAGATGGGGTTTCACCATGTTGGCCAGGCTGGTCTCCCACTTCTGACCTCAGGTGTGCCACCCGCCTCGGCCTCCCAAATTGCTGGGATTACAGGCGTGAGCCACTGAGCCCGGCCCTTTATTTTTTTAATCTCTAACTTAAAGTTTTTAAATTCTTTTTATTTTGATAACATGCCTACAGGAAGAAAAGTTTAATGATGTGTTCTCATTTTACAGATAAGCAAATTTATGCTCAAAGAAGCTGAGACATTGTTGACTCTGTTCTACCTGCTCCTCTGGTCTGGCTCAACCTTCCCAGTGATAGCAAGAACAGAGACAACGCCATCAACAAGCTTCCTGGGTGATTCCATTCTTGGCTGCCCATCAGACACAGAAATCCAAGGGAGTGATGCTCCACCCTTTCTTGGCCTAAGGGTTTCCTCCCTACATGCCTTTTGTTGTTCATAGAATAAGCAATCTAATGTGGCAATAAACTTAAAATCGATATTAAATAAATTAACTTGGGAAGCAGCAGGACTGTAGGATCGCCAAGTTATTAAATATGCATATTTGAATTAATATAGTCATATAAGATAATCTAATTTTCTTTTTTTCTTAATTACACAATTTTTATTCCATATGTTTTCAGCTGTCTACACCAACCCCAGACAAATCCTAAAGTGCTGCCTTGACCAAATTAGATATGTATCTTCAGTTCTTTGCTTTGCCATTTAGTTACAATATATGGAAAATGAGTTTGTATCCCAGACTACTCTGTACGTGACTGGGTACTTAACCTTCTTTTGTCAATAACCTTAGTAACTGTTTCTGTTTTATGCTAATGAAATTATATTATGCTTTCATAATAAAACTTTTGCAAGTACCCAAATATTTACTTCATTGCAGTAGCTTGTTGAGAGCTACCTATTAGTGTCCCGCTGACCTGTTTCATTATTTTTCCACTTCCTTTATACAATTCATTGTATTTTGGTGAACAAGTCTGTTTTTCTAAGATTGTTAAATCTTAATTTTAAAAAGCTAAACTAGACTTAGAAAATATGAATACATTTTGTTGACACGTTCAATTCTTATTGTTTTAATCCATTTTTGTGGTAAACGTTTGCTGATTTCTGTTCTTTTAATCTATTCCTGTTTCTTTTCTTAACAAGATTTTCCTCAATGGTTCAATCTTTCTTCTGTGCTTGGCCTATGTCATTATAGTACTATTGATTCCAGCTATGATTTCAGGGGCACTTATTTGACTCCAGCATGACCAGTCAGAGTACTGCCTTCTACTGGTCTCAGTAATTTGTCGAAAGATGGGAATGTGACCCAGTCATAGCTAATAAAACATCATAAGGATTTTGGCAGACTGCTGGAGAAGAAAAATGTGTTCTTTTTTACTGGCCATGAACTTGGAAGGATAGGACTTTGGATCTGTTGTAGTTTTCATGACATCATGATGGAAAAACTGATCCGAAGATGGAGCCATAACATAGAAAGTAGCAATGGATAGGGAAAAAATAAATCTCGTTGATATATATTTAACCTTGGTTCCAACTATACAAAAAAACTCATCTATGTCTTGCAATTTTTGTTTATTAACTCAATGAATTTATCTCCCCCACTTTTTTCCTCTCCTTAATTCAACTTTATTTGGGTGCTCTTTGATTTGCAGCTGATTTAATGCACACCTGGAGCAAGAGTGCATGGTACTCATGACTTAAATGCTTAATGGCATCAGAGCTTAGTACACGGGGGAAATAACTGAACTATAATTTAGTCAATTTAATTGACTTCTTGCTATTTACAATATCAGTCATTGCAATGTAACTAGGCTCAACTCACAATTCCATTGCTATTTTCCAATCTGTTCTAGTCTATGCATATACGACATTATTTATAATAATAAGAGTAGCCAATTTTCACTTCCATTTGCCTTGTATTTTATATATATCAGAGCATTTTCATATTCATTCTCTAATTTAATCCACAGACAATTCAATGAATTAGGGCAGGTGGCATTTACATTTTACAAATGAGAACGATAAGGAATGTATAGATTGCACGGTGTGTCGAAGTTCATATACCAAGTCCATAGTGAAGTCAAGCAAGACCCCATTTCTAGTTGAAGAGCTTTTTCATTTACTGTCCTATTCCACAGGTTGACTTTTTTGTGTAACCATAAATTCATTTGTAAAATAAATACAAATGCATCCCAAATCTATTTATTTTTAGTAATATGTCATTGAATAATTGCCTCACTAATGTCAGCTTTAGTGAATGGTGAAATTCCACTCTTTCTGCCCTCCTGTGCAAAACTGCAGTGAGTCATGTTTTGTTAACTTTATTTTTCTATCCAAAGTAATAGCTGATTTGCCAGTATTCTTATTCAGATACCAAGGGAAATACTGAAAGTTAGAAAATGCTCCCTCTTCACAAGCACTCTCACTGTTAACCTAGAGCCCTCAAAAAAAAAATGTGTGTTTCAATAATAATGTATTTATTAGTTTCTAACTACTTCTTAAAATGGTTTGAATGGACTCTAATATAAGACCTGCTAGTAGTAATACAAGTGGCTCTGTTAAATGTGCATAATATGGGAGGAAGCAGCTATATGTAAAATAAAATTTCATCTTTTGAGTTTAATTTTTATCTATAAAATGATACCAGTCAAATTTTCTAAGCTTTTCCCCCTATACTGCCAGACAGAAATTCTTCATTTAAACTGTTTTACTTCTTGGCCTGTTGAACAGTACACAGGCATTTTTAATCATCCCTCATACATCTACTCTTCCTCTGTATCTAAGAACCTACACTATCATTTTAAATCAGCTCAGATTCCATATAGCTATTACATAAATCCTATTCTGACTTCTCAGCCAGTCATCTTTCTTTGTTCTTGTTTAAGGAAAAGGTCTCATTAAGGGAAATAAATCTGGGGGACTTCAACATATTAATGCCAAATAAAGTCATGAAACTGAATGAGATCACCCAATAAGTGAGTACAGTTAGAAAACAAACAAACAAACAAACAAAGAGGCCTGAGGACTGAGACCTGGGCATTCCAAATTTAGAAGTTGGACAGATAAAGAGAACCCAAAGGGAAAAAAGACTAAGAAGGAGTAGACAGAAGCTTCAAAGTAAACATTCAAGTGAAAGCAAGAAGTATTCTAAGGAGAAAAGAGTGATCCACTGGGTCAAATACTATTTTTGAATCATGATTAATTTTTACTCCTCTACTCCTGTTATTTATTACTTGATAGAGGAAGATGGGTATCAAGATTAACCAAAAACTTTCTTGACTTTTTCTTTCCACATTTTCTGGGACACCCTAATGACTTTTGGAAAAGCCTTCTCTCATATCCAAATCCCTTACAATTTCTCATTAGCACCCTACAATTAACTTTTTTTTTTTCCTGAGACTGTCGTATACTTAAATTTTCTGTGCTCCCAAGTTCACTATTTAACTAGAGTATAAGAAAGAATGCGGTTATCTCATAAGCATACATTCTATTTTCCTCCAAGAAAACAGTTCACTCTTTCTGGTGAAGGTAAGGCCAGGCACTCCTTCTTTTCCTCCTTCCAGAGTGCCCTGCAGGGTGCTAGGCCACACGTTGCCTAGCAGACACAAGCAGTCAGAACTTCCCCAGGCATAAAGAATGCAATGTTGTAGCAATGTTGTAGCCATGGTTCTTCCCTGACTTAGTAGCATCAGACAAGCCACTAATCTTTTCAATCATTGGAATCTTCATTTTTAAAGTAGGCAATATCAACCTAGCCCAAATAAAATAAGTCATTTATATGATATCATATTGAAAGGTATAGATCATTGAATAATCTAGGTTTGACTAATTAGTGAATCAGTTTTGCATTAATTACAATGCTTGCTTCTACAGTACATCTTCCAAAATTCTCCTAACAGTTCTCTTGCAAAGCTAGAAACATAAGCAAACATGAGCTTACATTTTTTAAGGTTAATACAGATAGTTAAATCTTAGAGACACAGTTTATATCTCTGATTTCTACTTCTGATTTAAAAAAATATTTCACATGGATGTCTGTGCAAACAGCTGAAATAATTTTTTAAAACCCTCAGAGCTAATAAAAGTGATGGAATTATTGTATGGTGCACGTTTATTATAGGAAACAGTTCATATTATGCAGTAAAAGCTGATTTATAGCATGTTATTTATCAAAAGAGGAATGAGAAATCTTTGAGGACTGCCTTGCTAATTTTTCTTTTAGCCTGATGAGAAATAATGCACAATAAAAATGATAAAAATAATTGCCAGATAAGTTGACACTGGTGAGAGGCACATACCATTTACTTATGACATTTCTTTTCCATGAAAAAAATCTTTAATATGTCAAAGACAGTAGAAAAATTGACACTAACATTTTAAATGTTTTTCTTTTTTTGAAACTAAGGAGAGAGATGGGCAAGAGGACCCATATCCGCTCCTGGTCGCACTGAGAGGTGACAGTGTGCTGGCAGTCCTCACAGCCCTCGCTCGCTCTCGGCACCTCCTCTGCCTGGGCTCCCACTTTGGCGGCACTTGAGGAGCCCTTCAGCCCACCACTGCACTGTGGGAGCCCCTTTCTGGGCTGGCCAAGGCCGGAGCCCACTCTCTCAGCTTGCAGGGAGGTGTGGAGGGAGAGGCGCGAGCAGGAACCGGGGCTGCGTGCAGTGCTTGCGGGCCAGCTGGAGTTCCGGGTGGGCGTGGGCTTGGAACAGACGGCCGACCCTGCCAGCCCCGGGCAATGAGGGACTTAGCACCCGGGCCAGCGGCTGTGGAGGGTGTACTGGGTCCCCTAGCAGTGCCAGCCCACTGGCGCTGCTCTCGATTTCTCACCGGGACTTAGCTGCCTTCCCGCGGGGCAGGGCTCGGGACCGGCAGCCCGCCATGCTTGAGCCTCCCACCCCCTCCATGGGCTCCTGTGCGCCTGAGCCTCCCGGATGAGCGCAGCCCCCTGCTCCACGGCGCCCAGTCCCATCGACCACCTAAGGGCTGAGAACTGCGGGCGCGGCACGGGACTGGCAGGCAGCTCCACCTGCAGCCCGGGTGCGGGATCCACTGGGTGAAGCCAGCTGGGGTCCTGAGTCTGTTGGGGCCTTGGAGAACCTTTATGTCTAGCTCAGGGATTGTAAATACACCAATCGGCACTCTGTATCTAGCTCAAGGTTTGTAAACACACCAATCAGCACCCTGTGTCTAGCTCAGGGTTTGTGAATGCACCAATCGACACTCTGTATCTAGCTACTCTGGTGGGGCCTTGGAGGACCTTTGTGTGGACACTCTGTATCTAGTTAATCTAGTGGGGACGTGAAAACCTTTGTGTCTAGCCCAGGGATTGTAAAGGCACCAATCAGCGCCCTGTCAAAACAGACCCCTTGGCTCTACCAATCAGCAGGATGTGGGTGGGGCCAGATAAGAGAATAAAAGCAGGCTGCCCTAGCCAGCAGTGGCAACCCGCTCAGGTCCTCTTCCACACTGTGGAAGCTTTGTTCTTTAACTCTTTGCAATAAATCTTGCTACTGCTCACTCTTTGGGTCCACACTGCTTTTATGAGCTGTAACACTCACGGCGAAGGTCTGCAGCTTCACTCCTGAAGCCAGCAAGACCAGGAGCTCACTGGGAGGAACCAACAACTCCAGACGCGCTGCCTTAAGAGCTGTAACACTCACCGTGAAGGTCTGTGGCTTCACTCCTGAGCCAGCGAGACCACGAACCCACCAGAAGGAAGAAACTCTGAACACATCCAAACATCAGAAGGAACAAACTCCAGACGCACCACCTTAAGAGCTGTAACACTCACCGCGAGGGTCCGCGGCTTCATTCTTGAAGTCAGTGAGACCAAGAACCCACCAATTCCGGACACAGCTGGGTGCTGTGCCCAGGGTTTTACATGGGTTTTTCTTGTGGGTCAACTCTCTTTAGGCATTCCTATGAGATGGACAGACTAATACAGTGAATTAAGCTGAAGCTCTCCCTTAGCCCTGATATTTTCTGTTAGTGATTTTCCATCCACTACCCTCCACTGCGCTTCTTGGCTATATATTTCTACCTGCCCATGTTGTATTTGGAATTGAGCCCACTTCTATACTGAGGTATGTTCCCTTCATGGAAGAGTTTCTGAATAAATCTGATTTTACCACTTTCCTGTCCAGCTCTGGTTTTCCTTTGACAGGTCTTCCAGAAGACTCAGTTGCCAGAACTGCATTATAAATTCAGAATGGAATAAATTGTAAATATTACTTAATACCTAACTATAGTTCCTGCCTCCTTAAGTAAAGACAGAAGAGCTCAGGATATCAGAATAGTGAAGTAATTCACTTGGTAAAAGAAATAAAAAGAAGTTAAAAATCCCTTTTTTCCTGAATTTACCTAGAAGCTAATCTTAGATATCTCTAAATCCATATGTACCTATTGGTAACAAGGAATAAGAACTTCATAAGATTATTAAGAGAATTAAATAAAATAAACAGTATCTACAGAGAGCATCTATACACCAGGCCCTCAGGAGATGGCCTGAGCAGAGGAGACCATAAATATTAGTCTCCTTCCCTGCTCTTTAGCTTACTTTGTAGGAGAAATGAAAAGGACTGGAAATCAGGCATATAATCTAAAAAGAAACTCAAAGTCCTAAGAAAGGTCACTTAAAAAATCAGAAAGTCCATGGTTGTGAATTGTAGTACTGAAAAGGAGGACAAGATGTGTTTACTCTTGTGGTGGTCACACTTTCATTCACCCAAAGCACATGAAGAAATCACACTTCCCTGTGAAATTCTGGGCTCTACAGCCAAAATTTTATCTCTTTCTATCTTATCAGAAGAAAAAAAAAATCAAAAGACTCAAAAAAAATCAAATTACTCAAGTAATCATATTATGCAGTTTAATTTATAGTTTTTTATTTTATTTTGTTAAAAGTAATTATTTGCAAACTTGGGCATGTTACTATTGTTTGTTGCAAAACATGAGAAAGGGACCTCACAACTAACCTCAGCACAGGCAAATGCAAGACCCCCAAGATCTAGGACCATTTCCTGAGTCACTATGAGGCCTTGAAGCAGTACTGCTTCAGAAGTTTTCAAAATATGTTTTCCTCATTAGCCGAGTTCGACAATGATTACCTTGCTATGAGCTGAATTTACATGGATAGAAAGCATGGAAAACAACATATAGGTCACTAGTGGGAAGAACTAAGGGCTTAACTTATTTATAAGGCAAATTTAAATGTTTTAGAAAATACTGAAATGGCAAGGCATACAAGGGAATATAAGACATACAATGCTTACAAGAAGGTGGACAAATAAAGGGAAACATGCCACTGTTCTTGGCTGATTCTCTATACTCTTATTTGCCAAATATCAGGTTTGTGTCATCCTCTATATTTCCTTTCAGATCTACATATTCTGTTATTCTAGATCATGAAGCTTAACTTCCTTGAAGATATGCAGGCTATCATATAATAGCATGAAATATATAATTTTAATTTTCTGATCTTTTAAGCCATTATCCCAATAGAAATTTTGCCTGCCTTTTCAGCATATATGCGTTGAGATTGTGGTGTTTTGTCTTCAGTTATTCAAAATTCATCATTAAGTAACCCCTATGTTTCAGGAACCATTCTGAATTTAGAAAGCCCTGAACAATTATCTCAAGAAGTTTTCATTCAGATCCATTTCTGTTAATTCTGGGAAAGACAAAAAGGTTTAGGATTTGTGAACCTAATATTAGGGGAAATGGTACCCCACAGTCATGGAAAGTTAAAATTGAAAGCATTTCTGGCAAGCAACAGTCTCTCTTTGTTTTTTAAGCATTGAGATTATGTATATTTGATGAAAGCTAATTTACTTTAATTCAATTTCCAATAGTTTATAATAATATTGGCTTTTCCCTCCTAATGTCTATTGAGTTAAAATAAAGTATTACAAAAACAAATAGAATGTAGCACATAACCAATAGAAATTAAATTGGAAAGATAATTACAGATCTTCAATCAGACTGTCCCTTCTGATGGGACTATAGGGAAGCAAACTTGTCAAGGGACATGACATTGCACCTTATGTTCTACTCTGGCTTTCTTTCTCTCCAACCCCTCCTCTCCACCATTGGCACCTGGCCAGTTAATGGCTACATTGCATGTTGAAAATTGGGTTGCCACTGATTTCCAGACAATTGCTTCAGAAAAGGGTTCTGTCTTTATTCACAAGGACTTAATTGAAAATCTCTTGTCTCTCTGTTAGAGGGAGCCTGGTGATAACTCTGATGCAGATGGAGCCATAAAGAACCCTCCCCTCAGGATCTCAGCATGCTGGAGAATCATTCTGGAGGTTTTTCACAGGTCTTTAATCATAATCAACCCAAGGAACTGCAGCCAGTCTCATTGCATAAACTGTTTATTTTAGTTTTAGTGTTTGTTTGTAATTACTTGTTATCCTCAACTACTGTCACGCTGTCAACATATTAACTTCAGCAGTTATCAGGAGGGAATTATTCTGAAAAATAAATAGGGCATCTCTGTCAGGACTTCAGAGATAGAAAATAGAAAAGTAGAAAGAGCCAAATGAAATTCTTTTCCCTACCCCAAAGCCCCCAGTGGAGTTGGAACAATGGATTAAAAGGCAATCCTTTCATGAAGTTGCAATATAAGTAGCTAAAAGAGTGTTACAGAATAATAAGATTAGAAAATTTCTTGGAATGGGCTTTAGAAATAATCTAGCCAAACCCTTTACCTAAAGTAGAATTTCTTACTATTGCATTTCTCATAAATAATCATCTTTCATATCCATTTGAATGCCCAAATAAATAACTCTAAAAATATTCCAAATTAACTTACTAATCTCCACTGCTCTTCCCATAGCCCAAGCTACCAATATTTCCCAATTGAGCTATTGCAATCTCCTCCTAAATGTTAGTTACTTTTTTTCTCTCTCAGCTTCCTTAATCTATTTTCCTTTCAGCAACTGGAGTAATCTCCTTAAAGAAACAAACCCAGGCCTCTTCTTTTCTTCAATGACCACTTTCTTATAATACAATGAAGACTAAAATCTCACAGAGCTGAGCATGATCTGGATCCTGCCAAACCTTCTAGTTTCATCTAAGAACATGCTTCCCCATATTTTACGTCTCCATCCATATTGGTTTTACTTTACTTTCTCATTTGCAATGAGCAACATTTGTACTTAAGTTCCCTGATCCTGCACTTTCTTAGCTTTTCTTTTGACAATCAGGTCTCAGCTAGAGCTCACCTCAACACAAAGCAGCCTTCTCAGAACCTCCTAGACTAATCTAATTCTCCCACCATTATTATAGATCTTGCACTTTTCTTTCATTAATTTATTATAATTGGAATTTAAATAATTATTTGTATATGGATTTTATATCTTTCCCTCCACGAAGCTATCGGCTCCATAAAGTTACAGAATGTTCCTGTCTTAGACACCACTATATCTCTGGCACTTTGAAAAGCAGTCTGGCTCAATAAACATTGGTTAATCAAAAGAATGGATAAATAAATGGCATTTATTTTTTAAAAAATCATTATTAACTATTATTTTGTGAGCCTGTTCATCCTGTGAATAGGACTACAAATTCGATCATTTCTTTCTTATGTTGCTTCTTTGGAACTGTGCACAGCTGGTCCTATACATGTTTGAGGACAGCACATTTCCCTGAAGCATATATTGTTATTTTTTAAGATGATATTGATTTGTAACTTTATCCACTGTATATGGAATCCGGTTTCAACCTTTAGCTGCCCTCCTCTAGATCTCTAGATTTCTGTGGTACTTCAGGGATTAATATTTAAACCATTATACACATTGATTTGAACTTGCTCAATTCACATATGGAAGTAAATGTCAGAGCCGATCTACTCTTAAGGTAATTTTTCCTCCATTTGTTTGAAGCAGTTACATTCTTTTTTTTTTTTTTTTTTCTTTTAGACGGAGTCTCGCTCTGTCGCCCAGGCTGGAGTGCTGGCGTGGAGTGGCGCCATCTGGCTCACTGCAAGCTCCACCTCCCGGGTTCACGCCATTCTCCTGCCTCAGCCTCCCGAGTAGCTGGGACTACAGGCACCCGCCCCCACGCCCAGCTAATTTTTTGTATTTTTTTAGTAGAGACGGGGTTTTACTGTGTTAGCCAGGATGGTCTCGATCTCCTGACCTCGTGATCCGCCCGCCTCGGCCTCCCAGAGTGCTGGGATTACAGGTGTGAGCCACCGCGTCCGGCCAGCATTCTTTCTTCTCCTCCAAACTCTCTTATGTTTTCCCGTTAGTTTCCTATATTGGAATTATTACCTCTGACTGTGTCCACACTTCTGTTCTCTACTTCATTCTGTTAATTTTGCATGCATTCCCTTGGTAGTTTTGTCTTCTCCCGTAGGTTTCCGTAGCACCAATTTTTTTAAAAATTTACTATTAATCTTTAATGGAAAGTAGAAACAATAAAAAAAGCAAACAGCCTCATGTGTCATGATTTGTCAACTATAAAGCATCATACAAATGTATGTTAGTGTTGATAATGATGAAGTGGTGATGATGGCGATGGTGAAGAAAAAAAAGAAACAGTTGTTATATCCACAGAGAAGCACCAAGCTTCACTTCTAGTCTTTAATTTTTAATTACACAGACAATCAGCCTTGACTAATCCCAGACTAGTTTTGAAAATGTTAGAGTATAACATGGCTGGCTGCTTGGTCTGAAAGTCTAAGCTCCTGACTAAATATAAGCTGACCACATACATGTATTCTATTGGATTAACAAGAGCTCAGTTACGTATCTATTCTTTGATGTTGAAATTTATTGGAAGGCAGAAAGATCCAGAATGTCATGAAGTCTAACTGGAAATACCCTGGGAATAACTAGTTCTTTTTTTAAGCATAGAACACTGACAACATCTGGGTCCTTTTTAGAATCAGAATATCTAAAACACTGCAGTGATTTTAGCCAGTTACAAAATGTGAAAAATTTGAATTCAGATTTAACTCATTAAAGATTTCCCATCTGAAATTCTGCAGCAATAATGAAAATAAGCACTAACTTATGTACCTCAGGCCTAGAGGAAATCATACCAATAAGCTACAAATAGCTAACTCTGGTTTCTCCCTTGGTTACTAGTACCAATTACTGATGACTGTCATTCTTTCTTTCTTTCTTTCATACCCATCTCCTGAGTTACAGAGGGAATATGATGTATTTAAACAGCTATTTGAAAGTGTTTCCCATGATGCTGTTTTACAATACACAAAAATGTTAACTGGATGCTAGTGCTACCAGATGTTTCTGCGGTTTGTTGAACAATGTACTCACAGCACGGAAAACTGGGCTTCTGCTCAATGTCATTTTGGCCATCCAAATGCCAGGAGTCATGGGACTTTTTCTGTAACCACACTAACAGCCCTATTTATTTATTTTGTAATTTTTATCTGACTTATTAAAAAGATTACAAAGAAGGCATGAAAACAATGCAAGAAACACAAATCATGAAGCCCACATGCAGAAAATATAGGATATCATAGTCAGAATTAGATAGAGTTGAAAATAGGGTCAAAATTAAAAGCATGAATTTTAATTAGGATTATAATTAGGATAAACGTTAAGTCTTCTACTTGGGTGCAAACAATCAGTAAAAATGCCAAGATGCTTGAGATTTTTATCTGTAAACCAGTTTATACAAAATGAGAAAGCAGTTCATTAGATTGCATGCTCAGCATGAACGAACAGTGATATGGTATAGTTACAAAAAGTAAATGCAATTTTGAGTGGCATAATATAAAAACTAAAAATAAGAAAGTCAGAAATTGCACTGTTCTTGGCCCTGATAAGATAACATCTGTAGTCTCGTGTGCAGTTTTAGGCATTGTGTTTTACGGAAAATACTTATGGAAGGATGAACTGATATGGAAGACCAATGAGCAACATTGTCTAGTATCATCATTTCCTGTTTGCACATTGACAAGATAAAAAATGAAAAACTTTGTTAAAAAGAATAATGGCTAAAAGGATGGAGGCATTATTTATTTTGTAAACAATTCCTGGGACTTGGGACATGATTTTTCTTAAAGTGGCTTTTCAAACCACATATGAAAGTTTTCTTGCTGAACCATCTTTTTCTTTATTTTGTTTTCAGGATTGATTCTTCTGACACTGCTGATTACATGAATGTTTTCATACTTCCTCACTTTCTCTATATTGGGTGTCCTAGAATCTCAAAGTCATGCTATTGTCAGGCATTTTGAAATGTTATGCCCTTTTTATTTATAAAACAAAACAAAATAAAAATCTCTAACATTTTATTTCCAGCTTTTTTTGTGTGTGTGTGGCAGTATACTATATGCTTTGGAGTGAGATAGTCTTTAGAGAGTAATGGCTCTGCCCTCTACCAGAACCTGGCCCTGGGCAAAGCCTTTACCTTGCTAAATCTTAATTTCCACTTCTGTAAGTTGGAGACAATAGTGTCACTCATTCCTTCATTCACATATAATTTTAATTAAATATTCATTAACAACCACCATAGGCATTGTACATCTACTACGATAAAACAAACATTAGATTATCTGCGTATTTATCGTTAGTAAATTCCAATGACTTCATCATTCCAACCTATTTTTTGTTCAAATATATTGGCTTCTTTTGTTAAATTAAACTGAATATGCCAAATTTTCTCAGTCTCATATTATCCACAGAAAGGAACTTAGATCCACCTTATTTAATACTAAAATGAATTAACAATATGAAGTAGAAGTTTGTTATTCTGACCACTTAGAGATCTTATATTGCTTTGAGGTATCTGACCCGGTTTGATTTGATATTGTTTGTCACTGAATACTGTATGTTGGTGTGAGTGTTTGATCTGATATTGTTTGTTGCTGGATACTATATGGCCATGTGAGTATGTTTGCAGTGGCTTGTAAACAATGGGAGCTCTTCATTTCTGTGCAGCTTTCCTGTTAGTTTTCTGTAAGTGGAGCAGAAATTTAGTATGCATTCTTTTGACTATTGTGGTATTATAGGATGCAGGGGTTTCCTTGGCAACTCCACCTAATTTAAGCAGTATAAAATAATACAGCATGTTTTATGGGGCAATTAATACATGCTTTGGTACATTCCAACCTGATGCTATTTGCTGCCCGTGGTATTTATTAATAGTCCTATAAAGCATTTTGCAAACAACATTGCTTTGATAAAAATAAAAACATTAATTGAAAAAATTCAATTCCAGTAACAACTCTGTTTTAATTAACTTTCAAAATATGTTTCCTCTTTAAGAAACAGAAGTTGTTATATTGGCTAGCATAGAACTGGATCCTGAATAGGACAAAGTACAGGTAAGTATTGAGAAGTTGTGCTGCTGTTAAGAAAGCCTGTTAACATCGTAATTTTAGTTACATTCAAGCCTAAAAGGAAAACATGAGCCGAAAGGACTTGACACATACTTATTAGTGAATGAATCAAGCCATTTATAAGTGAATTGAAGAATAGAGCCACATCTGGTGGATTATACATCACAACAAAAAATGAGAATAAGTTTTTAAAGTCAGGATGTCCCAAGGGAAGTTTTTACAAAGCATCAGCACTTTCAGGATAACAAAATACAGATCAAGCGTAAATTGTACAAGAAAGAACATTCACTCCAACATGGATTAAGACTTATTTTCTTAAGAAATTAAAGAGGCTGGGTGTGGTGGCTCAAGCTTGTAATCTCAGCACTTTGGGAGGCCAAGGTGGGTGGATCACTTGAGGTTAGGAGTTCAAGACCAGCCTGACCAACATGGTGAAACCCCGTCTCTACTAAAAATACAAAAAATGAGCTAGGCATGTTGGTGAGCACCTGTAATCCCAGCTACCTGGGAGGCTGAGGCAGGAAAATCGCTTGAACCCAGGAGGCGGAGATTGCAGTGAGCTGAGATTGCGCCACTGCACTCCAGCCTGGGCGACAAGAGTGAAACTGTGCCTCAAAACTAAAAAAAAAAAAAAAAAAAAAAAAATTGAAAAAAAAAGAAATTAAAGATAAATGCATTCTAGGTATCCCCAAGGGTTTTTCCATATTAAACACAATAAATGATTAACTCATGGCCTTGGTCCCGAAAGTAAGTGTCAACTGTCACAGCCCACTGTGACTATGACCAGAGTATGCTGACTCAACTCACTTGAGGGTCTTTACCATCATCAGCTTACCAGAACTAATAACCTCTGATTCCTGTTTTAATTTGCAGGCATAAATTTTAAAACCTGGAATTTGTAATTCTCTGTTTTCCTAGATATTCCCTAATCAGGCACACATGAGATAGTGCGCAGGGCAGTGTGAGGCCATTGGAAAGGGAACAAGGATTTTTAATGGTGAGGCTTGACAATTATTGCAATTTTCATCAGCAAAAATTATTTTAAAAAGCAAAAGCACAGCAAAAAGCAAAAGAAAACATCCACCTTTCTCTGAATACAAAAATTTAAGACTAAAGACCAAGATTCTAGACCAATGGTTCTAAATAGTTTATGTGAGTTACATCTATTGACTTTTACCATATTAAAAACTAAAATTAAGAATTTTTATCACATTTATTAATTCATGTTAAAATAACAATTATGAATCTGTTACAAGTTAACATAAATAACTTTTTATGAAAAATAAATTTTCTAAAACAGAGCAAATTTGTGAGAACAGTATTGCTTTACATTTCTTCAAATCTCATTAATATCTGGCCAAATATAAGAGAATTGGAGCCTGATTACCTATTTTTGAAATGTAATATGTTGCAAGATATTATTTAGTTGAAATACATGAAGACTCTCTGAGCTCACAAAGTTGAAAAAGAGAGTATTTCAACAGCCTTTCCAAGTGATTATGGATATTCTTTTTTGCTTTTGTACCAAAACTTGACTAAAATAAGCTCTAATGTAGAATCTAAAATCACATGAGTAAATGTCATATATTATATTACATTTAAATTTATTTTTCTAGATTGCATTTCAAATGAATCTTGTACTCATGCCTGATTTTGTAACATCATGTAGTCATCATTTGGAAAATATTGGCTCACTGAGCTATGCTTATCTTACAAATGTTAACACATTGATTATATAATATCAAAGAATCACACTTATTGATGTCACTACCCAGCTCATAAGACAAATCTTTATGTGTAGGGAGGCTGCAAAGTCAGGATGCAGATAAAAGCTTTCAAAATTTCTAACTGTCCCTTACTCAAACTTTATTGCTGACTACAAATACTGCTCATGCTTTCCTTTCAATGGACAGGCTAGCTTTAATACAATTTTGAGAAATTGTCTACCAGCCTTTCACTGAATACTCATAGTTTGTTTGTCAGTCATACTTTCAGGTAAAAATAGTGTTTTACGAAAAAAGCCACTCACCATTTAACGACACAAGTACTTGTTCTCAAGTACTTTGCACTTCATGTCACAAAAGTGTTTTAGGTTCACGTCTCATTTCATTGACAGATTAAAGAGATAGGTAATCAAAAGTGGAGATTTAATAAAATTAATATATATATATATATATATATATATATATTTTACAAATCCATTAAAAGCATTCTTAAATTAAACTGGCTTTTTAAAGTTTATTTTGGTCGGGCACAGTGACTCATGCTTGTAATCCCAGCACTTTGGGAGGCTGAGACAGGAGGAACACTTGAGGTCAAGAGTTCGAGACCAGCCTGACCAACATGGTAAAACCTCATCTCTACTAATAATAGAAAAAATAGCCAGGTGTGGTGGCACACACCTGTAATCCCAGCTACTTGGGAGGATGAGGCAGGAGAATCACTTGAATCCGGGAGGCAGAGGTTGCAGTGAGCTGTGATTGTGCCATTGCACTCCACCCTGGGCAACAAGAGTGAGACTCGGTCTCAAAAAAAAGAGAAGAAAAAAAGAATTTATTTTTACTTTTATTTTTTTCAGGCCTGCATGACCATGAAGAACACAATGGCAATAAATGCAACTTGTGGCACTGCGTTGATTTGTGCTAACGGGCCAGCAACTTTCACCTCATTTGCTTTTACATAATCAGTGTAAATGTCCGCACAGTGAAATAAGCTAGTAGCAAGTTACTATTATGAAAATAGCTTTGACTTCATAAGATCTCAGGGGTCTGTGGACCACACTTTGAGTGTAACTATTCTAGATTAACACTTTGCAAAGCAATTAGACTAAATTTGCTTGACTTTAGAAAATAAATGATTACTGCATTTGCAAAGGCTAATAGTTATAAAATTTGTAATATTTCTCTAATAGCTGAGTCCATACTTAAGCAATACTGAGAAAATTCAGGAGAGTAAATTATAAACAGGATTTTCTAGGCTAGCGGGTTAAAAGAATTATTATTCTCTGAAGGAAATAACTTTTTATCATGGTAACTTTAAAGAATTACTGCTGTGATATATTTATGAAGGGTGCGTGGCTTTAAATTATATATTGTATTAATTGTAACTGTTCATATTTTCTTTCTTTCTTGTCTGGACTTCATTATCCCTGTGGCATTGGCCTTTCAAATTATGTATCTTTGAATCTTTCAATTTATAAATTTGTTACCTTAAATTTCAAAAAAGAAAGCCATTTTAATCTGGGTAATTTCTTCCTTTCAATATTCTTGACAAGACATGGACCTTAGACTCCTCTGTTTTCTTGGTGAATAGGTCACTCATTTCATACATTTTAAGCAGCCTTGAATAAAGTCTTGTGTTCAGAGAACACTTCTGATATTTTAAAATATAGTAGGCTGGGTGCAGTGGCTCATTCCTGTAATTCCAGCACTTTGGGAAACCAAGGCAGGCGGATCACCTGAGGTCAGGAGTTCGAGACCAGCCTGGCTAATGTGGTGAAATCCCATCTCTACTAAAAATACAAAAATTAGCTGGACATGGTGGCAGGTGCCTGTAATCCCAACTACTGAGGAGGCGAAGGGAGGAGAATTGCTTGAACCCGGGAAGCAGAGGTTGCAGTGAGCCAAGATCGCACCACTGCACTCCAGCCTGGGTGGCAAGAGCGAAACTCCGTCTCAAACAAAAACAAAACAAAACAAAACAAAAAATAGTATTTGAAACTGTTTATCCTGAGTGAGAATAAAAACATAAAACAAAACATTTATAGTGCTTGTGCTTTTGTTATTTACGAGAACCCTTGTCCCTTAGAAGCACAAAGCCTAGAGGCAAGATTACTTTAACACAAAGTGAATGTGTGTGTGTGTGTGTGTGTGTGTGTGTGTGTGTAATCTGAAGGAAAATAAATTAGATGTGAGTTTCCTTGAGGACTTCAGCAGGTAATGGTGTAGGTAACAGTCAATGCTAAAGATGTTAAAGAAGGCTTTCTGATTATCCTGGCTTATAGAGAAATGAAAAGCAATTCAAAGCTAGTTCCTGGCATATGTGGATGATGTGTTTGAAAGAGCCCCGCAGATCCTAATGAGCTGTCGGTTGGCCAGCTAGTCAGAATTCTCAGTATGCCAGAATAAATACGAACAAAGGATTAATGAATTCCTGGAAGACTTAGCATGGCATCTTTCAAGGTTGTTTTGCTCAATGGAGCAAAAGCAAAATCATTTAGCATCCATTCTCTCGCCTCAGAGTTGCACAAGATAACTGAGAAGAGTGAGTTACTGCTGAGAAGAACTAAAATATTAACATGAAGGTCTGTATCACAGATGCTGGATATTTACCATACTCAGAGGTCTGCATTCTGCTAAAACACATCAAGAGGATCTGGAAAATGATGTACTTCATAGAAAAGAGAGATTATGCACTCATGCAAAAAATACACATAGAGGACATGTAAAGTCATATTTTTTTGTAGAGATTTTATTCCCCCATCCTATTGTTAAAGGGAAGATCCACAGTTCTGTCTTTAAAGACGAAACCTGATTCTATATCTTATTTCAGTGTCGATTTCATGATAAAAATATCTAAAATTAAACAAACTTAAGTAAATATCTTTTGAATTAATAAGTTGGCAAAAAAGAATTCGTTTTTTTTTTCATGATGAATAAGAGGGAAAGGCATAGTTAACACATTATCAGTTAAAAGTTTGATTAAACTGAAAAGTAGGCCATCTTTGTTCAGCAGAGTTTCCTCTTTAAACTACCTTTGCCCTATTTTTTAAATACCAGAAAAAATGGTAGGACATGTAATTTGTTCATGTAAATCATCAACTGTGTGGAAAAATTCATCAAAGACTGGGCTCAATAAAAGATCTTAGCTCTAAAAACAGCCAGAATATAATTATACTGTTCTATTCAGACAGGCTCTTTACTAGTAACAGTTACTAAATATAAAATAATATTGATACCAGAAATGCTGACCTCAAGCTTTACAGTAAAGATCTGGATTTCCCAAGCTTTCTAGCAACGTTAAAATAAAAAGAGAGCTTTGTTTAGAATGTACGCACATTGGGTGAAATTTTGGATTCAAACTGGTCTTGTTTTCAAGGATTTCAACACACTGTTGAGATAGGATAGGCAAAACAAAATGTAAAGGTCATAGATACTTATTGCATTATGTGATTAATAGAAATATGAAATTCGAGAAATTATTCTGACTATATTGTGTTTTGAAAATCATCTGATTTGAGTCATAAAATTTTAGTGTTGGAAGGAAACTCAGAGAAAATCACAGCCAAATGCCCTATTCAGATTAAAAAATAGGGGCACGGTTAAAAGACTTGACCAAAGTTCTGTAACTAGAGAAAGATTTAAATTCAAGCTTCCTAAATCCCAGTATTATTTGCTCTCCACCACACTAAGCTGCCCAATCACATGTGATGTGTAGTTTTGTTAAGTAAGGCTTCAGTTTGAGCCATGAAACTGGGGAATTTCAAATAAATTCCAAAGCTACCCTGAATATTTGTTTTTACTTAGTCATGAAAAGCCAGTTCTAAATGAAATCTTGTAGCACTTACCCACTTGGATGAATGTTCAACCTTTCCCATCTCACCTGTATGAGGCTACTTTGTAGAACTGATTTCTACCAGCCTTGAATACAGTTTTGTATGAATATATGTGTCATAAAATAACTGTCTAATATAAGGTTTGATAGAAGAAATAACAACCAATGTTAAATAGATCAGTAGAATGACTAGTTTACAGTAATCTATTACATATTTCAAGATAGCTAGAAGACAATAATTTGAATGGCTCTAGATTAAAGAAAACACACATATTTAATGTGATAAATATCCCAAGTAAACTGATTTGATCTTTATAACTTATATATATAATATATATATAATTTGTATATATGTTATATATATTATATATAATATATATAATTTGTATATATGTTATATATATTATATATAATATATATAATTTGTATATATGTTATATATTAATATATGATATACATAATTTGTATATGTTATATATAATTTGTATATGTTATATATAACATATATGTATAAGTTATATATGTTACATATATGTATATATAAGTTACATATGTTATATATGTTATATATATGTTATACATAACATATATATTAAATTATCAAAACTATGTATATCTATTATGTATCAATTAAAAAAAATCCCAAAATCCCGAGAATAACTGTCTAAAGAAAGAGATTATTTAAGAATTGTAAGGTAACTTTTAATGAGGTGTTTTGGGGCTGTATTAATAAATAATGGGGCTCATTGTTATGGGCTATTACAAATACTGTCAAAACTAATAACCCACAGAAAAGAAATCATTGCTTGCCTTTATAGTACAACTCCTCTAGTGCACTTGCAAAGTAATCTAAGAAAGACATGCTCATTAGTTGCTCATTACTTAGCTGGCTAATTGCTGTTCACACCAGCAACACAAATCACAGAAAAAACTTATTAAAGTAACCTATTAATTTTTTTTTTTCCTGAAGAGCTTCATTATACAATATCTTCTCCTAATTAACGTAATCAGCACCATAAAAATCCAAGATGAAAGAGAACCATTAGGTCATCTGTATTCAACTACCTGGAAATAGAGAGGCTATTCTCTGCAATGACCAGTCCATTAATCTCAAGCAAGGAATCTCACTGACCTCACTATAAATAACTGCTTGCCTTTCAAAAACCCCTACCTATGACGTTAAATTTCTTTACTCCATAGAAATTTTCTTGGCTTTCTTCAAGAGGAGAATAGGTGCTAAATTTCAGAGTAATTTCTCTACATGAACCTTCTAATGCCTTCTCACTAATTCCAATATGAAGCCCATAAACCTTCAGATACAAAATCTAAACTTTTTATTTTGCCTGGTTTTACACGTTGTGACTCCAGACTGCCTTTCTAGTTTCAGCCTCCTAGCATTGTCTGCTCTCTAAATCTGAACTTGAAGCTTCAGATAAATATTTTCAATTTTTATCTTTCCAAAAAGTGGTATAATTTTTCCCTAGCTTTGCCTTAGTTTCTGCCATTCTCTCACTTTGGGATGATAGACTCATTCCTTTCAACTTTAGAAATGTGCAGAAAATTATAGATTTTGTCTGGAAAGTTAGAGTAGATGACCTCAAAAGCCTCTTTTAATTCTTAGATATGATTGTTTCTTATTCATCCCTGAGGGATCACCTAGCTTTAGGCTGCAGACCAAATAAAAGATCTAGAAAGAGATGATTACCACAGACTTAAAATTACTTAAATGCTATTCTTGATTCTTGAGTATTATCCATAGTTTTCCACTGAATATTAAATGCAGCACCATCTATAGCCAATAATAACATTTTTTTATGTGTACAAAATTTCACATTGAAGTCATATTTGTAGAAGATATGTAGATGTAAGGATATGTAAAGTAGGGCCACAGCCAGAAAACAAAGGACTACACTAGTGTTGAATGGTTTTACAAATGACCAAGATGAGACAGAACCATATGTTAGTGATCCAGGAAAGTCTCCAAGATTGTAAAGATCTGACAAGAGTTCCAAAACTTACATACAGTCAAATGGTTGAACTCCATATTTAGCTTCCTTAATGATGAGATCTAAAGTTGTTTTGAAAGAAGTAAATTTAAAAATAAATAAAATTATAAATATCTAATAACTAAAAATAAATATCACTGCATTAAAAATCCACATATTGTCATGGCTTAGTTGAAAAATATGTCATGTCAATCCAAATATTGTCATGCCTTAGTTGAAACGGAATGGAAGGATTCGTTTGCAAAGCATGACAAGGTGCTAGAATGTTGAGTATATAATTACTGATTAAAAGACATCAAAGTCAAAAGAACATATATAAAATGATGAAGAAATAAATGAGCAAATATCATGAAAACTAAGTTATTCAGAGAATGCAAAGATCTAGATCTATTTCAAGCGAGAATTGGGTAAATAAAGTAAATATGAGCTACTTATGTATGAATATTGAATCATTCTTCATAAATATGAAAGTCATGGGGCTACGGGTACATAAAGAAGATACTTGGAAGCAGAAGAAAACACAGCTACCTATAAATATGCAAGATGTATGGTAAGTGAGATAGAAGCAACTTTTCATAGTAGATTGCATTGGTACAGAAATTATTGGTGCTGTTCACTGACTATTTCTGGCTCTCTGAAACCAGGACATAATAGTATTTTACATCCTAGAGACTTTGAAAATAGCTATGACTATGTGACTCACTTTGGTCAATGACATGTGAGTCGCATTTTAAAGGCTAGTGTACATGTCTCCATATTCCCATTTTCCTGCGTTGAACATCACAGTAGTCCAGAAATGGAGCTTCCCTCAGCTTGTGTCTCTTAGTGAGGATCATGGGAAGTAGAATTGTCTGCCAACTTAAGATTGACAAGAGTATAGACAAAAAATCAAGTTTTGTTGTTTTAAGTCCTTTAAAGTCATTAGAAGAACATTTTCAGCATAAACTGGTTCATATTGAATGAGTAAAATGGCATCTTTGGCTTGGAGAATTTTGTTAGAATGTCCCCATTTCTTTACTGTACCTCTCTTACATGGTAATATAGTAAAGTGATTGATTTTAAGTGTTCTACTCCTAGGAACTTTCCTCTCTCAGAGACAGAATGCATATCTTTATTTTATATCCTTAGGGTTTAACAAAACTTCTGGCATTTAGCAAGATCTTCAATGTGTTTTATGGAAGGGGAGAAAAGGGGAAAGAAAGGAAGAAATTAAAGAAAGGTGGATCGATGCAAGTCTCCCAGGCTATTCATGCTGATTGGATAGACTGATTTATTCAAGAGTTTGTGACTTATATTTATCCTGCCCAGAGACAAATCTACTCTTAAAAAAGCCCTTCATAAGCTTTAATGTTGTAATCATACAGAGTATTTCTCAAAAAGTAAATTTTGTAAACCTTTCAGCCTGTTGACAAGTTTTACAGAAAATTAAACTATTAAGTTTCTAATGAATGTCAATATGTGCTTTAAACCATATTCTGTTTTATTTGTACAGCCACCTCAATGAATATTAGATCCTAAAGTTAGGTTCATGTTAGTATCTAGTTCAGTCCACATGAAAGTGGCTTTATGGCAAAAGAAAGTATAGAAGAATAGAATTAGTTTTTGTTTGGCATATACAAACTTGCAAAAAATCATTGGCAGATAGTAGCGTAGTAAGAATAAATAGAGAGTTTTTACTAAAGTTTATTTTTACATACTCAGTATTTTCTTTTGAAGGTGCCTATTTAATAGGTTCTCTTATTAAAATAAACATCATTGGTTGAATTGACTTTATCGTTAACAAAGAAGAATTAAGAAAATAATCATTGAAAGAATTCCAATAATAGGCCATGTATTTTGAAAGAAAAAGTAGTGGTGGAGTTACATCTGTAGATGGATTTTTCTAATATCAACAGCTTTAGAAAAGTATCATTGTCCATTATTCTGAATTTTTTTGGCATTGCAGTTTTATGTTTTATTCTTTTAAGTTTAATAATAATATAAAAATTAGGAAAATAATTCATGTCTAAACTTATATTTGTACATATTTTCAATATATCAAAAACAGCCATATAAGTCAATACTGAGCATCTACAAAGATAGTCCCTCTTTAAAAAGATGCTATGTATTATTCAAATTTGACAGAAACCATTCAGTAAAAGAAATAAATTCATTTAGTAACCTTCTGGTGAAAGTTAGTACTCCAAAAATAAAAATAAAAGTCAAAGTAGTGGGGATCTAGACTAGATTGCAGCTCTGACTCAGGCGGACAGAGCAGCATGTGGAGGCTTGCGTCATGATACTTTGCTGCAGAACGACTGTAAAAATAAGTCAGGAAACCCAAGAGGACCCACAGACGCTCTGAAGGAAGCAGATTGCTCCTGCAGGACTGGAAAGACACCACAATACTGTGAGTGCCCAAACTGTGGAAGTGGGAATGGGAGATCATCCACCCCAGAACACATATCCCCACTGGGGAAACTGAAGGTCTAGATTATGGGAGAAGATTCTAACCCTACCTGGAGCTGAGTCAATTGAGAGAGCTGAGTGAAATACAGGGGTAGAGGAAGCAGTGGGGTAAGGCCTGTGAGCTCACTGTGTCCCCTAGCAAACCATTTCTGCCTGGCCTTACAGGGGTCCTTCGGGAGGGCAGCCAGAGGCACTGGGAAAAGGCCGCAGGGAAAAGGAAATCTCCAGCTGAACTTCATAATACTTGGAACTGATCGAGAAGTCTCCTAGCCTGAACTCAGGGGAGGGCATTAATCTGGTGTGCAGACTCCACAGGCAGGGGAAGAAGGAAAGCCATACTTGCTATTGCAGCTGGGAGGCAAGCAGCGTGGGACAAGTTCTCAGCCCTACTCGCCCACTGCCTGGAAACAGACTCGGTGCTATTGGTGGGGGCACAGTGGAAGTGAGAACAGCCCTTTGGATTGTGTGGGAGCTAGGTGAAGCCTGTGACTGCCGGCTTTCCCCCACTTCCCTGACAACCTGCATGACATAGTAGAGATAGCCACAATCCTCCTGGGATCATAACTCCATTGACCTGGGAACCTCACCCCCATCCCCCACAGCAGGTGCAGCAAGACCTGCCCAAGAAGAGTCTGAGCTCAGATATGCCTAGCCCTGCCCTCATCTGTTGGTCCTCTCTACCCACCATGGTAACTGAAGTCAAAGGGCAAATACTCCTGGGAGTTCCAGGGCACTGCCCACCACCTGTTCCTCCCCATACTACCACAGCTGATGCTTTCTGGAAAGTGCCACCTCCTGGCAGGAGGCCAACCAGAACAAAACTAGTTCATTAAACCACCAAAGCTAAGAACCCTTACAGAGTCCATTCTCCTCTCCCGCCGCCACCTCCACTGGATCAGGTGCTGGTATACCACCCCCAGTACCAGCCTGGAGCCTGGTAGACGTGCTGGGTGGCTAGATCCAGAAGAGAGATAATGATTACTATGGCTCAGCTCTCAGGAAGTCACATCCATAGGAAAATGGGGACAGTAGTACATCAGGGGAACATCCCGTGGGAAAAATAATCTGAACAACAGCCTTCAGCCCTAGACCGTTTCTCTGACACAGCCTACCCAAAATAGAAGGAACCAGAAAACCAACTCTAGTAATATGGCAAAACAAGGTATTTTGCATCCCCCCAAAATCACACTAGCTCACCAGCAATGGATCCAAACCAAGAAGAAATCCCCGATTTACCTGAGAGAGAATTCAGGAGGTTACTTATTAAGCTAGTCAGGGAGGCACCAGGGATAAATATTCAATGAAACAGATAGCATCAATAAAGAACAGTCAAAACCTCAGGAAACAATGGACACACTTACAGAAATGCAAACTGCTCTGGAAAGTCTCAGCAATAGAATCGAACAAGTAGAAGAAAGAAATTCACAGCTCGAAGACAAGGTCTTCAAATTAACTCAATCCAACAAAGACAAAGGAAAAAGAATGAGAAAATATGAACAAAGCCTCTAAGAAGTCTGGGATTATGTTAAACGACCAAACTTAAGAATTATCACTGTTCCCAAGGAAAAAGAGAAGCCTGAAAGTTTGGCAAACATATTTGGGGGAATAACTGAGGAACATGTTGCTATCTATATACAGTATGTATGCAGAATTGAGACAATTGACATGTTCAAAGAGTGGAGAAGAATGAAACAAAGTAGGTAATAATTTGATGAATTTTAGTAGAATAGCCCTGTACTTGCATGAATGTAGAAATTAATATAGCTGAGGGTAAGGCCTTTCTTATGAAGGGGGGAAACGTACTTTTTAGAAAGTTCTCCAGGGTATCCGAGGCAATCAGAACAATACAAATCACTCAAAATCCAATTATGTAGCAATCAGGGATACAATAGTAACTACATTTTATTTGACACATTAATGTATGTTTAAAAATCTAAAAATCTTCATGATAGCAGGGGACAAACATAACAACCATAGACTATACATGTTGAAAACGTCATTAATTAATGGCGAGAGACAGTTGAAAGACTTGGCTTTCAGAATCCAGTCTACACAGAAAGCATGACAGCATAGTCTTTTTCCAAGAACCGCCTCAACTTTGATCTTTGAATCAGCTGATACGTCCTTTGGAAATAACAATCCAGTCAGGACAATGGTGTGCCAGTAAATATTTAATAATCAGATCTCCAAGCAAAAAAAAAAAAAGTCTGATTTGTAGTTTGCCAGTTTCCATGGTATAAATACCCCCCCATGGCTGATTTCAAACTGCTGATTTCATGATGTCACTGAACACAGACTTGGAAAGAGATGCTTGTGCACAATTGGCTCTTGAGAGTTAGCAGAAGCCAGTGGGAGCCAACTCTAACACACCATGGAATCAGGGGCACTTTCATGTCCTTCTGTATCTAGGGGAATGAATTCACCAAATGGTTCACCTAGGAAGGCTAGATATTACCATCATGCTCAAATAGTATTGTTATTGAAGTGCGCATAGATAAGTAAAATGCAACACTGGGAAATAGAAGATTTTGAGTCAAGAGATGTATTATCTAGTCCTTTCTCTGCCAATAACTGCCTGTGATACTTAAGCAAGTCTGCTCAATTCTTGGAGCCTCAGGTTTTTAAGTGTAAATGAAAGGCTTACATAACATTGTTCCCAAGAACTCTTCCTATTCAAAAATATATAATCCCACATAATAACACAATGTAAACAGCAAGGCAAGGCCCTATGACTACTGTATCTAAGCTAACAAGGAATGATACTACATCTGATAATTAGTTTTCAAAAGGCTGTACATTTGAATGGACTCCATTATAGGATAAAAAAACCAACAATAAACAAACAGAAGACCCTGATTTAGCTAGGAGGAGAGGGAGAGGAAACTCTTTATTTTGGTTCCACTGCTTACTGTGCACCAGATAGTTGAAAGTATCAGCTAGAGAAGTGCCTCACATACTTTAAGGTGCATAAAAAATAACTGGGGATCTTGTTAAATGCAGATTTGGATTGAGACATTCTGGGGTAGGGTCTGAGAATCTGCATTCCCAACAAGCTTTCAGGGGGAAGCTATACTGCTTGTCTGAGAATCAGACTTCAAAGAGCAAAGATTTAGATTGAAGTAAAACTTTTTTTTTTTGTCAGTTTCTCAGACTCCAATCTGGCTCTGGAAGAACTTCAGGGAGAAAAAAGGTATTTGAATCACATTAGCTATTTAAACAGATCTGAATTCACTTTGGTAGACAGAACATCCACGATTTAGTTGAAGCTAAATTGATTATTTGATTCACTGTGTTCTCAAAGTTGATTCTTTTTTAATATTTTTCATCTAGTTAAAAGGTTTCACAGAATGTAAGACAATGGATTAGATTTGCAGAGTTTTGTTGGCATAATTGAAAAGAAAATCCATTTTGTGATCAGTTTGATCTGTAATAATTAGTTTCACAATTATTATCCAACAATGTCTTTGAATAATTAATTGGATAATGTTCATGTAGGTTTGAAATTACTTCCATCAAAAGGTTAACATTTATTAGATGTCATAATTATGGTATGTACTAAAGGAGTTTAAAATAACAGATTAGCATGGCTTTTGAAGGCAATTGCATTATAATGGAAGTAAAACTGTATTGTAATTCAGTCTATCAGCATTGAATTTTTGATGAGTGTCGCTTATCTTTAAATGGAGATTGAGAATTGGAGTTTGGTCCAGGGGAAGGAGGGAGGACTTTAGGGCCAATTAAATTTGGGCTTGAAATTTTGATTGGCCAAGTAATAATTGTGCAACCTAAGACAAACCACATAACTTTTCTGTGCCTCAATTTCCTAATACATAAAATAGGGAAACAACATTTCTCTTTCAGAACTGTTGTTAAAATAAGTGATAACATTTATAATGTACCTAATATAGCGCATGCACAAAACAAGCATCCAATGAGTAGACATTTGGAGTAAATAATTTTCATGGTTATTATAGAAAAATTATATTATTTTGTGCTATATTTTCTGTTAATAATAATATACAGATTTATTTAAATTGCATTTATTCCTAACACATATTAAAGTAGGTATTATTAGAGTAATATATTTGTCAGGTTATTTTGATTTTATAAGATGAATTTTTATTAAAAAGAGTAATCATGTCTACTAATAAAACATCTACTTAATATGCTTAATTGTTAACATAAAGTGAAATACTATGAGACTTCTTTGAAAACAATAAAGTATGTTATAGATATGAGTTACTAAATATTCCACCAGAAAAAATGGTCATGCATTATCTGATACACACAGTTAAAATATTGATGCCTAGAATGGGCAAAATTAGGCAAGATGGATCTGTAAAGAACTTCATAATTCCACTTTTGCCTGTTTGTGCTACATATTACAATTGGCACTATGAAAAACACTTTAAATGTATAAAGTGGGATGCTTTTCTTCTGAGAAATTGAAAGATAGGATTCACACATAAAGCAATTAGAACCTTAAATGATAGACTGTACAGTGCTAACCCTTTCTATATGTAAATATTTAGAAAAGAATGAACTCTGGATAATGGAATCATCAACTAAGTCTTTGCAGAGGTCATAGATTCTAATTTTTGACCTTGAATGTTAGGTGGATTGGGAAAAGTTGCTATAAGCATTAATGGATCACGTTCACTTAGCTGAGTATATCAAGAAGCACAGAAACAGAGCAATAAGCTTTGAGCATGAAATACTGTACGCATGCTACTGACTGTACTAAAAAAATCAATCTCAGAAGACACAGTCAATATAGCTGGGTAAGTAGAAATGGGTAAATTATGGAGCATCTGGACTACAATACAGCAGCATTTCAGAACAATGTGGTAGAGTGAACAGTGACATAATACAGAAAGTATATCCAGTTGACAGTTAGAATTGATCTAGGTAGAAAGAATTGAAATGGAGAAACATTCAAAGTAGAAAGGATATAGTGGTCTCCAAAAGGTGCATAAATATTGAGTCTTTAAAATATGTTCCTATTCCTTTCTCTGTTACAAGTGCTAAATGTTATAAACATATTGCACAGAATTAAGGAGATGACAGGTCAATGCTATATCAAAGTTTAGATCAGAAAAGTCATTTGCTCAAGAATATGAAATACAAATGAAGGCAGAGATGGTAAGAAACTCAGCTTGTGAGCAAAAGCGAGATACTCTTATCTAAAATAAATGTTTCTCTTTCTGCCTTATATAATAAGATGTTACAGTTGAAATTGGAGGAACTGATAGCATCCAAATCATTGGAGTCACCAAATTTGTATTCACCAATAGGATTATGCAAAAACAATGTAAATGCCACAGTCCTTGCATTTCTATCCTAACACTTAATGCTGAAAACTCTTAGTTCCATTTCATTAAAATCACCAGAGATTTGGAAAAACATGTAAGGGATATGTCAAACATAGAAAATATTGCCATTAATAAACTGTTCATTTCCAAAGAATATCATGTTGAATCTTTATTATTTTAGGTGTGGTTTTGTTGTTGTTGTTGTTGTTTTTCCTTCTAAAGCAAGCTTGACTGTGTCTTGGTGATGTATTCTCCAGCAAAGTGGGTTTTATTGTATGTTTTTATATTTAAATAAAGTACATCTTTATGTGTATCTCATTGTACTCTACAAATATCAATTAGTTTACCCTGCTTATGTTATCCCCAGTTCTTAAAAGATGGAGTGCTTGCCTTTCATTACTTAGGAAAACAATGACTTTACAAACATGTACAACTGTTCTACCTGTATTCATTGTCCCATTTTATTCACCTGTTAAATGCATTCAAGTCAGCAGAGAATTCAGTAAAAACAGCAGTAAAAATGAAGATCAACATGTACAAAAAACAATGGATGTTTTCTATGTGATACTAATGTGGGTAGAGTACAGTAGTTACCATACCTGGTTACACACAAAGGATTCGTTTCAGGATCCCCTGTGGATACCAAAATCCACAGATCCTCAAATCCCTTATATAAAAGGCCAGAGCATTTGCATATAACCTACACATATAATTTGCATACTTTAAGTAATCTCTAGGTTACTTATAATACCAATATAATGTCTACATATCATTTTATTCATGTGGATTCAATATAGTATTCAGCACAGAACAAATTTAAGTTTCGCTTTTTGGAACTTCTGGAAATTATTTTTTCCCCAAATATTTTGATCCACTCTTGGCTGAACCCATGGATAATGAACCCACAGATATGAAGCCAATTCCATTTTCTTTTCACCACTGGCATTCACCTTTAGTTCAGCATTGACTGAAATACTCATTCATTTAATCACTACATTTAAAGCATCAGAAACTATTCTTGGAGCTGTAGATATACAGATGAACATCATCAGGACCCTGACCTCGAACAGAAAATGAGTGTTTAGGTAGAAGGCAGAAACAAACCAGTTAAAAAAAAAAAGTGAACTGAATTATCTTTCATTCATCTCTTTACATTTAGTATTCTTCTCTGGTCTCTGCCCCAGCAGTTTGACCTACAGGGGCTACATCAATAGGCTTTCTAACTCTCTGTCCTCCTGTAGGATTCAGCCAATGTGGAACCGTGGAAGGGACTGGAATGAAGAAGGGTGACATCAGACTTTATATTCCCCTGGCTTTCTTCTTAATGGTTCACCTTGGTTTGCCTTCGCCCTTGTACTGAAAGTCACCAAGCCTATTAAGGTGGGTCTCTCTACAAGACTTCTTGCCAGATTCTGCTAACCATTTCTTCTCTTTATCCTTTCAGGTCTGGAGATAGAAAAAACTATGAGATATTGAACCATCCTTTCTACACTCTGCCACCTTTGTGTATGGTCTTTTTCTCCTTATCTGATTGCCCTCTGTTTCCTGCTAGGACACTGATATAGTTTGGGTGTATGTCCCTTTCAAATCTCATGTTAAAATGTGATCTGAAATTTTGGATGTAAGGTCAGGTGGGAAGTGTTTGGATAACTGGGGTGGATCCTTCATGAATGACTCTCCCCATGGTATTGAATTCACAGGAGAGCTGCTTGTTTTAAAAGAGTCAAGCTTCTCTTTGTTCTCTTTCTATATGACACTCCTGCTGCCCCTTCATCTTCCCCCATGAATAAAAGTTTCCTGAGGCCCTCACCAGGAGCAGATGCCAGTGCCATGCTTTCTGTACAGCCTACAAAACTCTGAGCCAAAATAGGCCTTTTTATCTTAGTAAATTACCCAGTCTCAGATATTCTTTTATAGCAATGAAAAACGGACAAATACAGACCCTGATAGAGAAGACTTTATGTAACTAATGGGATTTAGAACCAGACCCTGTATAACAAAGAGGATTTGAGGAAATGATGTAGCACGATGAGAAGATTTAAAGAAGGAGTGATGAACAAAAATACTACCTTAAACTGTGGCATCAGGATGGTACAAGGTAGATTCACATGACTATAAGTAGGTTAGTTTTGATAGAGTAGACAGTTCATGCTGTGAAAATGTGGATGATAAGGCCGTAACTGTTACTTTAAAGCAGTAGTTGTCCACCAGGGGTAATTTTGCACCCAGGGGATATTTGGCAATCAATATCTGGAGACATCTATGGTTGTCAAGACTGGAAGAGAAGAGGAGGCACCGGAGATGCTACTAACATCTAGTGAGTAGAAGGCACGGAGCCGTAGACATCCCGCAATGCACAGGTAGCCCCCTCTCAACAAAGAATTACTCAGCTTAAAATGTCAATTGTTTAGTTTGGAATATGTGTAGTGTCCTTTGACTACTTGCCCTTCCATTACAATGCAGGCAGTCAGGGAAGGTTCATGCATTCATTCAGTAAATACTTACTAATTACAGATTATCTGCATAGCACTGGGTGAAGCCCTGTGATACAAAAGCATATAAAAAGGAACACAGTTCCTAACCTCACAGAGCCTGGAACTAAATGAAGTAAAAAACACATTAATCAAACTATTAACAGAAGTTCATGTAAAGTAGAAACTAGGTAACTGTGACCATTGAAAATACAGGAACTTAAAATGGGAGGAAGGAGAGGGAGTTGTTCTATCTAATGAGATCAGAAAAGACCTGATATAGGATCCTAAATTAGTCTGGATGTGTATGCCCTCCTGCAGGAATCCAGTAGGAATTAGGTAAGGCAGGAAGGAAGCTAAATGCAGAGGAGACAGTATGTGCAGAGCTTGGAGATATGAGACACTGCCTAATACCATTCATGCATGTAGAGTATTTTTACTTTAGTATTGCATTTGTGTTTGAAACTGTTTTATTTTTCCTCCAATTAGAGAATAAGCAGTTCAGAACTCAGAACTGTTTTCTATTCCTTTTAAAGCTTCTACACCTGTAGGGAATGCTTTATAAATGGCCCTAATTATAATTGGCTCAATGGCTAATCATGCATAAAACTTGGGATCCAAAATTTAGACCCTGAAGTTATTTGGCAATTTCACTCACGTTGAAGAAAACTTATGCACATGTTGTTGGCGACGGTTGATCATGGCAGTTTAAAAAAGAGCTGCCCAGGTCTCTTTAGATTTTATACTCTAGTCAGTTTCATCTGCAATGGTTGGTTCCAATACATTGTTGTACAATATTAATAGACACCAGAAATCACTGCCCCAATCTGGCACACGGGTTGAAAGCACACTAAATGGAGTGTCAAGAGACCTGCACCATACCTCCAGCTCTGCTCTAATTACTCCATAATAATCAGAACCTTCCTAAAACTGTGCATCCTGTTTTTTTCTGCTAAAGGTTTATCAATAATATCTTTATTTTACATATCTGAAGAAACAATGACACCATGTCTTTGAAACCACACAAAAATGCATAAAGTACTATGCAAATGTAAAGACATACACACCTATTTGAAAATAAGAATTGGGAATTCATAGCATAAAAAGCATCTGCATGAAATTCAAAATGCAAAAACACTGGCCAACATCCAAAGAGAATAACAACTACAATAAAGTTGGCAACGAAGGCGTTTGCCCTTGGAAGCAGAGTTTAGGCAGGAGAAAGAAACTAAGTGATTCCCACTGTTGAGACTGTGCCCAAGAAAACTATGGTGGAAAGCCTATCCGTGGAGCATCCCCAGAGGCTCTAGTAAAGAAATCAGCACTGGGGGGCAAGAAAGAGGCATTAAATTCCTGATGGGGTAAATGTACTGAGAGCCTCAAATCAGATAACTCTAATGCCTGCTTTGTGATAGGTAAAGACAAAAAATACCCATTTTCATTTTTAGTCAGAAAAATTTCTCTGAGTGCTCCCTCAGCAGTGGTATTTTACAAAAATAAAGCCTCAGAGCCAGCCAATTTTACTGCAAGGATATTCATCACAAAATATTTCACACATTTGTTTCAAAACTGTGGAGATGGATATGGCCAATCCCTAACTGATTATTTAAGTTTACCTTTATACAGCTTGGATAAAAACTCAGTGAGAGGAAAATGAACTTGTTATTTCCATGCATCTGCATTCCACAAGCATTTATCAAATACCTACTTGGTGCAGAGAACTTTGATAAAAACTGTGAAAGCAAAGATTAGGTGATTAAATAACTGCTAATATAAAAAGCATATTTAGGTGTAAACAGCATTACAGGAGAATCAAGAGATCAAGTTTCTACTTTTAAGTTCTGCCTAATATGCTTGTGCCTGTGGCTGGCAATTTATCCCTGCACACTTTTTTTCTAATTATAAAAAGAGAATGTGGATTAGAATAAAATAATACTAGTAAGTACATGTATAATTTATTATACGTCTATTATGCACCAGTACTACACCAGAAGTTTTATATTCACCATTCTATTTAATGTTTACAGAAAATGTTTGAGATAGATATACATATTTAATGCATAAGAAAATGGGCTCAATTCACGGAGTCAATAAATGAGAAAGAGGCAGAACTGAGATTGAAGCTCATGCTCTCCCTATCATCTTATCCTTTTCCTGTTCAAGCGTGGGGAAGTTGTTTGAACAAGCATGTGTTCAACCTTACTATTATCAGGAAACACTCTTTACATGTACAGCATAATTCCGTTTAAGTCGTCATCTTTTCAAATGAAGACTTTTCGTTCATCTTCAGACAGTTTCCACTCATTTCCTTGTTTATTTAAATCAAATAGTTATTCAGTAAATGATGTTAAAAAATCATGAGAAAATAATAATTTCACTATTACTAATGGTTCTAGATGCATGAGTTTATAACTTCCTGAGAAATAATTGAACTTTCAACTCTTCTTCAAAATGTACCATATTTTTAACCTTGAATGTTATACACTGAAAGAAGTGAATGTTGAGTTGATAAATTCTCTTAGTTTAATTTCACACATTTACAATTTAAAAGCCAAAGAACAAGGGGAAGGTTGTAACTGACACAGTAAGTCAATTAGACTGTTACAAAGATTAGTCATCAACAAGGAATGACTTATGAAGATGTGTTCCACTTTCATTACCACTGTCCATTCTTTCTTGGAATTAAGTCAATATAAGAGTGCAATATTCATAGCTATTTTTGACACTCCATTGACAATTGCAACAGTATGCACAAGATTCATTTCATTGCTACTTTTCAACCTTTTTTCTCAAAGATGCATAAAATTATATGGTAATCTAAGTATTAAGCTGAAGAGATAATAACTGACATTTCAGACCTAATAATGCATGGTTATAAATCAGATAATTTTATATCTCTGAAGATATATTAATCTAAAAATCCATTTGAAGCAGTGGGATTTTAATAAGGATATTCATATCAAGTTATTCTCCTAGGCAAATCTCTAGCTATAGCTAGTTTAAAACCTGTAGGGGCTTTGTGTGTATGTGTGTGTGTGTGTGTGTGTGTTTGTGTTTAATTATGAGAGAAAAAAACTAAGGAGAAAAATTTTGATAATGAAGAAAAATGCAGAGCACATACTATCAAGACTTTATTGATAGAATTTCAGCAAGTTATTCTATGCCTGATAAAAGGTCATATTCAGAGAGCCATATTCATGAAGCTGAATTAACTTCTATTTTCAAGCTAAAAAATATTAGATTGGACCATTCCCATCAACTCCATTAATTGCAGGAATCTGACATTTTGCACATATAACCAGTTCTACAATTTTGACTGAATTCATTAATCTATTTAGTCAAATAAATTTGATAATTTGGTCAAACTTATGTTATTTAATTTAATGAAAAATAATGGTCACCTCAGGTTTGTAAGTAACTGATGAAAATTATTTCCATTAATATATATAATCTCTAAAGACAAAATAAATATTAGTATAAGTATATGGAGAATATGGGACAAAGAGTAGAAAAAATACATGAAGCCAAATTCATTCCATAATGTATTCAATATAAGCTAGAGATAGATTAAGAATTTAGTTCTAAGCTTTTAACAGACAGTGTTAACCGGGAGATAGGATCAGCCACATAACTCAGTGTCTTTATGGTATAAGTTAATTGATTGCTTGATTAAAAGAAAATATTTCTAGTACTAGGACCTATAAAAATTTTTCTTAAAGGAATAATGCATCCATAATGTCCCCCAAAACATCTTTAAAGTATACATTGTTTGAGTACTAAAACATATTTGATTAAAAAAATTTGTAGACTAAGTATTTTACACAAAACTATAGCACAATTTTACTTATGTACATCAATGTAAAAATGTGACATAAAATATAAGCAAATCAATTCTAATAATATATAAAATAATATCAACAAGAATAACAGTAGCAAAGATTTCATGCCTGGTACTGTTTTATGTGTTTTATGTATGTATGTATATTAATTTACAATAATCTCTAGGAAAAATTATAATAGGTTTTAAATGGATCAAAAAAATATATTAGGTCTGTTCAATTGAAAACTAAGGTTTGGCTAGAATACCCTTTGAGCTTAAGTCTTCTGTGCAATCTCTATGCCTTTCACTCTTTTTCAGCTATTTTACAACTCTGTAAGTTGTAGAAAACTGGTAACAATGCAAATAATTCTTGACTATATAAATGCATAATTTTCATCTGGTGGAATTGCAATTAATTATTGCCCTGTGGATAGACTCATTTGACATCTCTTTGTAAATTAATTTCTCCCTTGCTTATTATCTATATGTGGAGTACTTCTAACTTTCCTTTAATCGGTTGTGACATCTTGCTAAATCCCTCATTAATTAGTCAATTAAAATTATTGGCAAATGTTCATTGTATATTTATTTGAGAGTGAGGATTTTACGTTTTTCACGCACACACAAAAAATCCTAATTGGGTTTATATATATTTAATCTCCAGTTGAAGCAGGCACTCTCTTACATCCATTTTACAGAAGAGAAAGCTGAAGCAGGTAGATGTTAAGTAACTTTCCCAAGACCATTCACGTATTAAGTGGCATGGCCAGAATATGAACATCGGGATTGTTAGGTTTATCTCAACATGATAATGTTTAATATTGTAATTGATAGAGAAACAGATTAAGAGAGAACAAAGATTTAATCATCTCAAAAGATGCAAAAAAACATTTCATAAAATTTTACGTTTATATCTTCCCACACCAATCAACCAAACAACCAATCTCTCCCAGCAACCTGAGATAAAGAAACTGGGAGCTAGCATCATGTTTTAATGTTTACATATTAGAATTATTTCCATGAAAGCAAGAATGTATCAAAATCCTACCATCCCGTAGGTTGACATTATACAAGAAGATACAGGCAGTACGTTCAGATGAAAAAAATAATTTAAGGGTTGGAATAAAAATGTTATTTACTGACAATTTGATATCTACATGGACTATTCTAAGGTTTTTCAGAAATATAATGTAAGAATTAGGTGAGTTCAGCAAATGTGCCAAATACACGGTGAATTTTCAACAATTAGTAGCATTTTTAAATATAAGTAATGAAAATTAGAAAAATAAAATACTAAAAACTAAAATCCATGTTAGTAAAATAAAATACATACTTATAAACAAATCTAATAATAACATCTGTCTCTATTGGATAAAATTACCAAATATTATTGAAAACATAAAAGAAAATAAATCCAGGTTATGGCAGTTATTTGGTTACTTAAAATATATGTCAGTTCTCTAAATTCATATGGAAAAGTCCAAAAATTCAATTCTTAAAACAAACAAGCAAACCAAAAACAAGGAGAGAAGATTTTGCCTAATGTGTTAGAGGTTTTGCGTAATGCTATTTGTCTATAGTAATGAGAACCATACAGTATTTGTGCAAGAAAGAACAGAATACAGGGTTTAGATGCTGACCAGCATAAGACTGTGTTATATTTTAGAGGAGGTATCAGAAATTGCTGAGGAAAAGAAGAATGTTAATAAACATTGTTGAAGCAATAGGTTTTCTAATTGAGAAAAATAAAATAGCATTAGATATCTTCATTGAATCACATAAAAAATAAAACTGTAAATTAATTATTAGGAAATATAAAAAAGACTGACTTAAAGACCTCAGGGTAGTAAAACATTTCTTAAATCAGGCTCAAAAGGCAAAAATAATGCACAAAATAATGAAGATATTTGTACAAAAATCAAACGCTTTTTTTAAAACAAAGGACTGCAAAAATAAAATTGAAATTAAAAGGTAAAAAAACTAGGGAAGATATTTCCAGCATAAAAAAGAAAAAGGGAATGGGCAAGGAACTCACACACAAATCAGTAAGAAAAATAATATGGCAAAATATAAAATAAACATAGGATATGTATAGGCAATTCAAATAAGAATAAAATGGAATGGTCAATAAACATATAAAGATGTTCAATGTCAAGTATTTAGAAAAATGTAGGCCAGGCGTGGTGGCTCATGCCTGCAATCCCAGCACTTTGGGAGGCCGAGGCGGGCGGATCACGAGGTCAGGAAATCAAGACCATCCTGGCTAACACGGTGAAACCCCGTCTCTACTAAAAATACAAAAAATTAGCCGGGCATGGTGGCACGCGCCTGTAGTCCCAGCTACTCGGGAGGCTGAGGCAGGAGAATGGTGCGAACCCGGGAGGCGGAGCTTGCAGTGAATGAGATCGCGCCACTGCACTGCAGCCTGGGCAACAGAGCAAGACTCCGTCTCAAAAAAAAAAAAAAAAAAAAAAAAGAAAAATGTAAAATAAAAACCACAATGAAATGCCATTTTATTCTCTATCAGATTGGAAAACAAAAGGAAGAAGTTTGACAATCGTAAGTGCTGACAAGGATATGCATTGACAAGAAACTCTCAGACTCTGCTGGCAAGACCATGAATTTTTACAACCACTCTAGAGAGGGCTTTGTCAATATTTTGTATGTTACACATATGCAATTATCAATTCAAAAAATAGTTATAAAATATTCAGTGAAATTATTATCAAACACTTACATTGATCATTAAAATGAAAATAAACCTCATAGTTGAGTAACAATAGAATATTTCATTGTGTCCATTACTTGGAGCATCAGCATAGATAATTTGTAAAACATCCACTTAGGTGACTAAATTGTTTAAATTACCTGTAGATTTTTAAACTACCATTCATTTACATAATGCAAGGCTATTATTTAGTGATAACTTTGGTTTTAGAATAGGTGGCATGTAGCCCTTCATTTTTGTAGAAAATAATTAACGAAGTCAGTTGGCTGTTAAGCAATTAAGTTGGTTGAGTTAATATAAGAGAATCAGTCAGGTTAGGCAATGGTCACCCAAGATCTTTCATGGAATGAAAATTGAACCTTGGTGGTAACTTGACAGGAGACTCACCACTAATTCCAGGGAAAGAAATATGGAAAGTCAAGGGAACTGTCACCATGGCCTGGAGCGTAAAGATTCATAGCATATTCTATTCTCACATTGGAAGTAAACAGGCGACTGAAAAGGCTTAGACTCAGCCTTATCATGCTTCTCTTGTTGCCTAAAAACTAAATTCATGTTCTGGAAGTAAAAATTAGCATCCCTTCTCCTTAGGCTCTGATATTCAGGACAGGCATAGACTATCTTAAATAAATCTTAAAAATTAAGAGGCTCTTTGGACAGGGCACAGGTGCTGCCCTAGACTAGTTTTCTGACTAGTTTGTGCCCTTTTCTGGCAGGGCACAGGTGTTGCCTCGGTGACCTCTCACTGTTGTCTATGGGTAGTGGAACACTGAAAGAAATTCCTGGGATCCTTCCTGGATCATTGGAAGAACCATCTGGACAGGTGGAAATAAGTATATTACAGATGGATTGGAGCCAGAAGCCTGACTATCCTCTTTACATGGCTCTTTTTTGTCTTATGATTCATGAGTACAATTGGAATAATTCATCCAAAATCTGATTCTGATGCCTAATATATATATGATGGTCACCTTAAAGACATATATGATTATCATGACTTTTTCAAACATGATTTTTAGATCTAGAATTACAAAAGTAAAAGTAATATTAATGCTATAAAACACGCATCTCTTCATATAAAATCTGGATAGTATGACACACCAGAAAGTAATACTTTTACAAAAGGTTAAACTCTACTACCTACCCAGGGATAATTATTTCTAATTGGAGGGTGGCTCTGTGAGCTTCCTGTGTCTCTGGTTGAGCCTAAATTGCAAGGAGACGTTCTGAGGGAGAGGAGGAGAGCCAGGTGTGACTTCCAGTACTAGAGAGCATACAATGGCAATTAAAGGACAGAGAAAAGGTCCATGACCATCTGTTGTTAGATGGGACTCTCTCAAATTAACACCACCTTTCTTGCTATGTTTCTTAAAAGTCAGCATAAAGGGTAATCAAACTCAAAGAAACTTAAGGAAAACTACAGGATAACAAGGAGCAGAGAGAATATAAATAGTGTGTGAGGTTAGGAGATGTGGATTAAAAAGTAATTAAAAATAAAATAAATAAGAGTAGAAATAGCAAAAGCAAACAAAACATCATATAAAAGATACGTTATAATTTAGAGGATTAAAAGAACAGGAAATAAATCAATGGTAAAGTTGAAATGAAAAAGTTAAATGTAAAAATAAGTGAATGTAAGGATCCATGGCAAGGACTAAAAAGTAATAGAAATAAAGAGGATTGAGGAAAGCTGTATTTAAATTATCATTCAAACAGTGGGAAAATGAGATACATAGATGAGGAAAATAGAGGAATAAAAAAATTACCAGAAGCAAACAAGGAGTGAGAATTTCTAAAAATTCTTGCAGCTGTCCAGTTGTTTTTCTTGACATATACCCTCACCCTAATGTAATGGGCAGAATTTAGAGACCATAACTAGCCAGCTGTACACACTGAACTATCACTTCTTTCAAGGTCAGGCTCATAAAGCCACTATCTGAAGTGGTAAGGACATGTGTTTTTAATACAAAGCCAAAGGTGCAGTTTCTGGGTTACAAAAGCAACCATCAACCATCAACAACTCAATTTGGTGTTGCCTGGTCTTCTGTTTTCTAGTCACAGTAAACATTTGGAATGGCAGTTTGAGCTGCTCTTTACTGTGATAAGATGGTCAACATGGTCAGGATATCACATGACTCACAAATACAGACAGTAGTGAGAACTCCTTCCTGAGAGGCTTCACTCAGTTGCTGAGGAATTTTCCAGGGAGAAAAAGCTTTGAGGAATAACCCAGGGGAAATTATATGCTGCCCATTCAACAGACTTGCTGGATTAAGAAGATTAAACTTTGGATCCGTAACGTGTATAGAGCCAAGCTCTACAGGAACTAAATCAAGACAGGAATTTACTAATAATCTGTAGCTGAAAACAGGGCTGCCAAATGAGACTAGAACTCAGAGGTCCTTCCATATCACTCTTTCTATATTTTCTGACTGCCTTGTAAATATAAAAACAATAGATGCTATAGGAATTTAAGGCAAGATAGGGAACAAGTTCTGCTTCAATCATAGATAGGTTTATAATAAGTGCTTTTTGGTGATAATCTGTTCCTTTCCAAGACCATTAAATGAATCAAGGCTGATCAAGGTCTCCACTTAAAAACAGAATCATGGGGTCACCAATTTTACTTTTGTCCCAAAAGTAATTGGTAGAAATGGATTCTTCCAATAGTATTTTCTAATTTACTCTTCTAAATAAGGGCACAGAACAAAGATGTAGGAACTGAAAGTGCTTTTTCTTATTGCATAATGAAATTCAAGTGTGTTGACCTCCTGACCATGATGTATAAGTCTAATGATTTTAAAATTACTTTTGCCTGCTGAGTTGTATATTCCACCCTGGGACTAACTAATTATCATTTTAAACTGAACAGATTATGTAAATGAGTGTGCTTGATAGTTAGTTCTTTTCTTTGTGTATACTATGAAAGGCAGGAATAGTTTCTCAAATAAAATGAATTAAACATCTGTGCTTAGGATTGTCTCAGTGTTAAAACACTTGTTTTCTCATAAAGATAGTTTTATATCTAGACAAGCAAATGCTTCAGAGGAAGAGTAATTTGAAGGACAGTAGGAAACTCCCATTCTCCATAAAATTAATTTGGTTTTTTATTGCTTTCTTTTCTACCAGATTTGTCCTTTGTGGCTAAGAATCTTTTTCTTTATTATTATTACGATTATTTTTAGTTTAAATCCATTGTTACTTTGGGCACATTTGCCTTGGTAGTGTGGTCAGATCCTTTAATCAAAACACAGATAGGGGTGTAGTGTGTGTGGGGTTGGACACGGGGCTTGTTTGAGGTCTTAAAGGAGAGTTCCAAAGAACAGGAAATGTGACGGAGGGTCTAGGAAGAAGAGAGAACTGGAGGCAGGAAGAACTGTAATGAGGCTGACATTTGTGAATACTAAGTTCTACATTTGATCTAATTCTTGCAGGTATGGAAATGCAGGTAGATAAAACATACACTTAACTAGGAAATGGATGTTCAAGTAAGATGACTATTGTCTCTCCCCCACTCCCTAGTATCAAACATACATCTTCATGTTAATCATGAAGTTAATCATAATCACCTGAGTGATTAACCCTGCTGCTAGCCCTCCAGGCCTTGCCCCTTGCCTGCAATGGCTGTGACCCTACACTAATCCTGTAGCTTCTAGAGCAGTTACTTGGAAGATCAAACTTGATATCCACTCAATTTTCTTCTGATCCTACAAACATCCACACAGACCCAAGCCACAAATTATCATGTCTACTATTTTTATACTTGAGTTGCTATTCCTAGGTTAAAGGCACATTCACAGGAGAAAGCTTCAGGGCAGGCAACAACCAGAGGAAAAATTTTACAAAATAGGCTGAAAATGGGAAACAAATGAAGCAGCAAGGAGGAAATCGATAGAGAGGCAGCTTATGGTCCAGGGCGTGTCACTAGATTTGGCATTTAATCATTTAGTATTTGGTCAGAGTTAAAATGAAACCAACCATTACATTTAATCTTGAGTCTGTAGCAGTAGTAAATAGCTAAGTGATGTAATAAATATGTGATTAATTTCCAAATAATGTAAATACCAAGTGAAAAATGTTGATGAAATAAACTTATATAGGCCAGTCACTTGATCCCACCCATAATGATGAAACCAGGAATTTTTCTTCTTAGATTATTTCACACAAAACCTGATTTCCAAGCAATTCCCACTGTCAGAACACACCTAGTAAATAATTCTGTAAAAAGATCCTGAATGCAAATCTTATCTTTTATTTATTTCTATTGATGTACAATTTTTGTACATATTTATGGGGTACACATATTTTGACACATGCATGGACTATTTAATGACCAAATCAGAGTAGGATATCTGCTACCTCAAACATTTATCATGTATTTGTTTGAAAACATTTCAAATTTTCTCTTCTAGTTAATTTGAAATATACAATATATTGTACTTAATTATAGTCACCCTCCTGTGTTATCAAATATTATAATTTATTCTTTCTGGCTGGGTGCAGTGGCTCAGTCCTGTAATCCCAGCACTTTGGGAGGCTGAGGTGGGCAGATCATTTGAGGTCAGGAGTTCGAGACCAGCCTGGCCAACAAGGCGAAACCCCGTCTCTATTAAAAATACAAAAAAGTAGCTGGGCATGGTGTTGCATGCCTGTAATCCCAGCTAGTAGGGAGGCTGAGGCAGGAGAATCACTTGAACCCCAGAGACAGAGGTTGCAATGAGCTGAGATCCTACCACTGCACTCCAGCCTGGGTGACTGAGTGAGACTTCATCTCAAAAAAAAAAAAAAAAAAAAAGACGGCTTACTTGTTTTATCTAATTGTATGTTTGTACCTATTAACATACATTTATTCATCTCTCCTCCCCCAACACACACCCTTTTCAGCCTCTAGTATCTATTATTCTACTGTTTACCTCTATGAAATCAGTCTTTTCAGCTCCTGCATATGAGTGAGAACATGTGATATTTGTCTATTTCTGACTTATTTCACTTAGCATAATAACCTCTAGTTCCATGTTGCTGCAAATTATAGGATTTCATTTATTTTTATGGCTAAATCGTATTCCATTCTGTATATATACTACATTTTCTTAATCCATTCCTTTGTTGATGAACATTTAGGTTGATTCCATACCATTGCTGTTGTGAATAGTCTTCCAATAAACATGGGAGTGCAGATATCCCTTTGATATATTGAAGATCTTGTCTTTTTGAAAGAGAGGATAAACTCTATGGGCACGAAAGCTACTTTAATCTGTACAGCATTTTACATTACAAATACATTTATATATACTACCTCATGTAATTAAATAAGTAAAATAACTTGCACCAAAGATCAAGTAACTTCAAAGTTACAGATGGACTCAAACTAATTCTCTTGAGTCAAAATCCCAAGTTATCTCAATTTCTTATTCAATTAGAGAAGTGACTTGTTCAATACATTTGTATTTGTTGATTCAAATCAAATTGGACAATATAATATAACAAGTATTTATTGAGCACCAACTCTGTGCTCAGCCTTTGGTATGTATGGATAGGAAGAAAAACAAAGAAAAATAAAATAAAATAAAATAAAATAAAAACACAGTATTGTTCTCAGGGTACACTCTTCCTGTGGTGAAAAGGATTAGCTTTGTGAAGAGGGGAAGGGAGAAGAAACATTATGTTGTTGTTATTGTTTGCTAGGTATGGTGCTATTGATTTTAGACTTTTCAATAACCACTAAAAATACATATTGCTTCTGTTTTACACAGAGGAGTTCAAACAAAGAGACGTAAAATAACTTGCCCTCTCCCCAAGCTGATGTGGAGTGGACTCCATCAGACTGAAGTCTTTCTCTACCATGCTTTCCTCCTTCCCAGGGATTATAATAAGCAAACAAAAGGCAAAAACTCATCTACCATGAAGCTCACAAGGAGAACAGCATAGGACTGACTGTTTTGTCCAAGATTCTTACCTGGTTTGCTCATGGTATAGTTGCAAGTTTTGTAGACTGAGAATCCAAAAGTCTGCAGTCTAGATTTGTACTTGCTTTAAACTCATTCTGGGTACATGGACAATTCGTATAAACTCCAAGAGACTTTATTTTCTTACCTGTAACTTAATGGAATAAGACAAGCCCAAAGGTTTGTCTTATTTCCAAAATGATGCTTTAACTGAGTTTGATCTACATTAATTATATGACTAGATATTTGAAACTCCATTATTTATACCTGCAATGATGGGAGTGGGGTAGAATTTTGTTATCATACTCTCTGTCTCTCTCTAAAACACACACACACATACACACATACACACATACTTCTATGATAGCTTTGAGTAGTTTTCAAAATGTTTTGCAGAAGTAAAATAAGATTATATAAAAATTAATTTTTACTGAGTAGTTAGGGAAATGAATTAGAATTACATGAATAAATGTTTTAAAACAGTTGAAAAATATTTAAACATGCAAGTATACAGTGAGGCACTATACTATTTTTTCAAACAATATCACAGTCCAATAAATACATTTAATATTTTGCACACTTAAATATGTACCTACAAATTAAGCTAAAAGTAGTTCATGCCAGAGTGAATTCATTGCATCCTTTAGGATGTTTTTGGCATGCTTGACATAAATTAGTCTCATAACAGACATGATTGTTAAACAATGCAAGCACAGAACAAAATTCATTTAATTTTGCTGAATGAGCTGGTCAAGCAGGAGTCCTCAAACTGTCCTCACATTACCCTTTGACATAAGGAGTCAAATGTTTCCACTTGAAGAATCATACAGTTATAATCTGTGAAGCTTCCAGTTACAATGTTTCACTTTTAACTATTTCTAACTAGAGTAAGATTTCAGGTCAAAATGTTTCAGACAAGTCAAAACATGTATTGAACAATATGAGGACTATAGTTAATAATAGTATATTGTATTCAGGATTTTTGCTAAATGTGTAGATTATGGCTGCTCTTGACCCAGGAGGAAAAAATGTGTAGCTATGTAAGACAACATATATATTAATTTGTTCTACTACAGTAATCATTTACACACACACACTCACACACACACACAACTTATAACATCATGTTCTATACCTTAAATATACACAATAAAATTTATTGTAAAAAATATTTCTGGAAACCTATGTTCTATATTGGCCTCACTCAATGCCCTTGTAAGAAGATTTCTCCAAAGCTTACATTAGTCCATTCTATTTATATAATATTATCTTTCAAAAACTTCTCCTGCTACTTGTTTATTAAAAGATTTATTGACTCAATATTTAATAGATATTATAGCAGGATATGTACAAATGATGTGCAGAGAAGCACAAATAAAGTTGGAATTGTACCTCAGAATGATGATCTTTAAAGATAAGGTTTTCAATGTAAAGAAATTAATGCATGTGAAGGCAGGAATCAGTTTTAGATACCATGGGCACCAGATACTTTCAGAATAACTGGAGATTAAATAAGAGTTATAAATAAATAGGTATAAATTAAACTCTTTAAAGAGTTATACATTTAATTTTATTAAATAAAATAAAAGTTATAAAGTCAGACTGTTGTTTGCTCAATATGGTGTCATTTAAATAAAAATAGTAAATTGATATTTGCCAAATATAAAATTGTTTATCTCATTATCAATAACAATGCATTTATTTGTAGTCAAGTATCCAAATCATTTCACTTCTTTGGGCTTCAGTTTTCTACTTTGGAAAGTGGGAAATGAGGTAATCTTTAAGTTTCCTTTCTAGGTGTGAATCTTATTTCTTATTTAAGAACTTATTTCTTACACACTTCTTACTCCCATTTCAAAGTTGTTGGAAGAAAGAAAATTTGGACAGTAATAATCCATAAGGGCAAATGTGACACAAACTTTAATCAAACCAAACCAACCAATATTAAATAAGAAATCTTTCATCTCATACTTGACTTTCTTTTTTTTCTCTCAAGTAAGTCTCCTTCCTTTCTTGTCTTGGAGGTCACAGTGGGTTTAACCTGGAAGTAAGGATCTACAATAGATTCCGTATCTATTTTAGATATAGTATCATCAGCGGCTGAGCTAGGCTGAAGGAAATGACACAGAGTGGGATGGGGAGAGTAAAGCTGAAGTCCTCCAATCTGCCTCCACTTAGGAGCCCATGTGTGTGGAATAGTCAACATACTAGAAAGCAGCATGAAAGCCTTGGACATTGAAGACCAGAAGGCAAGAAAACAGCAGAAAAAAAGGAGGTCAACAGGCAAAGCAACAAAATTCTACTTCTTCAGAGCTTTATCTCAAAATGACAGAGGAGAAGCTTCGTTTGGGGATACTAACAAAAGTTTTCCTCATTGTAGGTTAATAAAAACAAAGAAAAGGAACGTTAAGCCCCATAGAAACAATATGAACAGTAATAGTGAAGAAAAATGCCACCAGCTATTTTAGCCTCTGCTGAGTAAAGTAATGTTCACTTTACTTCGAGATTACCAAAATATTCAGAAATGATATATCATCCTGTTTCCCATCTCCCTTCAGAAGGAAAAGAGCTATGAGTTAAGTACATCACAGTTTTTAAGATGCTTTCTGATTTGCATAAGAATTTAATCAAACCTTTCCCCAATACAAAGACTCTCGAGAATACTGCTCCTGATTGATAAGATGGGAAGGACTCTAGTTGTCGTTACCAACATCAGACAGACACACTGGGTTCACTAATGCATAATTTTTCAAACTATCTATGGAGACAGCTGTCGTTTTCTTCTTCCAACTGTCATACCTGGATACACAGTCCTAATGCACACCCACATCACATCAAGCGCTCTTTAATAAAACAATTCAACTGATTATGCCCTTGAATATCATAGTAATGTTAAAGTGCTATAAAAATTTCTTTTTTTTTCTTTTTCTTTTTTTTTTTTTTTTTTTTTTTTTTTTTTTTGAGACGGAGTCTCGCTTTATCTCCCAGGCTGGAGTGCAGTGGCGTGATCTCAGCTCACTGCAAACTCCAGCTCCCGGGCTCACGCCATTCTTCTGCCTCAGCATCCAGAGTAGCTGGGACTACAGGTGCCTGCCACCAAGCCTGGATAACTTTTGGTATTTTTAGTAGAGATGAGGTTTCATCTTGTTAGCCAGGATGGTCTCGATCTCCTGACCTCATGATCCGCCCGACTTGGCCTCCCAAAGTGCTGGGATTACAGGCATGAGCCACCACACCTGGCCTCTTTTTTAAAAAAAAAAATGTACTTTCACATTCTATACTTTTTTCATGCTGATCATATGCAGTTTATGGGCTGGCACCTGTTTAGGGAACTACTTTGAGCAAAAATGCTATTCAAAGCTGTTAGGAGACTTGCAAAAGAATTTAGCCAAAGCTTTCTCCAATAACACAGTTCTTTAGATAAGAGAAGCAAAACTACATGACAGGAAGATGAGCAAAGAAAGTATTCGGATTTGGGGTAAAACCTGGTCTTTCTGTAGTCCCAGTTTGAGCCATTAAGCCAATTTCCCCAGGTGGTGTTGTTTATTTTTGTTGCTTTGTTTTTATTTACATGTAATTAAAAAAATCTTTTAATTGATATTAAACCAGGCATTTTGGAAGCAGAACACTCTCGGTTTCTGTCTACACAGTACCAATGAAATTAGGTAAATATAGGACTATAGCAGTAAAACATGAAGTAGAAAAATAAACGAAGCATATCAATTAACATTTTCCAGGAAGGAAAATACCTGAGTGACTTTTTGGGGAGAAAAAGATGTCATGGCAATATAAAAACCTGACCAGCTCAACACTGATTAACCCCATCTCTAAAGTGCTGAAATTCCCAGATCCCACTACAAAATCGGATTCTTCATTACACATTCCACTGCACTACTCTTTAATTGCTTTATATATTTTATTGCTTTTTCATTTCTCCAAGCAGATTAAATAAGCTCACCAAAGGCAGAGTTTGTGCATATGTTTTTTTTTCTTTATATAACTGCATAGGATTTATGTGAAGTTCTTCTCCGCAAGAAAGAGTAAGGTTTCAAGAAATAGCCCTTCTACTTTTTCAGTCTTTTTGTAAATACTTCCCCAAAACTTTATTCTGCATATCATTTTTGGTTAAAAAACATGATGGACTGGAATCCTGATGGATTTTTAAAATAACTTCTAGAAGTTCTTCTTCATTTTCTAATAATAATTATAACAATAAAAATTACTATTATTATTAGTGTATGCTTATGCCAAGATCTCTGGCTGTATGTCATGTAATACTACCTCTAATCTTCCATGGCAATTAAGGGGCATGAGGCTTAAATTTATAGTGAGAAAACTGAAATTCAAGGAGGTCAAATGACTCGTCCCTGGTCACATAGCTACTAAGAGGCAGCATTAGTACAAAGCATCAAAACAGCTTTGTCTCAGTCCAAAGCCCATTTTATTCATATTGCTTTGTTTTTCCTATAGACATGTTGCCTTTTTAGCCTTGCAATGTCTTCTTGATTACACGCCTCAGAATTTGAAAACCAAAATCTGTGGGTTTACTTTGATACCCTAAAGCCCATGAGTCCGGATTAGGCACTAGAAAGTTTGCTTCAGCTGTTATTTACAACCAAAAAGAACAAGCATTAGAAACAGCTACATATGGTATTGAAACTGGCATGCACAATTTTCTCTCACTTGAGAAGAAGGAGCTTGCCAGAGCTAGTGCAAGCCTCACCTTGCAGAGCAACTTCCGACAACAAGACGTTCAAGCCAGATGGGTCCTGGCAATAGGCATCACAACACCCAGCCCATAATGACAAGAGAAATGCTAACATGACAGAAAGTTAGTAAACATATTAAAAATCTTCCCTCATCCTAAACCAATCCTTTGCACACTGGAAAATGAGAAGAGCAAAATCCCCATAAAACAAATTAACAAAAATCAAGAGAGGGAGAAGCTCCATGTCTGACTTCAGCTGACCTCCATTAGAGGGCCATTTTTTAGGATCAATACCCCTAATGCATAACTATAGACACCCACCAATCAATGGGAAGTGATAAAAGAAGCAGAATCAATAAACATTAGAAGAGCTAGAGAAAGTGAAGAAAGAAAAAAAATACAATGAGAATACTGGACTTTGCTGAAATGAGAGGTATGGGAATTTCTTGAGAGCCATGTGTTTTCTCACTAATCTAAACTATTTCCCTCAACTGAAAAAGCTTATATCTTGGCCTGGGTTGACTTTATGTGCAGATGGTTAATATCACAGTGTGACTTGAGGGCTTGATTGACTTAAATGATTTCCTCAAGAAAATTCCATAGTATGAATCATATGAAAGTATAATGTGATACTATAATGTAACAAAGTCCTGTCTTCATGGTCTTCTTATAAAATTTAAGTGCTCCTAGGAGGCTAATACATCATGTCATTATCACTGTAACATCAATTATGTAGCATCTACCATTTAGCAAGTACTTAATATTACTGTGGCCAGATAAAATTCAGAACACCATGCAATATTTAAGACTGAGAGAATGAACATACGAATGGACAGTGGCCAGACCATACCTAAAAATAAAATGCTGACCCACAACCTTCAACAACTTCCCCAGGAAACCAACTTCATATCTATAATAACCAGTCCAGGAAGCCATTCCACTCTATGTCAGACTTGTAGGAAGCCAGATTGCTATCTACAGAAACAATCCAGGAAGCCAAACAATAACTTCTTTAAAAATCAAAATGGTTAGGTTTGGATTAACGACTGAAAGTTTCCCTAATTTTTGTGTCTGTTTTCAACTAAGGGTCAACCAAAAAAGGTTGAATGTACACTCTTAATCTATCACATAGGATGTCCCATTCAGGTTAGCCCACCTTAAAGCTTCTGTATTGCAAAAAACTCCAATCAGGGCAGAACTGAATCTTTTGCTTGTTTCCACTATAAAGCTTTCTCACTTCTCTGCCTGCCTTTCAGTCTCTGCCAAAATACAAGTGATGGTAGCTGACTCTCTTGCTATGAATAAATAGCCTTTGCTTATTCTCATTTATTTCTTTCATTTATTCCCACAGGCCATACAATATTAGAAAATTATTTACTGTTTATCTAAAATTTAAATCCAACTGGGCATCTAGTGTTTTCATTTGCTATTTCTGGCAACAAATGCCATATTTACTATATGCCAAGAACTTACTATATGGCAATACTTACTGTATGCCAAGAACTTACTGTATGGCAATAGTTAGAGTATGCCAAGAACTGCCGTAAGAGTTTGACACACATTGCTTTTAACTTTTTTATTTTTTCAAAGACGGAGTTTTGCTCTTGATGCCCAAGCTGGAGTGCAATGCTCAGTCTCGGCTCACTGCATCCTCTGCCTCCCAGGCTCAAGCGATTCTCTTGCCTCAGCCTCCCGAGTAGCTGGGATTACAGTCATGTGACACCATGCCTGGCTAATTTTGTATTTTTAATAGAGACAGAGTTTCTCCGTGTTGGTCAGGCTGGTCTCGAACTTTCAACCTCAGGTGATCCACCCGCCTTGGCCTCCCAAAGTGCTGGGGTTATAGGCGTGAGCCACCGCGCCCAGCTGCTTTTAATTTCACAATATTCTGAAGTAGATATCATTCCTAAATGGGGTATCTATGGCTTAAAGACATTCAGCAATTTGCTTGAATCCTAAAACAAAGGACTCAAAACCGCGTCTGTCATATGGTAAATCCCATGCCTCTACCACTAGACTACCTTCCGAAGTTAGGACTGGCATTTCCACAGTGGAATTTGCACAAAATTCCTGTTTGGCAAGACCTGAATGCTAACCTATAAGCTAGCGAGCAGGCAGAAATTGGTACCTAAGGATACTAAGTAGAAGGAACACAGAAGATGTGCTGGATTAGGGAAAGAAAGAAAATGAGAAAGAATGAATGATGTCAATGATGTTTCATTAAATGCTTTTATGAAAACCTCATCTTAAAAAACGCAAACAGGCATGATCATTGTAATAGGTATATCAGATAAGCTAACAGATATTTTCCTTTCTCTCCAATCTCTTGTATACCACAAACTGGTAGAAAAACAGCCTTCAGTTTGCATAATAGCAGCTTTTCATCCATAAAGGTTAAACTAAATAAAATTTGAGGCTCCTTTTTGAAAATGTGTAGTTTCAAAGTTATAAAATCATAAAATGTTACTGCTTTCTAATTTTCCTTCTATAAAGAGCTATGATAAATTTAGGTGAAATTCAATTTCTAGAAAACAGTATTTCCTCCTCTTGATGGTTTGCTTCTTTCATCTAACAATGAAAATATATCACCCATAATTTTTCATTGTTATATCCTGGAGACCTGAAATTAGAGTCAATAATAAGACATTTAAACTGTTGCTTTCAATTTGCATACCCTAAGCTTATATCAAGAACTGAACTTCTCTGTGTACTTCCATAGCTACCATTCAATAACTATATTGTACCAGTGAAATAAGTTTATTAATTTAGGTTGTGTCATGCTTCCTATTTGTGGATGTTAATGTTTACTTTTAATATTATAAATATGTATATGCTTCCATGATTGTACAAGGGAATCATCTCACTATTATTTATTAATCCAGCCCAAAATTGTCCAAGCTCTGAAGCAGGTGACTTATACTATAGTTTATATTGATCTCTCTTCTCACTCAGCACTCAAGAGCTTTGTCATAAAGCTTATGCCACCCATGTCTGGCACATTCTGCATCCTGCATTCACATAATGGATTCTTTTAACCACAAGTTGAAGATATCACATTATTTTTCACAAAAATTCTTTTGTGGTATTTTCCCATTGTTCCAGACAACTTCCAGCCAGTTGAGGGAGGTAAAAAATGTTTATTTGCTGTAGGCTGATATGCAACTAATTTGCCTATTAATGATATTTCTCCCCAGGGGAAAACATTCCTTTAATGTCTTTGCCAGGTTCACCTTCTGTGTTGATGCAGGTCTGATTACCATTTGTTAATTTTATTTGCATTCATTGATCCATTTATATATCACTCACAATTTGACTTAATTTCCATTTGGTGGAAAGTATACATGGATGTTATCAAAGTGTCTGGGAAATAAAATAGCCTTGAGCCTCGTATTATCCAATGTCTGTCATTTTTTAACAAAATGTATAAATTACCTGGTCAGAAATAGATGGTGCAAATGTAAATTACTAACGTAAAATATTTTATTTCCCCAAACTATCATTTTATTGAATATAATAAGTATATTCAATGTATTTTTCTCAGTATAAGAAAGTGTATTAATGTAAATATACATTATAGGAGATGGTGGGACTAGAATTCTTATAAATATGCTTCTCAGATATTTATCAACCACCATAAGCAGAGCTAAGACTTTAATAGGACACTAATTTATGTCTTCCTACCTCAAACTAAGATAAAGTTTATTACAGATTGAGCATCCCATATCCAAAAATCTGAAATTCAAAATGCTCCAAAATTTGAAACATTTTGATGTACCAACACGATGCCACAAGTGGAAAATTCCATACCTGACCTCATATAATGGGTTGCAGTCAAAACACAAAAAATTCAGTCATCCCAGAGAAAGTGTGATCCAGAAATAGGGTAAAGCAGGTCCTGATGACTTCAGCTGAGCCTCTTAGCCTTATAATTTGTCAAACCTGAAATAAAATTAGAAAATAATCTCTTCCAAAATTCTTCTACAGAATAGAGAGCTGAGGCCCAAAATTGTTTAGTGATTTTATCAGATTCCTATTGATTTCTAAAGCCAGTAATATTTCTATTATTATGTTTTTGTTAGAATCAACTAAAGTCAACATTTTTACCTAACATCTGCCTTGCACTAGATATTCTTCTAAGCATTGGGAATATAATGGGCAAGAATGTGAAGTCTTTATAATTAAATAGCCATGACTAGCAGACAAAGCAGTAGGTAAACACTCACCTCACATAGAATGTGATGAGTGCTATAGTTAGAGTGAAAAATGGCTATAGTGATTCCAGGTAGGGACACCATACTTGTCTTGTGGAGCATTATTCGAAAAAATTCCATATATTAATGAGTATATAGTTCAAACCCATGAGTTTTAAAACCTGCTATGTCAGCCGTTGAAAAATCTCCAGCTGCCTCTAGGTATCTCTTATAATTTTCTCCTGTTTCCCTACTAAGATATCAAAAGAAAGCAATGAAATATTGATCTCAGGATCATAATTTAGAGATCATGAAATACATACTTATAAAACTCTTTGATGCTTTGGCCAAGATCCCTTCCAGGGTGTGACCACCTGTCTGGAAACTTGGTGCACAGGACTCAGACACATAGAGCCACAAAAGGTAAAAGCTGAAGTAGGAGATTTTATACCTCTCTCCAGAACTCCGGATTCAAAGCATAAGTCTGTTCATTTATCATTTTATTAGCCTCAGTGACATTGGAATAAAGCAAGAAAGCTCAGGGGGGTTCTCAATTTATAAAGTTATTGTGACCTATTTCTATAGAACTTTGGCAAGTATATAACAGACTTGGATATCAGAAAAATGTTGATGTTTGTAGCAATGACTGGAGAGATAGTGATGAAACAGGGTCTGTCAGCTCAAGAGAAGTCTCAGAACACAGATTGATTTTCCCAGAGAAACTGATATCTAAGGAAGTATCTGAAATACAATTAAAGGTTATTTTGGTGAAGACAAAAAATAAAAACATTTGAGTAAGAGAAAATATGTTACCTATTACAGGAATAAAAGGAAAGAGGGAGTTAAGAAATATAAAAGAGATAGAGTCTAATTGATAATTAAAGTGATGCAGGATTTTCTCAGACCATTTTTTGGACTCATAACAGGGGTATATGTTTTCTCAGCCTACCATGCTCAACCCCTTGTGAGAGGGAGAATGTGAGCAAGTGAGTGTGGGACTTGGCCAGACTCTCTGGGCACTGACATAAGAGCAAGCTCTGTGTGACAGTGCCCAGATGGGGGTGCCTGCAACCCCAAAGCCCTTGGGGCATGTTATAATGCTCTCTTAGCTCCACCATCCATGGATAGCAGTGTATCAGCTCAGTTGGCCACTTGCCTTGTCACATGGGGCAGCTGCCCTCCACTGGTGAGGGCAAAGGGACAATGTGACAGCCTTTTCTGGGTACCTGAACTTGGTGGGTCCAGAGCTCTTGTCCAGCATCCAAGAAGAATGAGGTCACATAGACACTTGAAGGATGATGAAGACAGATAATTTTATTAAGTGATGGAAGTGGTTCTCAGTGTAGAAGGAAGCTGGAGAGAGGATGGGATGGGCAGGTAATCTTTCCTGAACTCTGGCCAGGTCCTTCATGAAGTCCAGCAGGCTCTTCCCTGAAGTCATGCTGTCTTGCTGAAGTCAGGATGCCTCTCTGAAAACAAGCTGCCTCTCTCTCCCCTACTGACTGAGTCTGGGGTCTTTATAGGCACAGGATAGGCAGGGCAGGGTGGGGCGGGCAGTATGTAGTTTTGGAAAAGGCAACATTGATTGGTAAAAAGACATTATTCAGAAAGAACCAATCAGGAGAGGGTGGGCAAACAGGAATAGAAGTTCTCACTTTGGGCCTCAGGTTTCAGGCTACCTTGGCTTGAAGGTGGGGTTTTACAGGGGACCTGCCCCTATCTGCCTAGAATTTCTCTGCCTCCACCCTCTATCAAAAGTAGTGACAGATACATAACAGGTATTCAAGAAATATGTGATTATTAATTGTACAAGTGGACAATGAAGTAATCAAGGGTAATATTTAAGTTTTGGGGCAGGGAGTTTTATTAGTGGACATTGCTGTCCATTATTGCCATAAAAATCTAAGAATGAGGGCAAATGATGCGTTCAATTTTGAATGCCTTAGAATATTAAAATTAAGAAGTTGAGTATATGGGATTGCAATTCAGCAAAAAAAAAATCTTGATGACAATACAGATTTAGTAGTAATTGGCATATTGAAGACAACTGGAAAAAATAAAATGGAAGAGATTTTTCAGGGATCATGAGTAGAGAAAAACAAATGAGGAAACTCAATGGGGTAGTAAAAATTAAAGGCCAAAGTGAAGAGATTACAGATACTAGACAGTAGTTAAACTTTTCAAACAGTGTGAAGAGGTCAAATATGTTTCCAAATGAAGACAGTCCAAATATATAGATTTGAGGAAAAAATATATAGATTTATATGTTCTTATATATGTATAAATTTTCTATATATTTATGTACTATATAATTTTATTTTTTTAAGGGAAAAATATAGATTTATATAGACAGTATAAATAAGGATTTGAGGAACACTATTGACAAACTTGACCTAATTAATATACATTGCGCCCAATAACTGTAGAATGTACATGTTTTTCCAGTACGTGAAACAATTATAAATATTGGTCATATATTTGCATAATGCAAATTTCCTTACATTCCAAATAATTTAAATTATAATAGAAATATTACATAAATATTAAATATTAAATAAATATTGTAGAAATTATAGAGTATATTGTCTCACAAATGTGCAATTAAGCTAGAAATCATTAAATACAAAAGGTAATTAGGAAATACTTTTCTATGCAGAGACTAATAAACACTTCTATAAAAAAGTATCAAAGAAGAAATCACAATTAAACTTAAAAAATACTTTCAAATATTTAGAATTAGAAAGAAATATTATATCTTCAAACATGTGGGTTGCAACCTAGAGGGAAATTCAAAACTTTTTTAATGCATATATGAGAAATAAAGTTGTAAAATCAGTATGCTACTTATCAATGTTAAGAAATTAGCCAAACAACAAAAAATTCAAACTAAAAATGTAGTAGGTAATAGGAAGAAAATAACATACATAAGAGCAGGAATTAATCTAATAAAAAGCAAAGCAAAACAGAAGCTCTTAAAAAACAGCGATTTAGTTGTATTAATTCCTGGACATACTGAGCAAAAAAGAGAGATAGCAGAGAGTAACTAAAATCAGGAAGAAAAAAGTGGGTGTTAAGTAACTTCATCAGACACTGAAAATATCATAAGCAAGTAGGATTAATTATAACTCAGCAAAATTTACATTAAATAAATAAATTCCCAGAAAAATAATACATAAAAGCCACATACAAAGAAAAAAATCAGAATAATTTTATAATTATAAAATAAATCTGTAACTAAAAACCTTTGTAAAAACAAGCTTTTCAAACCATGAATTTGAGTATGTATTTATTAAAAACATAAACTTACATAAATTATTCTTGCTTGGTATGGCATCAGCTTTGATAATAAAATTTAACAAGAGAGTTATCACAGTGGAAAATTAGAGTCCAATCTCACAAACATAGGTGCCAAAATCTTAAATAAAATACTGGCAAACCAAATCCATCAATATATAAATGAACATTAAATCACAAATTGAGGTTATTCTGAGAATTAAAATTTGGTTTAATATTCAACAAAAAACCAATGTAATTATTTTTGTGAACAGAAGAAGGAAGAAAAAGTAAACAATTATATCAATAGATGCAAAATACTTCAATGTTATTATTCATTAATGTAAAAATATTTAATTAACAAAGGATAAAAAGGAACGCTTCAAATTTATAAGAAGTATTTATAAAAATTCCAGAGCAAACATCATACTTCAATTTTAATGTTAAAACTTTATTTTTGAGGTTAGGAAAATGTCATGAATAGCCACTGATAACACTATTTAACATTTTACCAGAGTGTTAGAACACTTGGTATCTTGAACTGGAGTATAATTTCACGGGTTTTCACTCTGGTATAACCTATTGAGTTGTGCATTTATGTTTTGCACTTTGCTGTATGTCGGTTACATACGCCTCTTTCTCCTCCAAATTCGAGTGTTGACAACAAATTACTATCATTTGCCATGCGGTAAAAGGTCTTCAAAAAACATATATTGGACTGTTCCTCACTAAGGAAAATGGTCAGTACTTGTTAAATTCAGTTGAACAAACCTGAACTGAAGCATACACATTTTAACTTGGGTATTAAACAAAGAAAAATGTGGTATAAAAAGGTGTTGCCTTAGAGAAGCAACTTATTGGACTACAGGAAATAAAGAACTAAAGAGAAACAAAGATATCCTGACAACCATAATCATTCATGTCCTGGGGCTCTACTTAATGCTCTTCCTGACTATGCTATCTCCATGCCAGGAACACTGCAGAACTAAATTGTCTTACTGTAAGCAATATTCTCTATCATTGGATCAACACTCAGACTCCAAGGGAAGTCATTTTATTTAAAAAAAAATAATAAAAGTAGCAAAATTACCTTCACTTTAAAGATCCTTTTTTGCCCTAAAAAAATTGTAGGTAGTGCATTTAATAAATCTTCATGCACCCCAAGATGGTTGCGTCATCTGTCATTCTTCATGTCTCCAGTCCATATAACCATAATTTCTAATCTTTAAAAACAGATATATTTTATTAAAGAGATTTAAGTCTTTTAAATTATATTTTTACTGCTGGAGAGATAGTTGGAATTATTTGTAGCTATGTTCTAGGTAGGCCTTTGGGGAATAACACTTATAGTCTGCAGTATAATTTTCAGTGTTTCAAGAAGGAAGATGCAATGTACATGTATTTTAAAAAATATAAGTTAAATGAAGGATAAGAGCATTAGAATTTGAATTAACAAATTGCTGTATTTTTTGAGTAGTCAGTTAGCAGGATCAAGGTAAAATAACTAGACATGTTACCAGGCTGGCTACTAGATGATAAATCTAATTTATAATGAATTTAGTAAGTATTATGATAGACACTGTGATAGGCCTCCTAGATCCCCCTATAATGAGAGACATTACCCAGCTGCTGGAAATGTAGTAGGCAGATAGTGTTCAGTTGTCAACTCGTTTGGTCATTGCCTGTCTTCTGGGAGCTGTCTAGCCAAGCTCATTCCAAGGGTGGTTTTCATCAGAAACTCTTCAATGTTGGCCATGTTGACATGTTGACCCAATACAGAACAATGCTGAAAGGCAATTCTCGCTCCAAAACCCTTCCCCTAATAGGTTTGGCTGAGACTGTAATTGGGTTTGCACTGCAGAGCTGAACTTCTTTTTAGAGTCTCCTTCCTACAAAACACAACCTATTACAAGGCTCACAGACTTAAAAGGACTATAGCAGTATAACATGTTCAAGACTATGAAGCCTAAGTGGTCTTTCTCAATACAAGTTAAGTGAGTAGATATATCAGTGTATACCTATTTTCCTGTAGTCACAGGCTTCAGTAGTCCTAACTGAAACTTGGCAGTTAGCATGGAACAATAATGTAGCTACAACTTATACAACACTTATTCTGTGGCAAATTTCTGCAGGATTGTATATGTATTTATTCCATAAAAAATGTTATGAAGTAGGAATTATTATTATCATAATTTAATTTACAGAGAAGAAAATGGATACCATACGTACTATGAACTAGCCCAGGTTATAAAGACAGAGAATGACTGACTCAGGTTCAAGCTGCTGCTTGACTACAGAGTTCTCTCTCGTTAGCATAAATGGCAAGTCATTTACAGAAAGCACATTGTGAAGTTTTTTTTTAGTGAAAATATTTTTGAAGTACTGTTCTGAAATGGTTATTCAACTTTAGGAGTTATTTATTAGAATAGTTTGATGATTGAAGCAATGTTTTGGTGCTTGAAATTGTTTAATTTTAAGAAAATGTCATTGATTATTAAGGTTTATCTGAGATAGGTCTGTAAACATATTGATCACTATTTCTAGGCCTTCTATCCACTTGTACTTATGAAACTAGATCACAAGAAACCAAAAGGAATACTTTTAAAAAACGATTTTATATGTGTTAGCTTATTTAATCTTCCCAATACTCTTTGAGTTACCTGCTATTTTCAGATGAGGAAACAGACCTAGTGAAGTAAGCCGACCTGTCTATAGTCACATAGCCACAGGACATCAGTGTAGAGCTGAGATGTGAACCCAGGCAATCTGGGCCCACACCTGAGTGCCTAACTACTCTATATACTGCCTTTGAATATGATCCAGTCTAAAATTCAATATTTATAGGCCAAATAGACATTCTCCATCCAGACCACAACAATCTCTATTATATACCACCTAAATCTCGTCATACATGTTGTGCGCCAATAGGAATACTTTTTGATTTAGTGTCTGTGTTTGCAAGTGCATCTAAATTTATTTTAGAGTCAGATGACCTGGGTTTAAATTTCAGTAGTGCCACTTATGTACTGTAAATGGCTCAACTTTGTGGAATCTCGGTTTTCTCGTGGGTAAAAGTCAACTCATAGTCTTTTTCAGGATAAGTGTGAAGATTAGCTGACATGACGCAAATAAAGTGTGCAGTACAGTGCATGGCATATAGTGAGCACCCAATATAGTCATTGATTATTATTAACATCTGTATTAGTACAACTGAAGCACCACGTTATCTTCAAGTTTGAGAGTGGACTTCAACAATCAGAAAAATGTGAAAAACCTTCTATTCAGAACCTTCTAAATCATGTAGTGAATCATGGAACATTTATTCTTCATCACCTCATATAAACCTAAACAGAACAATAATGTATGAATTAACTGTTTCTAACCCAATCCAGCTTGATGAGCTAGAAAACCCTAGGAAGGCAGGAAAACCCTAGGGAGCTGTGCTCTCAGCTCAGTCAATAAGAGCTGTCTGACAAGGGAAAAGCCATTTCACCCTCTTGGTCCTCAATTTTCTCATCTATATAATTAGGACTACATTAGATAAACTCTAAGTTTCCCTTAAACAATAATAGTCCACAATTCTTATGTTAAGTATTCTGACACTAAGGTCCAAAGTTCATGTCCCTCCAATTTTTAAATATACTAGAAAGTATAATTTTAATTTAAGAAAAAAATACACCCGTGTGTGTGTGTGTGTGTGTGTGTGTGTGTGTGTGTGAATATACATAACGAGATTAATAAAAGGTTAATGAATCCATTCTGGGGCCACACAGGACATTTAGGGAAGAAAAATATCTGGCAATGATAATTCTTTGGAATGCTCCGCTCTTTACCTATCTGTTTAATTTGCTATCAAAACAATCAGTTAACAACTGGACAGAAAATGCAAAATGCCACCAGTTTTGAATCATTTTACCCTAGGGCATGGCTATCACTCAGTTTCACCATTACCCACATTATCTAAATTGCTTGAACATGTTTATGCACGGTTAATGGATTGTATTGTAAAGAGTAAAGTTGGCCTGGACATAAATCTGGTGGCAGACCACATTTGATGATGACTGTGTTAATAGCCTTTACGCATGAATTCCTTTTATACATCAAGCCGACCCACTGGCAAAGATATTCCTGAAAGATGGAGTGATTTCAAAGGCTTGGGGAAGATTATTGAGAATGAATGAAAAACACTTATAATTGATTTTCTAGTGACAAAATTCAATGTTTATAGAAAATGTTGAAGATATGTAAATAAAGAAAAAATATTTCATGAGAGCAATATGTAGAAGATACAATATCTACCTTATTATTTTTCTTTGGTTTTCATGCAAAACCACATAAAGTTTTCTTAACAATGGGGTTTTCAGGGCCCAGATCTATCCTTTAGTGTTGGCTGCAAGTCCTACTTTGTCCAAGGTGCTTCCTTAACTCCCAGTTCTTATACCTAGTGATCTCATCCATCTCTGAAATTACTGTCACAACACATTAGGCATTCTCTTTATGACTTTGTTCTGTCACCATAACATACATTGTTTTCTCAACCTACTCTATAATTCCCAGAGGCCGGGAACCAGATGTTATATATTTTTCATATCTTCCACATTGCTTTTTACAGTGATGTATACATAAGAGGTGCTCATGAGTGAGAAAATAAAGAAAATAAATGAATTATAATGAATTAATTGGCAGTGCAAATGACCAAACTTTACCTAATCTTGTCAAATTGGTGCCACTTTTTAATTCAGATGATGCCAAAAGTCTAGCCAAAGGAAATTGCTATTACTCCAAAAACCCTATTTTGAGGTGGCTTTTTCTCTTTTCTATCTCTGCAGAGCTACTTGATACTTTACATTTGTGGTGTGCTTATCATTTTAAATGTAACTTTTCACACAGAATCTTGTCTAATTTTGACAATAAGCCAGTTGTGTATTCAATAATTTAATTTTGCTGATTGTTTTAGAATCAATTACTGAATATAACATCTAGAGATATGTGTTTGGGAAGCAAAACAAGACAAAAGCAACAAACACAGAAAAATGTGGAGGATTCTCAAAACATGTGCTCAATGTTGCCTATCACATCTTATTTCTAGAAGCAGTCATAGGCATAGAAGCAAAAATTGAAAGGCAATGGTTTTCAATTTTTTTTAACCCTTGAACTCTTAAAAGGTAGGTAAAGGGCTGGGCGCATGGCTCAGGCCTGCAATCCCAGGACTTTGGGAGGTCGAGTCAGGTGGATCCCGAGGTCAGGAGATCGAGACCATCCTGGCCAACATGGTGAAACCCCGTCTCTACTAAAATACAAAAAATTAGCCAGGCGTGGTGGCACATGCGTATAGTCCCAGCTACTCCAGAGGCTGAGGCAGGGGAATTGCTTGAACCCAGGAGGCGGGGGTTGTGTTGAGCTGAGATCACTCCAGCCTGGTGACAGACCAAGACTCTGTCTCATAAAAATAAAAAATAAAATAAAATAAAAGACAGGTAAGGGTCTCACAGCAGTGCACTGTAACTCCCATGGGTAATATTTGCTCTCTCAGGTATCTGAAGAGGCGACAGTTTGCAGGATACATGGGATCCCACAGATGCCTACAAAGTCCTCCCTGATTTTTGTCTGCTTCCAGACACCAGGGTAGTGAGTCTGATCTCCAGTTCAAAGTGCACCACAAGGATATAAAAGTGCTAGTCACCATCTACTATCACCCTCAAGACTCGACCATAAAATTCTGTTCTCTAAATTAAGCCATTAAGTCCTGAAGACAGCTATTAAAATACAAAGTGTGCCTTAACACAATAAAATGGTAGCAGATTATGATATAATTCTCTCTCATTTTTAGTTTAATACATTTAGATGAATTAATCAGGTTCTTTGCTGTTGCTTTAAAATCTATGATTACAGCTTTAAAACTTAGGAAAGGCCAGTTTTGAAACAAATTGAAGGTAGTAAGAAAGACAATAATGAATTTAGCATATAGGGTATCACAGATAAATGTCCTATTGACTTAGGATACATAACAAAATATTAATAAGGCTCTGTACTGTTGAACTGATGTGTCTAAATATGAGATTTAGGATGGGTTAATTAATTGGAATCTTACTTCATGGTGTTCAGGCTCTGGGACTTTTTCCTCACTTTCACCATTTATTTGTTACTCGGAGATGTTGTTGAGAGACAGGGAGTAGAGTCAAAACTAAATGGAAGTGGAAGTCCATTTCCAGATGTTCTCCTTTGAACAGATTTGTCCTCTTCTATGATCACATGCCCTTTATAACTTTGTCACCTCTGCCTTTATAGTTTCTAATTTACATGTCCATAAAATTAAGTGAACTCAACTTAATTCTCTTTTGAGACTTTGTTTTCAGAATTTCTTCTTCCCTCCCTCCCTCCCTCTCTCCCTCCCTCCCTCTCTTCCTCCCTCCCTCCCTTCCTTCCTTCCTTCCTTTCTTTCTTTTCTTTCTTTTTTAGACAGAGCCTTTCTCTGTCTCCCAGGCTGGAATGCAGTGGTGCAATCTTGGCTCACTGCAACCTCTGCCTCCCATGGTCAAGCAATTCTCCTGCCTCGGCCTCCCAAATAGCTGAGATCACAGATGTCCACCACCGTGCCTAGCTAATTTTTATGTTTTTAGTAGAGACGGGGTTTCACCATGTCAACCAGTCTGGCCTTGAACTCCTGACTTCAGGCGACCCGCCAGCCTTGGCCTCCCAAAGTGCTGGGATTACAGGCATGAGCCACCATGCCTGGCCTCTTTTCAGAATTTTGTAATGACTTGAAATAAATTTGTGACACCTGTCGTGTATGCATATTTACAATTAGTTATGCCTTCAATTGATATAAAAATGATCAAAAAGTAGATCTATCTGCTAAGTCATTTGGGGTATTTAATGAGATGATGTTGAGTTGTTACAATTGACACTGCACAATTTTAATAACAAGCTACGCTATACTTTTAAATTCTGACTATGTACAAGTTAAAATCCCATCCAGGTCATTGGCATAAACTCAGACTACGTTGAAACATAGCAACTGAATCCATCATTTGGAATAAATTAATAAAATATTCCTTGCAGAATTTCTAATATTTTATCATGTGTATTTATTTTCTAGCCTTTGCACGTTAAAAGCATGAAACTTGAAATAAAGACCCATAGAATATTATACAGGTTACAAGTATTGGAGGATTCATTTCTCACATATACATTTATATTTTTGGCTTCTTTACTCATATTTTAAGCTATTATTATAATTTTTATTTGGTCTCTACAGCAGAATATCTCAGAATCTGAGGATTTGCCCTTTTAGATCTGTATCTCTCATTCAGTCTAGTAAAGTCCTGTGTACATGTTCAATAATTTTCAGTAATTGTATGGATTTTCCAGCTATTTTAGGTTCTACAAAAAGGCAATTCAAATATTTGTTCTCCTAAATCTCTGACCTGTGTCAAACCTAAAAATAGGTTGCAATGCATGTTTAGAAAAAAACTCTGGGTTTATGTTCCAATTAAATGATTAAATTTATTGTATTCAAATAAAACTTATTTTCAACTTGTAAGTTCTGTGTAAACTAGATTCAAAGGAGATAATCTATTCTTTCTCTGCCTTCTCTTATTTCTTATTACTGGTAGCTTAGTACATGGTTTGATCCTTTAACTGTATCATGAAATTAGTAATTCATTGTTTAACTTTATTATTATTCTTTAAACATTAGCTCTAACTCTATAAATATGATGTAAACTCCTTGAGGACAAGGACCATGTCTTACGCTACTTTGGTTCCCCACATTCTATAACTAAGATTAGTACAAAGTGGTGTAGTACATGTACCTTTATAGTTTTATTACTTAATATGTTTCCCAATTCTCCAATCAATAGGTCAGAGAAGAAGATGATATAACCTTAGTTTGATTGTCAGGGGCCTATTATATTATTCACATTATATTTCCATAACTCTTTGCCTAGGATCTTTAAGATAGTAAGCTTATAATAAGTAACTAGCAAGTGGGAGATCTTGCATGATTATCCAGGAAGGCAAGTGAGAGGCAAAATTCCACCTCACTTTTCCAATCAGCAGAGGGTGAAACATTTTTGTGTGGGGAGGTTTTAAGCCTCCTTCCATACCCAGAATGCTCTGTCATTAATTGAGCCCCTACCTTTCTTTTAGGGTCTTAAGAGTAACTGTGAACTTAACTTGGCCTTTGGAACCGAAACAAACATAGTTTTATTTCTCTGCATATTTCTCTGTCTATGAGACCAGGCATACCGTTGAACAATACTGAGAATTAAAAACAAACAGCTAAAGTACTTGTTCTAGAAAATATTTGCTCCAAGAAGATAAGACTATAATTAAAATAGCTTTATATCTAGATTAACAACTTGATCATAAAAATTTACATTAAGACCTTGGCCTTACTGTATCCATCAATCCAATACTAGTATGACATAAATACTGAGTAATCCCAACTATTTGCCCTTCCTGCAGGACCCAACTTAAAATCACACAACTACTACCCAGACCCCAAATCCTACAACTACTCTTCTCTGATCTCTTTTTCAGATGCTAATAACAGGCTATAAAGGTGGTATTCTCCCTTACTGGAGTAGGTGTAAAAAACTTGGATTTACTTTATTAATACATTTCTATGATAAAATTTAGGGAGAGTCAACATCCAACAATTTTCTAAATCAGGTGGGAAATCAGTCATCAGAATTATATATTATAAGTGTTCTCATTTCTAAAAAAACAGCAAAATATTTTGCACAGCTAAGACATATCTCTATCAAATGTTATTTTATGAGATTTCAACACAGTTTTTACGTTCTTGAGATAACAAGGCCTGGTGGGATCTTGCTTTTTTGAGGTTAGATTATTGTATAGAAAGTTTTCATCAGGGAAATACTCTCTACCCTTCTAATGATTTTACTTAAGCATTACCATTGTGAAATTTATAAGAGATTAAGAGGTAAATTTTCATTCCAGAAGCATTTTGAAAGGGAAGAATAGTCATTCAAGATATACAATTATAAGAGAGGTTAACCATCTCTGCTCACTGCTATAATTCACCAAATGTATCACACAATAAAATTCTGTGATAACTCACTTTTCCTGACAAAACCTGTAATGAGAACAGAAAATGGAATAAATTCATCTATTCACTTGACCCAACCTGTAAGTAGAAAGGGGGTAAATGCCACAGAATTATACCTTCTAAAAGTCACCATCCAGCTGTAGTCTCATGGTTTTCCTCAGATTACTTAGCTATATATCTTTTATAAATCTTACCTCTCATTTCAAAAAGTTCACAAAGTCTAGTCAGCATTTTAGATAATAGTTACAGAATGTAACCTAGAAAAACATTTTGAATCCTGTTTTTTCTATTTTATATAGCATATAGCTTTCTAGCTTGCCTCAGAGTTACTAATTACATCACATGCTACAAAAGGATGATGATATGCAAACATTTGATAAACATCTACTATACATAGATAACTCTGCTAGCTGAATCATTAGTGAAATTTTAGTATTTTTTTTAAGAGGCACTATGTCTGTTCTGTCTTTATTGAGAGTGATGTTGGGGCTCAAAAAATACCCCAAAATGAAGCCCTCAGAAGCAGCCTCAGAAGTAAAAGTTTTTATTTGACTTTCTTCTGCCCTCCTGTTTCTCAGGCCCATTCGAAAGTGCCTAGCCATAGAAACTGGAATCCTTCTTTCCAAAGGTGGATCATAGAGACCAGAATCCCTTTTCCTTAAACCATCCATAAAGCCTAAAGATAATCTTCTAACTTTCCCTCACCTTTCTATGTAAAAACTATCCAAAAAGAAATTGTATGTGATCTACTTTGTTTGACTGTAGGTCATTAGACCTTTGTTCAGGAGAGAGTCCTATCTCATACCTAGAAGGAAGGAATTGCATACTCAGAGAGGCCAAGAACAATCTAGGCAGACATGCCTTGCTGGGTTACCCTACTCCATCTAGCAGCATTAGATCACACCCTTTTTGCCCAATCATATTTCTGTACAGCTATCTATACTTTGTTGAGCCTACACATAAAACTAGACAATTTCTCTTGAACCTTTTTCATTCTATGAAGCCTTCTGTGTATACACATTAAATTCATTTGTATGCCTTTTCTCCAACTAATCTGCCTTAGGGGGAGTGATTTTTCAGCAAAACTTCAGAAGGCCAAGGGGAACTATGACCCCTATAGTGATATCAAGAGGAACACAAGACAAACAGTCACAGTACTGTTCTAACTGGATTCTGCCTTCAATTCTTCCAAGAGCAAGCTCCTTAAAATCACCCATGTTCAATTTTTCTTCTGAATATGAAGGGATTAGACTAAAAGAGTGGTTCTCAAATAGTAGGAGAGGGGAATTTTTCCCATCTTTCCCAAGAAGATATTTGGCAATTCCTTGAGAAGTCTTTTTCTTTTCTCTCTCTCTCTTTTTTTTTTTTTTTTTTTTGAGACGGAGTTTTGCTCTGTCGCCCAGGCTGGAGTGCAGTGGTGGGATCTCGGCTCACTGAAAGCTCCGCCTCCCAGTTCACGCTGTTCTCCTGCCTCAGCCTCCGGAGCAGCTGGGACCACAGGCACCCGCCACCACGCCCGGCTAATTTTTTGTATTTTTAGTAGAGACGGGGTTTCACCATGTTAGCCAGGATGGTCTCGATCTCCTGACCCGCCCACCTCGGCCTTCCAAAGTGCTCGGATTACTGGCGTGAGCCAGCAGGCCCGGCCAAGACGTTTTTAATTATCCAACTAGGGTTAGTTGTGATACTAGCATCTAGTCAGGAGAGGCCAGGGATATTGTGAAACATCCCACAAACTACAAGGTCACGTTCCACAGCAAAACATTATGTGTCCTAAAATATCTGTAGCTTTATAGTTGAGAAATACTGAACTAAAACTTCTCTAAGATCCCACTTCAAATTCTATAAATCTTCATCTAACTCTTTTTTCTCTATGTGATTCTTTTCAGCTCATTTTTATATCAAATCACACATTTATGGACAACAGCATTGAGTTATTTGTTGGAAGATAAAAGTTTTAATTACCCTGGTATAATGTTTTTCCTGACCTAGTCTAACAGATCCTTAGCATAAGAGCTTATAATTGGATACACAAACAATTATACAAATAAATTACTAAAAATACCTTATTATAGAACAAGACAAGTCAAGACATTTTAGGTAAAAGAGCTTAATCCTGCTGGTGTCATTTACAACTACATCCCACACACATCATAGCCAGCCCCTGAAAAGGGCCTGCATAAATCACAAAGTAAGAATTGTACAATGAAGTGGCTATGCCCTGGATGTTTTTGCATACATTGATATGAAGGGGATCTTTATTTCTGCAATTGGAGTGTACTGGACAATTTGATTTGGGACAGGTTGCAGGCCAAAAGTGATTTACGGAGGGAATTACATGGTATTTGGTAATGCTCAAGACCTAGGTACTGGGAATCAGTCTTGGGCTACATAGATAAGACCAAAGGTGATTTAATAACATTTGCAGGCTGTGCACGGTGGCTCATGCCTGTAATCCCAGCACTTTGGGAGGCCAAGGCGGGTGCATCATCTGAGGTCAGGAGTTCGAGACCAGCCTGGTCACCATGGCGAAACCCTGTCTCTACTAAAAATACTAAAATTAGCTGGGCATGGTGGCGCGCGCCTGTAATCCCAGCTACTCAGGAGACTGAGGCAGGAGAATTGCTTGAACCCAGGAGGCGGAGGTTGCAGTGAGCCAAGATTGAGCCATTGCACTCCAGCCAGAGCGAAAGAATGAGACTCTGTCTCAAAAAACAAACAAACATTTGCAAAGACTTTAAAAGTTTGAGTTCAAGCAGAGTTGCTCTTAATATCAGGTGATAATATATGAAAGCTATGGAAAGAGGACCATCTCTGCACTTCTGTATGAATACCTGTTCTGCTCTGGAATCTAAGAGCTCTCAGGAGTAGAGGCACTTTGCACTCTCCCAGTGAGCCCCAATAGCAGTGTGCTATTTTCAGAAGCTTCACTAGAAGAGGGACAAAAATGTATGACTAGGCACAAGAACGGGAGAGGAGAAACCCACAGAAGTAGACAGTGCAGCGTTAATGCCACAAAGGAGTCCCCTGAATGGAAACTTGCCCCATTAGAATTTTTTATAAAAGATGTATTGGAATGTAATTAACATACCATAAAATTGACCCACTTAAAGTATAAAGCTCAGTGGTTTTTATTATATTTAAAAAATTGCGCAAACCTCAACACTATGTAATTTTAGAACATCATTATCGCATTCAAAAGAAACTTCATAGACATTTGAAGTTGATTCTAATTCCCCATTATCTGGTCCCTGAGGCTGTGGCAACCACGAATCTACTTTCTGTTCTTGTAGACTTCCCAATTCTGGAATTTTCATATAACTGGAATCATAATATGTGGTCTTTTATGTCTGTATTGTTTCATGTAGCATAATGTTTGCAAGATTCATCCATGTTGTACCATTTATCAGTACTTCATTTCTTTGCATTGCTAAATAACATTCCACTGTATGGATATATTACATTTTGTTTATTATTTCATCAATTGATGGCATTTTGGTTGTGTTCACTTTTGGGGTATTATAAATTGTACTGGTATGAACATTCATGTATAAGTTTTTAGGTGGACATATGGTTTTATTTCTTTTGGGTGTATACTTTTGAGTGGAACTGACAAGTCATTTGGTAACTCTATGTTTAATATTTTGAGGAACTGCTGAACTTTGTTCCACAGAGGGCACACCATTTTAAAATCTCACCAGCAATGTGTGAGAGTTCTGATTTCTCCATATCTTTGTCAATTATTGTTGGGCTATGCCTTGTTTATTTTTGACATTAGTGGGTGTGAACTGATGTCTCGTGGTTTTGATTTATATTTCCTCAATGACTAATAATGTTAAGCACATTTTCCTGTGCATATTGACCATTTAAAAAAATCATCCTTGGCGAAATGATTATTCAAATTCTCGGCTGATTTTTAGATTAGACTATTTGTCCCTATATTGTTGAGTTGTAAGTGTTCTTTGTGTAGCCTGGATAAAAGTCTCTTAAAAGATATGTGATTTTTCCAATATTTTCTTTCATTGTGCAGGTTTTTATACATTTGATAATGTCTTTAAAGCTGAAGAGTTTTTGATCTGGTACGTCCAATTTAATTTGATAAATCCTAGTTTTTTTCTTTGTTGCTTGTGCTTTTTGTGTTGTATCTGTGAGTTCATTGCTTAATCCATTATGAAAATGTGCTGCTACGTGTTCTTTCAAGAATTTTACAATTTTACCTTCTACATATGGATTTATGATCTATTTTTAAATCTCTTATTTGACTTTGTATATGGTATGAGATATTTAACAGTAGTTCAAGTTAATTTTTTTTTTTTGAGACAGGATGTCGCCCTGTCTCCCAGGCTGGAGTGCAGTCATGCCATCTCTGCTCACTGCGACCTCCACCTTCCAGGTTCAAGAGATTCTCATGCCTCAGCCTCCCAAGTAGCTGGGACTACAGGTGCTATGTGACTATGAATATGTCAGAAATTTTCAGAGCCCCTCTACACATTTCATTTCCTTGATTTAAAAAAAAAAATTAGAAAGCCTCTTGTTTATACCATCTTGTGTTACCACCTCAGACAGTTGCACAGTTGAACAAATGTCACTGATTATTTTTGATGAATATCCTGGGGACAAGTCTTTTCTCACAAGGAGCTCCAACTCCAACCCAGGACAAATAAAGACAAACCATGTGAGTGAGACTTTTCTTGGGAAATTTCATGTGAGTCATGCAGTGCTGTAGAGATTAAGTTTCTAGGGAGCTCAAAACCTGTCTCCCTCTCTGGTGGCTGCTAGGCTACAGTTTTTAACAGATACCATGTTTCTAAGACAGTTGTTTTAAGACCATGGAACTGAGAAGAAGGAGATGGGAATGGGGCAAGTTAAAAATGCCACAAAGCTTGTTGTTCTTACAGAGATTCAGACATTTTTCTTTAATAAGTACTCATAGAATTGTTGCAAGCATTTGGTTAATTTTCAGAGTTTTGAAAAAGTTGATTTTAATAATTTTTTCCAGTGTTCTCATTGCTTTTATGGAGAAGCAGATTTTTAGACATCCTTACTTCAACATTCTGGAAGTACTCTTCTGTTCCTTTAGAACTTGAACAAAAATGATGCCATTTCTTTTGATCTCCAATTAGGAAGAGGATGGGGAGAATAGACTGAGAATACCCTCTCTAGGAGGAGTGCTACCTATTTTAAGAAACATAAAAATTTCCATCAGTTTCTATGTAGTCTCTACTAGGCTGCAGAGAGCTTAGTAATGAACCCTGGTTTTTATGCATTCTTTATGCCAGCAGACTAGAGTTAAGGCAGGGCCTGAAAGAAAGCAGATGATCCAAAGAGAAAAAATGACCTCATTCTGCACAGCCATGTTCCTATATTCCCAGGATGGCAAGCACCTGCGCAGGTTACCCTTTGTATGAGGGAAAAAAAATCTTTCTTAAAACCTATCTATCTCTGAGAATTAGGCTTTGTGTTTATAAAGGATGCATGCATGTGTATGGGTGTGTGTGTTTTTGTGTGTTTCTGTATCACACATTAATTTACATTGTACACAAATGTATGGACAAGATGCAGCTTCTTTACTTTGTTTATAACAGACCTGATCTTTCTCATAAGATTTACACCTGAGTATAGTGAGAAAATAAAATAAAACAACTATATTTGGGCAATCTGCTTTAAAACTTGTTAGGACTCAATAGCTTAAATAGACTATTTAGGTTTACATTGAACTGTTTACTCAATATTCCATATTTATCTCCTCCACTTACAGCTACTCTCAGATAATATATGAGTAATGAGGAAAGAGTTTGACTAACCTGATGGCAGTTAGGGAAAGGACATTTTTCATCCCTTGCCTGGGTGACATTCTCTGAAATATGCTTGACCTTAGTTCCATCTCTGGCATCTCCTGACTGATTTGAGCAGCAGCAGCAATCTGTATTTTTGCACTCAATCAGGGACTGCCAGATGACTCAACTTCCCCTTTTCTTTCTTGCCTTTTAGTCTCATTGGGTACTTATTTCAGACTCTCTAATCCACATCTCTGTCATGACATCACCAACTACTCCACCACTCTATGCCCCATGGGAGGCAAGCTGGTTCTCAATGGAACATTCACATGACAGCATAGACTAAGGCTCAGAAATATAACAGAGACCCCCATCTCTTTCTGACCATGCTGTTCCACTAGATTAACAAATTGATACTCTTCTTATTTTGGGTTGGGGTCACCCATTTTGTTAAGAGATTCTGCAGAGCAATCTTCTTCTAGAGTTTCTAAAAATAAATACATCCAGAGTCTCTCTGTCCTCTATTTTCATCAAATTATCCAATACACCTCCTCTTCTCCCTTTCAGTAGGCTTGTGCTAAACAGGGGCTAAACAAACCTAGAACACCTTATCTCCTTTAAATATGACTGGCTTTTATTCATATTATTTCCAAGCATACTATTTTGAATGCCAGAAAATTTTTTAGATCTCTCTGTATTGCAACTACCACAATCCTAATCCTACCTTCTATCCTGGATGTTTGATATTTAAGCATGACAGAGGAGAGGATCTGGTATGTTGAAAAATAAGAGAAAAGCATTTTACTTTTTTCTACTTTTTAAAAATTAATAATTGATATGGTTTGACTCTGTGTCCCTACCCAAAATTCATCTCAAATTGCAATCCCCATGTACTAAGGGAGGGACCTGGTGAGAGATGATTGGATCATGGGGGCTGGTTCCCCTATGCTGTTCTTATGATAGAGAGCGAGTTCTCATGAGATCTGATGGTTTAAAAGTGGCACTTCTCCCTTCACTCTCTCTCTCTCCTGCCACCACGTGAAGAAGGTCATTGCCTCCCCCTTGCCTTCCGCCATGATTGTAAGTTTCCTGAGGCCTCCCCAGCCATGTGGACCTGTGAGTCAATTAAACCTTTTTCATCATAAATTACTCACTCTCGGGTAGTTCTTTATAGCATGTGAAAATAAGCTACAATAAAATGCAATAATATCACACACATCTGTAATATGATCCAGAGAGACAAAAAGATGCTTTGACTGATGAAGCCAAACATATTGCATTGTGGTAAATATTATTTGATACAACCACCTTTATCCAAAAGCAGAAATCAATAATTTGAGGTTCCTGGTTTTAAATTGTAGTGCCAATTTCATATTTGTGAGTCCATTAAAACTTGATCTAATTCTCACAGGCTCTCCCTTTATACATTTATTACTAATGTATTTTATTGTGTGCTACGCATCATGCATTACACTTCACAACTCAACATACAAACTGCCTGAACTGAAATACGTGTTGGTTAACATTAGTGTTTCAGCCTCCTGAGGAAGTGTCATTTTTCATTGCAATTCAACTCTCTATTCTGGGTTTATATAACTCTCCCAACAAGATTATGAAACTCCTGAGAACAAAGAACAAATCTCCTAACTTTTTATATTTTCACTGTTGCCTATGATTAGGTAGAGGATAATGTTGGGGAGCATAAAACACATACTGAATAATCTGTTGATACTTAGAAACTTTGACTTCCCACAGATAGCAATTTGGGATTCACATGCCTCCTGTTTTTTTTTTTTTCCTCTGTCTTCACTGTTGTACCTCCAACAACAAGATGAGGCATTTTATCCAATGAATAGAGCAGAAGCCTCAAATCTGGAAACTGTAGACTAATGTTTATAAATTGTGATCATCCTCTGGTCACAGATTATAGAATTTACTGTGTTATGCCAGCAAAATAAATTATCCATCCTTACTGAAAACTTTTAGACAAGCATATCTAATTTGGCAGAGTCTTCCTTTTGTTGGCTTTTGGAATTCAAGGGTATGTAGGTGTGTATATGCATTTATCTTAGACTTCTCATCATTCGAAAGGACACTTTGAAAAAGCTTGACAAAATCAAAGGACCCTTAACCTTAATTATCAAAGTTTACCTCTACCATTATTCTTCCGTTAAATATACCAATATTTAACTCTGCCTGATTTTCTTTGTGGTATTTTTACCAGTGAAGAAGAAAATTCTCCCACTACACCTTTCCTGGTCTCTGTAGTTCACTAAAGAAAAACGATCTAGATAAGAGTAAACAAACAATGTTATTGAACCTCTTATAAGCAGTAACATAAATTTCTTTCAAATTAAATTTGGAAGCCACACATGCTTTCTTGGAAATTCCAGGAAATGAACTCTCCAATTCTTTCTCTGAATTAACTCCTAGTATATTCATTGGAACCTTTCTCATGTCCTCAGCCCTGTTTCCACTAGTGCCAGGTGAAGTATTTTAGCAGTGCAAAAGCTTTGAATATGGCTACAGAACACCTCAACCCGAATCTCAAGCCATAATACAGAAAATTCTAGAAAGCCCCTTTCAAATGGTCAGCAAAGGGTGTGTATTTCAAGAATAAGTCTAAATAAACTAGTGAGAAGCCAAAATAAATAATCGGGGTACTGAAGCCAAACTAATTGCATCAGGTACTGGGTCTGTTAAAAAGAAACAATGATGAGATATCATTAAGAAATTGTTCTGGGGAACTAGCAACTCTATTCACAAATTGAATGACAAGATTGTATAAGAAAATGAAAAAAAAAAACGATATGAAATTGATACTGTTAAACAGAGTCAATCAGCCCTTTCAATAACTTCCTGACCCAGAACACAGGATGTAACACTTTCCTATCAATCACTCACATCTACCTGTTGGTTGCCATGCCTTTCTCCCTTTTATTTGGAAAGTTTGAATCATCACAGGGGAAGTTGAACCAGGTATCAACACTTGAAGTACTCACACCATTAATGTGATTTTCAATTTTCTTTTCAATTTCATCTTTTTCCACATTATGCCCCTGAATAATTGAAAACAAAATTTTATAAATTACAAATCCACATGAAACCTCTGTGTACAATAGTCATTTAATTAGTCAAGCCTTTCTGTTGTTGTTATCATTAATAGAGTAATTGGGTTTCTATTGCATACTCTGCACTCTGGTGTACTCTGATGGGAAGTCAGAGCTGCTGTTCTTTCATGGGAAATAGCCAGACATCTGGGCACTGTCTTCAAACGAGAATAGCACAGGAATGGAATTGAAAACTCTGTCTTCATCATTTTGGCAGTTTTCAAAGAGACTCGCTCATATTGAAATTCTTGAGTTTTTAGGGAGAAATTCTGTGCTATTTACACCATGCCACTCAATCTGTTCTTCCATTTATCCAATGTGAAGAACCAGATCCTTTTTCACAGAGCCTGAGTTACACTAATGTCTTCATTTCTGCCTAGCAAGAAATTCCAGTGACTTCAACCCACAAGCTTAACAATTTTCAGTCCTCCACTAAGCCTCGCCAAGGCAGGTTAATTTTTAGGAGGCTCCATATATCCTGAAAGGTGGGGATTGCTATAGACCCAGCTCACCATGTGCCCACAATCTTTGCCTATGTATGGAAATGTATGCCTTGTATAAAAAGCCCCAACCACCTGCCTTACTTACTAAATGGACATTCAGCTGCTCTTTGGGAACCTGAGCTTCAGTCTGATTGACAAGAGTCCATATCTTGTAACTCATTCTTATCAGCTCTCATTCCTAAGAGGTTAGACTCTGTACTTCACACACACAACTAGTTATAGCCCAGTTACTGACTCAGCATATCACCTCAGCCATGAGCAGTATTATCTGTTCTTTGTAACAATCCCTCACAACAAACTCTGGCATGCTAATCCAATCCAATGCAAGCTGGTCCTAATCCAGTGCAAGTTTTGATGACTGATTGTGCATAGCTGGCCATCCCAATGTGTCCCTGGGCATGCTATGTTGGGCCTCAGTCCACTTACTTTCCTTGAGGACCTGATGTGGAGTCCCTGTGTTCTGCAAATCCAAGCCCATCTGCTATTGTTATTACCAGCACAGATAGATTGAATTTAATTTCTTGACCAAATTTCTCCTGTGGCCTTCACATGGTATATTATGGCATCTCAAGTAAATAGGCACATAGCAATGTATAAACATATTACCTTGAAATTTAACATAAGAGGCTTTCCCCAAATTTATTATACTTTCTAGATATGAGTCACTCATTCACTCAATAACATTTTCCTAGGCCCTTTAACAGGACAACAAGCGCAAAAAATCAAGTACTCTATCTTCCAGTATTGGATTTTTAAAAATATGAATAAGAAATTGAAGTTTTAAGAAGAAAAATGAGACATTCAGTTTTATGAACTTCAGAATTGGCTACTTGAAGCATTGGTTATGCAGATTGCTTGGGTGACTGCTAATATGTTGATGCTAGAATTTAGAAAGACTAAATCTAACTCTGAGCCTCCCCCGCCATTCCCCATGAAACTACAATATACTCTGCATATATTCCCAGCCCCATGCAATCTACATTCTGGAAAAACCAGATCACATATGTCTTCCCAAATGTTTTACCAATGTCTTCAGGCTGCATCTTCTGCCTGGAATGTTCTTTCCACCAATTTCTACCTAGGCAACTTTTCTCCTGGGACTTCTTTTTCTGTGATACCATCACCTCAAAGAGGCTTATCAGCAAATCCAGATCCTCAAGCTTGGTAAAACCAGCACCATCACTTATCTATTTCTTTTGTGTAAAGCCATCTCACAATACAGTCCATAGATAAAGCAATTGACAAAAGATGCCTTGGACCTGAGTGGGTGTTTATTATGGTTTTGAAACAATTGACATGAGAAGCTGGTTATTTTCTTCCATCTTCCCTTACTTAAGCATTCAAGTTACTAATAGATACCTTAAACTAATGCACATGTCTTGTTATCAATCCTTAAGATATACTTAATATTCAAAAAGGAACAAATGTACATTTATCCCAAGAAACCTATAATGTTGATTAATATTTGTAAAAGAAATGAAAATATAGTCTCTCACAGACAAGTGGTCTGTGAACAGAATCAATGCTGTACTAGATAGTGAAGAAAGAAAAGATTGTATTTCTCCTTCTTGCAGTCTCTTAATTTTCCATTAAACTGCCTTTCCCAAGCTCTGATAACTCTCTGATCTATCTCTCCCCAAATCAGGCATCTATTCCCCCATTATTCCTATTGAAAATGGCAGAATTATTTTCCATGTGCTAGGTCTTATGCCCTTGGGAACTGGTCTTCAGCGTCATTAACCATGATAATTATTTTAATATTCATCTTGTGCTGTCAGGAAAAAAAAAAAAAAGAAAACACCCCTTCTCCTAGGGTCACTCTTTTCTTTCAGACATTATATGAATGTCATTTTTAGCAGTTCTTTAGAAAATACCTCAATCCCATTTTATTCTTAATATTTAACCTCAGTATTATTTAGCTCAGTTCAGTATGAAATCATATTTAAATGGCTCTTTTTTGTATTTAAACATCTTTAGACAGCTCAAAAAGTCCTCATTATAGAGTCATAGTTTTGATATTTCTTACATGGCTTTTGTTCTATTTTGTTTGATTGCACCTAGTTCTCTGTCACCAAAGGGCACTTACTAATTGAATCTCCTGCTTTAAGTTTAACACCTTCCAAAGTGAGTAAGCTTTAAAAATCTCTATTTTATATCAGCAACATTGAGCCATCATGTGTTCAATGTGAACTATTCTTTACTGTTCCTCATAAGACTGCTCTTTACCTTAATTGGGAGGGAGGCTTCTTTATAATCTCCCACTGATTTGCTTTGGATTTTTTTAGTACTGTCAACTCTACTAACATGAGAACATTAATTAAATGTGGCTGGTGACAACAGGCTTTGTGGGGATTCTGTAAAATTCATATGTCCTATGTCAGTGATTGACAAGTGAGAGTTCATTAGAATCACTGAGCAAAACTCAGTTTGCTGGGCCCTAGTCCTGTATTCCTGATTCGGTAAGCCTGGATTTGCTCTAAAAAGCTATGTTTCTATCAAACTCCAAGCAGATGCAACTGGTCTGGGAACCACACTTTGAAAACAAATGTCCATAGAATCCAGTCGCAATATACTCTAATTATAATTAACTAGTCTAACAGGCAATCAATATCCTAAAAAGTGCAGGTGATTGGGGAAAAAAATGCTATTGGAAGGGCATAGAGGCTCATGCCTGTAATCCCAGCACCACTGAGGTGGGTGGATTGCTTGAGTCCAGGAGTTGGAGACCAGCCTAGGCAACATAACGAGGCCCTATTTCTGCCAAAAATTAAAAAAAAAAAAAAATAGCCGAGTGTGGTGGCACAAGCCTGTAGTCCCAGCTACTCAGGAGGCTGAGGTGGGAGGATTACTTCAGTCCAGGAGGTCGAGGCTTCAGTGAGCCAAGATTGCACCACTGCACTACAGCCTGGGTAACATAGCAACACCCCAACTCTAAGGGAAAATAAAAAAGTGCTATCACTTCCTTCACGATTCTCAGCAATTTCAGTATACTAGAATGATCTGGGGGAGCTCTTAAACCTCTGGAATCCCCAATCAATTAAATCAGAATTTCTGGGGTTGGATCTCAGGCATTAGAAGTTTCTAAAATGTCACAGGCTATTCCACTGTGTGGCCAGTGCTGAAAACCATTGCCTTACTTCAAGGAGTATTTTCCACAGGTAAGTCAAATCAGTAAGTTTGGAAGTTGAGGGGCAAGTTAGTGTTTGTCTTAACTTATACTATGAGATTTACCAATAGAAAAAGTAGACACAAGCATATTTTTCCACACGTGCATATTTTTCCACACATGCATATTTTTCCACACATTCTTTTTTAACTGCTGGGAAAGTAAATCCATCACTTTCCTGTGAATTCATGCACATTGAGAAATGTGATTTAAATCAATGGTCCATTCAATTGTCTATTACTGTCTTTTCTTCCTCAGTGGGATCTCTCATAATTGCTCCTTAGTTTTCATTTCCATACTCAATAAATTATTAAAAATAATAGCTCATATTATGTTGGTCTTGTGGGAGAGGGAGAAATGGCTAGGTTCAGCTGTGAAAACCCAAGTTTAAGCAAACTGAGGAAACCAAGCCTGGCTTATCAATGTTACATAATTTGCTCAAGATCTTATGGTTAGTACATGATGGATGTAACAAACATTATTTTTAATTTCACACATTATTTCATTACAAAAAATTAAATGAGTGCTTGTTAGATGCTAGGCAGCAGTGTAGACACTGTGGATGCTCTTTACTAAATCAATAAATACTTGTTAAATAATGCTCAACTATATGGAGGTGGAATATACATGAGACTCATGAAGAAATGGTGCCATCTTTGTTAGCATCGATCCAAAGAATGTGTACAGGGAAGGTTCACCAATGACTTAAAGATGATCAGGCACAAGAATGCCACTCTTTAATTCATTATTTAATTTACTCTTGGTAGTATTCAAGTGGAAATTGGAATATCAGAATCATCACAGAATCAGGAACCTCAATGGCCTTTTTTTCCCCAGCCTTTCTCCTAATTTAGTACACCAATTATAAAACGTCTGTGACAGATGACAGTCCGGACTGGGCTTGAATACCTTGAATTAAGGGGCTTTCACTTCTGTACTAGACAGCCTGTTACATGGCTGGAAGCTCCAGTTGGTGAATTCTGCCCCAGATGGAATCCCAAATATATTTAAACGCAAGCTTTTTCTTTTAAATTTAGTCCTAATATCATTTGTGGAACAAATTTTATTATTTCCTCTAAATCAGCAGTCCCCAAACTTATTGGCACCAGTGACTGGTTTCATGGAAGACAATTTTTCTGTGGATGGTGGTGGGTATGGTTTCAGGATGAAACTGTTCCACTTCATATCAGGCGTTAGATTCTCAAAAGGAGCACACAACCCAGATCCCTCACATGCACAGTTCACCATAGGGTTCGTGCTCCTATGAGAATCTAATGCTGCAGCTAATCTGATAGGAGGTGGAACTCAGGCAGTCATGCCTGCTGCCCCACTGCTCATCTCCTGCAGCCCGGTTCCAGGCCACGGATCAGTACAGGTCCATTGCCTGGGTTTTGGGGACCCCAGTTGTACATGACAGTATTTCAGTTCTGATTTCTTAGATAATAACTGCTCAGAGACTACTTGCCTCAATACTTCACTAAGTATTGGAAAATACTGTTTCTCTTTATATGGTCTTGCCTTTATCATCTCGTCATACATTTTTTATTATAGTTGCTGCACCAACATTCATTTTTAGGCCTGATGTAAAAGTTGTTTGAACCCCAGTTGTACCCTGTCCTCTTTGATCTGGTTAAAACTTTCCATTCCTGTATGGTTGTTTCGGATATAGCCCATTTGTCCCTCATCTTACACACCAAAAGTCCAACACAGCTCACTGCTGCTGACCACAGTAAAACTCATAATTAACAACAGAATCATGTAAATAAGTTCTCCCTTTTTTATGTGTTTTCTTTAAACTAGTGAATCCACAAGTCATGAGGGAAAGCTTAAAGGATAATGTTCTTGGACCTTAATAAAGGTATAGTCCCACATATCCTTTCTCTACTCTCTGCCTGTTGGTTGAGTTCCCTGCCACCTCCAGACTTCCCATTGGCCCTCACGGGCACCCCTCTTCTCTCTGGGATCTGTAAGTAATACCTTTCTTCTGTTTTCTTTGTTTAGTTTTATCTTCTTATTGTGCCTCACATGGCAAACACACACTAACCTAACTTTCTCCCTGGACATTGGTCTAGAGAGTGGCTACTTGTCTTGTTTTATGGCCACTCATAAAGACATCAAAATCAAATTAAGGAAAAATCACAATACATCTGGTTCAGATTTATATATTAACAAAACTTGGATAATTAGAACTCTTCCTAATACTAGACTCAGTTGAGTTATCTTCTGAGGCTGTTGTACCTTTTTATTTTTTTGAGACGCAGTCAGTACAGTGGTGCGATCTCGGCTCAGTGCAACCTCCACCTCCCAGGTTCAAGCGATTCTCCTGCCTCAGCCTCCCACGTAGCTGGGACTACAGGTGCATGCAACCACGCCTGGCTAATTTTTGTATTTTTAGTAGAGACAGGGTTTCACTATGTTGGCTAGAATCTGCCCGCCTCAGCCTCTCAAAGTGCTGGGATTACAGGCGTGAGCCACCACACCTGGCCTGTACCTTCCATAATTCTTTTCTAGGATTGAATTTTGTTACCTAATAATTATAAAACAACATTCTCAAAAGGTATGAAATCCTTTTGAAACAAGGACTCATCTTTAAAACGCTACTACTGAAGATCCCATACATAGGGAAATTCTAGGCAAGAAAACAACCAATAGGGTAGGCCAAGAAGCAACGGCATGTCACTGTATTTCATGTGAAAGGTTTCCTATAAAGTTGGGCAATATGGCAGCCCTGCTGAGATGATAAGAAAAAAAAAATTTCTTTGATAAGAACATTCAGAATAGAAGTTTAGCCTTAAATCTTAGGAAATTCGCTTTTAGCAGTTTTGTCAATATACCTTTCAATAGCCTTATAGTACACAAACGTTTCAAGTCCTTAACAGCTTAATTTCCCATAAAAGACTGAATATTTCACTTTTGGAGGTGAACTTTCTCATCAACAGAAACAACTCTGTTATTATCACCCTTATGATGTGGACTGCAAAGCTATCAATTATTGACTTGTGGTCTATGTTCTGACTGTGATGACCTACATCGTGCACTGGGCCACTCTTGCAACAGCTAACTCATGTTGAGATATTATTATTCAGTTCATGTTTGTAAAATATCTCTAAGATTAAGTCTTCTATAACTGCCACAGCTCCTATTCATCACCTAAACTCTCTTAACCCTGTTGCATTCATCAGCAACACACATTTTAACACTTAATATTTTCTAATATTTCTTTGTCTGGTATGATATTATATCTCAAAAACTACATTTTAAACTATATTTAAAACATTCTGAAGAAGTCATAATCACTTACATAGTCTTGTAAAATCATTTATGTGATGTGAATTTAAGTGTGTGTTTGTGTGTGTGTGTATACATGCACACACACATATATTCTAGCTATTACTTGCTAAATAATTAAACACATTTTATATTTCATGATACAAAAATAAAACAACCATTGATTTATTATGAATAAGGTATAAAGTAACAACTGGACACACAACTAATCCATACTGAATCTGTTTAAGCCAGATATTATTTGTGCCTCTAGATAACCAAATGTCATGGACGCATACTACTGAGGAAAACTTAAAAGCCAAGAAATAAGAAAGCAAACACAATCGCCAAAACTCATTATTCCTCAGCCTGGGCCAACCAGGTGTAGATGTTCTGTATGTCTCATGGCCAAAGGTGTAGAAGGGTAGAAGCTGCCTTGGCCAGTGTGCTGGGCTTACAAGTGAAAGTACTCTGAGGGAAACAACAAAATTTATCATGTTACCTTACAAAATATCTATACATTAACTTAAGAGTGGTTAAGTAACACTTAGCTTCTCTAAGTAACAAGACTTATTTCAAATGATCTGGGGACACAGGAACCATGGTAGGGAGTGTGTACAAATGCCCTGGGAACATCTTGTATGTCAGGGATGTGAACATTAGCCAATGGCTTTGTCCCACAGACTCATTCAGTCTCACCCTTTGCCAGACTGCCAAACTGGGGAGGAAAGTGAATATCCAGGGCCATCTCCATTGTCCTTCATCATCTTGCTTTAAAAAATAATTTCTCTATATGTGAATTTTTATATTAAGTAAAAAACAAAAAAAAATCAAAAAGGATTTTTGGACTTTTTTCTTTTAGTGTAACACTTTATTTTAATTACAAGTGACAGGAAACCCTCTCAAACTGGCTAGGCCATTGAAGAAAATCGATTGGCTGATATGGCTTAAAAGTCCAGAAACAAAACTAAATTCAGATATGTCTTGTTTGTTGCTCAAATGTGATCAAGACCTAATTTTTCTCTCTTTCTTCCTCTCTATCCATTGAAGGTTAATCTACACTGTAGACCTGTGCAGATTCAGACACCACCTCATGATGTCAAAATTGCTGCCAGAGGAGAAAGGTCTTCTCTCTACAACAGTTGAATAGAAGCCCTAGTCCTCTCATTGCCTGGATTTGCATCCTGTGCCCAATACTGAATCAATTGCTGCAGTCCCTGGAATCCTAAACCTTCTCTGTTCACAGCAATCTGGTGTCTCAAAAGTCTTTTTCATGATATCCTACGTCAAAATAAATACACAACAGTTCTGTTTATTAAGTAATTAGGTCCAAACAACTTGATAAGTATCCATACCCTAACAACATAGTAGCTGCTTGAATATATAATACACATATATATTTTTAAAAGCACTTTTATTTTTAAATAAACATAATTACTTAGTAATGGGATGTGTGGGCTACGGCAAAATTTCTCAAATGTTAGAATCAGATTAGACACTTCCACTCTTATTTCTTGTCCCATATTAATTTTTTCATGCAGCACTTGTTTTTATCATAATAATAACTGAAAAACCAGCTTCATAAACATATGATATCATTTGGAACATCACACAATCCAATGTTGTTTGTAGTGTACTATAGATGTATAACAATGAGTATCACCAGATGTGAGTATCGCCATGGCTCTCTTAAAAATTTACAGTATCTCATGATCCACACTCTGAAAGCCAAAGATGTCATTAGAATGATGGAAGACGCTGCTTGGGCTTAGCTGTCCTAACCTAGTCCTTGACCTGAGGGTGAGGCTGACTTCATATGACTGGGTGTGGAGACATTTTCCAAGGGGAATTCAAGATGCTGTTTAATAAAATAAATTGAGAATGTTGTTGGGCAATAAGATCTCCATTATATCCAATTTGTTTTTCCTTACTATTAAAATGTAACTATATTTATTTGCTTTTTGTGCTTTATCTATTGAATGAGACTTAAAGTTCCCTAAGGACAGAAGCCTTTATATAGTGGAAAAACATTTAAAGTCTATACTTTTCATACATTAAAGTCCCTAAGGTTCATATTATTAGTTCCCCTCCGAGTAGAAAAATGCTGATCACATAAAAGATTATATTTAATAAATGATTTTTGACTGGTTGAGAATGTGAGAGAAATTCTTATGAGTAAAAACACAGAAGACACATCTAGGAACATTTTTTTCCCTAAGTAATATTCCCCATATTTATTTTATACACTTTGATTTTAGAGTTTATTTAACAGTTCTAGTAATTTTGTTCCCTTTTGTTCTTCTCCTCACTGTTCCTTGATGAGTTTTTAATTTTAAAAAAAGATGAGAATACATTAACACGGAAGAAACAGCATTTTTCTTCTGCCAAACAGAAGGAATATTCAAGATGATAAAAGCAGATATCAGAAAGTTGTTAAAGCAAGTCTTCAAAAAGAAAAGAATGCCACACTCCTAAAATTCATTTGTTTTCAGGAAGGAGGGGACAAATTTTCTAAACTTACATAAGAAAATTAACTTCTCTATCCTTGGAAATAGTTTTGAAGCAGAGAGAGGCTACATGGCATAGTGTAAACAGTACTGAACTGGGAATCAGAGAACAGTTAGTGAACTGTGGCCCTGGGGGAACACAACATCACTTTCTTGCTAATAATTCCTGAGTTTAACTTGGAGAGCACAGCTTTAGATATAGAATGGGAAATGAAGGCTGATTCTCCATCACAACATCATTCCACTGAGAGATGGAAGGGAGCAAATTATGAATCAACATAACCCTGCTCCCATCCCTGAATTATTGAGTATGAAACTAAAACCTTGGAGAGGCTTAAACAATCTATCAGCTGCTAAGCTTACGTTAGAATATTAGCTCATGATATGTAATGGTCTTTCTTATACATTTTAATTCCTTTTAACAGTTTAAATAGAGCTTGAGTAATAGCTTCTTAATGTTCACTACAGAAGGTAACTAAATCTTTAATGGACTCTTGCTGCAGCCTGCTTAATATTGTAATTTAATTGAGGTCTATGTAAAAGAAGTTTTCTTCTACTTTTTTATATATTTATACTTGCAGATTTGTTGAGGATCCATGTTTCAGTTAAACTGTTTTGCATAAACACAACTAGTATTTGTATGTGACTGACATGGAAATCTTTACAATAGAAGAAACTGTTTACATTTGCATTGTTGAAGTCTTTAGATTAGAAAATAAATTTTAATTGAAAAAGTAAGAATTGGCCAATGCTTAATTTCTATTTATGTATGTGCAGGACCAAGGACCTTTCTTGTGTTTCCCAGCTGTGCACTGTGAAACCACCATTTTGCCTGTTTCTCGTATGCAATACATTTCTCCCTTTAATAAGGTTCTGGTCTCAGAATCTTCATCATATCATGTTATGAATCAAGAGAAAAATTGAAAACCAACTTCCCTTTACTAGAGGATCTGACTTTTTTTTAGGCACCAACATGCGAAGCTGAAGATCTAGTGATGTAATTTTGCACAGTTGTCCATAGTTGGGGAAAGAGAGTGAATCCATTTGAGGGATGGCTTTCAAGGAGTCCAGATAAGGTTCACACAGGGCTTCCTGGTGTCATGAGAATCACACTGCAGAGCCAGGAATGTATTCCTCTGAAATTGAACTAATCATGCACAGGCAGCATGTGGTTTAAAGTTTATTTACATAGTTTAAAACTAAGCATAGAGAAAAATTGAGAACCAGAATAGTCAGCATGTCATGGTGACTGGCACCCTCATCTTTTCTACATATTGCTTTCCTGTCTCTCGGCTCTCCCTACTACTAGAGTGTCTGCCACCTCTTTTCCCCACTTCCTGCCATTCATTTAGTTTCTCATCCCATATTTTCCTTTATTCTCTCTGTAGTTTTAGCATGACATTCCTGTCCTTTGAGATAAGTAACAATGGATATGCTCTTGTGTTTCATTTTGTTTCAAATTTTGACTTTACCCCTCGGGCAAGTTACTTTATTTTTTCTAAGCCCCAGTTGCCTTCTTTCTCTCTCTCTTTTTTTTTTTTTTTAAAAAAAGGTAATGTACCTACTTCATAGAATTTTTGTGAGGCTGGAATGAGAGAGAATATACAGAGGATAGCACTTTACATATTGTAATGTACTAGTAAATTGTGTTGTGCTGTTGCTGATGTTTTTATTTCTCCATGACTAGCAAACCTTTGAACATGTGGAAACAGATGCTTGGTGGTATGCAGGCAAAATCTTTAGTCAATGCCAGGTCTGCCCTCCTTATTCAATATGCTGAGTTCATGTAGCTGAACTATTGTTTAAAAGCATGTTTTAGGAGTTTTGCAAATAGAATATAATTGGAAACCAGGAATATTTTTATTACCAGTACAGATAGCTTCAGAAAAAATGGAAAATATAATAGACCTATCAGTGAAGCCACCCTTTTTGTCTCCTTTACCCATCTCCACCCAAATCTTTCTATCCTGTGTTTTTCCTGTCCTTCTTTCTGGTGAAGAGGGTGATCTAATCTTTTCAATCTTAACAGAGTTCTAGGGATACAGGACATTGACTGGCTCAGCTATTTGCATTTGAAAATAGCATAGAAGGGATGAATGCTGTACACCAAGGATTTAACCTTAGATAATGTCATTTATCACCACAGAGTTTGTGAAGGAGATAGTTTGGAAAGGGCTTCCCTTAACCTATAATACCTCCTAAAGCATCAACAGATTTTTTTATGGAAGGGTAGGATTTGTGAAGATCAACTCATAAATCCAAAAAAAAAGTCAATTCATTATTCAGTTAGTCACTGAACTTGAACTATACGGACTCAAAAAGTTTAGAGCTAGAAAGGTCTTTACAGATCATTTGGTAGTTCAGCACTCTAACTTTTAGTATAGAAATTAGATCTCAAAGAAGTGAGATGATGAATATATTTCTTATTACAATAACCAATATTACATAATTCATGTATTTTCTCCCCCAGTGAAGATATTTTTACCACATATTCAAATAATAATCGTACATTCTGAAACCAAACATCAATTAAACTGTGCCTGAAACTTTTTTTTTTTTTTTTCAGAAAACTACACTGATTAGTTGAGAAACTATGTTCATGTGGAGTTATCATTTTTAGGGGAGTAGAAAAGGAGTATCTAAGATGAGACAGAAAAGGAACGAGGTCTTAAATTAACTTTGTTTTCAATTTCATGCCTCTTTGCTCTCCTTGGTCTCTACCACTTGTGAGAAAAGTAATCACATGGGGATGAAAAAATAAAAGCAAAAACCATGAATAACATTATTACTGAAATTGTAAAGTTAGTAAATAACACCAGAAAACACGTTCCCTGGCAATTTTGAAAAATGTATCTTTTGTGTTTATGTATTTAAAGATTCATGTTAATTTTAGTACAGGTTTTTTTTTTCTAATAAGTAATAGCCAAGAAGTAATAAGTCATAGCTAAGAAATACATTGTTAAATGCCAGCATTATGCCCCTATAGGTACATTTAATTCTTTGTTCCCACATCATTTGATATTTTGTGAAAATGAGCTACTATCCCATGGTATTAAAATATTTGATGTTAAGTTCTTAAGAAATTCAGAGATTTCGATTTTTTTAAAATCTTGCTATCCCTGGTAAGCGTAGTGGAAAATCCAAACCCTCACAGTTTTAAACTCCATTTTCACTAGATGGACTACTCCCTGTACTAAAGAATGGCACGGAGAATTAGCCACAGAGAACATTTATTCTACTTTTCAATGTTCTGCCTCTTCTTTACCTTCCACTACCCTTGAGAAATATCATTTTTATAGTTTCAATTTCTGTGACAGACACTGACATTTTTGAAACTAAAGAAGAAAACTACCAAATTATTAAAAGAATCAAGACAGCTCAGGTATAGGTAGAAGACATATGGTTAGGGTATATATTATAGAAATATATACATAAAATTTAAGTATTCAGTTATGTTTTGATTAATGTTTTATTCCTGCTCTATTTTTGACCTGAGAGAGATCTTTGTTATTTTCAGGTGACTTTAAAATTTTAAATATTTTTTGTTATTTTTGTGGTTATCTCTATGAGGGTAACTTTGTTTTGCTAATTGCTATTGTTATCGTCCCATCAATATTTTTTAAGTTCCTACTTTGTGCTGGGTTCTGGTCTAGATTCTCACCATTCATGAGTAAACAATTTAAAAAAAATGCTTATCTCTGTTTTGTGTTTGTATACACTATATATATATATATATATATGCATATACACACATAGATACATATCTATATACAAATAAAGATTTATGTGTGTATATATGCACACACATATGCATAGATAAATATGTATGTTTATATACAGCTTGAACATCTCTATTCTGGAAATCTGAAATCTGAAATACCCCCAAATCCCAAATCTTTTGAGCACAAACATGATATAACAAGTGAACAATTTAACACCCGACCTTATCTGACGAGTTGTAGACAAACCACAGTCAAAACTTTATTTCATGCATAAAATTATTAAAAATATTACATGAAACTAACTTCAGATTATATGTATAAAGTGGATATGAAACATAGATAAATTTTGGAAATGTATATTCAGGGCAACCTAAATCTATGTCTCTTGAGTTGCAAGAAATATTTAAAAAATAATGAATTCTGTGTTTAGACTTCGGTCTCATTCCCAAGATACCATATTATGTATGTGCAAATTTTTCAAATTTCAAAAATCATTGAAATCCAAACACTTCTGGTCCCAAGTATTTCGGATAAGAGATACTCAAACTGTATAAGCATATTCATATACATACACACACATATATATATATATAATATATATACACATATAGTTGACCCTTGACCAATGCAAGGGTTGGGGCACTGACCTCCTGTGAGTGGAAAATCTGTGTATAACTTTTGACTCTCTAAAAACTTAACTAATAGCCTGCTATTGACCAGAAGCCTTGTTAATAGCATAGTTGATTAACATGTATTTTGTATGTTATATATAATATATTGTATTCTTATAATAAAATAAGCTATAGAAGGAAAAATGTTATTTAAATAATCAAAAAAGGAGAAAATATATTTACTATTTATTAAATAGAAGTGAATCATCACAAAGGTCTTCATCTCTTTCTTGTCTTCAGGTTGAGTAGGCTGAGAAGGAGGAGGAAGAGGAGAGGCTGGTCTTACTATCTCAGGGGTGAAAGAGATAGAAGAAAATTTGAATATAAGTGGATCCATGCATTTCAAACCCATGTTGTTCAAGATTCAACTCTGTGTGTGTGTGTGTGTGTGTGTGTGTGTGTGTATGTGTGTATAAGTTATATAATCAAACACTGCAATTTCCTGCCTCTCTCTCCACCTGCTTCCAAACTTATTCCCCATTGGCAACAACTTTCAAAACATTTCGTTATTCTTTTGGTGTAAATCTCCATGTCACTACAAACCATACTTACATTGTAACTTCCTGAGTTTTCTATGTTAGGCATTTTCTCTTGACTTTCTCTATGGAAGGTGAGAATTCAGCTTTCTGTACCGCCCCCCGCCCCCCGCCACCAATTCTTACTTCTACTCATCTATTTTCCTCATATCTTTATGGCGTATTTTGACTAGAGTATTAAGTGCTGTTCTAAGTGACCCTTGTAATCTCTCCACTACTTAAAAAATCTTCCCTAGGGTTTACAACTATTTTGGTCTTTGTTTATGTTTCTATGTACTTACCACTAATTCAATATCAAAATCTCCTCAAATTATTCTCATTTTCTCTCAATATATTTAAATACATCAGGTATTTTACCAAGTCGATCTTTTTAAAGAATCTTCTACTAGAAACTTCTGACTGCTTCCAATCTGAATGATTTCTTTCCAAACCTATGAACAGCTTTCATCCTGGGACACTTTCACCATCTTCCTAGAAATTTTCTCTTTATTTTGAGCCAAATCACTTCTTGCCTGAATATCACATTTTCTCCTGTATTGTTCTACTCCTTCATTGTAACAGAGAATATCTTCCAAAAATTTGATAACAAAAGGTACAGGGATGAAGTATATTTGATATTTTGAATTCTGAAATATCAGTATTATTTACTAAGTGAGCTGGGTATGAATTTTATTGGGATTTATCTTCAGAGTTTTTAAGGCATTGCTTCACTGTTTTTAAAATTCATTGTTGCTATTATATTATACAAAGCAGAAGCTATTTTCATTTATGATCACTTGCATATCACCTGACTTCTTTTTTGTTTTATTTGTTTTTGTTTTCTCTTTCTGCAAGTTGATAATCTTCATTCTTTATATGTTCTTTTCATAACAGTATATTTTGTTACTTTTTTGAGTTTTTTTCTTAAGTTTCCTCCTCTACCTCCTCCAAATTATCTTTTAAATGTTGTTTGTTTTGGTTTCTAGTTTTTCTAGTTTTCATGTTCCTCAAATGATAGGTCACCCAATATTGTCTGCTAATAATTAAAAGTGAAGCATTAAAAAATAAAACTTTTTTTTCAAAGTTAATAAACTCTAAGTGGTTGGACAGAACTTGTCAATTGCAGGCTTCGATTATGACAATTAGGGATTTGATGATTGAGTTTTAATCTCAATGTATTTATAGGTATTACATGCTCATAGGCTACTAATTTTCTTCTGGAAACACTAGCTCCAGTCTCTGTATCTGACTGCTAGATTTCTGGGAGTTCAGTGAAAGAAGAGGGCTAGCTTGTAATATATAGTCACCCAATGTTCACTTAATTTCTCTCTGTTGAGTTTAGGTCCATTTCCCTTAAGGGATCTGGTGTCCCTGCTACAGAGACACAGTTTCATCTTTCCAAATCCAATCTTTTTGTACCTGGGAGAGGGATAATAGTATAGTTGTGTGGCAAAAAGGACTGGATCTCGTATTATAGGTTCTTCTTATACAGACTTCCCAGCAACTCTCCTGTTTGTGCCCTACCCTGACTCCATCTCTGGAAATACCTGGGGCTGTTTGGGACTTCTAGAGCATAAATCAATTTCTTTCTCAGTTTTCTCTACTGCTAGCTAAAGATCTGCTTTCCAACTTCTGTTTTCTTGATTTTTGTTTTACCCCTTAAAAAAATCCCCTTACTATTGCTTTAATGGGGTTTCAAGAGAGTTGAAAATATGTATGTATATTCAATCTACCAGCTGTAGCAGGAACCAGTCTGTTACTGTTGAAACTTTTGTTTTGTTTTGTTTTTGCCTTTGCTTGTGGCATCCGCATTATTGATCTTGCCTTGTTCTTATCTTTTACGTATGTAATTTTTCTCATTTTTTCTGTGTATTTATGCTTCTTTTGTCCCCAACATAATTATATTCCTTAGAGTTTCCTGTCTCCATATCTCGTTTATCCCTTCTCTATAACTTCATCCTACTTTAAATACTTCATATACATTGATGACTTTGAAATCAGAATCTTGAACCAAGACTTCACCCTTCTGTTTCGGAATGGTGATTTTAACAGCAAGGGCCTGTGTCCAAAACAGAATTCTTCCTCTTCCTACCTCTTTTTTTTTTTTTTTTTTTTGAGACAGAATTTTGCTCCTGTTGCTCAGGCTGGAGTGCAATGGCATGATCTCGGCTCACTGCAACCTCCACCTCCCGGGTTCCAGCAATTCCCCTGCCTCAGCCTCCCAAGTAGCTGGGATTACAGACATGCGCCACCATGCCAGGCTAACTTTGTATTTTAGTAGAGACAGGGTTTCTCCATGTTGGTCAGACTTGTCCTGAACTTCCAACCTCAGGTGATCCACCCGCCTCGGCCTCCCAAAGTGCTGGGATTACAGGCGTGAGCCACTGCACCCACCCATCTTCCTACCTCTTTTAAACATCCCACATCCTGCTGCCTCTCTGACACTTGTAAACTCACTGTTAATGGTAACACAACCTACCCACTAATTTGAAACAAACAAACAAACAAAAAACAGAGGTTGTTTAAACATCTTGTTGTCACTTGTTTTCCATATCCAATTGGTCAATAATTCACATATATTTTGCTATCTCAATTTTTATTCAATAATGCTCAATTTTTGCATGTCTTCTCTTATACTAATAGATTCAAATTTTTACCCCTTCAATCGATTCTTTATTCAACCTTTAAAATGGTATTTTCTAACACATAAATAAAACTAAGCCATTTCCTTGTTTTAAATGTCCAGTAATACCTCTCTGTGTCAATTCCTATGGAAAAGTCCAAGGCTCTTCATGATCCTGCATCTTAGTCATCTTGGCTTCCTTGCTTCCTCACATTTTCTCCTTTCTGTATGCATGAGGTGTTGTAGCAAATGACTTGAGATTCTTGAAATTGTTCATGCTTTTTCCCTCCTCTGCATACTCTGTTATCTTTATATCTTTATCTGTCAGCTCTTCCTTAAAATCTCAGCTCAGATCTAAGAAGCATTCTCAGCATGGTCATGTTGGTTATGTGCCCCTCTTCTGTGCTTCCTAGTTATAACTATTGCTTAGCACTTTCAACATTATGCTCATTATGGCCTATTAGATCAAGAGTTTTCCAAGGTCCAGAATTATATCTTATTCATGTCCAGTAGTAACACCTAGATAGTGAGTGAAGAATGTTTATTGGATTAATGAATGCCTGTGTTACATTTTTACTTGTCATCTCAGGCATACAGGCGGATCACTCCAAACCACATTGCTCATTTAAATTTAACTTTTTCTGCATGATTGTACAAATCTTATTCTTGCTTTTCTACAGAATATAAGCATTTCATGCTTTTTTCAAAGTAGCCTCTGGTTATGGTTTACACCTCTCTATTTCACATTGGGCTCTTGCTTTCCATTTGATTATTTTTTAACTATATATTTTCTGCCACTCAAGTTTATAGCTGGGTACTAAGATACAGGCTTAACGGATTAGTATTCAAGATGGAAAATCATTCAGCTACTGAAGCACTGAAGATATCAAATTAGAGTCAGTGCTGATTCATTCCTTCCTCATATGACATCTGTCTGCAAATGCTTGCTGGCTATAAAATGAGGGGTCTGGATCTTAGACTGCGTCATGCTACTACATATTTGGAGGCTGACAATTTTCCATTCCTCCATGTTTTCTACTTAAAAATAAGTCATCCTTGTAGCAGTCTTCGCTAATTTCAGTGATGACTAATTATTTATATCTGACTGTCCATATGCTTTAAAGACTTTGACCTAGAAGGAACTATCAGTCCAGTTAAACAACCTAGTAATTCACACTGATGCTTTACACAAAATCTACTGGTTAGCTGGTGAAAATGACTGGGTAATTCAGTCAAAAGAGGTGAATTTTTCATGTTAGCATAAAAAGAGGTCAGAAGTTGGTATCAAGATCACTGGGTCTAGTCACTGTCACTTTTTAAGTGGTTTGATATGGGTCAATCAGTGAAACTCTAAGCATTGATTTCCACTTCTGACAAATGGGGTAGTAGGAGGAATATGGTCTTCTCCAGAAGAGGACCACAGTCTAATGTTAAGAATGGAGCTCTATTTGGATGATTTCCTCTGATCTCAGAATTGCTCCTACAGACTATGGGAATGGTGCTTTGTAGTTCTAGTAAACTATGAAAAATTAGGCACATTTGTAGATTTATGATACGCCTTCCCCTAACACTTATATAACATCTGGCAGTAAGTAGGTAGCTTGATAGCATATGTGATCATATATTCCCTTATACATTTGTATATATTATATGTTTATATTAACAAAATCATTAAGAATTAAAGAAAATTTCTCACTGTATATCTAAAAACCAATAGATACGTGTTTACGAGTTACAAAATAAAAACTCTTTTGAATTGCAAATAAAGAAATAAATGGAAGTGGTGTGTGTGTGTGTGCACGAGAGTGTGTGTGCGTGTGTGTGTGTGTCTGATTGTATTTCAGAACCCCAGGCAGACCTGGTGTGCTAGCATATGTAAAATTCTAAATGCTGCACAAAACACTACTAAGGCTAAGTTAGTTTTGTTCCTGACAATAAAGCCAGGAACGGAGGAAGCTGGTGATCTAATATTGCTTAATGGACTATTGCACAGTGCACAATGTCATTGTAATTGCTCTGTAGTTAATTTGTGGTACTCTGTATTTGTTCCATCTATGACTACGTTAATTTTCTTGCCAAACATTATCATAATTCATGTGTAAATCTTCTGTTGAAGAAATTGGACATTAGAGACTCAGCAGGACACAGATTTCAGATAGCACTTTTGCAAATTAGTTACTCTAGGTGAATGCTTCAGGTTTTTCAGATTTCCTTTTGCTTCGTCCAACATATGAGAGGACAAGCAAATCTTTTCTCTCAGTGGGACGCCCCCACGCTATTTTCAGAAATAGATGAATTTGTGATTATGTAAATAATCCTTTGAAGTAACATTTTATGATTCTAGAAATATAAAAATGGAAAAGTTTCTCTTCAAATCTTGGGTAGCTCCAGCTATCCAGAAGTTTGATTTATCAGAGTTCCTCTGTTCAGATGACTGATTTTTCTTTTTAAAACAGCTACTACTTCTAAAAATGAGTCTTGAAGATGATGAGTCTAACTATTATTATTTTCTGATTAGAATCCCAGAAGTGTTAAATGGCAACCCTAAAATGATATAGCCCATTTGTAGCAGAACAATGTCTTTTTTGCCATGTGTAATGCTATACATTATAAAAGTTTGTAGGTTACTCAGCCTTAAAAAGCTTAAAACATTTGCAAGCCAATAAACTTCTATGTAATAACCCAAATAAACCCAAATTATAGATGTCACAACATTATGGTTTGCCATATGCTAAGAGTTAACAACCTAGAAAGACGTTCTCCAGGAGAAAAAGCCAGTCAATTTGAAAACAGAGCATAGCAGTGGGTCTCAAAGGCTTTTCTAAGAAGATGTGAGTAACCCAGGAACTAAGCAGTCTCTCCCAGGAGCTGACAACTCTTGAACTTTAAATATATTCTAAGGTTGCTTGTCCCCTACTGGATTCTCAGTTGATTTCTCTTAGCCCGGAGGGTGGAGACTCTCAAAGGAAATTACTCTCTCTCTTTTCTTTAATGTCAACAGTTGAGGTCATAACTATGACAAACCCAAGACAATACCAGTCATCTAAGAAAACTTCCCTTTGGGAATCTCCACACATAACCCTAAAATAAGCGAAATAATCTTAAGATCTTTCATGATGATTGATAGATTTCTATCACTTTTTCTCCTCATCATGGCTGTTCATGTTATGTAGACCTGTTAGTTGTGTCATTCCAGAGATGCCAGATAATTCAATCACCCTCAGTATTCATTCCCCAGTACCACTTTCATTATTAGAGGTGTTTGTTTGAACTTACTGGAGAGTGAGTGTATTATTACATTACCTTGAACAATAAACTGGTAACTTGCTATTATCCATAGATCACAGGTTAATTTGTCAGTTGAGCAAAATGCTACCTGACAAGCATGGGAAAACAGAATGCAGAATAGGTAAAACTTCAGTTAAGTGAAGTGAGAGAATTTTAAAACTTACAGGGAGTGATTCTCGTTGGTTATAGTGCAATTAGTGGATATCACATAAGACCACCATTGGTTTCTACATCAACTATTTTCCTTCATTTTCCAATCAACCTTCTTTAAAAGTTATTTGCACTTAAAATATCCACCCCATCATTCTTGCTCACTTTTTAACCACTTGCAAAAAGTTTCTACTACAGCTTCCCACTGAAACTGTTCTCACCAAGGTTACCAAAGTGAATGGCTTGATAGTTGTTAGGTTACACCATTGGATTAACTCAAGTCAGTCTTGATATTAAAATGCTTCTGTTGTGAATTCATCTTAAATCAAGGTAACAACTGGCTCTCAAAAGTATTGCTGGCAGCAAAATAAAATGAGAGCATTGAAATGGAAATAGAAAATAGACAACTAAAGAGCTTTATGTGCTGCTTTTGTAACATTCATTTCACAGATGGTAAATTAAAATCACTTATACCCCAATAAAAACATTAATTACTAATAGAAATATTCTCTAGTTAAAGAATTGTCAATTAGGGCCAGGCACAGTGGCTCACGCCCCTAATCCCAGCACTTTGGGAGGCCAAGGTGGGTGGATCATGAGGTCAGGAGATCAAGATCATCCTGGCTAACGCGGTGAAACCCCGTCTTTACTAAAAATACAAAAAAATTAGCCAGGCGTGGTGGCGGGCGCCTGTAGTCCCAGCTACTTGGGAGGCTGAGTCAGGAGAATGGCGTGAACCTGGGAGGCAGAGCTTGCAGTGAGCCGAGATCGTGCCTCTGCGCTCCAGCCTGGGTGACAGAGCGAGACTCTGTCTCAAAAAAAAATAATAATAATAATCAGGCTCCAAAATATATTGGAAATAGTACAAATACATTTTCATGGATCTTTACTATTAGAGGAGAGGGTTGGTGGAATAGCAGTAATATCTCATTAGTTTTCATATTGTAGGACTTTCCATGGAGATATTACAAACCATTAACCAAAGTCACTTAAATGCAAGACATTTTTGAAAGGTTTAACACATATTTGCATATACAATTTCTGTGATTCTGATTTAAAAATTAATCCAATAAATTTATGATATTAATGCTCCCATTTTTTAATAAACTTCGCAGATCTCCAAGGGCCTAGCCATAGAAGTGTACTGATTACATTCATTCTCTGACATTATCATGAAGGGGCCGGAGTCCAACAGCTCAGTATCTTTTCCTTAGGAAGTGACTTATTAGTAACCAGGATGTGTGATTGTATTAATTCAGCAACCTTTATTTTCTTCAAAAGGAATTCTTCTCAATTTTTTCCTTTAGATGAATTGGGAAATAAAGGCCAAGTGATAATATTTGATTTACTGCTGTCTATGATTTTCAATGATAAGCTGCTGATTAAAGTATACATTTTTAAAGTGTAAATTTTGAAATACATTTCTACTTCTGTGAGTTTTAAATTTGCTTCCTATCAAAAGCATCATAAAATCTTCATCAGACAACAGAGGAATGAGTACTTTAAACAGAACTCCGAAATTCTATTGCGCGCAGAATAACAATATAAATGAGCATAATAACAATTAGTAGGGTATAAACAGATTGATAAAAATTATGCTAGACATGACAGATATGCTAGATAGCACAATAGGAAGAACATTAATAAATTGAGATGTTCAGATTGTATGAACTAATAACTCAACTGCTTTGTTTCTGCTATGGAATAGAGAGATTCCAGTGCTAGGTTTCTTATAGTCTTTCATGGTCAAGTAGGTCTGCCAGACCATTTGGGAAATTATGCAAACGGGTGTAAATCTTAGAAAAGTGAAGGTAACTGGGCACATAAGTTGTACTGCCTTTTCTGTAATTTGACATCTGTATGGTATGTGAGAGGATTGGCAGATTATTTTGTAGCACATAATGAATGCTAACATAATTTGGGGCATGGAATATTAATATAATAAATAAAATGAACCAATGCAGAAAATGACAGAAGGGCAACATGAAAATTAAACAGAAATGACAGTAGCAAGATTGGCTGTTTTTTAATTATGAGATAACAGGGATGCCTAGCTGCCTCCTAAATTCTTTGGGTTAGAAACAAATTTTCTAGAAAACTCATAACAGAGTTCTAATAATTTTCTTTTTGCAAGACCACAATGCTACTTTCATTCAGGAAGGATGACAGAGTTGAAGTCCCAGGTCAGGTAAGATTGTTTCTAGAAGGAATACAATAGAAATTGGAAAGCCAAGGTCCCCCAAAATTATGAGGTGGACAGAGTACTTTTAGTAACAAAATAAAATATTTGTTTAAGAACAATTATTTGTTTCATTTAATTCATTTTGAAATGTGACTTTGGAGAAAAAGATATAATGCTGTTAAGATAAATCTTACCTAAAAAGATATTAGGCTAAATAAAAGCACCCAAGACTTTACAGGCCAATTGTAGGAGTTATTCAGAAGATAAAAAATGCAAAAAGTAAGTAATTAATAAATATCCCTTAGTTATCAAGAGAGAAAGGAGTAGTTTATTTGAGAAAAAATAAAACAGTACTTTCTATTTCAAAAAACATCATGTTATTTAAGATTTTATACTGGTACAATGATTTGCATATGTGATTTCATGGTAGGTAATCTCTCTTGGAGTTTGAAAAGTAACATGAAATAGAAAGTTTCAGACTTCAGGCTTAGGTAATGTATCACTCCATACATAAAAGAATTGTGAAAATCCAAAACACTGACAAAAACAAATGCTGGCAAAGATGTGCAGCAACGGGAATTCTCCTTCATTACTGGTGGAAGAGGGGGGAGGATGCAAAATGGTACAGTCACTTTGGAAAACAGTTAGGCAGTCTCCTATGAAGTTAAGCATACTCTTGTCATGCAACCCAGCAATCAAGCTTGTTGGTATTTACTCAGATGAATTGCAAATTTATTTCCACACAAAGACTACACACAAATGTTTACAAAAGCTTTGTTCATAATTTCTGAAACTTGAAAGCAACCAAGTTGCCTCACAGTAGGTGAATAAACAAACTGTGGTACATTCATACAATGGAATAGTATTCAGCATCAAAAAGAAATGAGCTATTAAGTTGTCAGAAGACATGGAAGAAGCTTAAATGTCTATTACTTAAGGGAAAGGAGCCATTCTGAAAAGGCTACACACTGTATAATTCTAACTATGTAACATTCTAGAAAAGGTAAAACTATGGAGACAGTAAAAAATCAGTGGCTGCTGGAAGTTAGAGGAGAGAGAAGAATGAATAATCAGTGCACAGAGGATTTTTAGGGCAGTGATATTATTCTGTTTTATGCTACATGAATTATGCCACCATGGATTTGTCAAAATACATAGGAAGTACAACACCGAGAGCAAACCCTAATGTAAACTACGGGCTTTGGGTGGTAATGGTGAATTAATGTAGGTTTATAGTTTGTAACGAATATACCACTGTGGCGGGGGATTTTAATTGTGTGGGGGAAGGCAGAAAGTATATGGGAACCTTCTATAGTTTCTACTCAGTTTTGCTGTGAACCTAAAACTTCTCTAAAAAAACAAAGGGTTTTTTTTTGTTTGTTTGTTTGGTTGGTTGGTTGTTTTTTGTTTTTGTTTCTTCCCACTAATGGTAATGCTAGGTTGAATGGTAGCTGTTTTAAGCTATCTGAGAAATCTCCAGACTGATTTCCACAGTGGTTGAACTAATTTACATTCCCAGCAACACTGTATAAGCATTCCCTTTTCGCCGCAGCCTCTCCAGCATCTGTTTTTTTTTTATTTTTTTTCTTTTTAAATAATAGCCTGGGTATATACCCAAAAGAAAATAAATCACTCTACCAGAAAGACACATGCACTCATATATTCACTGCTGCAGTATTCACAATAGCAAAGACATGGGATCAACCCAGATGTGCATCAATAGTAGATTAGATAAAGAAAATGCAGTACATATACACCATGGAACACCACAAAGCCATAAAAAAGAATGAAATCATGTCTATTGCACCAACATGAATGGAGCTGGAAGCCACAATCCTAAGTAAATTAAGGCAGGAACAGGAAACCAAAAACTGTATGTTCTCACTTGTAATTGGGAGCTAAACACTGAGCACATGTGGACATAAACATGGAAACAATAGACACTGTGGACTTCTGGAAGAAGGAAGGAGGAGAGTAGCTTAGAAAACTACCTACTGGGTACTATGCTCAGTATCAGGGTGACAGGGTCAACACTCCAAACCCCACCATCATACAATATTCTCATGGAACAAATCTGCACATGTGCCCCCCTGTTTCTAAATGAAAATTGAAATTTGTTGGATTTTTTTTTAATTTAAAAAGATTGAAAAAACTAAAATGCATTTTAGTATAATGGACAATATTTTGGTCAATTGTATCTGTTATATAAATAAGTTAACATATACTGTTTTAAAAATAAATGACAAATCCTATTTAAAAACCACCCAGGCTATCCAGCTTTCCTCGGGTATTCAAATATGAAGAGATTCTACTGATCCAAAATTACTTAGTGTATCCATCAACATACAGGTGTAGTATTTAAGTTAACATAAACAACTTCTTTAGAATAATTCCTTAACTTTACCACATGCTAAACTTTCTGATTTCACTCCACCTTAGATGAATTATATTATATATATAAAACTATAGGAAAATTGGGTTATTTGTGTTACTTTCTTGCAAGAAAGTAGAATTACCATTGACTATTCAATATCATAGATATTTAATTTCTTGACATTTCTGTCATGGTGACAGACTTACATTCCTAGATATTTTAATTAACTGGGGTTTCTAACTGAAGAAAGAAGCCAGTTTCTAAACTGAAAAATCAGTGATTTTTTTTTGTAATGGATTAGTGATAGCAAATATGCCTTAAAGCTAAGGAGAAAAGTCATTTTGTGATGGACACATTATTGACAAGCTTCCTTTTAAAAATGTATACCGCCATCAAACATTTATACATATAATCACAGAAGATAAACATACATACTCTATCTCATGTAACATAAGCAGACATGTGTGTTGACAACGAAGGTTCAGAGAAATGCAGAAAGAACATTAGTTTTTTTGCTATTTATAATCCATTACATCAAATACTTTCAAGTAGGGATAAGAATCACCATTCATTTAACCAGACTTGTCCTTGTGCTATGAATTTGTTTAGTTTTGTTCTTCACAAAGGACATGCATTAAAGAGATAAAACCCCTTCCCATCTCCTCCAAATGTTCAGCCTCTGAGTGACTAAATATATTTATACGTTTAGGCAGTATTGTATGATGCATTATGTTGTAATATAAGAAGCTGGGTGATTTGGGCATCATTTCTGGCTACCACTGAGATGACCTCAGGAAAATCATTTGACTTGAGTGGTCTTGATTTATAAAATGAGAGTTTCAGGATACTTTATAACTATATTGCCTTCCAATTCTGTTTCTATATTCTTTATGGAGGATAAAACATGGTTACTCTTTATTTGGACTATTCCCTATCATCATCCTATTATAAAAAAAAATTCCAAACAGAAATTGTCATGAAAGTAACCAGTAGCAAAAAAGCATTCAATGATATACCCAACAATGAGAATTTTAAAGTAGTTTTTATCTTGTAGATAAAATTTTTAATACTATCTACTACACAGCTTAAACTCTATTTGGCAAGAAACTTAATTTTTGAAATTCTTTAAATGCCACAGAAGGAAAGAAGGAAAAGAGGGAGTCAAGGAGGGAGGGAGGGAGGGAGGAAGAGATGGAAGGAAGGAGGATGAAAGGAAGGAAGTTAAGATGGAAAGGAGGGAAGAAGAGAGAGAGAGAGAAGGAGAAGCAGGGAGGAAAGAAGGGAGTGATGAAAGCATAGACGTTCTAAGAGCCAACAAAAAGGTCCAGAATTATCTTCTTGTTAAACGTTTACTAAATAATGGCCAAGGACATTAATGTAGCCTGCTTTTAGACCCACTTAATTGGTTTCACATTCTTTCAGCTATGTTGCCAAGTCTAAAAAAAAATTATAAACACTGAAATAAAAGAATAATAAAGATAAATCAACTTACCTCTGCCTTATTAAGCTTCCATAAACACAGAGCTATATTAGGGAATAGGACAGTTGATCGGCATATAATTCTAGGAGCAATGCTAAACTATCACTGGAAATAGATACAACAAAGAAATTTATATTTACCAGAAGTTATATCAGGGACTATTTAGTTTATAGTTGAAGAGGAGGTTTTGATGAATTCTTTGGGTGCATGAGGAGGTTGAATCCTCCAACAGACATATTAAACTAAAAATAGATCATCATTTAGTGACTAAAAAAGAGGAATTTCTGCATAATTGCAGAGCCTGTTTGTTGAAATCCAGAATGTAAGGACAGAGCTGAACAACAGAGTAGAGATGCAACCCTGGCCCCAGCAATTTTTCTTCTCTGCCTTTCCCTAATAGTACACTCAGCTTCAATCCTAAATAACTACTGTTCTCATATTTTAAAAATAGCAACTTGAAGGTACATCAAACCATCTAGATATTCACATTCTTTCACTGAACTGTCACATAGCCTTCCATCTCCATATTTAAAACATATAAACAATTATTATGATCTCTACACAAGTTACTGAAGTTATTAGCATATTTTCTCTGTATCTTATTTATATAGAAAATAAAAATGTCATTCAATGTCCACAGAAAAACCTGCACATAGATTCATGGTTGCCAGAATTTGGAAGCAACCATGATGTCCTGCAGTAGGTAAATGCATAAACAAACCATGGTATATCCAGACAGTGGAATATTTTTCAGCATTTTAAAAAATGAGCTATCAAGCCAGGGTAAGACATGGAATAACTTCAAATTCATATTATTAAGTGACAGAAGCCAATCTGAAAAGGCTACATGCTGTATAATTCAACAATATGACATTCTGGAAAAGGTGCAACTATGGAGACAATGAAAAGTGCCGTGGTTGCTAGGGGTAAAGGGGGAGGGAGAGATGAATAAGCAGGGCACAGGTGAATTTAAGCAGTGAAACTATTCAGTATGACACTACAATGATAGACACATGTTATTATCTTTTTCAAAACCCATATAATGTACAACAATAAGAGTGAATCCAATTATAGGACATGGGCTTAGGGTAATAACGGTGTGTCAATGTAGATTTATTGATTGTGACAAATGGACTATTCTAGTGAGGGCTGTTGATAATAGGAGAGGCTTTGTATGTGTGAGGGCAGGGGGTGTGTGGGAACTTCTGTATTTTCTTTTCAATTTCTCTATAAACCTAAGAAAAAAAAACACACTCTAAAAAATAAAGCCTATTCACCACGACAAACCTCTCCAGGGTAGAAGGCCCAGGTCAGTGTTACATTCTGCCAAGGTTCATGCTCGCCTCCTCCAATCTACGTTATAATCTTTTGCTTCTGAACTCTGTAGCACTTCCTACCTAGAGTACTAATTCAGCTCTAAGTATATATTCTCCTTTGCACTGTTAAAAAACCTTTCATATGTGTAGGCCCCATTTTTCCAGCTTAAGTGAATGTCTTTTCTTTAAAATTTGTCCCAGAGCTGGACTTACTGTGATTAAGAAGTTCTCATGAATTAATGTATTTTAATACTATCTTAATTGGAGTCTATTGGATTATACAGATTCTTAAACTATGACTAAAAATAATAAACTCTGTTCTCAGAATAGCTTGATACTTCAGGGGAAATAATCCTGCTTAAGAGGCTGAGGTCTGCATTACTAAATTGTTTTGCCCGTATTAAATCTTATCTGACATTGTGCTGCCTGATTCACATTCAGAATCTGAAGTTGCTTTGAATCTATGCAAAGCACAATGCTTGAAAATGTAGTTGAAGAAAATACCCCAGTCATTTGACAAATAAAGCAGCTTTAGGATCATGTACATAAAACATGTGTTAGTGACAAAATACCTAGAAGAAAACTAAGAGTATCTATTTTTCTTTGAGATAAAAATGTGTAAATAGAATTACTGAAATCCTGGTGTCTTATAGAAAGATCACCTACTTACTCTTCTTTGCCTAGGATTGAGTCTATATACTGAATTCACAGTGTTGTGTTAGCAGTTCTCTGGATGGTCCATTTCCAAAGTGGTCTGAGTTAGGTCTACTGAAGTGAAAGAACTAACACTAATTGTCTCTGTTATTACCTCAACCTCTATCCAGCTTTGAATCAAAAAATTATTAGTAAAGCATGGAGGCCATTTTTGGAAATTGTATCACAATAGATGGTCAGTAGGTCCTAAAATCCAAAGCCCACAGGAATTTGGAGACCAATTGAGCATTTTAAAAGCTAACTCTCCTGGACATGGTGGTGCGTGCCTGTAATACCAGCTACTCAGGAGGCTGAGGCAGGAGAATCGCTTAAACCCAGAAGGCAGAAGTTACAGTGAGCCAAGATCGCCACTGCACTCCAGCCTGGGAAACAGAGCGAGACTCCGTCTCAAAAAAAAAAAAAAAAAAAGCTAACTCTCTGAGTCTATGCTGTGCTGCTATAATAAAATACCTTAGTCTTGTTAATGCAAATAATAAATATTTATTTCTCACAGTTCTGGAGGCTGGAAAGTCCAAGATCAAGGCATCAGTAGATTCAGTGTTGGATGTGGGTTTCTTCTCTGCTTCCCAGATGCCACCTTCTTGCTGTGTCCTCAAAAGGCAGAAGGGGTGAACAGCTCCCTTAAACCTCTTTTATAAGGGCACTCATCTCATTATAACAGCAGAGAGCCTTGATGACTTACTCATCTCCTAAGGGCCTCAGCTCTTCATACTTTTGCATTGGAGGTTAGATTTCAATAGATATTTTGGGGGGACACAAATTCAAACCATAGCACTTTCTAATTTTAGGATCTTAAAAACATGGAGTTGGTCATATTAGGCCATGAAACCTACAAATGAAACACCACCTTTGAAATAGTTTTTTATATGTTCCTGTTAATATGAATTACCAAGTATCTATAATGAAGATAGAAGGCAAGAAAAAAAGAGAGAGTCAAAAATAGAACCACTGACTTCATTCTGTCATGGGCTGGTACACCCCTCACTCCTTTCATTACTCTTTGGTTATTTTTCACCCTTAGTTAAAACTCATTTTTTTTAAAAAAGTGGCTTAACTCACAAGATTAAAACAATTGACACTGAAATGTGAATGAGCAATAGAAGTAATCCCTTCACAAAATTATTACATTTAAAAGATCAAATTTTAGTAAAAGTAATTTACCAATTGAGAGATTGTAAACTGTATTCAGGACAGCAAGCATGATAGAGCTCTTTGTCTATGTCAGAACGCTGATGGCGCTCAGCAGAAAGAGCACAGCTTAGCTGATCCCTTGCAGCTGTACATCACTCCTGTCACCTCCCTATATATCCTGTGGTGGCAATGACACATGAAAATAGAAAGAAGACAGGATGTTGGCATAGTCAATGCAGTAAGTGCTTTGCAAGGCAGCTGGTGAAACAAAAAGATTGTCCATAAAAAATGCATTGATGTCACAAACCATGAGTTTCTTGGAGACCAAATTCTAGCAGAAATCAACAGAAAACTGAATCCAATAATCAGCAAGACACACAAAACATTTCAAGCATCAGTGAAGAGAAACTTATCTAAGAGGCAAGGAGTATATAGTGGTCATAAACGAAGCTCACTAATTCCTGGATGGATAATGAAAGAGCAATGTATTTAACAAAATAATTATTAGTAGAACAACACTTAATATAAGTACATTTATAATACTCAAAAAGTAGCAGTCTGATCAGTATAGGCTATGCTATGATAATTAAAGGCTATGCTGTGATCAGTCAGGCTATGATAATAAAATAAACAGATCTTCATGTGTCTGATATTGGTAAATAGTAGACTATGAAATCAACTCTAAAAAGGAATAATGAGAGCAGTTTATTAGAGTCAAAATTGAGACACTTTACAGCTACAATTAATTTATAATTAAAATTAAACTGCTGTGGGGAAGAAATTATACTGTAGTATGATAGGCAATCACATTGACTGACTTTTCTGTATATAGATATACTTTTGAATAATTTGTAGAGTCAGTTTGTCTGAAAAAGTTCAGCACTAACCATAATTGCTCTATGCATAGAGAAGTAGTTTTAGTAGAGGGATTAAATGCCTTTGGGCTTTGCCCCTCCAGGTAAATATGATGAACATAAATGCAGGTGTTCATTTAGTCTCTTCTCAAGTTATGAAGAACCTAGTTTGGAAGTGGAAGCCTCAAGTATCAGTAGAGGGAGAAAGAGGGTGAATTTCCCTCTTATCCCTAAGGAGGAAATCTGCAGATAGTTTTATGATAAGAAATTAATTAAACTTTGGCATTTTAATCTTATGCAATTAGATATAAGATATGAATTGGAAACTCCTTTCAAAACATTTTATCCTAGTAGTCTTTGTTTTTTTTTCTAGTAATTCTTGTAGTGACTTAAATTGTCCTGTTTTATAATACTCAGAGCCTCAATTATAACCTTTGCACAGCTTACAATGATTACTAGTCATTACCAATTAAAGATTTCAGATCAAATAGAAAATGTTTCCTATTTTCTGACATTGAGAACAATACACATGTATTTTAGATTCATGGTAATAGACCAGAATTCTCTGAAAATGAAACATTTTATAATCCTTCCACATTACAATCTTAAGAATTCTCATTAAGTTCCTTTCAAATACATATTATTATTTTTACTTCCTGTTCTATCGATCTCCAAATTTGAATGTTTTGGGGGCAGTAAGACATGTGAGCACAGACTTCAACATTAAAGTTACAGTACTCATGGTCAACACCAAAGTAAAAGGGCCACTATGTAAAAATCTGATTGGATTCACCCGATTGAGGACCTATGAGATGTAAACGGTTTTAAGTGAAATTCAAGAAAACTGGATTATTGTCCAGGATTTTCACTCAAATTTTTGTGATCTTAGGAAGAACTCGGTAAGACACTTTCCTCTTGCATAGAGTGCAAAATCTGACATCTCTATTAACTGGCATAAAGGGATCTCTCAGTCACAATGCAGAGTGGAAGGAGCAAGTTGCACAGCAATATGGGCTTAGTAAATCATGAATAGGCATTCAAAAATCTATAAGGAAACACATCAAACTGATAACAGTGGTTTTCTCTGGGATAGAAACCAGGAAGATGGGGGATGTGGCAGGTACAGTAGAAGGCAATCAAAGGCAGACTTTAGATTTGCTGGTACAGTTTTCGTTTTTCACGCCTGTAATCCTGGCACTTTGGGAGGCCAAGGCTGGCCATCACCTGAGGTCAGGAGTTCGAGACCAGCCTGGTTAACATGGTGAAACCCCAGCTCTACTAAAAATACAAAAATTAGCTAGGCGTGGTGGCAAGCGCCTGTAATCCCAGCTACTGGGGAGGCTGAGGCAAGAGAATCATTTGTACCTGGGAGGTGGATGTTGCAGTGAGCTGAGATCGTGCCATTGCACTCCAGCCTGGGCAACAAGAGTGAAACTCCGTCACAAAAAAAATAAAAAAAGTTTGTTTTCCTCTCTCTCACTTGTGAGAAGGCATGGATTCAACGTCCACTTCAAATTTAATCTGTAGAGACAATGACAGGAATTTTTCTTGCCTTCTCTTGTACAGCATGTCTCTCAATGGCCATTTTTTCAGAACATTATCCTGACTAACTGATTTTTTAGAGAGAGGAAAGTTAACTGCTCATCACGTTTTGAAAGAAGTTTATCAATATTGTTTAATGTGAGTGTGGTATTCTCTTTTCTTTCTGTTTCAAGCTATGTTCCCCTGCCCACTCTCTCAACATTGTAATACAATCTTGGATGCTCCTTTGAAAAATGTTTTCTGTCTTATAGCTAAGATTCTGCATCCTCTTTTCAGTCAGAAGAATGTGCACATATTAATTTTTAATCTATTGTGATAAGAAGTCTAGATTGTCTGGAGGAACTGATTTATCAGAAAGTATTCAGTTGACTCAGCCTTTTACACACTAAACTCCCTTTGCTGATCATGGTGAACTCCAGTATGTTTAATTATTATTTACTGTGTGAATACAATCATAGAGTGAGAAAACCTGTTGAGTAAATGCCATTAGATGGGTATTCTAATCCTGGCTTAGGTAACAGTTTTGTGACCTGAGGAAGTTCACCTTACTATGTGATTTTCTTTCCTTACTTGAACTTGGCTTATCTGGTTTTCTTCACAAGGCTTGAGCATTTTAAATGACGCAGTCCTCTTCAATGTACTCAGTCAGGTGTGACTTTTTCTCTATACCTATCATAATCCTTTATCTTTTCTGAGACCAGCCTGTCAACCATATAATCACAGCAAGGTTCTACAGGTACTACACAGTCATTGGAAGAAAGCAATGAAAGAATGTGTCATTTCTCGTTTCTTTTACTTCCTTATATAAAATACCTGATAACTTACTCCCTTTTTGCTTTCATTATCCACCTTTACCTCCCAACACACTAGTTACAGTTTCAGTCCTGAGAGAGAGAGACTTGCTGTGTTAGATTCTGATCTGATGGCGCTGGGGAGTGTTAGAACTGGCAGCTGGTTGACAGTGGGAAAGGTTAGTCTGGAGCAGGGGGAAGTGGGTTTGACTTGGTGCCCAGAGGGACTAGGAAGAACGGTGATGGTAAACAAAATAGATGAGAATGCCTTATAACTCTGTGACTGACAAATGTAAGGACAGAAGAATAAAACATCTACATAGTCTACCACATGCATTCCTAATGCAGTGACCCCAAAGGGAGCAAAAAGTTGATTTTAGGGGGCTAAAATGTCATACTTTGTTTATGTATAAAGCACAAATAAATGCATAGCACATAAACCTGTACAGTATGCCTATGGTATTAAAGTTTCATGGCGGATGTAGTTAGGGAAAAAAAATGTATAAAACACCTAGTTAGGGGAATTAAAATAAATTCAAATATAAGTATAAATTAAAACTCAATAGATATAAATAAAACTCAAACATAATATAACTAGACATATAATTTTAAAAAAAGGATTAGCAACACTGGTCTAGCATCATTCAAAAATAGGCTATCAAGTATAAAGATGCCTGGATGTAAATAATTAGGCTTAGGGATGGAATGAGATTCCTGAAGTTAGCTGATGTAAATAAATAAATGCTTCAGTCTTTGTGTTATACCACAAGAAAACCAAAGATTGTATGGTTAACATCTCTGGCAGCAGCTTGTAATCGTGGGCAAAAGATGGAAGCAGAGGTAGAGGAGGGTGAAATGGTCAGGATTTCCTATTGAGACTCCAGAGAGAAAGAGGCTAGGGTTCAGATTCTGTCATTGCTTTGTAGGCTCCCTAACTTGGGAGGAGAGGATTGAAAAGTGTGGGCGGCCGGGCACAATGGCTCGCGCCTGAAATCCCAGCACTTTGGGAGGGTGAGGCAGGCAGATCACATGAGGCCAGGAGTTCCAGGCCAGCCTCACCAACATGACAAAACCCCACCTCTACTAAAAATTAGCTAAGCGTGGTGGCGGGTGCCTGTAGTCCCAGCTACTTGGGAAGCTGAGTCATGAGAATTGCTTGAACCCAGGAGGCAGAGGTTGCAGTGAGCTGAGATTGCACCACTGCACTCCAGCCTGGGCGACAGAGTGAGACTGTCCCAAAACAAAATCAACAACAAAAAAGAGAAGTGTGGGCAATTGTATAGTCTTCTTTAGAAAGATTACAGGTTTAAACATTGAGGACCAGGATGTCAAACCACAAAAACAAAAGAAGCAAGCATGACATTATTACTGTAACAATATAATATCAAACTCCAAGATAACTTTGAGTGACAAGCACTAAAATAATAAATATTATGTTATTATATAATTTGTTTGATTAATATAGAGTCCACATTCAAATTTCACTGTTTGCCCTCAAAATGTCCTTTAAGCATTTTTTCCTGCTCCAGAATCCGATTCTGGTTTACGGATTCCATGTGATCATCACTTCCTTTTAGTTATCTTCGATCTTGCCTGACTCTTGACATTTGTCTATTATGACAGACAAATTGTAAAAAGTATGACCAATTAGTTTGCAAAGAGTCTCTCAATTTAGACTCCTCCAATGTTTTCTTGTAATTAGATTCAAGTTATACTTTTGAATAAGAATACTACATAAGTGATATGTCCTTTTCAGCGCCCCTCATTGGAGCACAAAATATTCTTTGTCTTATTACAAATGATGCTCACTTTTATCACTTGGTTACAGTGTTGTCCTTTAAGAGTCTTCATTGTGGTAATTAATACTTTTTAAATAAATAATTAATTTGTTAAAAGTTATTTTGCGACTATGTAAACATCCAGTTCCTCATAAAAATCAAACATTCACACAATAGTTTTAGCATCTATTGGTTATTCTTTTTAAAAGTAATTACTTTACAGTTTCTTTCACTCATTGACCTCAATAATTGAATCATCTTATTTTTCAACTACATTGAATGTTGTCACATTTCAGTGGGCATAAGAATTAACCAAGGAAAGCACTCATTTTGAAGTGTCCTGTTTCTTATCTTCACAGAAACAATCTAAATACCTGAAGATAAGGAACAGGACACTTCAAAATGAGTGCTTTCCTTGGTGAAAGAAATTCAAGCTGGAGGGAGAGATCAATAATTGAGATACCCTATATGGCAAGTGAGTCTTTATTGTCTACAGTGTCCCATATGTCACCTCTGTCATTCCTGATGTTTTTTCATTTGTCCATTAACTCACTGTATCTGAAACAGCTTTTCTCTAGTAGCTGCTTATGAAAAGGCTTCCCATCCTACAAGTCTGAGTTCATGTTGGTTCTTCTCATGAGAGCTATAGTGATTACCTTTATTTCGATTCATGGTCAAAGCGTGAGGTAATGCAAACCTGAGGTGCATTAAAAGCTCAGCTTTGGGACATTCATTTCCTTCTGAAAATATGCATGCTGTCACTAAAGATATAAATGTGTAGCCTGTGATTGGCTGAAGCTCAGCTGTAGTGATTGACTGAGACCCAGCTATTTTTTATAACATATCCTGTTAGACTTTAAGTTTGTTTATATATTAAATTAGCTTGTAGTTCCTTACCTAAGGAATCAAGGTAAAGAAGCAGCCTCAGGCCAAATTTAGTTTAATTTACACATTTTTAAAATCTTCATAAAAGTACATACTTTCTCAACATTGTATTACATATACAATCTAATATATTATTAAATTGAGCAAGTTAGTTTAATAAGTACAAAACTACATAATTTAAAAACAATTAATAAAATTTAATTAATTAATGAAAATGGACCACCAGAAACTAATTAATTATTAACCTCCAGTAATAATATTTAATGTCAATTAGAACTTAGAGTACGCATTATATGTCTTAATCTAAATTGAATGTGTGATTAAGAAATTTAAGATTATTTTTAATAAGGTGCTTTTCATTCTACGAAATTTAATGCTGTATAATTTTTGAAGAAATTTCTGCTTCTCTTTGGTGGAAGATATTATTATAAAACCTCACATGTGTCAGATATGGTATAGACACTTAATGAGTTTTAAAATTAAAATAATGTCTCTGGGGCTTTTCAGAAAACCTACCTTAGAGTCAGGAATCTAAATGAAAAGTCAGGTTATTAGTCCATGCCATGACAGGCAGACGCAGTCACTTGTTAAAATTAAGCGAATCCCCATATACAAATAATTAGGTTTAGGATATGCCAGGTTAACAATGCATAGCCTCATTGCACTATGCCTTTTTAAAAAAGAGAGAAGCTAAAGAGCTCACAAGAAAATACCTTTTAGTCAAAGGGTTTCTTTTGATGGAATTGGCTATACCTAAAGCCAAAGCATCATACCATCACATCCCTGACTCTGTCTTCTAATACAGGCTTCCTTAAAAAAAAATGTACCCTTAAATAATTCTCTCCCTCTTTTCATTAATATCAGTGTTGATAGTACTTTCAGTAACAAGATATGTGAGGGATAACAGAGATTCAGCTTTGTAGGCTGAGGCAGAAGGGCTTAAGAGGAAAAACTTAGATGTTTGTGAAAGGGGAAAAATATGAATTATATCACAGAGAACATAGTAAGAGACGGAATCAGAAAGCAGGTAAAGCGGGGGTGAATGTTTAACAGTGGCTCTCAAAGTGTGAAACACAGAACTCCAGGCATTACCAAGACTCTTTTAGGAGATCTGTGAGGTCAAAGCTATTTTTATATCACGGTTAAAATTTTATTTGGCTTTTTTTTTACTGTGCTGGCATTTTTACTGATGGTGCAAGGGCAATATTGGATAAAACTGATGGTTCCTTGGTATGAGACAAGGTAGTGGCATCAAATTGAATTAGTACTTTTCTGTTATTTGCTGCCAACTGCTCATAGTATAAAGAATGGCAGTTTAAGAATAAATTTGATGAGACAATAAACATTATTAATTGTATTAGATATTGATGCTTGAGTTCATATTAGTTTAATATTATGTGTAAGAAAATGGGAAGGATGCATAAAGCAGTTCTGCCAATGTACAATTGTTGCCTTGGATTAAAGCACTTGTACAATTGTTTCAGTGAGAAACTGAACTAGCGATGATTTTATGGAACACTATTTTTGTTTGAGAGAATGATTAACAGACAAACCACAGTTATTCAGACTTGAGTACCTGGCAAACATCATCTTGACAATTAAAGAAGTAAAGCTTTAATTGCAAGGGGAACTGACAGCACTTGTGGCCAGTAACAAAATTTGAGCTTGCAAGCAAAAATTAGAATTTTGGAAAATGTGTATCCTCCATCACAGGCTTAAAAATCTCCCAATTATAAAAGACTTTTAGATATATTGCAGTAAAATTAATGAATATGATATTTTGATATTGTACAAATAGATGTGTCACCATTTAAAAAATCTGTATAACTCATTAAATCAATATTTTTTAAAAGTCCAATGCATGATATTATAAAACCATGCTGTTTTGCTAAAAGGTCAATTTAAAGTGCAAGACAGCCCAATAAGTTTTGATGTAGGAGAATATACAAGTTTATTGGCGTGGCTTTAGATTGCACATTGTAACTATTTTTTTAAGCAAACACCACTTGTTGAATTTTGCTGTATTGTCAAAGGAGACTATCCAAAGCTCTCTGGAAAAATATAATAAAATATCCTCCCTTTTCTGAAACCAGATTTTTTTCATATACTTTAACCAAAACATGTTTATTGCAGATTGAATGAAGATGCAGATATAGAAATCCAGCTGTCTTCTTTTAGACCAGGCATTAAGGAGATTTGCAAAAATTATAAAACAATGTCACAAATCACTAATTTTGAGATAAAATATAGATATTTCCCATAAAGGTCTGTTACTAATACAATCATGTAATGAGTACATTGTTAATTTAAATAAAATATAAATATCATTCATAAATTTAAAAATTATACCTTAATTTTTAATTTGATTAATGTCAAAAGGTATGACGCAGATAAACAGAAGCTCTTTGGGGGATTCTCCGTAAGTTTACAAATGTAAAGGAGACGTTCAGAACTACTGGTATTTATGTTTCTTGCCTATAACATTTTTTTTAATTTGTCATGATGGTGATTAGTATATTGGTATGCTGTAAAACCCTAAAGTAAAGCAAATTATTAAGAATATAAATTCAGAAAAGGACAACAGATTGCAACCAGTGAAAGTCCCATAGGGAGCTTCAAAGTTACTGAGGATGTTCTGTTTCTTGGGTATAATGTTTACAGATGTTCATTCTATTATTGTGTACTTTATAATTTACATATATTATTTTTTATATATTGTTTAATCAAGTATTTCAAAATTTTAAAAGATGCAAATAAAATTCTAAATAATAATTTATTGGAAGATGGGAATGGAAAAAAATTGGAGGGCCATTGAGGTATACAAAGCATTGTTTGTCAAGATAAAAACACCTTCAGAAAAAAAATAAATATGTTTGTGGAAAACTGGGGGTTAACTTAATAGAAATATAAACTGTAACTTCCAAACAATAAGAGAGTTAAAAAAGAAACAAGGAATTGTTAACTAATGACAGAAATTAATTAAAAGAAAAAAATCATAAATAGGAAATGCCAAATAAATAAAAATGTATCAGTAATTATAGGCAAATGGATTAACATTGGCTTTAAGTAATTTCATAATATGGGATTTTAAAATTGAATTCTATAAAATTAAAACAAAATGTATTTATATATTATTTACAAGAAGCACAATTTAAATAAAATGACAGAAGATGAAGGACTAGAAAAGATAAAAGAAAAAAGTCAAAAAGATCGAGGAGGCATAAAAATAGTAGAAAAAGAAGTAATTCTGGATATTCAAACGTAATATACTCACATGCTTTTAAAAAATCATCTTGAATATGACACCAACTAAGAAAATTATGAGAAAAAAATGGACAAATTTTCATTCACACTAAGGTGCGATATGTTAATGTGCTTCTTTCAGAATCTGATATAATAAATAAGCCAAAATAAACTCTATGTAATACATTTATTGAAAGATAAGAGAAAACAGGTTAATAGGTTGATAGATAGCTACACTTGTTTCTACAGCCCCAAAATATAGAAGATATTTCATTCTTAAGCACACAAAATATTTGCAGAAGTCGATTATCTAAGAGCTGCAAAGCAATTTTCCATTTTAAAGAGCTGATTTCATAGAGACTGTGTTGTCTGACCACAATACGGCTTAATCAGAAATAAAATATATATGTATAGATACAGTATAAATGCATTTTTTAGTTTGCAAACTAAAAAAATAAAACTTGACACAATTTTTATGCTATTTAGATGAATATACGACATTTATTTACAAAAATATAAATTATCATAATTGCCGCTAGAATAGAAAATCTTCACTTCAATCCATGACTGCTACCACTACCCAATCCATCCCCACAAAAAGGATGATAAATCAAGTCCAGAAACTTTTACAAGCCTTCATGAAACAGATAATGCTGTCTATCACAGAACACAGATCAAGAAGGAAGGCTACTAGACTTATTTTATAAGTCATTCTTACCTTGATGCCAAAATGGACAGGAAGAATCCAACAATGGAAGTATAAGCAAATCTTACTAAGGCATCCTAAGTGAAAAAGCAAGCAAATCAATCAAAGTATTTTTAATCAAAATCAAAGAAGAATTTTTCCTGAAACTAGGCAAATTAATTATAAAACGCATGTGGCAGAAGAAAAGTCCAAGAATTTAAAAGACAATAATAAAAATTAGGAAAGGATATTTGCCCTACAAAATAGCGGTATAAATTGTAATGCTATATTTATTATAATACTATATAGGAAGATAAATAAAATGTATAGTGTTCCTACAAATGGACCCAGGCACATACAAGAATTTCTTTGTATGACAGTGCCAATTAATATCTAATATTTGATCAAGTAGATTTACATAATGGAAAAAAGTACTCTATTTCTATATTGCATCATAAACCAAATAAATGATTAGATAAGCCTTAATTGTCTAAATCCAAAGTTTGAGAGTATTAGAATAAAATGTAAGAGAATATTCCTGTGGCATCAAGCAAAACCCTTTTCAGCAGATACACTATGGGTAGCAATGAGTCAGGACAGATGCCGGCCATGACACTGGAATAGGGTCCCATAAGTCTTTGCAGTGTCAGGTATTAGTCCTAAGCTACTGGATCTTTGGGAATTTAAGCAGTTTCCCAGAGAGGGGCATGAGAGACTAAAGCAGCAGTGATCACTTGGGCAAGAGGGAGGCCTGAGGTCTGGGAGGTAACTGTTAATGAGAGCTACAAGAGTATTTTATAGTTTAACAATGGATGTGCTGTTTCAGTGTGCCCTAACTACATTAGTTCTGGCCTACTGAGGAAGAAATTTGTAGACAAATAACAAAATACAACTCACGAAAGGAAACTGAAATAATAAAGTGGATAAAATAGATGATAGATTGGCATATACACATTTAACATAAATAACAAAGAATTAGTTGGGATATATAAGAAATTTATATTCATCAATTCATACACAAAAGGCAGATAATAATAGAAATTTGGGCAAAATACATAAATAGACAATACACAGAACGGGGCGTCAAAAGAACATGAAAAATTGTCCCACCTAAGTGGCAATCAGAAGAATGAAAGTCAAAACAGAAGGAAGAGATAAAATTTAACATTAGCTGGATGAGCAAAAACTGTAAATTCAATAACTAGGACATAGAAAGATGAATTTTTATTTATCCCAGAGGATGTATACATAAATTAGTGCAATTGTTTTGGAATAAAATTTGTCAATAATCTGTAAAGCTTAAAATCTGCATGCCTTCACACAGTTTAATTTCCCTTCAAGCCATGTCTACAAGGGAAGTTTTTTCACTTGTATTTGAGGAGATGTGCACAGAAACATTCATAATGGGATTGCTGGTAATGCAAAGAACTAGGGGGAAAGTTTAATAATAGATCAATAGATAATTTTAATATATTCATTGTTCGGAATATTATTGTATGGTCGTTTAATAAATAAATTAGATTTGTATATGTTAACATAGATATCAAAATTATAATAATGTGTGAAACAAGAGCAGGGTAAATACATCTATATGGATGTACCTGTATACCTGTAAAACTTGCTGTATATATGTGATGTATTTAAATTTACTTAAATATTACAGTAGGTAAAACATTCTGTATTATATCTAAGTATACATGCTTTTTAAGAAGAGAAAAACATGGTTGTTTGTTTGTTTGTTTTTTGAGACGGAGTCTCACTCTGTCATCCAGGCTGGAGTGCAGTGGTGCAATCTTGGCTCACTGCAACCTCTGCCTCGCAGGTTCAAGTGATTCTCCTGCCTCAGTCTCCCAAGTAGCTGGGATTACAGTTGCCCACCACCATGCCTGGCTAATTTTTGTGTTTTTAGTGGAGATGGGGTTTCACCATGTTGGTCAGGCTGGTCTCAAACTCCTGACCTCAGGTGATCTGCCCACCTTGGCCTCCCAAAGTGCTGGGATTACAGGCGTGAGCCACCGTGCCCGGCCAAACACATGTATTTTTGATATTGGCTATATCTGCTCTAAAAGGATCAGAATCTAGGATGTCGATAAAACTGATGAGATAAAACAGAGTCCAGGTAGGTGGCTGGCTTTAGCAGAACTAGGGATAAAGGCTAAGGAGGAAAAAAAAAAAATATTTATAAGCAATGTTTTCCCATTTATCAATTAAAAGTAAATGAAGCAAATTGAAATATATATATATATGTATATATATATATACATATATATATATATGTATATATATATATACATATATATATCTGCTTATACACTTATTTTTCCAGCAATGTTTTCATTTTAAGCCTTATATCTCTTGACATGAAAGTTTCTTTTTTCAATATTGAATACCAATTTTAAATAGGCAGGGGAGGATATGTTCCTCTGTTTGGGACACCCAGCCATCTTGAATTCCCAAGACATATGCAATTATATGCTCTGCCCATTATTATGATTCTATTTGCCATATGGCAGCAACAAAATAATACAAATTTTCTTTTCTTCTCAAAGTAAAAAATCAAATCTGTCTCTCACAGTGTCTCATCTATACAGACATACATAATACTGAATATGCAGCAAAGTAGAATCATAAAACTGCTTAAATCATATTACATTAATGTTATTTATTACTATGTGGTTTTCTTTATAAGAGATGTTCCCTTTGATTACAATAAAAGGGTCTTTTTTTCCTTGATCCCTTCTAATTCAAACACATTTTAGAGGGAAACAGGGTAATTCTTAATTTAAAAAGTAGCATGATACACTTAAGACACTCTGATGATGCTTTTGAAATTATTGAATTCTAAGAGAAAAGCCACCTTCTATCCAGCTTCTGTCCTGCTGTTCCTAATGATAATTTTAATTGCAGATTATTTTCGTTTTTGGAGCATTACTGATAGATTGGAAACAAATGACATACATCATTAATTGCCATTTATGGAACACTGCCTTTCAAAACCTGTCTTGTCTGCCCCATATCTGTCTGATAATTATGAAAATAGCTTTGTTTCCCTCATTAAGAGAACCAGTAATGAAAACAATACAGCTTTTCCTATTATTCCTTGTCTTTGTACACAACACTCAAGGCCTAGACTAGCCAACCGTCCTGCCTATTGTCTTTCTCTCATTCCTATCATCAACTTCAGAATCTGATGCCTTGGAGGAGGCACTCAGTAATTGTTGAATTGCCTTTTCCTAGCATGGTGATGTTCTGTGGGGTCATTATCTCAAACTTATTGTTTTGCTTATACCTCCCTCAGTGTGTGTTTTATAACAAAAATAAAAGTAAATTATGTCTGTATCTACTGTTTTTTTAAGTCTTCTTTTAGAAAAAATTTGTTTCTGATTTTGTGTAAGCTAGTTTATCCCTTAATTAAGTGCATAGACTAGTCATGTAGGCAGATGTGTCAATAGATGAATACAGTGTGAAAAGTGCATAAGGAAAATCACTGACAAGTGTAGAGGTCACAAGAAAAGGGCACACCAATGTTTGATATTCAGTGACTAGCAAAAGGCATAATATGGCGATTGTTTAAAAGTTCAAAGGGATGAGAAGTAGTAAAATAACTTGGAATGATGGAAGTGGACAAGGATCCTGCTTAGATAAAAGAAGACATTGTAATTTACTCTGTAGACTGTTGAAGGGGTTGAGCACAATGATAAAGACATTTTCAATTTTTACACATGCATTTGGAGAAAAACAAGCACAAAGCTCAAAGCAGAGCAACTTCCTGCCAAAACAGAAAACATAAATAGGATTATGAGTCTCCTAATGTAATGACTAAAATGTCTGGGATGCAATAAAATTCACTGGTACCAAAAACCAGAAAAAATCACAATATGAATGAGAAAAGACAATTATTTGATACCAATATCAAGACTATCCACAGGTTGAAATTATCTGTTAAAGATTTTAGCCAGGTATGGTGGCTCATGCCTGAAATTCCAGTGCTTTGGGAGGCCAAGGCAGGAGGATTCTTGGAGGCCAGGGGTTCCAGACCAGCCTGGGTAATGTAGTGAGACCCTGTCTCTATAAAAATTTTAAGAATTAGTCAGGTGTGATGGCATGTGCCTGTAGTCCCAGCTACTTGGGAGACTGAGTCAGGAGGGTTGCTTGAGCCCAAGATATAGAGGTTGTAGTGAGCTATGATCATCACTGCACTCCAGCGTGGGTGACAGAGTGAAAAAAAAAAAATTAAGGCAACCATCATAAAATGCTTCAATAATCATTATAATTTACTGTAAAACAAATTTAAAAGACATGGAAAATCTCAGGACATAAATAGAATATATAAAAATAAAAAAGAATCTAATAGAAATTGTGGAAATGAAAAACAAAATAACCAAACAAAGAAAAAAAAAAGCAAAAATTTCACTGGATGTTCTTAATAGTAGAGTGGAAAAGACACAGAAAAAAATCAGTGAAATTGAAGACAAATTAATAGAATTTACTCAATCTGAACAACAAAGAGAAAATAGACTAAAAGAAAAAATAAATAGAGATCAAGGGATCTGTGGGACAATAACAAAGATCTGACATTAGAATCATCATAATTTTGATGAAGAAGAGAAATGGAGAGGAGCTAAGAAAGTATTCAAATAAATACTGGCTGAAAGCCTCCCAAATTTGGCAAAACACATAAAGCTACAGATTCAAGAAGCTGAGTAAAACTCAACTAGGTTAAACCTAAAACTACACCAATCACATTATAATTAAACTCTTGAAAACTAAACCCAAAGAATAAATCATTAAAACAGAGAAAACTGCTGCATTTTCTATAAAGAAAAAGCAGGTTTAATGACAGAATCTGTCATCTGAATCCATGGAAGACAGAGGAAGTGATATCAGTTTTATCAAGTGCTGAAAGAGCGGTCAATCCCAAATTGTGTATCTGGTGAAATCATCCTTCATACTGAAATAAAGACATTCTCAGTTGAAGGGAAATTGAGAGAATTTGTTGCTAGCAGATTTATCATTAAAGAGTAACCATAGGACTGCTGGTGGAAATGTATACATAGGTAAGTTGGTGCAAAAATAATTGTGGTTTTGCCATTGTTTTAAATGGCAAAAACCACAATTACTTTTGTTCCAACCTAATAAATTAGTACAACCACTACGGAAAACGGTATGGTGATTCCTTAAAGAACAAAAACAAGAACTACCATTTGATCCAGGAATCCCACTATTGAGTATCTATCCAAAGGAAAAGAAGTCGTTGTATGAAAAAGACACACATCCACACATGTTTATAGCACCACAATTCACAATTGCAAGGATATGGAACCAAACTAAGTGCCCACTGACTGAGTGGATAAAGAAGATGTTGTACATGTACACCATGGTATACTACTCAGCCATAAAAAGGAATGAAATAATGTATTTTGCAGCAACTTGGACAGAGCTTGAGGCCATTATTGTAAGTGAAATGACTCAGGAATACAAAACCAAATATCATATGTTCTCACTTATAAGTGAGAGCTAAGCTATGAGGATGCAAAGGCATAAGAGTGACGTAATGGACTTTGAGGACTCACGGGTTGGACTTTTAGGAGTAGGGTGAGGAATAAAAGAGTACACATTGGGGACAGTGTACACGGCTCAGGTTCATTAAAATCTCAGAAATCACAACTAAAGAACATAACCATGTAATCAAAACACACCTTTACCCCAAAAATTGTTGGAATACATTTAAAAACCCTCCAGTTTTCAAGTTCATATTTTGTAAATTTAAAAATCAAATCACCCTAATACAATAAAACAATTTATTTTCTCAAAAAACAATTATTTTCTCAGGTGACAGTTCCAATAAATCTCAGAAATCACCGCTAAAGAACATAACCATGAAACCAAAACCCACCTATACCTAAAGATTGTTGGAATACATTTTAAAACCCTTCAGTTTTCAAGTTTATATTTTGCAAAGCTAAAAATCAAATCACCCTAATACAATAAAACAATTTATTTTCTTAAAATACAGAATAGCTGAAGGAAACGCTAAACTAAAAAAAAAAATTATAAAAGATGATGACTGGGATCTTTAGAAAGTAAAGAATAGAATGAGTAAAAATTGCTGTAAACATAATAAGACCATCCTTCATTTCATGAGTTTAAAAATTATATTTTATAGTTGGAGCAAAAGACGAACACCATCTGACATGGTGTTCTATGTATGCAAAGGAAATGATTGAGACAATTATACCTGAAAGCGGTTAAGGGGATCTAAATTGAAGTAAGGTTTTTATACTTAACTTGAAATGGTAACACATTGACACCAGCAGGCAACTACTAAGAAAATTATATAAACAGCTATAATGAAAAACATAAATACATCAAAATAGAATTCTAAAACTATTTTCAAGTTATCCACAGTTAGGCCAAGATACATACAGACAAACAATGGCCAATTGAGAAAGAGAAAGCGAAAACAGAAAACAAATAATAAAAAGGCAGACATAGGCCCTAATCTATCAGTAATTATTTAATTTAACAATCTAAACCAATTAAAAGGTAGTGATTTGCATAGTGGAATTAACAAACACCACCCACTTATATGTGGGCTGTAAGAAATCTGCTTCAAGCATTATTGATACGGACAGCAGGCAGGGAAATACTGGGTATAAGAGGGTGGTTTCCTGGCAAAGGCTCCACTGTCAAGCCTGGAAACCCACAACCCTAAATGGGAACAGGCATTCCTGTTTTCCTGCCCAAATGTTGCATTTTGGCCCACAACACCCCGCTAATGTGTACGTATATAAACCCCAGACCCCAGGCTCCAAGAGCAGATGAGCAGAGGAACAGAAGAGTGGCAAAGCGGCAGAGCTGCAGAGTGGTGAGGTAGAGAAGAAGAGAAGAAGCACCTGAATGTTGAGAGGAGTTCAGCTGGGGATAGTTGGAGAGATTGGCTGCGGGATGAGCATACTCCAGGGGATGATCATCTTCCCACTCCATCCCCTTTCCAGTGGATTAATTTGCCAAGAATATAGCAATCCTAAATGTGTTTGGACCAAACAACGGAACTTCAAAATACATAGAGCAAAAACCGATAGAGCAGAATGAGAAAGAAATCCGTAATTATAACATGGGTTTCAAAATCCTATTTTTAACAATTGATAGAAATCAGCAAGGATAGCGAATAATGAAACATTAAACAACAAGATCTACTGACATTTATAGAACACTATAACCATCTACAGCAGAATACATATTCTTTTCAAGCTTACATGGAACATTCACCAAGATAGACTATATCATGGTAATAAAACAAACTTTAACAAATAAAAAAAAATCACACAGAGTATGATCTCTGACCACAATGTATCAAAGAAGAGTATACCCATAACAGAAACTCAGGGGGAAATTTTTCAACATCTTGGGAATTAAAAATATACTCCTAAATAATGCATTGGTCAAATAGGAAATTTCAAGGGAAAATAATACGTAGAGTGGAATAAAAATAAACACAAAATATATTTATAAGAAGACATAAAGAAGAGCTAAATAAATTCAAAACAAGCTGAAGAAAGAAAATAATAAAGATAACATCAGAAATCAATGAATTTGTAAACAGGAGAATAGGAAACTAATAAAACTAAAAGCCAATTCATCTAAAAAAATCAATAAAATCGGTAAACTTTTAGCAAGATTGACAGACATAAATTGAGACAAGACCTAAATCATAAAATCAGAAATGCAATAGAAGACATCTCAACAGATCCATGGGTAACTATATAAGATAGTGAATATGTTAATTTGTTTCACTATAGCAACCATTTTACCATATATACATATCTTACAACATTATGTTATGTGCCTTACATATATGCAAAATTTTTATTGAAACAAATTTTAAAAATGATTACAAGGAAATATTATGAATAACTTTACACTCATCAGTTCAGTAAGGTGGAAGGAATAAAACACTTCTTGAAGACCACAAACTCCTCAAACTCAGCCAAAATCAAATAGATAAATGGAATAGTTCTATAACTATTGAATAAATCAGATTTTTATTTTAAAAGCTTATGCTCAAGAAATTTCCAGGCCCAGATGGTTTCACTGGAAATTTTACCAAATATTCAAAAAAGAGTTAACACAAATTTTACACAATTTCTTTCAAAACCAGAAAAGGGAATACTTCCTAATTCATATTATGAAGCCAGTATTACACTGATACCCAAACCCAACAGGGATCACATGAAATGTAAAAAATGTAGACCAATATATCTGATTAACTTAGATGAAAATAATTCTGAACAAAATTTTATCAAAATATTATAGAAAAATATATATGTATAATAATGCACTATGATAAAATGTGATTTATTCCAGGTATGTGAGACTAATTAAATATTCAAAATGTATTAATGTAGTCCACCATTTCAATAAGCCAAGGAAAAAACTTATTATATCATTTACTACAGAAAAAGTATATTAAATACCCATTCATGAAAAAAAAAAATCACTTTCAGTACATTAGGAATATAGATGAATGTCCCCAAACTTATAAAGAATACCTATTAAAAAAACTACACCAAACATCATAATGGTGAAACATTGAATGCTTTGCTTCTAAGATTGGGCACAAGGCAAAGATGTCTTTCCTTACACTTACAGAAATGATCCTGGAAATTTTAGCCACTGCAATAAGGCAAGGAATGGAAATTAAAGATACACAGATGAGAAAGAAACAACTAAAACTCTCTATTTACAAATCACAAGCTTGTCTGTCTAGAACACCCCAAGCAATATACAATATACTTTGAGGACTAATAAGTTTCTCTCGTGTTCAGTAAGGTTAAAAAATACTACATGAATACACAAAATGCAATTGCATTTCAACATACAGATAAGAAATAATTGGAAACAGAAATGTAATAACAAAAATATAATACCATTTCCATTACTCCTAAGAAAATTACATAGGTATGAATCTAACAGCTACAGTTTTTGCATAATTAAAATTATAAAATGTTGATGAAGAAATCAAAGAAGAGCTAAATACTTGGAAAAACATATTCATGGATTGGAAAACTCAACATAGCAAAGATGTCAATTCAACATAACCAATAGGTTTAATTTAATTTCTTTCAAAATGTCATCGTAGTTCTTTGTAAACATAAAATTACCCTAAAATTAACAAAGAAATATTAAGCATTAAAATAGCCAAAATTGTTTTAAAAAGAAGAAAAACGAGGGAGGAATTATTGATGTTAAGACTTATGTATGTATGCTGAACTAATCAAGTCAGTCTGGTAGTGGCAGAAAGACGGATCAAAGGAACAGAATAGAACATGCAGACATAACTCCACATGAATATGCCCAATTAATTTTTTATAAACTTGTAAAAGCATTTCAATAAAAAGGGAAAAGACTCTTCAATAAATGATGCTGGAGCAATTAACCATCCATCAGCCAAAAAAAAAAAACAAATTTATACAAAAAAAAATGTTCAGAATGGATAATTGATATAAATGTGAAACAAAATGATAGAATTTTTAGAAAAGAACATAAAAGAAACTCATGGGTACCTACGACTGACTAGGCAGTGTTCTGAGATTTGATACCAAAGCCACAATTCATAAGAGGGAAAAAATCAATACATCGAGTTCATCAAAATGTAAAATTTTACTCTGTAAAAGATCCCATTAAAAGACAAACTACTGACTAGAACCAAATATTTCCAAGTCACATATCTACAAAGGGTTGGAATCCAGAATATGCAAAGAACTCTCATAACTTAAACTTAAAAAAGAAACAATCCAACCAGAAAATAGTCAATGGACATAATGAAAATAAAAATAAGCATTATCTTAGGCGAAATAAGCCAGGCACAGAAAGACAAATACTTAATGATTTCACTTATACATGGAATCTAAACAAGTTGGGTTCATAGAAAGAGTAAAAAGGTGGTTGCTAGGGACTGCAGGGAGGCGCTGGTAAGATGGTCAAAGGATACAACATTTCAGCTAGTTAGGAGTAACAAGGACAAGTGATCTATTCTACAATATGGTGGCTGTAGTTATAACAATGTGCAATTCCTTGTAAATAACCAAGAGTAGATTTGAAGTGTTCTCACCACAAAAAATAAGTATGTAGGGTAATGCATATGTTAACTAGTTCAATTTAGCCATTTCACCATGTATAATTTTACAAAACATCATGTTGTACCTGATAAATATATATAATTTTACTTGTCAATTAAAAAGGCAAATAAGAAAAGAAAATGGTCAGAAGCATGTACAGATCCTTAACTGTAGAGGATATTCAGATGACAAATATACTCATGAAAATATGTTCAATATTATTAGTCATTAGACTAATGTAAATTAAAATCATAATGAGATATCACTATATGCTGATCAAAATGACTAAAATGAAAACTAGTGATAATATCTAATGCTGGCAAGGGTGAGAATATAAAATAATAGAGCCATTCTGGAAAATACTTCAGCATTTCCTTTCAAAACTCAAATGGACTTATCATAAGATCTAGCAATTTTGCTCTTGCGCATTTATTCTAGAGAATTAAAAGCTTATGTTCCACAGAAACTTGTGTGTGAATGCCCATAGCAGCTTTCTTCATAATAGCACCAAACTGGAAATTACCCAAATGTCCCTGAAAGGGTGAATAAACAAATTGTGATATATCCAAAGCTGAATGCTATTTAGTAATAAAAAGAAACACACTACTGATAACAAAAACTTGGATATAATTCAGTAAATAATGCTGAGTGAAAAACAATCTCAAAAGGATGCATGTTAACTCATTTCATTTATATAATAATCAAAAATAAAATAATTATATAGATGAAAAATGAGGTAGTAGACTACTAGTTGCCAGAGGTTAGGGGTTGGGATAGGAAGGGGATGAGAAGGGCCTCAGAGTAATGGCAGAGTTGAGTGTCTTGATTATGCTGGTGGTTAAGCAGGCTACACACGTGACATAATTGCATCAAATTATACACATACACACATGCATGAGTACATGTATAACCAGTGAAATATGAATGAGCTTTGTGGATTGAATCAATGTCACTTTATTGTTTTTCATAGTATTCTAGAGTTGCATAAGATGTTAATATTGGGAATGCTAAGAGAAGGATGCACAGGGTTTTTATACACATTTGTTTGTAACTTCTTGTGCGTCTGTAATTATTTCTAAATAAACAATTTGTAAAAGCTGGATTATGTAATTCCCTAAGCATGTGGTTGAGTTAAAGTAAAAAAAAAAAATAATAGTACTCCATGAACACACAGCTAGTGCTCCTGATTCTGAGTATTTGTAGTTCAATCTATGGATATCATTCATTTGGATTTACAGTATTGTCTTGAATTATCTAATGCACCTACATCTATACATATAATTATACACACACACACACACACACACACACACACACACCATGCACTTGATTATCGAGTACAGCCAGAGCCTAACTGCTGAGTGTTGAGGAAATTTTCCACAAATGTTAGGGTTTGGGCAGGCAAGGATACCTGGGAAAGGGTATAGAGACCTGAAATCTTAGATAGGGTAATAAAGAATTTAAAAAACTTTACTCACTCAGTATTTATTTCCTTTTTGGCACCTTTTTGAAGTGACTGGTTAAAAATTACAAAAGGTTAGTTAAGAGTGGTATTGTAATATTGGATTCCATTTCAAGGAACCGATCCAATTCCCCAACAGCTTTGCTTTTTTCTTTTCCTTAAAAAGAAACAAGCTTATTTCCCGAAGCCTTTTCTGGCTTGTCAATTTTACAAATGCAGTCAATGATCCATGAAAACCAAACAATTCAGTGTAAGACAATTTAAATAAAGAGGGAAAGCAAACAGTTACAATGTCAGTTCAATCTGAGGAAACACAAGCTCTGTTCCAAAGAAACATGAAACTATCAAGTGGAAGTCTATTTAGGTGTAGATGTGCAACATAAACGGTGAAATTTAGAATTTTCTAAATGACAAATTTGCCCAAAAACTAGATTGAATCTGTAACACTTTCAACATTGTTGTTTTTAATATAAACATTATGTTTAAAATTATTTTATATTTTAAACATTTGTACATATGCGTGTATATATATATACATATGTTTGTATATATGTGCATATATAGTATATATACACATGTATTATTATGTATATATTACACCATATGTGTATATATATTTTTTTCTTTTAGTTCTCAAATATTTCATTTAAGGCCTTTAAAACACTTGTAGGTTCTATGCTCTTATAGTGTCCCAAAATAAAATTATCCTTCATGCACTTCATTTTATATTCTAGCCCACTGGCTCTCTAACTTTAGCATACTATACTCTAGAATCACCCAGCTAATTTGTTAAAATAGATTGCTGTGCCCTACCCACAGAGTTTCTGATTTACCAGAACTAGGATGGGGCCTGATAATTAGTATTTCTAATGAAGATCACAGGTGGTACTGTCTCTTTTGGTTTGGGGACAACATTTTGAGAACCACAGTTCTCATCCAAGATGAGTTTGTCCATACATTTAAAAATTAGTTTAGCTTTTCTGGAATGGCCAGTAATCTTTTGTATGTGTCTGTTGTCTATCTCCAGATTACTCACCTTTACTTAGCTCATAAACTGTGCAAAAAGGCAGGAATTTCTTCAAGGCTCTCTTAGGCAGATTTCAGTTATTAAAGAATTGCTACTCTGTTTTACAGCTGAAAAATTGGGAAATAATTTCAAATTTAATTTTGCAAAATCCATGTGCGGAAGCCTATATCAGAAAGCTCCCTGGGCCTTCACCCAGATTAGTTACTTTTACTTTTCACACAATTCGTATGCACTTGATTAGCTACTTTTTAATTTGTAAGAGAGTGTATTAGAAGAATAATAACCCAAAGACTATTACAATAATCCAGATGAGGGATAGGGATAGTAGCACCCAGTATTTATTGAGGCGCTACTCTGTGACATACACTGTGCTAGATAACCTACTGACATTATCTCATCTGTCCCACCCAAAAAACAATGACAGAGATATTATCATCCTATTTTACAGACGTAGACACTGAGACAGAGTCTGAAGCGCAAGATGTTTATTAGGAATCAACATTTCTGAAAGGAAGGAGAAGGAAGCAGGGTTGAGCAGAGGGAGAAGTTGAACGTTAATGCAAACCCAACAGAGTCTTTACCAAACTAGTGGGGGCTCCCTAGCAAGATTTGCCTGTCAGTATCTCACATTGGACTGAAATGGCTGGAAATGTATGCCTACACTTAACTGGAAATGAGTTTCCCCAGAAAGGGTGTGACATCAGGCAAGGAGGCTCTATGTAGCTGAGGCTGACCCTTTAAGCACTTGATGGCCGGAAGCTATCTATGAATTATATCTTCCTACTTCTGTGCTGGACAGGAAGTACTTCTCTGAACAACAGGTACAAATCAGTGTCTGTCACTGATTTGTCCAAGGACACAGTAATCATCTGAGTAACAATTCAAACCCAGGACTATCTGATTCTTTCAACTACATCATCTGTTAGTTTCTGTATGCTGCTTACATTTCTTAAAAATGTCATGAGGACTCCATCATGGACACCCACTGGATTGTGTGATAATGCAGTAATGACCTCAGGTATCACTGAGGAATGTAGAAGAATTTGTTGTTACATGAAAGGGCTCTAAACCTCACTGTAATCTTGTCACTTGCCATCCTGTCAGTGTGCAGTATGAGTATGGAATTCGTGAACAGTCAGCAAGCACTATCCCTTTCACTCAAGCTACCATCATTTCTCATTCTGATGACTGAAAGAGCCTCCAAATGCATCTCGCTGCTTCATGGTTGCTCCAACCAACGACAAGACTGACTAAATAGAAATGTATTCATACCACAATTCTGCTCAAATGTTTTAAACAATTGTTGTTCAAACTTAAATAAAATCCAAACTCTTACCAAAGAACTTTTTAGCTCTACATAACCTGACCCTGCCTCCTCACCAGCTATTATGGCTCTCAAACATGCTAAGCTAAATCCAATTGTGAAGATTTTGCAAGTGCTATTTGTTCTGTCTGGAATGCTCTTCACCCAAATCCTCCCCACACTCCGGAGTTGTGCTCAATGCCATCTTTTTAGAGAGACCATCTTGACCACCCTAGAGAAAATACAGCTCTGATTCTTACACTCCACATGCCAACCCCTTCCCTTGCTTCATTTTTCTCCTTTGCCCTTTTCACTGCTCAGAACTGTGTACACATGTGTGTATGTATGCATGCATATTTGAATGTGTATAATTTTATTCCTAGTACCATTTTTGCATTGTGCAGTTAGAATACACATACCCATACTCAAATTGTTCATTGTCTGTCTCCTCCACTGTAACTTCACATTATTGCACATAGAGATATTAGCTGTCAAGTTCATTTGTGTATTCCCAGATTCTGAAAGAGTGCTTGTTACCCATTGGGAAAATGAATTAAATTTAAAAAATGACAGTAGCGAAAACATATATGTGTAAGCTAAGGTAACTCAAATTCCAGTTCTACAACCATCCAGTTTGGATAAATCATGTGAAACTCTTAAGCTTTGTTTTGTTTTGTTTTCTGTCTCAATTGGAGTTAATACATTCACATTTATTTAATTTAATTAAATAACATATTACAAAATGCTATGGAAAAGATAAATAAAGCTAATTAATTGTTAATTGAATTTGGCTATCTATCCCAAAATAATGAGTAAATTACCGAACCTTTTTTTCTCTTCAAAAAATAAGCCCTCATCATTTGGAAAATATGTTTATATAAATTTTCCAATGCACTGATGATGAAAGATAATTAAGCACTACTCTTATTTTTTTAAGTTTGAGTGGTATTTGCAATTAATTACTGCATTACATTATATCCAATATGCTCTGCTACATATTTATGTTTTGTCTTTGATTAAATGTGTCTACAAGGGAGACACTATGAAATTATGCTTAGGACGCTTGATATGTGTGTACTAGGCAGATTTATCTTCCAAGTTTCCCAGTGATCACTCTACTGCTTGTGTACACTCCTAAGACCCAAGGTTTCTTTCTTCCTCTCTAGATTGATCCTTTTCAGTCCTTCCTAAAATAACCGTCACCATTCACCTTATCTTTCTTACTTGGTCAAGATATTCATCCATTCATTCAGTATCTTCGTTCTTCAAATGTGCTACCCACATGGGTCTCTCCTGGTTTTCAAAAAGCATTGCACCTATGAATTGTGCTATATTGTTCAACATGTAATTGTATTATTTAAGGGGGGCTTTCTCCCTACATCATATGCACAGATCCTGAGAAGAACAGAAAGTTCTTGAGGACAGGGACTGGATTACTCATGCCTTTACTATATTCCAAAACCATCACGACTCTCCAAAGATAAATAGATGCTTGATAGAACTCTAAATAGATATTATGCTTTTTTAATCCAGTAATTCCTAATTCTCATGGTTCCAAATACCCCTCTAAGTAAAGAAATGAAACTATTTTAATTAGATATATCACTAAAGAATAAATAAAGGCCTTTCATGATTTCAACTCAGTACTTCAAGAGTTACACAGACTGTGGGAAGCAGAGTTTCAAGGCCTAAAGCTGAGAATTAAGCTGCAATTACACTGTTGGTACCGAAAGGTTTGTCTATCTTCAGGATATCTTCAGGATAAAACAGTTTGGCCGGGCGCAGTAGCTTATGCCTGTAATCCCAGCACTTTGGGCAGCCGAGGCTGGAGGATCACCTGAGGTCAGGAGATCAAGACCAGCCTGGCCAACATAGTGAAACCACGTCTTTACTAAAAATACAAAAATTAGCTGGGCATGATGGTGGGCACCTGTAATCCCAGCTACGTGGGAGGCTGAAGCAGGAGAATCACTTGAAGCTGGGAGGTGGAAGTTGCAGTGAGTGGAGATTGTACCACTGCACTCCAGCCTGGGTGACAGAGCGAGACTCCATCTCAAAAAAAAAAAAGTTTGTGGTCTGCAATTGACATAAAACGTTCTAACCTAGCTCCCAAATCCCTGAAACTTCCTTCACTCATAGACTGCTTCTACTTTGCACAGCCGGTCAGGGTTTTGGAAAAAGAGAAATCCGGGCCTATCTCCTTCTATTCTCCAGTGGGAAGACAGAAGCCTGCATGAATAGGGACAAAGACCTTGGGAGCTCAAGGACCTAATGTTGTTCAGGAATTAAGACAGACTTTAGAATAGTCTGGATAAACTTTGGACAGAATTTTTTGGCTGTTATAAAACACAACTTTCCAGTAATTTTGAAACCCATTTCCTTACTTTTATTTTTCCTCCCACCAAAAGGGTAAGGAAACCAACTTTGGGCTACTACTGGCTTATCCATGGCCTGGAACTGCCCACTCCAAACCCAAAGAATTATTATCCTGATTCTTCCTGCTCCTCCTTGTCCATAAGATGCTACTGCTCTAAGAAGCATGCTAGTATCTTGAAGCTGATATAAAAAAATAAGTTCATGATAAAATGACAATGGTTTGTAGGCCAACCATAAGACACAGTGAGATTTTAAGTCAGAATACACTGGGTTTTGTCTCTCAACTCTAACTAGCTGTGTGACCTTGAACAAGTTATTGAATGTATCAGAGATTCAGTTGACTCATATGTAAATAGGTATAAAGGAGACTACTTCTTGGTCTTGCGGTGAGGATTAAATAAAATCTTGTGTGTAACGTGCCCAGCACAGAGCCTTGAAAACACTAAATGTATCATCAGTAATATCACCATCAAAATGAATATTTTTCACAGATTAAATACTATCCTTTGAATCCTTCCACATTAAAGCTCAAGGAGGTGAATAATGATAAACACATAATACACTAAAACTCGTTGTCTTTTTGTTTTTTTTCTTTTTATCTTTTTTAGAAAGGGCCCTGGGATTTCCCAAAATGCATTAAGAATACAGGCACCTATTCTTACCAAATATGAAAAGAAGCAGCTTCAACCATCAGAATTCTTCCCTTCCAAACTCTTTCAGTGTAGGCTGATAAGGAATAAGAATTGCTTAGTGAGAATCCTACTCCTTTGCCTCTCACCACTAAACAATAGCACCAGTGTAATTTCACCGTTGAGAGTTTAACTTTATCACTCTAGGAATTCTCAGAGAATTCTTTTGAGCTGCAAACCATCCAGGTGTCAGCATCTTTATTTTTCTTTTGAGTCTGCTTTTTTTTTTTTATATGAAGAAACAGAAACCTAACCTTTCAGATACTGATGAACAAAAAGAGTACAATATGACAGTGTTTTAGTCTTAATTTTGTCACTAGCTGCAATAGTTTAGTAAAGTCAATTGCTATCAATATATTCATTTGTCAGATGTCCTCATTCTTCAAATGCTTGGCTTACAAATACACAGAGTGGTTACAAGATAAAAGTGTGAATTGAAATCATTTTGCTCAGAAAAAACCACTCTGCAGTTTTAAGAATAATTATTGCTATCACAACCACAGCCAGAAGCCAAATTTTTACATCAACACTTCATTACTGGAGACAGTGGTACACAAACATTTTTGCAAAGATTGCAATTTGTGTTTTCATGGTTTTCGCACTTTCTGTGACTATCTTGTTTACAGTACTTGCTTTTATCTACAAGGAAAAGACTATCAAATCTGCAAAGTTACTCAACTTAGTATCTTTGCCTGGGTTTTAATTTCAGTGACATTTGTAATGCTTGCAATTCACTTCACTGCTAATCTGAAAGGAGCAGCTAATTAACCAGGCTGGGATAGGGGTTCTGATAAACATGCCTTTGTGAGATCCTAAGTATCACCTTTGAGCCTGGTAAGACAGGGCCTGGAGAGTGAAGGAAAAGTAAATGTCAGCCAGCTTTGGAGTCATGAAGAGCAATCATTGTAGAGAAAGTTTAGTTGATTTTTGGCCTGAAAAAATGTTTCCTGAATGTTTTCAAATTCACTAGTTTTTCAGAGTCACTTATAGCTTTCCTAACTGAAACCCTGTCAGAGGTTTTTGTTCTCCAGGAATTCTTAGAAGTGCAACAAAAATGGGCATATGATCACTTGGTGGCACATTTAGGGTGCTTTGTCACACTAGTTCCTAGAGGCCCTAAGAAAAGTAAAGCACTAGCACTCTTCAGAGGAGTATAGGAAAGGTTCAGCTACTAAGCCTCCAACTTTCTTCCTTTCTGCCAAGTTATCTAAAATAGATTATATTTAACTGATGAGATAAACTTGAATTCTTAACCCATAGAAATGCAACATATCATGCTGAACATGTCTTTGGAGAAAGAGAAACAGCAAAGTAAGACAGCAGAACAGTTGCAGAAGAGATGAACAAATATTACAGTTCCTAAAACAATAATTAGCTGCCATTTTAAGATGCTTAGATTCTCAAGTAAAATATACAAAAATATCACCACAAAAATGCATTGCACTAAATCATAGAAATACGTTCCCGGTTAAACATCAACTTGTAAACATGGACTCTGTATGAGATCTTTTCAATTTAAGAAAACTTAAAGCATATTAAGCATGAAAATTCATATTTATAATACCCTTAAGATAGGAGACAACTATTTGTTTTAGTGAAGATTCCTACGTTAGTAAAAGGTTTTACTAGTTGACTAATTTAAATAGGCTAACAATAAATCATTAGCTGGAATAACATGAACTATTAAAAGCCAGTTCAAATTTAAGGTCAACGAAAAGAAAGATGAAGCATCTCAATTTATAACAAAGCAACTCAATTTAGAAAATTAGATTTACAAAAATTTGATTTGCATGACACTTCTCAGTAATGTTACTTTGTACAATGTGAGTCATGGGAATGGAATTGTGATATGATTTGCCTGATTCTTGAACCAGGGCAACTGATTTATCATTACTATCTTGAGATCTCAGGGAGGAAGCCATCATAGTTCGGCCATCTGTTATTGCCCAAGAAGTAGTGTCTGACCAGAAGAGAAGAAAATATAATGAATGAACTATGTAAGTTACGGTAATGGATCCCAGTCTAAGCTAGCCACAGTTTCTTCCTTATCAATTTTGTTTGTTCGGAGAAGTTTTGAGACTCTCTATTGATCACATTGATACAGCAGATGCAGCCTGAAGGAAATGGATGGTATATAAGAGTAATTTCTGATGCAACCTGAGAAGTAGTGGCTTGTTCTAATTCTGGAAGGAGGGAAAGATTCTGTTTTGATCATCTATTGCTGCATGAAAAATTACCCCCAAAACATGGTAGCGTAAACAATTTCATTTTATTTGCCACTGATTCTCTAGGTCAGAAATCCAGACAAGGCTTACCTGGGAGATTTTCGTGTTCTATGTGGATTGGCTGGCTATGTTATGAGGTTACAGTTACATGGTGGCTGGTGCTGAAACATGCAAAGTGGCTTTGCCCACATGTGTAGTATCTTGGCAGGGACAGCTGTGAGCCTGAATCTCATTTTGTCCACATGACTATCTTCTCATGGTTAGCTTGGGCTTCTTTACTTGAACTCAAGGGTAAGCAGTTCAAGCGGCAATGGCAGAAACTGCAGAAATCTTAAGGCTACACTTCAGAAGTCAACAAGAATCATTTCTACTGTATTCAGTATACAATCCCAGATCCTAGGGGATAGGGCACTAGTAAGGGCACTCTGCAAAATAGCATATGTGGTAAAATATATTATGGAGGCCAACACAATTTACCATGGGACCACCATGACTTATTAGAAAAATCATGTGCATAATTTCTTTCTCATAATTTTCAGTGTGAACCTGGGAAAGCAGCCATATTTTGTACTATGCATCCTCAGAGCAAAAGACAGAAGCTACCAGATAAAATCGGCACTCACCTGGCGGAACTGTTCCAGATCAATTTTGTTACCCACCAGCACCAGGGGAATTTCATAGGTGTGGCGGACCTGAAAAATGAGCTCTTTAAACTTGGCAGCCTCCTGAAATGATTGACGGTCAGTGACGGAGTAGCAGATGATGAAGCCTTCCCCACCTCGCATGTACTGCTCCCGCATGGCTGTGAATTCTGCCTGCAGGAAAAAAAAAAAAAAATTAGTTATGGGCTTTCAATATAGCTAATTAATATGAGGTTTAAATGTAATCATTATGAAATTTGAATGTTTTAAACTATTAAGAATATTGATATTTAATCATAGGAGATTTCATTTATGAGATCTTAGAAAAACATATTAAACAGCAATTTTTACTTATAGACTCTTAGGGATTATATAAAGATGATTTTTTTTTAATTTGTAATGACCTCACTTTAAGAAAATGAATCTAAATGTTTATACTCTAATCATTAAATTTATTTGAACCCAGGCTAGATATTCTTTAAATTACATATTTCAGATATTTTCTCACTCCCTATTTATTGGAACCAATTTTCTTTTCTAGAAACATTGAAGAAAAAAAATTGTATAATCTAAGGAAGTTGGCTTCACTTTGCAAATGAAAGTTGGTTTGTATAGGGGATTTGCCATACGTCTGCCAAGGAATCTGGGGGAACAAATTTTTCTACTCAAAAATATGAAAATGAATTAGAGTTAGACCTGGTTTTCCTTGTGAATGGAAAAAGTTATTAGCATTGATAATTCCAGATCCAGTTATTTGTTTGGGTATTAATTTGTCTCATGAAGGTGCATAAACAGAAGGATCTGGATTGCTGAGGGATGGATCAGTTTCTACATTCTGCTGACTCTTTCATCTTCTTTCAACTACAACTTCTCGGTGACTGAAAATTCAGTATTTGTTCTGAATTACAATTTGGAAACTTCTTTTAAGTCTAAAATATCTGTTTTCATTCACTTTTATTCTGAAACTACTGTTAAAATGACAATGGCTAATTAGATAGAAGCAATGAAAAATATGAAACTTAACTTCTGTTGGTGGAATAAGCAATGAAAGAACAAAAGAGCATATTGTGACTTGGACAGTTTGTGCTATAAGTAATCAAAGCAATAAAATTTTAGGTGGGTTTTAACTGTGTTTGAAGAATTTGAGAAAATGGGACTTCTTTACCTAGCAAAGTGTTTATAAGAACTCACAAAATGCCCTACTCAGAGTAATTGTTTAAATAAATGTCAATTTGATTTACGCTAGCTTGAAAGATGGGAGCATTTATGTAGATCCAGGAACTTTGGAAAACTAGGGTGGTTGCAAGTCCAGAGAGTGATAAAGCTAATAAATTCCTGAGTTAATAAGTGAATTTCACCAATCATTTGCAGTAAATATGGAATAAATGCAAACGGCTTTTGCATCGGTTTCAAGCAATCATTTCTAAGTTGCAAGAACTGGATCACAGACGTGACAAGAGACTTGTCCAAAGACCAACAGCAACATGATATAGAGTTGGGTCAAAAAACTCATGTTACCTGACTCACACTGTATCATATTACTTAGCATTAATTTTTATTTTAACTCAATCCTAACTTTCACAATGTGAGTGAAATGTACTAATATGGGAGAAAAAATATTCTATTGGATCCATGTTTCATTCCTGAACCAAGATTGAGTAATAAAATATCTGGGATCCCTCATAGTTCTGACATACTCTGATTTTGAAATCCTATGTCGCAATCAAAACCCCATAATTGACAGGACTTGACTAGAGAAGTATGGACTGAAAATGATAACATGTTTCTCAAACTCATAATTACATTTCTTTGGAAAAGAAATTATAAAATCATCTTAGAAATATGTTTGATCTTTAGGAAAACATAATTAGATCTGTTGTGTCAGTTGTATATGATTAAAACAATAATAAAAATGCAAGCTAAAATGGAAAAGATCCATTTTACAATTTAAAGTTTATGCTACTTTCTGATTATTATTTTCAGTACTAAAGTTTTTGATTTTCAATCGTCTAGTCCTTTTTGAAAATTAACAAATACAAATATTAGCAAAATATTTAAATGGTACAGATATATCTAGTACTAATTTAGTTTTCTTCTCACCTCAAACTTCTAATTTTTCTTTTCAAATGCATCAGTTAATAGCTTCTTTAACTTTACACTACTGTCTGTGTACATACAAGCATATACATATTCCTTCTTCCTTTATACATCATTCTAAACTCAATGGGAAACATAATATATACCTTTAATTAAAATGTAGCAGCGCTAATATACCTTGGAAACTATTCTATATAAGTATATATAAATATTGCTTATTCTTTTTTATAGAGACATCATAATTCTTTTTATACATGTACCATAATTTATTTAGCTACTTATCTATGAACAGGCATTTAGATGGCCTCCTTTTATTCTTATTATAGACAATGCTGTGATATTTATTCTTAAACATCCATATCACACAGATTTATCTATACCTGAGAAAATTTATCTATACCTGAGAATCTTTTTGGTCTAGTATTTCTAGACCAAAAAGAACATACATTTTACTTTTGAGAAATATTGCCAATCTCAATGCCAAAGACATTGTATCAACAATACTTTTTCCAACATTATATAAATGTGACCAATTCTCCTCATTTTCAACAATGCTGCTTATCAAATTGTTCCACTTTTACAAATTGTAGAATTGAAACATCATGTTCCTTTCATTTGTATTTATTATTTATGTGTTATGATCAACATGTCCTATGACATATTCATTTATATGTTGTCTTCTACATATAGATTTTATTTTGTTGTGAAGAATGTAGTAGTTGTCTTTGAAAAGGGTTGGTTCTTTTTGTTGTTCAACTGTATATTGTTTTTTAAATTTGAACTGAAGGAATATATTTCTATGTGAGACATAAGAAAAAGAGTAAAGCATTTGACTACTTCAACAAAAATATACCATAATGAATGACTAACAAATTTGATAAAGTGTAACAACCTGTTAGGAAGACAAGCAAATTACAGAAGGCAACATTCACAGAGAATATTGGATGATTGAATAAATAAAAGTCCAACAGTTATTGTGCTTGTTGACCAGATTCAAAGTCACACACATATCACATTAAAAATAGATATGTCAAGGAATAACATCTGATCTAAATTGGAATCTCTAGGTATGAAGTTCCAGCATACATACTTTAAAATTTGGATGATTTTTGTTTTGCACCTCTCTGTATGAATATATAACTGAATGTATGCTCAAGAGTGGTCTTTATATTCCAGAAGCAGAGAAAGACAGTCATAGTACATGACCTCTAGGACTGTTACTTACTTAGAGCATGTTTTCTGACATGTCACATAACCTCTCTGTGCCTCAATTTCCCCCTTTGTTAAAGATGGATTAGGACACACACTTAACCAGTCTTACAGGGCAGTAGAAAAGCTCAAATGAGAGAAGAGATGTTAAAATGCTTTGATGAATTTTTAAAATACAATACAAATCAAGCCTATTATTATCTCTGGTACAAATCTGGCAGAATAGAACCTTTCACTGGGAGAACAGGCATGAAATCCTCTTTTAGCTGCATTAAATATAAATGTGGCAGTGTTTTTTATGTAAGCTTAATCAGAAAAGTATTAAGCTTTTTTTTTCCCCAACAGAAAATCTTTCCACCAATAAAACAGATGTAATGAAGCTATCATAATGAATGTGGAGGATATTTTAACTTAGATGACATTTTCTATACCAACTCTTTACACAACACGTATATATGTTTCCATGTGGATGTGGTGTGTGTGTGTGTGTGTGTGTGTGTGTGTGTGTGTATGTTTTACTAAAAGATGCAGTAGAGGCTGATGGGACTCAGAGATTTGAGCAAAATCTCTTTACTATGTATCAACTTAATAATATATGATAAAGAAATCACTTTAAAAGGAAAAATGCTGTGTTCAACATGTTGCTTCCGTCTTCATTCACCTGTGAATTAAAGATCCCTATACTTTCTGTTTGATGTATCCTGAATGTTAATATCTTCTTCATTTGCTCCCTGCTATAAATGAAACTTGTTGGTTAATTATTCAGGAACATTACCAGATTCCATCTGCTATCTATGAGTAGCAAAATATTTATGAAACAGACCCTTTGTATAAAATGCTACAAATATAAGCATTTCTAATATTTTCAGAGCTATTCTGAATACAACATTCCAGTATGATCAGTTGCCTTTGATATACTCCCTTGTATTAAAATTGTGTGATAATTTTTCTATATTCAGAAAATGAATAAAGAATTTTTGATGTATCTCATATTCCAGCTTCTTGATTATCAGAGTAAGAATTTTAAGCAGGTATTAGAAAATGTAGGAACTAGACCAGCTCCCCGTTGCATTCAAGTAGCAGTACTACAAAGATATGAATGCCTCACTACATTCAAAAAGCACTAGCACTATATTCAGACCAGGTTATTAGCAACTCCCAGTAAGGGCACACAGATAGCATTACATATACTGATCTGAATCCCTTTTGGCCATCTCTTTAATAAACCGCATGTCCACATTTGTTCTCCTTATGGAAAAAAAAGTAAATTAATAAGTCCGTCAGTCATACACCTAACACTGTACCAAGTGGTAGGGCATATATATATATCTGAACTTGTCTGGGTTGGAGAAACACAACCAAGCCAAGATAAAATGAATGAATAATAATTAAGATCTAAATGAACTGTGGGGTTGAGAAAACGGCAAGAACAGTTTTCAGAGGGAAGGCAAAGAGGGCTTGGTGAGGGAAAAGGATGTGATGTTCTTCCTTAACTTTATTATTTGTACAGAGCTCCTCAACTTTCAGGTAACCTCACTTCCAAAGATTATGTATAGTCACTCTTAAATAGCCTTTCATAGTACAAATTCATCATTTGCATAGTAGTTAATCATCTAAGACCTGCTTACCCTTCAATAGTTGAGTTTTTGGAGGGTGGCATAGCACAGAATCATGTGATTGTTGTTTCTTTTATTTGTATCTTTTAAATGAAAATACAGAAAAAATTATAAAGGATTAAAGTCTAGGTATCATGAATTTACTATAATTTTTGCAAAGCAAAAGGATTGCAATAAGTAGGAGTGGTAGTTTCTCAGTCTCAATCTGATGCCTTAAACTGGTTATGTCAATTTAAATGAAAACGAACAAAGCTTTTATAAATGCCAATAATATGAGGTCAAAGATTATGCCTAAAAGTCAAAATATAATTAACAAATACCATTTTACAGTTTTCAGAGAAGATAATCTATCATTTGTTTTTTGGTATTTGACACATATTTTGAGGAATGCATTTTATCATGGAATACTGCTTGCACTTTGCCTAACTCATTCATCAAATATTTATTGAGCACTTATATATGACAGGCATGTAAGATTTGAGATTGCTAAAATGAATACATATACTAAAACTAAAATATGGAGATATATATATATATATATATATATTTATATGAGACAAATAAAAATTAGAGCATCAGAACCAGGATAGAGTGAGGAGACAGAGTTTGATTTACAATTTGACTCTGAACGTTTAAACAACCCAAGCTACAATGAAAACATGATCAATTATATCACTTTTGTCATCAATAATAACATATTAATTTGACACAAATCTCCCCTAAGCACTGATTGCTGAAGGCAATTTATCTTCTTGGGGTTTAGATAGCAGACAACATCCCCAGTGTCAACCAAACTAGATCTGCAGTATCAGGTTCTCTAAGACTAACCTGTAATTGTGGTTTTCAATGTAAGCCTTGCCAAACATTTCATAGTCATACTCAATAATACTGACGGAAGCTTCAAGCAAGATAATATAAAATTATTCTGTAGAAAATGGTTCTTGTGTAATAATTGAGAATGATATTTAAAATCTTTTTAGTTTAGTTGTTGGCATTGAAACTGGAGGCTTGAAGGGTACTTGGAATCCAACTATAATGATGGCTCCTGGAAAACTCTTAACTAAATACAATTTGAATAAGCATTAAGGTTGTAATGCAGGAATAGCTGCATAATTTGTAGATCCCAATGCAAAGTGAAAATGTGAGGCTACTTGTTCAAAAATAATTAAGAATTTCAAGACAGCAAGAATAAAACATTAAAACAAGTGCAATGCCCTTCTGGGCTTGGGACCCTGGGCAGCTGCAGCAATTGCCAGCTCATGAAGCCAGTCCCATTGCAATGGGATTAGCACAAAATAACAGCCAGGAGCACATGTGAGGGGAACTCCAAAGAAGACTCCATGGACAGGTGCCCCAGAGAGAACACTGGCAATTATGTTCAGAAGCCAAGTCACTACTGAAGCATCCTGACCTCAGTGAGGAACATAGGCCTGCGCAAAGATGGATGTTCCAGGAGTTGAGAGGTGTGGAGTTGTGGCAAGACGGAGAGTATAGGGTGACAGACTGGGATAGGCCCTTAAGAAGAGAAACAATGCTACAGAAAGAGGCGTTAGTATGACTCATATAAAGAGGTGGTATGTTCTTGTTGCCAAGTGAGATCAGACTCTTGAAATCCCTGACAACCAGGTTTTGGGTTTGATGCAATAGGAAACCAAGAACTCAGGAGATTTTTGTCAGGAGGAAAGTCACAAGCAGGCAGCCCTATTTTAGTAGGATTAGTCTGGCAATGGTGAGAGTCACAGTGGAGGAAAGGGCCACTGAAAGCAGGGAGAAAACCATGAAGGCTTTCACAGTAATTCTGAAGTGAGGTTTCACAAAAGGAGAAAGAAAAGGGGGGAAATCCTTGAATGAGAGGTCACAATAAAAAAAAATGAAGAGAAAAGAATTATGAAAAAAGGACATGAAAAACGTATCTCACATTAGATATAAAAAAACAAAGTATAGAGATATTAAATGAGATGGTCGAAGTCCTAGAGCTATCAAGTAGAAAATCAGAGACACATTGATACCACTGCCTCGCCAAGGAAAGAAAGAATTAAATTAAATTAAATTAAATTAAATATGGTTCCAGTTTTTGTAGCCCTGGATCTGGTAGTTGTAATGACAGAGATCAGCTGATTGAGAAAATAAATAACTTAAGGGCCATCATGTCCCATACAGAGTTCTACTTGTCTAGTGAGAGTTAATATTAGACATCCAAATGGAACCATCCATAGATAACTGGAAATATGGCTTAGGTGAAAGATTAGAATCTAAATGGGGTAGTTGTGACAGATTCAGGGGGCAAGACTTTTTGACTGAATATGTGAGTTGGAAATAGGGTACAAATCAATTAGTCTGGATCAGTTTGGGGGGACAAATTCTTTTTGTCCCTTCTTTTTGAGAGCTGGAGCTTTGCCTCCGTTTGAAGTATTTTATCTATTTTAAAGGAGATTTTATAAAAATGGTTTTTGACAGCTTTCTTCTAGTTTTGTTCTCTTTTGCCAGGCATGCACAGTACTGAACTGTCCTCAGATTTTGGCACTTATGCCTCTTTCTTTTATTGTAATTACGTGTGTTTTACTCTCATTCCCATCACTAGACTCTAACCTACCTGAGCATCATATTCTCCAAAGCACTAGGGACAGTGCCTGGATCAAAGCCCAAAAGATAATTATATTATCACTTGGTTAATTACTTACTTTAAGCTAAATGTTTTTAAATATGTTACTATTCCCTGGATGATATGCACTTTAAGGGGAATGAGGATTGGAGGCTGGAGGATGAAGATAAAAGGGAAAGAGTATCAAATCCTTAAACTAAATGGATAAAGCTTTTAGTTACTTATTCATTCCTGTACATGTAAAGCCAGGTCTAGTTTAACTTTTAGATAAGCCTATATCCCACTGAAATCCACAACAATTATAAAGCAAGTTAATGTTCCTTATTTCATTCTCTAGCATTAGTCATTTGTCTTACACTAAGAAGGGAGGAGGAAAGAGGAATCTTACTGTATTTGGATCAAATTTTGCACCAAAATTTCTTTCCCATAGAAGTCTGTTTGCCTTCCTCTTTCTATTTGACTTGTATTTTGTCAAAGATTTAAAGTTTCATGACCGCCTCTGGGGGGTACAAATCCACTAAAAGATATTTTTAATCGCAGCTGGCTTCCTGTTTATCCTGGAGGTCACTCATACTGGGAGCTGTTTTCCTGCCGATAAAACCTACAGGAATGTGTCTTGGAAGAAGCCAGCATAACTGTGTTGTGAAAGGATTTCATCTACTGCAGTTTAGTCATTCCCAATGTGATACTGAAAGGATGATCTCAACAAAAATAGAGTGAAATAAGAAAATCCACATGACAAAGTTGCAGTTGCTAATTGATTTAGAGTATCAGATAGGATACTACTATAAATAAGAAAAATGATATGGGACTCATGCACACACATACCCACACGTGCTTTCTCTGAAAAAGCTTCACCATCCACAATTAAATTCATATTTCTAAATACTGAATACAAAATAAATTACTATTTGGTTCCTCCTTCAGTAAAAACCAAATGATCTTGTTTTGCAATAAAAAGAAGAATTTGTCTCCAGATAATTATAAAATTTTACAGTTGTATTGAGAGGCCAGCACTCCCTCATGATAGAAATGAGGAAAGTGGTCATTGGAGCAGATGTTTGTCCTCTATAACATCAGAAGTACAACCAGGAAGAGATTACAAGGTTCTTGACCATCATTAAGTGCTGGATATACTTCATCCTCCAGCTTAGTTACACCTCCTGAGTGGCTACTGTAACCCCACGGTCTCCCTTTTCCAATCAATCCATCAATGGGGGGAAATCCATCCATTTCACTATCTGATTACTCTTCTTTAAGTACTGCATTTATTCTGCAGCTCTTCTGTCTCCAAAGGTCCAGTGGTTACACACTTACTTTCACATCAAATCTATACTCATCAGCCTGATTTTAAGACCCTATATAATCTGATATCATGCTACCAATCAACTTTATCTTCAGTTAATATTGAATATGCCCTCTCTAATGGGGTCACTTCTCTCATGGCCTGATCATAAAAGCTGTCTCTCTTACCATTGTGCCTTCAGACACATTATTCCTCATACTTGAACCTTTTCTAGGGAATCGAGAATTTAGTGATTATCAAATTTTTTTTTTGCAGATGAGAAAATCAGAGCCCAGAAAGGTAGTGATGATATCATTTTCTCATAGCTAATTAAAATACTGCCAGCTCAGAAATTCCAGTTTTCTAATCCCTTCTACATCACATGGGTAGCTTTCCTTCCTTTGCCGTGATCTGAATCCTGTGCATGCTTCTTAGTCAATTATATTCTTCCTGTTTTTTTTTATTAACCCATATCTAACAAACCCAGCCTTTATTGAGAATAATTTTTTTGTATATTTTCATCACTTATGAACTTAAAAAATTAGCAATTAATTATATCTTTCTTATTTTCTTTTTATTCAAGGAATTAGGTTTGTGACACTAAGCAAATGTTAAACATTTTAGAGTACAACATCTATGCTTAAACTGTGTTTAACACTTATGTTGCACTTATATTGCTTGGTAGATTTTTAACATTAAAAAATTCAATTAAATTGCTGCCATTTGAACAAATAAATGCCATTTAGAAAAATACTTTGATGTGCTAACTCTATGATAATGTATGTATTCTGGAACACAGGCATAATAAGCAAGCTTCTAATAGTAAAGGAGTTTGTGAATACTAATGAGGTACATCATCCTAGATAAATCTTTTAAGAAAATTGGGAGAAAAATGTTTTAAAATTTATATTGTTAAAGGACATGCCTGTACAATGAAAATCAGCAAAATTTTTGTTCCCAAGTCAGTCAATATCTTTCTCTCTTTTCAAAATACATTTGTAACCTTGTGAAATGGTTTGGCTGTGTCCTGGACAAAATCTCATCTTAAATTGTAGTTCCCATAATTCCCACATCCTGGAAGGGACCTGGTGAGAGTTAATTGAATCGTGGAGGCGGTTACCTCCATGCTGTTCTCATGATAATGAGTGAGTGCTCATGATAATGAGTGAGTTCTCATGAAATGTAATGGTTTCATAAGGGGCTTTTGCCCTTTTTGCTCATTCTTCTCCTTCCTGCCACCATGTGATGAAGGACATATTTACTTCCTATTCCACCATGATCGAAAACTTTGTGAGGTCTCCCAGCCATGCTGAACTGTAAGTCAATTAACCTCTTTCCTGGCCGGGTGTGGTGGCTCATGCCTGTAATCTCAGCACTTTGGGAGGCTGAGGCAGGCAGAACACAAGGTCAGGAGTTCGAGACCATCCTGGCCAACATGGTGAAACCCTGTCTCTACTAAAAATACAACAATTAGCTGGGCGTGGTGATGCATGCCTGTAATCCCAGCTACTCGGGAGGCTGAAGCAGGAGAATCGCTTGAACCCAGGAGTCGAAGGTTGCAGTGAGCCGAGATCACACCACTGCACTCCAGCCTGGTGACAGAGCAAGACTCCGTCTCACAGAAGAAAAAAAAAAAAAAAGAAAAAAAAAAAAAGAAACCTCTTTCCTTTATAAATTACCCATTCTCAGGTATGTCTTTATTAGCAGCATGGGAACAGACTAATCTGCCTTGCATCCTGCATACAAATATAGTAGGAAAAAATTTAAATATATAGAAAAAAATCATTGTTTGTTCTATATTATTTCAACTCTTTGCAGTAACTGTGCTCAATCAAATAATTTGGTTATACAAATGTAATTGTGTTTCATTGCACTTTTAGACTCAGGTGAGCTGTTCCATAACACAAAAACATCATCATATCAGTTTGGTAATTTTAGAATCATTTTGATCCAGTTATTTAAAATACAATAATTTTAAAATTGCATATTCAACTACATTGGAAAAAATAGGATTTCATTATTAGGTTAGAGCCAGGAAAAATATGGGGATAATGGAGAATGATGAGATAATGAGGATATTTGAGTTTTAAAATTATCAAGGCTGGTTTCTATTATGGTATTGTTTGTGAGATGCCTCAAGATGGATTCACTTGGGAAGTTAATAGTTTTTTCAAATTGTTAGTAAGTTGTAGTAAATATAAAAAGTATGGATATATGAATATCATGTTAACATACAGCATGGATATTAACATCATATGATATCATATGCATACATATAAAACATAAGCACAGATATTAATATTGTATAGCATATGTTTTATTATTTTAAAATGTATTTTGGTGCCTAGGACATATGATAATTTTAAACAATGCTTTTCTTAAACCCTTTCTATTGCAGCAATATTTTAAAATCAGCAGCTTCCTGTTCAAGACAGTGAGCAATTTCTCAGTCTCTTGCCCCTCAAAGTGCAATTGAAATCACAGAACTATTGTTATTATTTGATATCTATACTACCATTGGAAAACAAAATGATGGTAACAGTAACTCAAAATTTCTGGAAAATTAAAAGTGAAAGCAGAAAAAAGCGATAAATAGAAAGAGTCCTAATGAAGTCTTGGGAATCGTCAAACACAGCATCATCAACAAATAGAAAAAGTCAGAGTGTCTGTGGGTAGTGATCAGGGTAATTAAATAAAGAAACAGCTGGGACAAAGAAAAAAGAAACACCTTTCCCCTACATTATCAGTTACTGCCTTTACCACTTGTTCAAAACCCTGAGGACCCTGTTAAGGAAGATACAAGGTCTAACTGTGGGATATTCTGGTGTTAGTGTTGGGGCCTCAAGAAAGAGAGCTGAGCAGATGCTGAGATGACTCCGAATTGCTTCACTAGAGAGTGGTGTGCGGCAGGGTTGAATGAACGAACAAGGACACTGCTCAGTTAGGAAATGTGCTAAGGGAATCCCCTATATCACTCTACAGCAGAGACACTCTCTCCCTCATTTTTTGTGGCAGTCTTCTGCCTGCAAGTCTTTCAGATTTTAGCAAACATGGATACCGCAGGGTTGGTTAACAGCTACGAAGCTCTGGACTCACCCATCCAGCACTTATTAGATGGTGTCAGTGCAGTTGCATGGGGTGCCTCTGCTGGATCCTAAGATCGAAGAGAGCCCGGAACTTGTCTAGTGTGTTCATCTTTATACAGTCTTTGTACAGTGTCTGCTATAAGATATTAGACATATTGTTACCAGAAGGCAAGCCTAGGAGGTGAGATGTCCAGGTTCTTGGCGTGTGGAACAAAGAATTGAACAAAGTGCGCAAAGTAACAAAGGAACGAAATGGTGAAAGTAGGGATTTACTGAAGCTAGAGAACCCTCCACAGGGAGGGAGCGGGCCCCAGCAAGTGGCTCAAGACCCCGGTGACAAAGTTTTCTGGAGTTTAAGTGCCCCATTTTGAGGTCCGGATTGGCTATCCACTATGCGGATGAAGGATTTGGCCTGTGGCCATTTAGAGGCCAGAGTGGATTTGGCGCCCTATGCAGATGAAGGAATGGCCTGCATTTGGCCCGCGGGCAATCCAAGGCAGTTTCCTTTTACATCCGAGATACAGTGCGAAAGGGGGTGGTGCAGGGAGCAGCTTTTGATACTTTGTTACTGGGGCTTAGAGAGATAGGGATTTTCCTTTCCCTTTAGCTTTAGGAAGTGATCACAAATTGGCCTTAGAGTCTCTGCCTCCAGACCCAGGTGTTTTCCTTTTTGATCCAGCTTTAGGAAATTAGCTCCAGTTGGCCTTCAATTCCCTGCCTCCAGACCCTATTCTCCTGCCTCAATATCATATGCTAAATAACCAAATAAATAAATAAACAAACATTCTGTATCACAGTATCAGGTGCACTATCATTTAACTGGTGAAATTGCCAGGACACACATAGACTTCCATTTCCTAACCAGCTTTTGCCATAACAAAAGTAGAACCCAAACTTTCATCACACTGGACAATGTTAAGTTTCCTTTTAAGTATGTGAAACAACACAGAAAAGTTCAAGAGATTGTTGTTAATGATGTTGTTTCAGTTTCAGAGAACTCATAAACAGGAACCATTCTGAGTAATGTTGGACTGCTGAAGTGAAGAAACAGAAACATTACACATCTTTCTAACTACTCGGAAACTTTTCCTGACTCCTGTTCATTCTGTGGTCTCTATCTTTTATGCACTATCATACTTAGAACACCAATTTAACCCTTAAGTATATATCTCTATACTACATGTGGCATTCTTTACTCCGCCTTCATATCACGGTGAGTACATGTGATGTAATTATGAGAATGTGGGCCAGGCACGGTGGCTCACGCCTGTAATCCCAGCATTTTGGGAGGCTGAGGCGGGTGGATCACCTGAGATCAGGAGTTCGAGACCAGCTTGACCACCATGGTAAAACCCCGTCTCTACTAAATATACAAAAAGTAGCCGGGCTTTGTGGTGCATGCCTGTAACCCCAGCTACTCAGGAAACTGAGGCAGGGGAATCGCTTGAACCTGGGAGGCAGAGCTTGCAGTGAGCCGAGATCATGCCATTACACTCCAGCCTGGGCAACAAGAGCAAAACTCAACTTAAAAAAAAAAAAAAAGGAGAGAGAGAATGTGACTTGAGGGAACCACAAACATAACATTTGATCTGCTGGGCAAATATCTTGATTTCTCTGACCATCTATTTTCTCATCTGGATTATGGAAAATCAATGCCTTTCCAGTATCACCAATGTGAAGATTAAATAACACAATGTGTGAAAAATGCCTTCCTCTATGTTGGTTCTAACATGGTTTGCCTCTGAAAAAGGCAATACTAGCTATATTGTTACTGTCATTTTTTTCCTATCCTCATGAAGCTCACCAAAGTAAAATCCCTAATTGCAATTTTTATTCTTGAATAATTTGGCCAACAATTTTGTCTTTAAATGTCCTTGAAAACATGCCTGCTTCTATGCAGTGCCCATGAGGAGAGTACTCTATTATCCAAGTGATTCAAAAATTATTTTTATGCTACTTGAACCTCAGAGGTACAGCGGAGAAGGTGGTGAAGGGGATAGTAAAAGCTTGACTGTGCTGGCAACATGACAAGTAGGGCAGCATGCATGGATTCCTATTTCCTATTATTTAAATTAAGAAAGAAAGAAAAAAGGAGATGTGCTCTGGAAAGCATCAAATGCAACTGCAAAGCTGGTTTACTTATCAGCTAACCACAAAGCTTCCTGATCTACATTGTCTCAGGGCTGGATCTCATTTGCTCAAATTTAGATTGACGGGAAAAGATGGTACATAAGACAGGGATGGAATATTTCTGGGAGTTAACATAAGTTGTAAACAACAGAGATAAAATTCATTGGGGGAACATAAAAACTAACCCAATCTTATCAAACTGAAGAACTCAGAAAATAGTAATTGTAACTATTTAGGGAGATAAGAGGATAAATACAACTCTTCAAGAGGCAAGGGATTGGCTATACCTCTTTGAGAGGCAAATGTAAGGTAGGGTCAAGGCATTGGTAGTTCTCTCCCTCTGACTGAGGACTCCAGTGGCTGTGGGGGATTACTTTGAGCTAAGGAAACTTCAGCCTGAGGCACAGTAGATAAATAGAAGGATATTCAAATATTGGTCACCAAGGTATTCCAAGGATTTTTGTAAAGAGGAAATATGATATCTAAGAAAGAAAAGAGAGTGGAAGAGTAAGTACATTTCACTTGATTCAACAGATGTTTAAAATTGGGCATTTGAAAGTTTTAAGTGAGAAAGGAAATAAGTATAAAATAGTATTGAGTGTGGCCAAGGGGATAAAATAATGGCATAAAACAAAAACAAGGGGCTTTCAAGGAATGGATGCAGAAAGCCTGGTGGTAGAAATGCCAGTCCAGGAGATATCTGCAATGAGACCGAACAAGTTCGAACACATCTATTTCAAGAAATTTTGATCTTGGATGAAGAAGAAAGAGCAAAATGATACTATAAAATAATTCCTTCTCACCTAATTTTTAAGATTCAGTAGAGTTTAAGACATGTGGTACATACTGCCAAAATTTGGTACTTCCTTTCCTCCTCTTCCCTAAAAACACTGTCCTTTAAAGCTGTTGAAGGAAGACTTAACAAGATAACCAAGTTTCAACTTTAAAATATGCTTTAAGACATAATTTTACTTCCAAAATAGCAAACTGCCTACTCCAATGTTAGAATTGAAGAAAGATCCAAATATGGAAAATATTCTATTTACATTTAGTCCAAATGCTCAAGAATTATTAACTTACTCTAAGAGAATTATTAGTAATAAAATTATTGATATAGCACACATAATACACTACTTTTTTAAGAGACGGCATCTTGCTCTCTTGCCCAGGGTGGAGTAGAGTGACACAATCATAGCTCACTGCAGCCTCAACTTCCCAGGCTCAAGTGACCCTCCCGTCTCAGCCTCCTGAGTAGCTAGGACTACAGTCATGTGCCACCATGCTCAGCTAATTTTTCATTTTTTAATTTTTGATAGGGATGGCATCTCACTATGTTACCCAAGCTGGTCTCAAACTCTTGGGCTCAAGCAATACTCCTGCCTTGGCCTCCCAAAGTGCTGGGGTTATACTGGTGTGAAGCACCACCCCAGGCCAATAGACTACTTCTTATTTGCTTAAAAGACATTAAACAAAACAGCCAACTTAATAGAATTTTTCAAATACATTTATTGAGAACGTAAGAAAGCAGATGATTTGAAAATGAAAACTGTCAAAAAATTATATCGGCAAGAGGCTGGTGAGAGGGATTAAGCATGGGGTTCTCAAGCTATACTGCCTGGGTTTGAAATCTGACTCTGCCACTTCATAGGTCCCTAGGATTCTGTTTTCTCATCTGTGCAATGAAGTTAAAAAGAGTACCTACCCCATAAGGTTGTTGCAAGACCAAGTCCGTTATTACAACTAAAGCTCTGTAAAAATTTCCTCTTGTAATCTGCTTCCAAGACTACCTGGGCATAGTAAGAACCAATATACTTTAGCAACTATAAATATTGCTTGGTTTACTAGGTCTGTTTGCCCCTTTTAATCACCTTTTGTTAGGCTGACAGAGCTACAAATAAGCCTAAAGCCACAGATAATTACCCACAGGAAGAAATTCTACTTATCTCCTGAAATGGTTTACTAATGCTTAATCTGGTATTACTACTAAAAGAAAATACCTATTTCAAGTTTTAAAATTTTGTTCTTTATTCCAAGTCAAAATATGCCTATAAAGTTTTTTTGCAAAGAAAAAAAAATGCTACTGAAGTAACATTAGTATTTATATCTAAAACCTGGACTGCAAGCCTGATTACAAACAGAGGTCTCCCTTCCAACATTATTGCTAGAGAACAATATAATCTTTGATAGCTCTTGGCACATCATATAATACAAAAAACAAAATAAAAATACATCATGTAAAAAAATTATAAGTACAATAATAGTGTGAAAATAATGACTAGAGCCAGACGGATTTGCTTGAGAAAATTTCATACATGTACACGGCAATTTGCATTTATTTGACCATTTCCTATTGCTTGTCCACCTGAATGAAGGCCTGATAGGGTTAAATCATATAGATTAACACTCTGAAAAGAAGCCAACACTGGTGTTTTAATGCAGCCAAAGCCGAATAACAATAGTCCAGGAAAGATACATTTTATGCCCCCATGCATTTGTTTATGCAGCTCCCTCTGCCTTAAATTTCCTTTCCATTCATCCCCAAGGTTCAGTTTAAATGCTGCAGGTCACATCTCCTACTTCTCTTCAAAGGAAAAATCCTCTCTCAAATTTTGAAAGGCTCACTATATATATATATATATATATATATATATATATGCACACACACATTTCATATATATTAATATATTTAATATATTAATAATATAAATTATATACACAATATATAGTAAATAACATTATTATGTATTCACTAACATTATATATAGTTAAATATATATAATTTGTATATATACACACACATATATAGACACACACACACATTACACACCCTCTCTTCACAGGGGCACTGTGTTATCCTTGATGTCTACTTGTTGGCCTATCACACCGTATGGCTGGCTTCCAGGTCAGGTGCTGTATCTTTTCAATGTAAGTAAGAATGTATTAGCAGAGTGCTGCACACAGCACTTAGTAGGTCCTCCACAACTATTTGTTAAGTGAATGAAAAAACACATGTCATATAAAGTCCTTAACAATGTATATGCCTCTTTTGTAAGCTTCATTTTATTTTTTAAAAAGAATAGTATTAAAAGGCATCAATAATTCTAATTTATAAATTAGGAAAATGAAGCTCAGGAACATTCAGTATTTTGATCAATGTCACACAGTTAGTGAATAGGGAGATGAGAATCTCAATTTAACTCCACTTAACTCTTAATTCTGATGTACATTCCAAAATAGCATGCTGGTAAGTTTTCTAACTCTTACAGCAGGAATGTCATTTGTTTTATGGTACAAAATCTTGCTGGTCTAGGAATTTAAATGCAACTGCTCTGATAGTATAAACAAAGGTCCCATTTATTCCTAGTTGATATCTTGGAAAATTGTGTTTATTCTGTCAGGCTTGACACTCAGGCTTCTAATGCATGTTGTTTGGCTTTCTGACATTATTCAGCAGAAGAGAGGCTTTAAACAACATTTAAGGGAAAGGAGCAATAGTTTGATCTTGAATGTGGGGAAGAAGGGATATCCAGACAGAGACTTGACAAAGGCAAAAAGAAATGAGCAAATGGTATATATCATTTTAAGCAGATTTGCATGACTGGAGCCAACAGCTACTGTCAAGGAAGAAAATAGACTGGCTGTACATAGAATTGGGATAAGAACCCGTCAAGATGGTATGATTTGAGGAACACTAAAAGCTATTCCCTTGCCTAGAAGTACTTTCCCTGCTGACCGCCCCCCACCCCTCTCCAATGCATAATTTTACTTATTTTTCTGAGTTAGAGCATCAAAAATTTCTGTTCACAGTCAAGTCTGTTTTCCAGGAGGGATGAAAGTTTCACTGTTTGCCGCCCATAGATACAATGTGAAATGGTTGATCAAATTACCCAAGGTTAATAAATTCCTTAAAACAATGCAAATAAATCCAGAATAATGCATGTAAACAAATGTTTTCTAGAGAAAGTGATAATAATCCCTACTCCCCTTATTAAGCAGTGTTGTTGTGGAGTAGAATTAATCACATCAATTTTCTATGGGGAAAAATGCCAGATACTTTAATGTATTAATATTTGCTTTAATATCTAACATGATATATTTAAGTAGAATTAATAACATTGATTTTACAGTGCTGTTGGTCAAGCATTGTTCTGTTTCATATATATGTATGTATATTTGTGTGCATATTTAATATGTATGTTTTATTCCAGTTAATTTTATGAACAACCCTATAATGAAGAGACTAAGGAACTAAAAAGGAGACAAACTAAGGAACAGAGAAGTTAAATAACCTGTCCAAGATCACACGACTAGTTAGTCGTAGAACTGGGATTACTGTGATAGGTAAATTTGTTTAATCTCTGTCATTTCCATTATAGCAGTTTATGCAAGGATAAGTGATTATTTTACTGGTATTCAAATTATCAAGGTATCATTTATGTATGACTCATCAAAAAAGTTGTTTTATAGTTGTTATCTTAATTGTTCAAGTAAAAAAAAAAAACAGTGAATATGTCAAACACTTACACTGATTTGCCCTTTGCCTTTTCAAAGTAGAAATAATCACTTAGACCCTAGAAATAACAGTTGATCACCCCCAAACCTCTCCATATGGCTTGGCATAAGGACTGCTTTTTACTGGCACACAGAGTGGTTGCTGCTGGCAGGACTCAACTTCTATAACTTTCAAATTAATTGAAGGCTTGCATGTACCTTCACCCTCTGGACAGTGAAGGAGAAGTGGACTCAGTATCGGAAGCCTCTCTCCACTCAGGAGTCCAGTATCTTGCCTCCTGGAATATTTAACATTAAATCAACTTTCACAGCTACGTACTGTCTTCCTCTTCCTTTAACTGTTACCATACCTTCGACAGTAGGTCACAAATATAGTCATTTTCATCAATGTTGTTTTGTTACATATTGATGAGGAAAAAATATCTGGCCACCGTCTGCGTGGAGTTTGCACATTCTCCCCATGTCCACGTGCGCTTTCTCCAAGTGCTTGGGCTTCCTTCCATATGCCAAAGCTGTGTCCATTAGGTGAACTGTTAGGTTTAAATAGCTCTATCCTGAGTAAGTGTGGGTGTGAGTGTGGCCAGCAATGGGATGGTGTTAGTCCACAGTGGGTTCCCACCTTGCACCCTGAGCTGTCAGGATAGGAAAAGGAGTAAATGAATGAATACAAATTATTGTAAAATAAAAATTCACCAAATCTGCATAATCATATAAATGTTTGACAATAAATGATGTGATAGGAAAGCACCCGTCAAGCCTGCCATGTTGGTGATTGATGATGTTTGAACTGCATGGTGCTAGTGTGTCCAGAGCTGGTTCCTTCTGGTGGGTTCATAGTCTTGCTGACTTCAAGAATGGAGCCGCAGACCTTCATGGTGAGTGTTACACCTCTTAAAGATGGCATGGACCCAAAGAGTGAGCAGCAGCAAGATTTACAGTGAAGAGGGAAAGAACAAAGCTCCTACAGGTGGAAGGGGACCCGAACAGGTTGCCACTGCTGGCTGGTGTGGCCAGCTTTTATTCCCTTATTTGTCCCCGCCCATGTTCTGTTTCTGTCCTATCAGAATGCCCTTTTTTCAATCTTCCCTGCGATTGGCTATTTTTAGGATGCTGCTGATTGGTGCATTTTACGGAATGCTGATTGGTACATTTTACAGCATGCTGATTGGTGCATTTTCCAATCCTCTTGCTAGCTATGGAGCACTGATTGGTGTGTTTTTACAGAGCACTGATTGGAGCATTTTACAATCCCCTTATAAGACAGAAAAGTTCTCCAAGTCCCCACTCGACCCAGGAAGTCCCGCTGACTTCACCTCTCAGTAGGAGGTACTGCTGACAATTTTCGATTTGCAAATACTTATTCCTTGATTTATCCCACCATGACTATGACCATTGTCACCCCTGAATCAACACAAATTGGGTAAATAATTCTTTTACATGTTTTTATTAATCTTTCCTAAATGTATGCATATCTCACATTTATTTCTTTATTTTTAGAAGTGGTTTGGGTCTTTAGTTAGAAGTTTGATAAATTTTTTGCCCAGAAATAGGTCATAGGAAGTTAATTCTTGTTTGTATATATTAGCCTATGGTAGAATTGGTTTTGTGATATTATTTTATGTAAAATCAAAGTTTCCAAGAACCTGTCAATGACACTAGGACATTAGGTGAGGACTTACTGTACTTACTTTTGTCCTAAATTATGGAGTTATCCTTCTCTTTTATTCCCACACCTCACATTGAATCTATTAGCAAATGTTGCCAGCTCTACCTTCAGTGTATCTCCAGAATCCAACTACTTTTTTCTTTCAGAAAGGACATCACTATGGGGTAATCCCCACCCCATTCCCTTACTTTATTGCAATAGACTCCTAGCTGCTTTTCCTGCCCCTCCAGGGTCTGTTATCAACACAACATTCAGAACAAGTCTCTGAAATGTAAGCCACGTCACGTCCCTTCCCTACTTTGAACTAGCTAATGGCTCCCATGTCCTTCAGTGGAAAAAACAAAAAGTCTTGACTATGAGCCCTGGGGCCATATGCAGACTGCCCCCTACCCTAACTTTTCTGTTCCTGTCACTTACCGAGCCTCACTTGCTCATACCACTCCAGCCACACTGGCCTTTCCTGTTTCCTAAATGTGCCAGGCAAACTCTCACACTTCTTTGTTTACTTTTTCATTATAGTATGCCATCTAGCAGACCATCAAGATTGGTTCTTTATTTATGTTGTTTATTGTTTGTCTCCCCCACTACAATGTAAGCTTCATGAGTTCAGGGATTTATGTTTCCTATATTTGCAGCAATGTCCCCTAGCCTGAGGCATGCCTGGCACAGGACAGGTGATCACTGAGTCTTAGGAAGGACTGATTGGCCAGATGGGTGGGCCCCTGTGATTTCGAGAGAAAGTGTGCATCTCAATGAGGTAGGCTCTATTCAGCTGCAATGCACCATTTTCACATGGGAGAGAGAGCCAGGACTATGAATTTTTATCAGGTATCGCCCAATTCTCTCCAAGATTGAGAAATAATTTAAAAAATTCCATTGTTGTTGTTGATGATGATGTTTTGTTTTTAAGTCTTCAAACTAAGCAAATCATGTTGGTAGGGATAGGTTTGTCTGCAAGTCGCTACTTTGGGGCTCTGTCCTGAAACTGTGAGATGCTAAGAATCTTTTTAGATTAATACTCAAAGATTCTACTTAAGTTCCATTTTCCAGATCACACTTATTTCCAAGAAAATATACAATTTATAAGAGCCAATGTCTTCAGTCATCCTAGGAGAGAGATTTTGTCACTTCTGGAAAGTCTCTCTGCATTGAACCATCTAGGAGAGACAAGAGGGCAGTTGCAATGATTAAAGGAGTTCTGAGAGTGATTATTTTAATTATTGCATACTAAGAAAACTCAAACATTAGTTTTTGATTTACATTCTCTTTTGTTTATAAAATAATATTTCTCAAAAATTTACTTAAAATTACATTAATGAAAGAAATTAATTACATTAATTTCTATCCAATTTTATTTTATTCTCAAATATAATTTATTTTCATCTGATAACTTTAATGCTTGTACTTTATAAGATATTTTACAGGTATATTTTGTCACTGACAATTTAGCATTCACTTAATTAAACTGTTCATTGATATTTATTACATAAGAGTCTTTCTGCAAAGGGCAATTACATTCTACAAATATGCATAATCAATAAGTGCATCTAGCTTTTTTTTTTTTAATTCTTTATTTGTCCCATGTGAGTGAAAATGTTGGGTTATCAGTTTAATATTCATTTAGGCACAGGGCTCTTCTTTGAAAAGGCAAAACATAGACTGGCAAAGATCCATTCCGTTAGAATATCACAGGCTGAACATGCGTCCAAGAATGTGTGCGAATTTGGTATAGGTTTTTGCTGCATAGGCAAACATTATGGGTGGTGTTGTTGAGTGTTTACCCATGACAGAAGAAGCATTAGTTTATTTCAGTTAGGCAGTGATAAGGTTACATTTGACTTGGTTACTAATGTCATCATTTTGTACTGGGTGTGGTCTTTTTTAAATTTCTGTTCTCTTATCCTTTTTAAAACATGCATGCATTTTATTTCTTTCTCAGACTTGTGCAAGGACGCATCATATCTGTGAAGGCTTTTATTTACGAGATGTGCAAGCAACGCATATCAAATCCAACAGTCAGATAAAGTCAGCTTATCAACAAATAACAAAAAATACTCAAAACAGTATTTGATACATTTTAAGCTAGTTTTATCATTGGAAGTATTTGCATGAGGAAAATAAGAAAAGAGGAACATCAGATAAATGGTGTTGGTTGAAGAACAAGCACTAATTGGCTAATGTTTTTTGTTGTTTAATTTCTATTTTTTAAAAAAGGTCATACAAAGGCAAATTTTAAACGCTGTGAATACTTTGGGTGCATATTTTAGGTGGCTGTATGCTATCTTTTAATACAAAACTAAAATTTCTCAAATGCAAAATTAAGTAAACTGACCATAATATGTAGACCCTATGAAAAAATAGTTTAAAGGAATACAAACCTGCATGCTAATACGACATTTTTATTTAAAAAGTTGCACTTGTAATAATCTCTTAATGTAGGCCAGTGGTTCACACAGCTTGCTGAACCTCAAAATTTGCATTTCTAACAAGTTCCCAGTTGATAGTGATAATGCTGTTCTGAAAACCACACGTTTAAAATCATGGATGTAGCTTACATTTTTCTACATCTCTCCTTTGTGGTAGGTCTGTTACAATTCTATTAAAGACAACACAAAATTCTCGTGTTCAGGAGGCAGTCTACACTCTTAAACCACAGTGAATCTAATGTTTCCTATCAGTTAATAAACTACTATACAGGTATATTTTTAAAATATTCTAATAATATATACTGTACCTAAAATTCTGAGAGATTTCAAGGGGTAAGGAGTAATTTCTTATTTGCTAATGGGAACAAAACAGTATACACTTTCTAAACTTTGTAAGAAGTTCTATTATCTGAATCTTGCCAACTTTGTTCTTGTTAAGGGTGCTATGAAAGACCTAGAAACTAGGAATTATCAAGAGTAAAACTATATTGCCTAAAATCTCAAAAATAATATCATTTTTGCTACAGGAAATTTAAGGTAAAGTACTCTGCTATTTCAGCAGAGATGTAAATGAATGTGAAATTTAGTGAGTTAGCATCCAAAGATAGTAAAGAAAAAATATGAAAGGTCACTTTCAGCTCTGAAAATCTTATTCATGGTAAATTACCATACCTAAGCTTTAGAAGTGCAAAAGAAGATATTTTTTCTTTCCATCTTGGTTCCAGAATTTCTTTGCCTAGCAAGAGATACTATGGACCAGTAGCAAAATGGGTCCAAGAAGAGAAGTGCTATCTCTCTTTTCTTTTTACATAACTTAGATGAAAATTATAACTATGAATATGTGGATACACTATAGAATTTCCAACTAAGCAATTGGGAAATGATTCATTGAAGAGCTAGATTTATGTTAGTTCTTAATCCAAGCATTTAGACATATGGATATGGGGAAAACTGACCTTCAAGAGGACATAAAACTATTAGGAAAGAGAAGGATGTTGGAAATTGAGATGCAGACATAGTGAATAGCTAGTGGTTCCATTTGGAGAGTAAGCTTAACTGAGAGTGGACTGAATTCCTTTGTCTTGAAAACACAGTTGACAGCTGGATTGATTAATTCATTTCTGGAGTCCAGGTTAAATTGTTTGTGGATGTTGTGATCAGTCGATTATTTACAATTCAATGAGTGAATCTTTCATTGCCCATGGCTGAACACATTAAGAAAATGGAATTGAGTTCCTTCAGTGTTTTGCTTTGGATTTCCTTTATTAACCTTTGTTACTGCCTACGCCATTTCATGTCTCTGATTTTGCAGGGCATATTAGAGGGAGCAAGCCTTCTTAGAAATGTCTTGATAAGGACTGAACTTGATAGGGACTTTAAATGTTACAGTTATAAAAATGAAGGATTTTCTATACAGAGAATGAGGCCATGAATCAGCAACACTGCTACTATCCCAACATAGTAAGCATGAGGTGGGCAAAGGAATTAGAAATGTGGGTCAGTAGCACGTGGACTATGAACAGCTTGAAACAGATCAGCACAGAAAACTGCAAAGCAAATGGGTATTGATATAGAACATCCTGTTCAATGTTCATAGTAGCTGTATATAAAATACATTTAAGTCAAAAGAAGAATAAAATGTATATGTTTCTTCCCCTAGAGAGTAGGTGCTATTACTTTAAGATATATTTTATCCTTTACCTAAAGATATGAACTAAAAAACTTCTCCAAGTATAATTTATACATATTTATATCTATGTATGTATCTATATGGATTAGATGGATTGTACCTAAGTTAACAAAGTTAGCAGAACTACTTTTGGAATGCAGTTTTCAGCAGACTTATTTCTGTTTCAGTATGATACACCATACCTCCTACCGTTCTAAATGTGGCACATATAATATGCTTTTAATTGGAATGAATTACATTTAATCTTATGCAGAGGATACTGAGACATTTGTGACATCTTTAAGCGTAATGAGGAATGGAAAACAAGAAGTGAAAATAATTTTCTTAAATAATATAATGTCCTGACATGTTGTTCAAATGTTCAAAGGTATTGGCAAACTGAGGTAGTTAGAGGAGAGAGGGGAGGTGTGGCGGTTCCAAGTTAACTCCCAGGGCCTGATCTCTGATATTTGGTCTTCCTCAGTGACACTCTGAGTTCTGCAGGAGCAAGGAGGAGTTTATGATTCAGGGTAATGTACCAGTATTCATCCTAGGGCCAGAATGAACAGGTGTCTTGTTATAGAATTAGTAGTCTAAGAATGGGACACATCAGATGGGATGACAAGAATTGAAGTCAGGACATAAAATACAAGTTTGGAAAGTGCACATGGATTCTAGAAAATGGACCTGAGCAGAATGCAAACTAGAGAACCTCCCAGTTTGCCCAAGGAGTCCTAGATGATATCTGACTTGTCTGAGGTATTTGTTAATACATCCTTATCCTCTGAAAAGTGTCCTATTTGGAAAAGTTATATGATCATCTTAATCAGAGGAAAATCAAGAGAAAGAAACTTCAGTTGGGGCACTGCTCCCTCAGCTGGAGCAAACCAAAAGCATGCAAAACGCTGTGATGGCAGAACCCTACTCCCAAGTCACCCTCAAACCACCCACTTTCCTCTCCATTATACCTCAAGAAACAAGTTAAATCCCAAAGTATAGGAAAGGAAATGAGACGGTCAGAGAATCCTGCCCACCTAGGAGCTTAGAATTCTCAGAGCAACTCTGCTCTTGTTAAAGCTTCATTGGTTTTTCAACTTACTTTTCAGTTCTTCTGATTTCCCACAGCTCTACTTCCCATCTGTGTTTCAGCCAGTCACACAGCTGGGGAGAAATTAAAATAGAGAGTGCTGCAGCAATACTTAGAACTTGGAGCTCTAATTAGATGCCCTGCCACATAGACCATGGCTTCCAAGCCAAAAAGATCTGAACTATACCACATATCTTCCTGCTCCAAAAGGGGCACATGTGTGCTGTGGGGTGCCCAGTGAAATGCCAATAATTCCCTATTGATGTGAGGATGACGGGGAACTCTCTGAATAAAGGAGTCAGTCTAAATAACAAATAGAGAGAGGCTTCCTAAAAGAAATTTATTTGGGAATAGGGCATTGCAATGGACATATGCATACCATAGTAAATTATGTGTATGTTCAGGGAGGTAAAGGAAGACAAAGGTTTTCAAATGAAAAAATGAGGAACATTACATAAATGTTTCAAAATAATTATTCTTGGCTACAAAGATCAATAACAGGGGTGATGCCAGTCTGTGGTTAGACAGGCAATTGCTGGGCAGATAACCTTGCAGAAATATGTTTTGTGTAATGTTGTGATGGCCTTTGTGCAAGGTTGTAGTTTTTGCAGTCTTTTTCAGTATCAGCTATACAAGTATGAGAAATCTCTCTTCATAGCCTTCCTCAGCTCTATTTAACTATTTCGTATTAGTTACTCCACTTCGATTCTGACAACTTTCACAAAGAATATTCAGAGGTACAGAACTACTTGGGGCTTTGGGATTAATAATCTGAGACTTGTCTCTCCACTGATGAAAACATCTAAAGAATAAATTTGGTTGAATAAAAAAAAATAAAAGTCTCACTGAATCTTTACCCCAATTGATCTGCATTTTAATCTGTTCCTGAAGGGAGCATTTTTAGGGCTTGGATGTTATGTACACAAGAAAGAAAGAATAAATATCTGCTACTCATTTATATCCACATAATGGGAGAATCATCTCTTAGTATTTCTAAGATTTGACTTTGTGAAAATTAAAACAGCTCATGCACAAGATATAACATATTAAATCATATAATGAGGCTTGTACCCAAAACTAGAAGTTGCCTATTTTACTTCTTCCAACATTTTGTGCTTCTGCATTAATTTTCAGTCAATTATTCTATACTCAACTGCTTATCTTCTTCTAGTTAATTAAATACTATAAGGCTACAGTAGCCAAAATATCATGGTACTGGTACAAAAACAGTCTAATAGACAAATGGAACAGGATAGAGAGCCCGGAAATAAAGCTGCACACCTACACCATCTGATCTTCAACAAAAAATAAACAATGGGGAATGGACTCCTTATTCAATAAATGGTGCTGAGAGAGCTGGCTAGACATCTGCAGAAGAATAAAACTGGATCCCCACCTTTCACCATTAAAAATTAGCTCAAGATGGATGAAAGATTTAAATGTAAGACCTCAAACTATAAGAATCCTACAAGAAAACCTAGGAAACACCATTCTGGACATAGACTTTGGGAAAGAATTTATGACTAAGTCCCCAAAAGCAATTGCAACTAAAACAAAAAATGACAAGTGGGAGCTGATTAAACTAAAGAGCTTCTGCACCGCAAAAGAAACTTTCAATAGAGTAAACAGACAACTTACAGAATAGGAAAAAATATTCACAAACCACGCATCTGACAAAGGTCTAAATATCCAGAGTCTATAAAAAACTTAAATAACTCAAACAAGCAAAAAGCAAATAACCCCATTTTAAAAAATGGGCAAAAGACATGAACAGACATTTAAAAAAAAATGGTATAGAAGTGGCCCCCAAACTTGTGGAGCATGTGAAAAAAATGCTCCACATCACTAATCATCAGAGAAATGCAAATCAAAACCACAATGAGATACCATCTCACACCAGTCAGAATGGCTATTATTAAAACATCAAAAAAAAAAAAAAATAACAGATGCTGGTGAGACTGCAGAGAAAGGGGAAGACTTACACCCTACTGGTGGGAAAGGAAATTAGTTCAGCCACTATGGAAAGCAGTTTGAAGATTTCTCAGAGAACTTAATGCAGAACTGCCATTTGACCCAGAAATCCCATTACTGGGTATATATCAAAAGGAAACAAATCTTTCTACCAAAAAGACACATGCACTTGCATGTTCATCATGGCATTATTCACAATATCAAAAAGTCATGGAATCAACCTAGGTACCCATCAATGGTGGAATGAATAAAGAAAATGTAGAAAATGTAGTGTATATACACCATGGACTATTATGCAGACATAAAAATAAATGAAATCATGTCCTTTGCAGCAAAAAGGGTGCAGCTGGAGGCCATTATCCTAAGCAAATTAACACAGGAACAGAAAACCAAACCATATGTTCTCACTTACAAGTGAGAGCTAAACATCAAGTACTCCTGGACATAAAGATACCAACAGTAGATACCGGGGACTGCTAAAAGAGGAGGGATGGAGAGGGGAAAGCATTGAAAAACTAACAGCTGGATGCTATTCTCTGTACCTGGGCGATGGGATAATTCATACTCCAAACCTCAGCATCACACAATATACCCAGGTAATAAACCTGCAAATGTACCCACTGAATCTAAAATAAAAGTTAAAAAAGAAAAAAATATATATATATATAAACATTATATGATCCAGTAATTCCACTTCTGAGTATTCAACCAATTGAATTGAAATCAGTATCTCAAAGAGATATTTGCACTCCCATATTCATTGCAGCATTATTTACAATAGCCATGACATGGACTGTAAATAATGCTTCAACTAAATGTCCATTCATGGAATAATGCAAATAGGAAATGTGGTTTATATACATACACTGTGTATTAGTCTGTTCTCATGCTGCTAATAAAGACATCCCTGAGACTAGGTAATTTATAAAGGAAAGAGGTTTAATTGACTCACAGTTCCGCATGGCTAAGGAGGCCTCACAATCATGGCTAAAGGCAAATGAGGAACAAAGTCATGTCTTACATAGTAGCAGGTGAGAGTTTGTGTAGGGGAATTCCCTCTTTATAAAACCATTGGATCTCCTAAGATGTATTCACTGTCACAAGAACAGCATGGGAAAGACCCACCCCCATGATTCAATTACCTCCTACTGGGTCCCTCCCATGTTACATGGGTATTATGGGAGCTTCAATTCAAGATGAGATTTGGGTGGGGACATGGCCAAACCATATCACACTGGACTATTATTCAGCCTTCAAAAGGAAGGAAATCCTGCCATTTATAACACTATGGATGAACATTGAGGACATTATAATAAGTGAAATAAGCCAGACACAGAAGAACAAATACCATATGATACCACTTATGTGAGGAATCTGAAATAGTCAAACTTTATAGAAGCAGAGGGTAAAATGGTGGTTGCCAGGGGCTAGAGAGAAGAGGAAATGGAGATTATTAGTCAAAAGGTACAAAGCTTCAACTGTACATCATGAATAAATCCTAGGGATCTACTGTATACTATAGTGACTATAGTTAGTGATACTGTATAGCATACTGGAAATTTTTCTGAGAGGGTAAATTTTACATTAAGTGTTTTTATCTGCCCCAAAAAAAGAGCGTGGAAGGAAATTTCTGGAGGTGATGAATATGTTTATGGCATAGATTGTGTTGATGGTTTCACAGATGTATACTGTACAGCCGTTTGTATGTCAATCATCCCTCAATAATGTGGTTTAATAAAGAAAATAAATGATACTACAAGTAAAAAATCTTCCAATTTTATGAAATAAAAAAATATACTACATACATACACATTCAGATATATATAATGTATAAAGAATAATTTAGGCCACCACCAGCTTTAGAAATAAAATATTACTAGAGCTATCAGAGTTCCTATATATCTATCACTGAGAACAAGGCTTGTATTTTGGGTAAACATTATCCTGCATTTTTTGCTTATCTTTTCTTTCTTTTCTTTACAGTTTTATACTCCTGAGGTGTTTTTTTTTTTCACACTATACCATCCTTTCTCAGCTTTCCCAGAAAATCTACAGAATAAATCACGTTGTTTTTCATTGTTATCTTCCTCTGCAGAAAACTACATTGTAGTTTTCTTCAATCTACAAAATCAGTCTCATTCATTTGTTTATTTTGTTTCTTCCCAAAATGTGTAGCAATCTCTCATCCATTGTCTTCTCTTTTTGTCTTTGTGATCATGCAAATTTTAGTATTTTAATATCATTTTAATATGTTTTAAAAGAGAGAGAAAAGAGACATATGCTGACATTCTGCCATGTTTATTTCTAAGTCATTGTACATTATTAAAATATACTTTTAAAATTTCTCCTAAAACCTTATCCTTTATTATGATATTGACTTATTTTAAAGAAATACCAAGAATCAATGATTAGAAAGGAAAGATACTTGATGGAAAAAATGAGCCATCTCAGTGGCACCCTAAAAGTGAGTGATACAGAGGTAAGGCCAGGAACAGCTGTTGCTTTGGGACTATGGGAGAACAAAGAGGACATTATAAAACTATAGGAGGCATTTGTAGAGAAGCCAGTGGTAGCATGATTCTCATGACCTACCGACTCTGGCCTATTAGGGGCAGGGATGCTTACAAGAATAACAGGAACCCCTTATTTGGTTAACACCATTTATTTCTTATGAAATCACAAAGACATATCTGAGAGGAGGGTCTTGTTATCCTCATAAACAACACTGTTAAAGCTTGGGATATTTCCCACAGTTGCTTTCCCCAGAAAAGTTCTTTCAAATTTAGTTGTGATGCCCCATGCTATTCTTAAAATATTTCAGTTATCATTTCTATAAATAAACGTTTAAACGAAGTGTGGGATTTTAAAATAAACTACTTTAGAATAATAGTAGAGACCAGATAATATCTAGAGAGCCCTTCCAACTATTATGCTCGAGGCTGAGCTGAGATCTCAGGCTTTTCTTATCTTCTAGAATGAACTCTATTTCTCATCTAAAACTTGAAACAAGTTTGCTGAAGAGGATATCTCTGCAAATTGTAGGGTTTATGCTCCTGAAGTGTCTGAGGTTGCAAGAAAAATATCTCACAGAGAAGAGTATAAAAGCAGAAAAATCAATAAAAGTAGCAGCGTATCTTTTAAAATACAGTAAATTGGGCACGGTGACTCATGCCTGTAATCCCAGCACTTTGGGAGGCCGAGGCAGGCAGGTCACTTGAGGTCAGGAGTTTGAGACCAGCCTGGCCAACATGGTGAAACCCTGTCTCTACTAAAAATACAAAAATTAGCCTGGCATAGTGGCAGCACCTGTAATCCCGGCTACTTGGGAGGCTGAAGCAGGAGACTCACTTGAACCTGGGAGACAGAGGTGCAGTGATCCGAGACTGCTCCATTGCACTCCAGCCTAGGCAATGAGTGAATTTCCAACTCAAAAAAAAAAAAAAAAAAAACCTGTAAATATATTAGGTTGTGGCAAACGTAATTGCTGTTTTTTCCATTAAAAGTAATGGCAAAAGTAGATGATGGTATCAACTTCCAAAAAAGAAAATAGAGAGTAATCAATTTGATCTAGTCCATGATCCTTCTGAAGCATGTTCCTCCTTATTCAAGACACACAGCCTCACAAGCTCCATATAATGTAGACTTGATCGGATTTTAGTTTTTTGAGCCATCTCCTACTTGCTTGAAGCTGAAAGTGTTTTGATTTTATATTTTCCTTTTATTTTTTTAAATTTTTTAAGGTCTGAATGAGATTTGTACATACAACGTAGCCTTCAGATGATTTTCTCAGTGCATGTTTATGTCCCTGATCTCCAGCCCATACCGTGAATTTGTACTTTAAGACTTCTATTGTCTTTCTCCTCAGCTTTATCCTTTCAAAAATATGTCACTTTACATTTACCACCTCTCTTACTGTTCTCAATTATTACTTTTCCTTCTCTGCATAACAGACTAAGGTCACAATAACTGAGAAAGCAATAGGCTGTATGTTTGCTTAACAATACTTGTGTTGTTGGGCATTTCGAAGTATTTTATATCAGACAAGCTATGTGAAGCTTTGGGAGGTCAGGAGGACACACTGGTGTCTCCATGCAGATATGAGGAGGCCAGGGTAGAACACATGAGGTCATTTTATAATACATTTCTGAGGAAGTCAGATAAGCAGTAATTAAATTATCAGAAAAAAATAGTTGACCATGATAATTCAAGCTGTTTCAAAACAGTCACCACAAGAGCTGTCACCACAGATTGAAATTGTTCAATAATACTACTGTCATTTCAGCCAAGAGTTACTGCTGTTGCAAACCAAATTGTATGCAGAAGAGCAGACACCAGAGAGTCCAAGGATTCAGATATAATAATTAACAGGTAGATGAATAAGATAACAAACCAAACACACAAGTGATACCAGGCTGATATGAAGGCAGAAGCCAGCTGACCATGGTGGCACATGAAGAACAGTGGTTTGATTATGAACTGGCCTCGCTTTGGTGTTTAAGATGCCCCAACACTCTCTCCACTTAAGTTTTAAAGAGGGTACTGTCAGGTTAGGACTTAAAAGGGTCAAAAGGTCCTTCCCCTTCTGACGTTTTATGATTTCATGGCTTTCCATGGGAAATAGCAAGTCAATGTCAGAGCAGAGGCTAAGATCTTATTCTCTGGTTATATGCCTGAGTCTCTACCCCAAATATTCTGATGTAATTTGTTTGAAGTAGCCTGATACTCATGATGTTTTTAATTATAATTGTCCTTTTTATTGAGATTTAATTCATATAAAACTCACAATTTGAAGTGTGCAGTTCAGGTTTTTACTATATTCACAAATTGTGCAATTATCACCACTAAGTCCAAAACATTTACTTCACCTTGAAAAGAAATCTCAAATGTATTCCTTGTTCCCTCTTTCCAAGCTCCTGGCAACCACTGCGAGACTATAACTACTCTGTATGAATTTACCTATTCTGGAAAATTCATTTAGTCTTTCTGGATGTAATTTCTTTTGCATCTGTAGGCAGTCTTTTGCATCTGTCTTCTTTCACTTAGCATAATGTTTTCAAGGTTTATCACCTCGGGGTGCTTAAAAGTTACCCTAGGTGATTCAAGTATGCAGCTAAGATGGAGACGACTACAAAAGGAACCCTCTTTTCACAGAAAATTCAGGTAAAGAGTGAGTCACTGGAGGATCAGAAGGTTTGGGTTTACTCTGAGTTTTGAAGTGATTCTTAACATCCAAGGATAGATCTACCTTCCTTAGCACCAAAAGAGCAATGCTAATCTCTACCCACACTCCACATCTCTGCTAGAGGATGCTCATGATTAAAAGAAATAGGTCAAACCCCCAATAATCTAGCCAACCCTGGCTCAGTGCCCCAGGAATAAGTGCTGATTGCTAAATAAGTCCTTTTTATTCTCTCTGTGTCCTCCTTTGCTGTCATTCTGCTAAATCTTTGATCACTTAGGCATGGAGATAGTGTATCTGTAACCTCCATGGACTATTTGGGCTTTGTGGAATGAGATGAAGGTTAGAGATAAATGAAACATGTACTTGAAATTTGATTTCCTCTCTGCTCCATTTCGTCGGTTTGAGAGACGGTGAATCTAATCACAGATTGATCTTATTAAGTCTAATGACCTAATGATTAACAAGAGAAATGCATCTGTGGTCAAATTGCCTGTTTTAATTATTTTAAGGAGCAGTACCATCAATGGGCAACAGGAAGCAGTCTCTTACATGTGGGTTAGCTTGCACATGGTGTTGTCTCGGTTATTACTCTCTTGATACCTAGTAGAGAAATTACATCCAAAAAAACTCAGATGTACTCAATGTCTCACAATTTGCAATAGGCAGTGTGAGGCAGAGGTGAAAGTTTTGATCTTGATATGTTTCACAAGTTGTAATGGCATCCTGGCGTCCCGGAAGGCTGCTAAGAGAGGAGGTGAGAACAAGCTGGAGAGGAGTCCATTGGTAGGAGATAAAGAGGAGACTGTTGTAATACAGGGAAGCCAAGGTCTAGGACAAAATGTTTACTGATAATTCAGGCAAAGACTGTTTGGTGTCTGGGCTGTTCTATGGCAAAGACCTCTTAGGGACAATAGAACTGACCTGATTTCATACTATTAATCAACATCAGTTAAAAAGTGGAATAGTTTTAAATGATACATACATTAGGCATTACATATTCACTTAAAACACAAATGTATATTCATTTTCAAATCTTTGATGGTGAGCCAACACACCCCCTTTTGGAAATAAGTCTGCCAAATGGAGTTATATTTTTGCACAAAATATCCATAATGCATCCTTCATGCTTTATATTTTGATACGATTAAAGTAGAACAAGAATTTAACACAGTTGTGAGTCTAGAATCTATAAGAATTCAGAATTATAGATTTTTAAATGACAAATTTTAAACTGTCTTGCCAATCCCTGTTGCAACAATAATTTGGGAGGAGAGAGAGCTGAGACTCATGGTTAACATATCATTTCAAATTACTCAACTTGGTCTGCATGTTGACTTGCTTCTCACAGTATTTTATCAGTTCATGCAATTTACAATTCACGTAAATTAAATAATTCCTGTAATCCCAGCACTTTGGGAGGCCGAAGCAGGTGGATCACTTGAGGTCAGGAGTTCAAGACCAGCCTGGTCAACTTGGCGAAGCTCTGTCTCTACTAAAAATGCAAAAATTAGCCAGGCATGGTGGCATGCACCTGTAATACCAGCTACTTGGGAGGGTGGGGCAGGAGAATCGCTTGAACCCAGGAGGTGGAGGTTGCAGTGAGCTGAAGTTGCACCACTGCACTCCAGCCTAGGCAACAGAGTGAGACTTCTTCTCAAAAAATTAATTAACTAATTAATTGATTCATTAATTAATAATAATTTACTTAAACTAAAAATTATGTACAACTGGTATAAACTGGTTTGGAAGAAAACACAACTGACTCTTCATAAACCTGTCGGAGAGAGCTTCAGTTCAGGTATAGCAGAGTGCAATCTTGCTGCCAGGATTTAGAAAATTTGAGACATTGATCATTAAGATTTTGAGAGGAAGCAGGGACCACTGGTTAACCTGGTGGGTGAGTTAAAGAGGAGGCTGGTTAAAAGAGTTCCTACTGTAACAGCTGATAAGAACAGAGTGAGGTATCACAGGCTTGGGAGCCATGGATTGCTCACCTTTGGCAAGGCAAGAAACAGTCTATAAAAATTGGTTTCTTATCAAGACTCTTTCAAGATCAGCAATTTGGAAAGTTTACAAATTTGCTAGATATAGAATTCTGTTTTAAAATGTAATTTTGCATTAGCATCCCAGCAACTCTTATCTATTGTTCTGTATAAAATGTAGGGTCTTGATCTGTTATGTTACAAAATATATAAAAAATTATTGACCAAGATATGTACCCTTCTGGTGCCTACACATGCATTCAGCAGCTAGAAATGTCCTTCTCACTGGCTGCAGTTACTGGGATAAGAATGATGTCCATTCTGATTAGTATAGAAGCTTCAGGCAGCCACAAATTAGCTAATATGATAATACACTTCATACTAATGGGACATAAACTAGGGGTGCTTTTGAAATTCCAGGGACAATGTTTTTAATAATAAAATGAGGAGATGAGGACAAGCTTGATAGGAATCTGTTGGGAAGAGGCAAAAGAATGATAAAATATAATATATAATTTGATCATGAAAAATACTAAAACGTCAGACCATGTCCAGACCAGCGATACTGCCAAGCGCAACTCCTGAACATTTCCCCAAATCCTGTCTCTACATCTGAAATGACTCTGGAACGTGCCCCCTCTGTCCATTCACAGAGCCAGGCTACCATCCTTTGCCTGAAATTCTGTAAAGGCCTTTTAATGATCTTCCTACATGTATTGTCTCCTCACAGTTCTTTCTCTATGCTATTCCAGGGTGAACATTTAAAAAGACAACCCCACTTTTATTACTCTCCATCAATGACATCTCATTACATATGTCAGTTTTCATGCCAACAATAGTTTTTATTTCCTCCCTTATCTGCCTCCTGAACTCAAGATCATGTCTTAAAGCCTTCATTGACCTTAACCCTCCATATTATGCAAGGTTCCCTATGCACAGTTGCAATTGGATAAAATAGTTTAGTTTTACATCTGTCTTTTGCACTAGACCACACTTCATGAAGGGACTCCATCTCTGCTTTGTTCCTACACTTTCTTGTGTCCAGCTTCATATGTAAACATTGTAGGCTTTTAATAAAAGTTTACTGACTATATTAACTATTTCTATTGCTTACAAAATAATTTGAAGTCTTATTATTTGACATTTTAATTGCTAGAGCTAAAAACTGTAAGGACATTGCCAATATTAAAACAGTCATTTTAAGACAACAAAAATGCTTTTTTATAAGACTTCTTTAAAAATTAAGGTAAAATTTGTTTACTGACTTCAGGAATTACAGTATATATAATAAGTTTAACAAGTACTATACTATCACTCTTAAATTCTACAATTAAACAGTTACATCTTCCACTCTAGATCCTAAACAGATACTAATTTTAAAAAGACAGTTTTCTCAGTTATTGAAAATTTTCATTTATCTTTCTCCTTTTTCAATTTACATGTTAAAAGACTTCCATTCAATTTTGAAATAAATGGAATGGAGGGCCCAGGCTAGTATGTTACTATTCTCCTAACAGGCTCTGGGGACCAGTCATTTGTCAGATTTAAGCCACTGTACTCCATTTAGACTAATTCATATGATAAAACTGTAGCATTAATAAAAGTTCATAATTTAATTGCACTATGAACCATTGCTTAGAGGCTTATCTGTCCCATAGAGGATCAACAGCCTGGTGAGAACATCATAGCTTATGTAAAATAATGCAGCCATTTATTATATGCCTAAACTTGAGATATTTCTGAGATGATGACTAGGGAGATGAACAGGCATGTGGAGAAGCCACGAGTTGGTATGTCTTAACTGAAGTAAACGTAGTATGGGTAAAATTCCAAGAAAAGATGAATGAGATTATGTATACTACCAAACAAATACTGAGGTAAAAGAGGATACTTTTAAAAAGTAAATTATATCATCAATTACAAATAGTCAGAAATTTCAACTCTATAGATTAATTGAAATGTCTTAGCACTGTTCAAGCTTCACTCTTCTGTGGTAGATTCCCAAGGACACAGGATCTTCATAAAGGGCTACTTTTCTCGGCATCATCTTAGAAGAGAATTAAGGAATTGTCACAGAAGTCTACATTACCTAACATTATAAACATATTTTCACGGTCAAAACCTCTACAGAGCATGTAAACTTGAGAAGATTTGGAAGCAATTCTTTGAGGATTGAGGTCCTGACAATGTTTTTTTGTTTGTTTTTGTTTTTGTTTTTGAGATGGAGTCTCGCTCTGTCGCCAAGGTTGGAGTGAAGTGCAGTGGCACGATCTCAGCTCACCGCAACCTCTGCCTCCTGGGTTTAAGCAATTTTCCTGCCTCTGCCTCCTGAGTAGCTGGGATTACAGGTGTCCACCACCATATTCAGCTAATTTTTGTATTTTTAGTAGAGACGGGGTTTCACCATGTTGGCCAGGCTGGTATTGAACTCCTGACCTCAGGTGATCCACCCACCTCGGCCTCCCAAAGTGCTGGGATTACAGGCGTGAGCCACTGCACCCAGCCCTGCCAATGTTTTTAGCAGTACTCCTCAATGATCATGAGTCCAAGCTGAAGGTTGAAGTCAACAATATTTATAAGCTCTAAAGATATTTCCTAACTACATTTTATTAACAGGACCTACATCAATAATGTAGGCTAGCATAAACACAGCAAGATTATATACAGTTTGTTGTCAGCAAATATATTGACTAGAATGTTTGTTTGCTTTTTTATGAAGAAGGTATACTCATCACTTCCTCAAGATAGGGGAAAAATTGTCTTCTTGTTACAAAACAAGCCTCTCAAAACATTATGTATTTGTATACTTTTAATCAATCACCTTTCTCCTAAGGTTTATTTTAATGGTTAATTTTTTTGTTTTTTGCTTATTATTTATGTTTATAATGTTCCCTCTTGTGTCTTGGAGTGTCTACTTTGGAAAATTAAGGATGTGGTGGCACATTTCAAAACTATTATATCTGGGATAAACAGAGGGGAATTATTTTAAAAGTCATTCTGGCTTACAGAGTTCATACATAAAAGAATAAAAAGTTGAAAATAATAAATGTTATAGTAACTATACACCCAGCTGATATGTATCCTAATCTTCTGTAAAAGCAATCCAACAACTTCAGTTTTTTTTCTGAAGTGACACAAATTCTACATTGTCTTTTCATCTCTGAGTTTAATAAATATCTGCTTAGAAATACTATTAAAGTTGTTAGCAGTTACTCCAGAAGTAGAGTTTTGACAAAGATTGGACAGCAAAGCTGGACAACTTATTGCAGGACGCATCAACTCAGGTTTAACACAGGAGTACTGAATTCCGAATATGATTACACTCAGACTGTGGACTCTTATCAAGACTCAGCTAGAGCTATTCAGCAAAGCTTACTCTAGTACTATCCTCTGATAACTGGCTTTCACTCGTAACCACACATTTCTCTGAACTAGAGTGTAAAATCAAGGTAGGAGTATACATGGCACCTACAGACCAAGTCAAGAAAACAGCTGTGTAGGTGTAAAATAATCACATTGATCCATTGTGAAGATGTGTGACCCCTATTAATGAGTTGACTTCATAGTTAAATTTTATAATCATATCCCTTGAGCCACTGGGTGTGTTGCTATTTAGGCTACATTTTCTATGGTCTCACCAGAGCCATATGAAAACAGCAATCATTTTTCTTTAACCACCACAACTACTAAGATGGAGTCATCTGGCATTCTAACATCAATTAGTGGAGCAACCTCCCAAAGTGGTATTCTCTCAGAGGAGAGTGAGAGTACGCATTTTCCATGGCACACTCTGTAGAGTCTTTATAAATATATTGATTCTGTTGACTTTCTGTACTTTAATGAGCAGATGATGTTTGGCTGCATCTCACCTGTCTCACCTATGTTTTGCCTATTTTTTATTGCTCCATAACACAACACCTTTTCTGTAAATTTCAGATGTGAGAATAAAGGAGAGAAATGTTTAGGGGTGAAAGCACCGGTAGCTACGTAAGCAGACTACTACCATACTTACACATGAAATCTGCCTGATATAAAATAGTCAACCATTCTACCAGAAAGAACTTTGGATTTCCTGCGATAGCAATTTTATTTTAAAATCAAAGTTGCATATCTGCAAATAAAAGTAATAGCACTTTGCATTTTACTATTAATGGAGCTTTTCTGTATTATAGCAGGACAATGAGAAAACAATTTTAAAAACGGGAAGAGGAAACCCATTTAAAATTATTTTAAAACTATTTTTATACTTTGAGGGCATGAGTGTATAAGCCCATTAAAATATTGCTGATGAAAATGCATTTTAAATTCCCATTAGATAAGATTATATTTTAACTTTCGTTTGAAACTTGAATTGATTCAAGATGAGAGAATAGCATTTTCAGATAATAAGCTGAAAGATCCTACATAACTGCCAGAACCACTAACAGACGTGTGTTTAGGGAATGAAAGTGTGTTTATCTGAGCAGGCTTTGAGAGTCAAACAGCTTTGCTTCAAAGTAGAAAGCAGGATGCAAAATTTTTGGCTTAGGAGCCTGGCAGGAAAAATGTGTATTTTGATTTCTTAGTGATATCAAAGATACTTATTAGCTTAGTGGAGGGACTCCATTTAGTTTCAAACCGTCATTCTAAAATAGACCCCCTATTTCTGTGAGTAGTCTCTGAATGAGATGGTCATTATCATTTTCATTTGCATTAAATAGAACTCAGAATTCACAGGATGCTAGTATACAAATAAACTTCACAAATGGTCTGCAGGACAATCCTATATAAAGTGGCTCCTCTTCAAATTCTATTGATCAGAAGACATTTTTTACCTACTTTTGAGGGCACTTAATGGCTCTGAGACAATATATTTTCCAACTCTTTTGGTCACAGTGTGTCTCCAGTTGCTCATTAAAGTCAAAATCAGCATGCTATTTACCTATCCATGTTGCAAGGAATAATCCACGTTCCTTGAATAGGAGCATTTAAGCATCTCTGCTGCCTAATTGCAGAATTGATTTCTAATGGAGAGGTTTGGTTCCCCAAATACCATCTTTTCCTGATTTTCAGATGAAATGCAACATATTTCTTTTCCAGGGCCTTTGAAGATTCTTAGGAATAAGAATATGTTTAATAGAAAATAGTCTTGAACCAGAAAAATCCAGGATATATTATTTTCTTCTGCAATTGATTGAAAATAGTTACTTAATTAAGAACCACCTGCAATATAGCTAGCAAGACCCCAGGCACAGACAGTGACATGGGAACATCCATCATATCTGGAAATCCATGAGGGGTCAAGACAATATTTAGAAGAAAATAACTGGAAAACTGGGTTCTTGAAACTCATTCAAGGCTTGAGGAATCCCTCTTACTCTTTGACTATCTTTCCAAAAGAACACTGAGAAAGTTTTAACATCATAATATTGCTATATTCATGGGAAAAAAAGAAGGAAACATTTTTATAATACCTTTCTTTGGCTTTGTCATCAAAATGTTGTGAAAGGAAAATAAATCCTGGCCGGGCTTGGTGGCTCATATCTGTAATCGCTGCACTTTGCAAGGCCAAGGAGGGCTGATCGCTTGAGGTTAGGAGTTTGAAATCAGCCTGGTCAACATGGTGAAACCCCATTTCTACTAAAAAAAATACAAAAATTAGCTGAACATGGTGGCAGGCACCCATAATCCCAGCTACTAGGGAAGCTGGGACAGGAGAATCACTTGAACCCAGGAGGTGGAGGTTGCAGTGAGCTGATATTGCACCACTGCACTCCAGCCTGGGCAATAGAGTGAGAATCTGTATTAAAAAATAATAACAGGCTGGGCATGATGACTCACACCTGTGATCCCAGCACTTTGGGAAGCCAAAGTGGGTGGATCAAGAGGTCAGGAGTTCGAGACCAGCCTGGCCAACATGGTGAAACCCCATCTCTACTAAAAATACAAAAAATTAGCTGGGCGCGGTGATGTGCACCTGTAATTTCAGCTACTTGGGAGGATGAGGCAGGATAATAGCTTAAACCTGGGAGGCGGAGGTTGCAGCGAGCCGAGATTGTGCCATTGCACTCCAGCCTGGGCGAAAGGCCGAGACTCCATCTCAAAAAATAATAATAATAAATAAATATAATAAAAAAATAAAATCAATCAATCAATCAATCTTCAGGCCTCAAAATCATTAAGCCAAAGGGAAAAGTTAAACTGGGAACTGGGTCAGGCAAATCTTCCTCCCACTTTTGGTTCCTAAATAAGATAGCTACTAGATGAAAAGCTACATGCCTCCCCAGTATTTTGCCCACAAGGAAATTCCTAGTGAGCTCCAAGATTTTTACCCTAAAGTGTTTCTGTTAAAATTACACCATGGCAATGTAAATTGATAGCTTATCTTTACAGGTGCAGTCACTACTCCACCCCCACCTGACACAATGCCTATTTGATTTTTCCCCTGCCCAGTTTTGTCTATGTTATCTTATGTAAAAATGCAGATTCACTACTGAGCCAGACGAAGGCATGAACGACTATGTTTTCCTACTCCCACATACATAAAAATTGTGTACTTCTCAATATCCTGCCCTTTCTCCTTTAAATTTGGAGCCTCAAAATCATCTTCAGAGAAAGGCATAAACCTGTCTCCAGGGTGTGCATCCTCAACTTTGGCAAATAAACCTCCTAAAATGATTTGTCTCATCATTTTTCCTGACTGACAATGTCCTATTCCTAGAAGACTTGTAATGGTAGGCATCACTATTCATGTGTTTTTCTTTTAATAGACTAGTAGTTTGGAGGTTGTGCGTATAAATATACTTCTTCAGCAATTTTAAGCTTTTTGGGAGTAGCCCTCCTGATTTATCCTTCTCTGGTTACCATTTTGCTTGAGCAAAAACAGTTGATTCTCATTCTTAAAACTTAACTGAGAGCTACCTTAACAACACATTAATGACATTTTCTCTTAATCAACTGGTACATCTTGGCTATGTTGCAAATGTCATGAAGGCAGGAAAAACTATTTAAATTTGTTTGAATCTGTCATAGCTATCAGTAATGTTCAGAGAACATGATCCATGTCCAATACTGAATAGTTCACTGTTAAATGAATGAACAAACCAGTTTTGAGGATGATAGAATGTTAGAGCACAAAATCCTTTAAATAACATTTAACTCTTTGTTTTAAGAATGGGAAGAAAGTGAATCATAGACCCAAGAAATATTTTCTCTTACCTAATGCTACACATCCCATTTGAGTCAGATGTGAAAAAAAGAGGTCATATGATCTATATGCTTCATTCATTTTTATTAAGTCTTATTCTTAACTGTGCCTCTGCTTCATGATACAACTGTACCGTAGTTATGGCAAGCAGTATGGGCTAAACCTAATGTCCTCACTAATGTGATCTTTCATATAGATACCAAATAGAATGTAATATTGTCATTCATTTATATAATCTAAATCCTTTCCCAATTGTTCAATATATGGACCATGTAAATCAAGGAAAAGCTGAAAATAAATACTCCTAATGTTTAGAATTAGGGAAGAAAAAACTTTTTGTGCAAAATATCGTAAAGGATATAAAGAAATATAAAAATATAAAAATATGGTGGTAAACAAAGATGTGTACTGATGGCTTTTTTTTTTTTTTTTTTTTTTTTTTTTTTTTTTCAGAATTCTTCCATGATTTTACCAACCTGAGTATTTGGTTCATTGCTCAAAGTTTCCAACTAGGTGTCTTTTAATTATATCACTGATGTCATCAAAAAGTGATACATGAATAGCAAGCACTACCACTCAGATAGTCCAGTCCTACTCACCTTCACAGAAACAGCTTTTAGAAGAAGTAATATAGCCACATCACTGTAGGATTTCAGAAATGATTCATGAGCATAATGCTAGGATCACTCCAGCTTTGTCATTTAGAAGCCACGTGACCTTGGATAAGCCACTTAACCTCTTCTGAGCCCCAGTGTCTTTATTAGTAAACTGAAGAGACTGAAATATGTGACCTCCTGAAGCTCCTTCTAATTTTTTATATTCATAATTATGGAAATTTTCATGGACATTAAGTAGAAACCTTTGTAAATTGACTTCAGAGTTTCTGCCGAGAACTATCCTTAGTGAAATTTCTGTTGGCACAGTGGCCCAGCAGTAATTATAGGATGCAAAGTTCTTTCATTGTCCAACACAAAAATGAAATGCTGAAGGAAATGCTTTGAATTAATGGTGACCAGTAAGCTAAGAAATGAATGTTGAGAGATAATTGAATGACATTCTCTTTTTCGGCTATTTCTATTAAAAGTATACTTTAGAGAATCTTGGTAGTCATTTTATGTAGTACTCTTATGACAAGTATATGTATATTTTCTAATTTGGCAAATTTAGTATTGAAATTGTGAAGTTTCAGCTAAAAATATAAATGATAAATATAAATCTAAATATTCTACATATCATACTGATGAGCAATTAGGTTCATAAAGCATATTTTGATAAAAACATTCACTATGAGAGAAAGCTAAAGAGGTGATATGATAAAATATGTAGTGAAGAAATTTGACATTTCTTTCTCCAGTTTTGAGTCTAAATTATTTCTCAATATGTACAAAAATGAAAGTGTAAGTTCTCCAAGGTCAGGGAATGCCATGATTTTATTTCTTTTGTATCAATATGGAACAATCAATTGGGGCATTATAAATCTGTGTATGTTCAATTAATCATGTTGAGAATGTCAGATAGACACATATAGACATATATATATATATGATCTATATGCTTCATTCATTTTTATTAAGTCTTATTCTTAACTGTGCCTCTGCTTCATGATACAACTGTACCGTAGTTATGGCAAGCAGTATGGGCTAAACCTAATGTACTCACTAATGTGATCTTTCATATAGATACCAAATGGAATGCAATATTGTCATTCATTTATATAATCTAAATCCTTTCCCAATTGATCAATATATGCACCATGTAAATCAAGGAAAAGCTGAAAATAAATACTCCTAATGTTTAGAATTAGGGAAGAAAAAACTTTTTGTGAAAAATATCATAAAGGATATAAAGAAATATATCCTTTATGATATATTTCTCTCTCTATATATATCTATCTCCACATATAAGAGGAGACATAGTTGCCTCTTAAATACAGGGAAATACTAACAACACTGTGATTGGCTTCTATAAATCTTTTGTAAATCTTTCACAGTTGATGGTCTAGATAATTTTTTTTCCTGAGTCAATACAGATATTTACCCTTAAAACATACTGTAGAAATGGTCATCTTGTAAAAGGTGGTTGTTGTTGTTTTGAGACAGAGTCTCGCTCTGTTGCCCAGGCTGGAGTGCAGTGGCGTGATCTCGGCTCACTGAAAGCTCCGCCTCCCGGGTTCATGCCATTCTCCTCCCTCAGCCTCCTGAGTAGCTGGTATTACAGACGCCCGCCACCACGCCCGGCTAATTTTTTTTTTTTTTTTTTTTTTTTTTTTGTATTTTTAGTAGAGACGGGGTTTCACCATGTTAGCCAGGATGGTCTCAATCTGCTGACCTCGTGATCCGCTCATCTCGGCCTCCCAAAGTACTGGGATTACAGGCGTGAGCCACCACACCTGGCCAAAAGTTTTTTCTAAAATTTCATACTTTGTGCCTTCTTTAGCAAAAATCCAAATCATAATTCTTAATATATTGATAGTTTAATGGTGTTATTTATTAATATTATTATTATACCTAGCTGCTTGCCTTTAGAGCAAATGGTCCCAGACTTACATATTTATAAAATAATTTTTAAGTTTTATCTTACATTTTAAAATAATTTCATCTTTTTTCTATAAGTTGTCAGTTTATTCTACTATTAAAATATTTGTTTCTAGAAACCCAGTTTTAGTTCTTAAAATTTAGATAATCAGCATGTTATATCTGACACTAATATCAAATAGACTCAGAACGAGAACATGATAGTCTCCCATGTCGTGAAAGGGTTTATAAACAATGTAAGAATTTTATTTTAAGGATTTTCTTGACATTTGCTTGGGCTACTAAAATCATTTTTATTTGGTTTCTATTTTCTCGTCTTGTTCAGAATAGTGACTGGCTTTTCAACTATGCATGTTTAACCATAGTTGGTTTTATAGCCATGTACAGTACAGAGCCACTGTACTGGAGGAGAGCTACTAGTTTGTGGTTTGGATGACTATATAAATTAATTCAAACTGGAACACCTTTGAATGAAATTCAATGCTACCATAAGAATTAACAAGCATTAATTGCTATACAGCAGGAGATACCAACTAGGAATGTCCTGGGAAAATCAGGATTCATGCCAATCCTATTTGCAGTAATGTTAATAATAAATTGTTTTCAAGCATCTCAGAGCCAAAACAATGGATCATAATGAACTTGGCCCATTTTCCCCAAGATCAAAGGGTATGCTTAGTTCTATCAGTTTGGGATGTGAGTATGGTTGTAAACATATTCTGTCTTCTCATAGTTAAAGCTGGACTAGCATTTGTTGATTCTCCTAATGAGAATGCTTATAAAATCAGTTTGTACTTAAATATCTGGCTGTATTTTTAACTGTTCTTTATCAAGTTTTCTTTTAACTTTTCCTCATATATTTCTGACTATATGGCAAGTACTTCAGGTTAAGCCTTATTTCTAGAGTTTTTAAAAATGTGCCTTACTTCTAGATGGACTAGGTAATACCAGCATGGAGTGATTTAAGAAGTATGTGAACAGAATACACATTGTAAGATTATAGTAACAGGATACCTGTATTCGAGTCTAGTGTTGGGTAGGCAGCAGTGAGGAGAAGTACATTGGAGGAGGTAGTAAAAGGAGGGTAGCAATCTCTCCACTTCCTCAGTGTCACATCCTAAGGATAATATATGAATTTGAAAATTGGGAATGTTCTTAAAGCCTACCTTCCCATACCTTTTGATTTTGATGTTACAAAGCTTGCATCGACTCTTACTTAGTAAGTTAGTTAGCATCCATCAAATAATCAAAACTATCAAAATGTAGTAAAAGTGGACAGGAGAGTTTGGACACATGTATTGATTCTAGAATATAATTAGTGAGGAAATGTCCTAAACATCATTCTAATAGAAGCTCTTGATTTGGAATTTTATTTCCAGTTTCAGAACAATTCTAGCCCATTTTATTCCTCTGGACCTTAAAATATCCAAAACCATTTATAGAATAATAGGATTCCTTAAGGAAGGGGTCATGCCCTTAAGTATTCTCTTTAAAGATAAGCCACAAACTGGGGAAGAAAGGAAAAAAATAAATTGTGGCTAAAAAGCAATTTAAGCTTTCAGAGAAGAATTATATAAAAATTAAGCTCGTAGTAATTCAGAAATCACAGGGCTTTATATCTGGAAGACACTTTAGAGATCAAGTCTAATTTATTCATTTCACAGATGAGTAAACTAGGTCGAGATTGGCTACAGGACTTGCTTGACTGCAGAGTTGGTTAGGAACTAAACCTAATACCAAACTACAACTGTTTCCCATTGTTCCAGAATGACTTAATCCAGGCCAAAGCCAGGTATGGGGCAAGACTTAGGTCATGGAATTGACTGGATATGTTAGCATTTCAAAAAAAAAAAAAAATTGAAGGTATTTGCAGAATTAATTTTTTTGCTTCTAATAAGAATGAGGATTATTCAATACATTTATAAAGTAAACATGATATATATTTTGCTAGAGTTTCACCTAAACTTATAATTATTTTTAAAATACTTTATCTTTAATTTTTTATTTAGATCATTTAGATATCAAAGATAACCCAGTATCAAAATTTGTGCACTTCTACCATAGTATTTATTATAATTTGCTGCAATTTTTAATTTAGAGTATCTTCACTTCCCCAAACCTCAAGCATTTTGAAGACAGAGCCTCAATTTTATTTCACTCTGTATTTTCTTGACCTATTGCAGTTCTTGGTACACACTAAGTTATTCCATAAAAAAAGTGAAATAAGAAAGAGCTTGAGTAAAATGTAAATGGATTTTAGACATAGCTAGCTTAAGAATTTGCCGTACTACCTTAGATAAATCACATTACCTCTATGAGCCTTGCATTTTCCACGTATGTAATGAGTAATTTTTTTTTTCAGGAGATAGATCTGGAACCAATAGATGGAAACTATAAAGAAATTCTCAGCTCATTGTAAGAAAAACTCTTTCTAATAAGTAAAGTTTTCCAAAGCTGTGCTTGTTTCCTAAAACAGAATTCTTAACAAATGGAAGACATCAATCATAGCCTTAATGAGCATGTAGCAGAAGAGTTAAGTATTAAAAAAATTAAATGCTGGAAAGATGCTTAGGGTACAAGTTCTTTATAATCTGAGATTTGGTGATGCCATGGGATTATTGTGGCACTGCAAGATTATGTGTATAATAAGATGAAGTGCAGGACATGCTACCCCAAAATATGGTACCTTGGAAATGCAGAAAACCTCAAAAGCAGAAAGGTCTATCTGAACTTCTCTCACCCCTGCTCTTTTGAAGACCCTCATTGACAGGTATCCAGTCCTACACCCAGAGCAAAGGAATATTGCACAGAAATGCCAAAAAGAATTTTTGATCCTTTATGGTATGGTAATGGTTTGGTTTATTACCATTAGCAATGGTAATGGTTTATTAATATTAGGTTATATCCATTTATATTCAATCACACTTCGCACTATTGTTCATTCTTAATCAAACCTGAGCATAAAAATACACATTTTTTCCTGGGTCTTTGAGTCTTCATTTTGGAAAGCTCCCACATCATGTAAAGCTTTGGTCAAATAAAGCATTATGCTTATCTATTGTTAATGTCTCTGTCTTTTGTTATAGGGTGTCAGCCATGAAGCTTGCAATGGGCAAGGGAAATATATCACTTGGTCTCTTTTACAAGCACAATCATGAAACACATTGGGACTTGGCCTCCAGTATTGCCACCAAGAAAACACCCACTTTACTTCTTTGTATAACATTTTACTCAAATTCTAGGTGATGACATTAATAATAGCTTTTCTGTCTACTTCCTGGATTTGTTGTAAGGATAGTAAACTTCAACATACATTGAAAATTAATAGTACCAAAAGACAACAAGGTGATATTATTAAAAGAATTTCAATGGTGTTCTCTCCTGTTTCCTACAGGGAACATAAATTCTGTTAAAACAACTGTATAGACCACCTCCTGAATGGAAGGATTTAATAATGGTTTGAAAGCCAACATTTCATCATCTGTTTAGCCTGATGTACTCCTGACTATGTTTGGCTGCAGTTGAAACTAGCTTTAAAAAATTTTTATTGATATGAACATTTAATAGCTTTATCTTTTTAATTGTATGTTTGCCAGTTTCTCAGTATTACTAGAGCATAGAATTTCAGATTTATCTCTCATCACTTACCACTTCACCCACAATGAGGTAAGATTCTCCATCTCCAGCCATATGTAACTAAAAAATGTTCTATTAATATTCTGTATTGCTCAGCTATTGCCACAATAATGCTACAAGACAAACCACCTCAAACTTAGTGTCTTAAAGCAACTAGTGTTCATGATTTTTCTAGTTCACAAATCTGTGTGGTATCTGTAGCAGATCTGTTCCATGTGTGGGTAGACTGGGCTTTCTTTCTTTGGGTTGGGTTTAGGTCTTTTCACAGGTTTTCTCAATCACTGAGGACAAAGGGTTATCTGCAGCATTCCCTTTTCTTGAGAAGTAGCACAAGTACACTTAGTGCTTCTAAAGATCTTGGACCAAGACTAGCAGATTGTCTCATCTGCCTGCATTCCATTGGACTAAGCAGTGACATAGTCAAGTCTACATCAATAGAAAGGAGAAATATATTGGCTATTCATCATTATATTGGCACCACACTGGGGACCAGGTAAGTCCATGTAAATACTGTAGACTGAATGAATATTCAATAAATGAAAATTTCACTTTCTACCAAAGCATAATTCTAGTTGAGTGTTTCCAACAACACAAATTTGCTATTTCCCAGAGCAGCCATTTTTTTTATTTGATCATTTTAGTTGCTACAAACCCCCTATTATCATGAATAAAATTTAACCTACTCAATGTTCTTCCAATTAGATCTCTAGTTTCCACTGAAAAACAAGTACACTTCCTCTTAGATAAGATAGCCCTTTCAAATAATTGAAATAATTTTTCCATTGTATATATTCCCAGTGGCTTCAACAGTTCTAACCCCCATAAGTCCATTGTTCAAATGTTTCTAGAAGCAAATGCATCTGTTAATATATAGATTTCAAATAGTCTTCAAATAACTCATAAATATAGAAAGAGATGACCTATTTCTAGTTGCTTGTACACTATCAATATTCCAATTATGCAGTTTTTTTAAAAACAGTAACATAGCGATGAGAAAATACAATGTTTTAAAATAATGAAAATAAGTACAAAGGGAAATAATATGATGAAGATTTGTGTATACATGATGTAGGTTTTCAACTTAATAATTTCCTACATTAGAACTCTAATAGAACATGAATCATTACATGTATAGTTAAAATCTACTTTGTATTTCCCCCCTTTCTTAACTTTTCCCCTTTCTCCCATAAGAGGTAACAACTTGCTTAAATATTTTATAAAAATTTACCACATTCTAAGCCACAACCAAAAATTCTATATACATCAAATAATCAATCTTTTACAGACTACCTTATTTACATTTTGATCCAAAATCAATAAAAAATTATAAACAGGATGTGTATGTGAAACAATGTCTACTTTTGTATTGACTGAAGTATTCTGTTTAAGTTAAATGTGTTTACAAATCTTTTACAACTATACAGCCTTTTAATTGAATACCAGCAGAGGTGCATTAAAACTTTCTACTATATAAAATTTTGAATTTGTAAATGATTTACAGTTCTCTTGATTTGCCTTAAATATTATAGATTAGAATTTTAGAATATTCTGACACTTCTAATTTAATAATACTTTTGCATAACATCTATTTGCCTTATATTAATACAGGTATACTTACTTTGAGTTTGGCTACTTTTGCCTACCTTTTTAATTCCTTATTTGATTTTCCATTTTTCTGTACCATTTGTCTCTTTTAACCCAAATATAGGGTTGTTTTATTCTTTTGTTCAATATGATACTGACAATATTTGCCTATTTTAGGACAGAGAGATTTATTTATTTTGATATCTGATATTTTGATATGTGTACATTATACCTCCTTGTTACCTTTTTATGCTTTCTTTTTTGTCTTATATTGTATTAACAACTTTTTTTATTCTTCTCTTTTTCCCATGCTTGTATCAAATTATATGGTTTATGTCTAGCACTTAATATATGAGTTTATATTTTTAACATAATCATTTTGAAAGTATTAAGTTAAATAAAATATCCACCTTTCTTCAAAATATATCTAGGACATGGAGATGTTTTAAATCTTATACCTTTCCTCACAACTTACTTATAATTGTGATGTAGTATTTTAGTTCTATTTTTATGTCACAAAAAAATTACTTCTCTTTCTCTCTTCCTCCTTCATTTTCTTCTTCCCTACAGGTTTGCAAACTAACATAGTAGACCATACTAAATCTTGGTTATGTCACTTATTTCACTTATTCCATCAGGTTCCTTATCCTTAGTTCCATGAGCAGATTTGCTAAGCAGATCTTTCTTTATATTCACCTAAAATTCTCTAATAGAAATTATCACATTAGGATCTATGTCAGAGTTTTGTGCAAACCTGAGGAAAAAAAATAAAGTATTTTTAAATTTTATAATTTAATTGGCAATATAACACCTATATGGACTCTTTTATTTTTAGAAAATTGAGGGAATTTGGAAATATTCTGGTTGGTAATTTTGATTCTTTTAAAATTTAATTCCTGATTGTTATCACAAATTTGTTCTTCTTCTGCTTGAATAAAGTCATCTTCTCCTTTGTTGTAAATATATTTGAAGCTAAAGCATAAAATAAACTCAGAGATTGGAGAGGTTTAAGAACATCACCTACCTGGCCAGCAGTGTCCAAGATGTCCAAGTAAGCTGGCTCATTGTCAATCCTGACCTGGGTCTTATAAGCATCTTCTGAAAAACACAAGACAACATTTACATTTAAATGTGACAGGAAAGGCATTATTAATTTTTAGATTTCATATAGAAGAATTTCTAAGTAAGTTACTAAGATAATTAGAAATATTCCTCAAATAACGTATATAGATTGAAAAATGATGTAACTCAGGAAAATATAGGAGAAAGTGTTTCTGCTTATGGTGAAACCAAGTAGATTTCTCTTTCATCAGGAAAATTTTGCGATCTGAGGCGCCCTAGTGATGTTACCTAGAGAAAAACATGGAACAAATGTTATTCGTTCTTTCCTAACAATGCAGGGCAAAATTGCATCCTATCACCTTAATGGTAAAGTCCTGAAAGCTTTTATTAGAAGATCAGGAGTAAGACAAGATTCCCTGCTCTCACCTCCCTTATTTAACATAGTACTAGAAGTCATAGCCAGAACAATTAGGCAAGAAGAAAAAATAAAATCATCCCAATTGGAAAACGAGTAAAATTATCTCTGTTCACAGACAACATGATCTTATATGTAGAACCCTAAAGATTACATACATGCAAACCCTAAATGAATTCAGCAAAGTTGTAGAATATAAAGTCAACAAGCAAAAATAAGATATGTTTCTATCAACTAATAATAACGTGAAGAGAAAATTAAGAAATCAATTTCATTTATAATGGCATCAAAATTAATGAAATACTTAGAATTAACAAAGGATGTGAAGACTTCTACATTGAAAATGGTAAAATGTTGCTGAGAGAAATTAAAGAAGGCACAAAATATTGAAAGACATTTGACATTTATGGACTGAAAGATTGTTAAAATGTCATACCTGCCAAAGGAATCTGCAGAGTTAATGCTGAGTTAAATGGTAATTCTGTTTTTTTGTTATTTGAGAAATTACCACACCACTTTCCACAATGGCTGAACTGATTTTCACTCCCAGCAGCAGTGTATAAGCATTCCCTTTTATCTGCAACCTCACTGGCATCTGCTATTTTTTTGACTTTTAAATGGCCACTCTGACTGGTGTGAGATGGTATCTCATTGTGTTTTTTATTTGTATTTCTCTACTGATTAGTGATGGTGACATAAAGAGATGTAGAATGTTATCAAAAGTCGTTTCTGCGTCTATTGAGATAAATAACCATGTGGATTTTGTTTTTAGTTCTATTTATACAATGAATCACACTTATTGATTTGTATATGTTGAGTCAAACTTGTATCCCAGGGATGAGGCCTACTTGATCATGATGGATTAGCTTTTTGATGTGCTGCTGGATTTAGTTTGCTAGTATGTTGTTGAGGAATTTTGCATATGGATGAACAAACCATGGCTGAGAGTGTGGGATGTAGGTCATGGGCTGCTTTATATACACAGCCAGGACCAAGGTCAGTGAGCCTGTTACTCAAGACAGAGAGGACCCTGAGCAGATAGTGATAATGGCAAGGTTAAGGCCAAATTTTAATATAGCTGAGTACACAGGGAGATGAAGTTGTCTTTGGGTCTGTAGTTGGGACAACAGTAAGTGAGCCTGCCACCTGGATTTTGGCCTGCCTTCTGAAAATCTTCATCCTTGGTCTGGGGCTCCACTACAGTTTCACAACTTCCTGCCTAGATTCCCAAACTCCCACCATGTTCCCACAAAGCCATTTGTGAATGGCTGTCAAATTATTGTTGCTACGGGGGAATATGAGTGGGAGATCTCCTATTCTGCCATCTTGCTGACATCATGTACCCCAGTTCAAGATCTTTCTTCTATTTTAATGTAAGCATCTACAGCTAGACATTTCCATTTTAGCACTGCTTTTGCTATATCCCATCAGTTTTAGAATGCTGTGTTTTCATTTTCATGCATGTGTGACTATTTTCTAATTTCCCTTGAGATTTCTTCTTGAACTCATTGGTAGTTTGAGAATTGGTTGTTTAATTTCCACATGTTGTAAATCTTTCCGTTTTCTTTCAATTGTTGGTTTCTAGTTTTATTCCATTGTGATTGGAAAAGATACTTTGTATGATTTGAATATTACTTCCCACTTATACTTGAAAGATAAAGAAATGCTTCCTGGGAGAAGTAGCACCTAAATTGAGTAGGAGGGGTTAAGAGAAAGTGAAGCAAGAGAGAAAAGGAAAAAAAGAAAAAAAGAAAACCAGAATCCCATATGTTGAAAAGAGTATGGAACAACAACAATAAAAACTTAGACAATTTCAGTGTTCCTAAATCCTAGAGTTTAGAGGAGAAATGTTGATGAAATGTAAGAGATAAATAAGATTAATTATGAATATATTTAAAAGAGTCATGTATTTGAATGAGGTATCTGAAGTCAGACTGCCTGGGTGTAAACCCTGGTTCCAGCATTACTAGCAGTCTGATTTTAGGAAAATCACCTGACCTCTCTAAAAGGTAGATGTCTCATTTGTAAAGGTAACAATTATTTGTGTTTGGGTCATGTAGTTGTTACAAGGATTAAATGATACAAGATGAGGAAGTCACCTTATATTTTGTATGTAATAAATACAAGAGTGTCTTGCATGTAAAAAAACTAATAAAGGATGAATATGTTCATTATTATTAAGAAACGTGGAGTTCATTATAATGCCATCTTCAAATGTGCATTTTAGAATGCTCGCTCTGGCTGAAATGTGGTGAGTGAATTGCAAGACGGAAGACTAGAGGCACAGAAAGAAGATTAAGTAAATATGTAGTAATTCAGGTGAGAAATAATGTATAAGATAATGGCATTAGGGTTGGAGGAAAGTTGACAGATTTGCAAGATGTTTAGAAGGTAGAAACTATAGCACTTAGTGACTAATTGTGTGAGAAAACAAGAAGGAGGAAGGTAGAAGAGAAACTCTCAGATTTCTTGCATTTGAAGCTGGGCAGATGGGTATGACATTTCCTGAAAGAGGGGAGGCAGAAGGATAACCACAGGTTTAATTTTAGAAACGTTGACTTTGCCATGTCTGTGGCTCATTCAAGTGAAGACAATAAAGAAACAGTTATCTGGGCCTGAAGCTCTGGATAAAGCTCTAAGGCTCTTCTTTCATTGTATTCATTTATGGTCTTATTCATGCCAATCTTATTCTACATATCTCAGCCTGTTAAATATCTATACTTCTGTAAAACACAGTTTTACACATTATCTGTAAAACACAGCTGGAGCTCCTGAAACTGGAAGTCATAAACTCCTAGAGTCTGGCTGCAATCTACATTTTGTTTTATGTAGCATTTATATTATAAGCAAAAAGCAAACTGAATCACTGCTAAAAGCTTTTAAAACATCATCGGATTTTGGCACAACTCAATAATTATTCATACTGTTGATTGTGAGCCACAAGTAAACAAATGAATTATTTTCAGAAACCGTTGCTGTAGAAAGTAGTAATGATCAACCATAGGAGGCATTTTTCCAATGTATAATGGTGAGTAACTCTCACAAATCAGATTATTGCTAGCTGCTGGAGCTTTGAAGACACACAAAAACACACATGGGCACATACAATCATAGTCTTTACTCTCAAGGGGTTTGTAAAATAATGGTGGGAGACATACATATAAACACATATATACAATGGGATGTCAAAATCACAAAATGTATAAAAGCATAAATGCCACTTCAAGGAAATTCATTTCTTATGACTGTGCTCCAGAAGGTAGAAGTTGTGGAAAGTATGACTTGCAGGGTGCTCCATCTAGTATGATTTTAGCAACTCTCAGCCATTCTAAATGTATTCAGCATATGGCCAACCATACAATTTTTCTATTTTCTATTCCACTGCTCTTTGTACATTCACTGATATTCCTCTCCCAAAAGAGAAATCTTGTGGAATCACTTGCAATTTATTTGAAGATGCATGGGGTTGTTTTTCAATTTCACAGGGAAATAAGAATAGTTACTCTGAAAAGGGCTCTGTGACCCAAGGATTATAAGTGAATCTTTCAGATTTCGTGTTTGTTTATTTAAACTCAAAGCCCCAAAGAAGAGCCTGCTGAGGCCAGGGGCACGCTGAGTAATCTAGGTGAGAACTCCTCTGTGTGATTATCTGAGCTCTAGATAAGCCCAGCACATGAAACGTATATCAAATAAAAGCTTCTCTTGGGATCAGAAAATCCCTTCAAAGGGACTTGATGAGAATTGGCTAGAAACTAAAGCCAGACCTTTTATCCACGGCTTTTTTTTTTTCTCTCTTTTAAAAAGTGTCTATCAGAGTACACATTTCATTGTGGGGAATCTAGGTCACCTGCCTGGCCTCCATAGAAACTAATCCTTTTCATTTCCTCCCCATAAACAATCTTTCTGTTTCCATTCATTCACTCCCTTTGAGACCACCCATGCAGAAATACACTGTCAGAAATACTCTCTTGAATGCATATAAACACTTCCCTGAATTTCAATCATCTGCCTATAGACCCAATCCTGAAGTGAACTCATTTATCTTCTCAAGCATGAGGCCAAATGTATACAAAGCTTTATCAGGCAGAAATGGTAGCAGCTGCCTGCTGTATCATTTGCGCAGAAAAGCACACTAGGACTGCATTCTTGGAGGCATCCACTACCTTAAAATTTATCTCAAAGTACTAATGTTTAATTTGAGATCATTGCTTCTCAGGATATATCTTCTCCACTGTCCCTCTTCAGCAGAATTGCATAAGAAGAAATCACTAAAGACCTATATTAAAGCCTCAAATCTATCACTAAATATCTGTTATTGGTTGGCCATGAAACCTTATTTGTAAGATGGCGATAATAGTAACACTAGTCAACGCATGGGAGTTCTATAAGGATCAACAAAAGTAGCACATAAGACAGTGCTTTTGAAAAAAGAAAGCAAAATTCAAACTCAAGGAATATTATGTTATGAGTTTTATTTAGTACTGCTTCAAATTAGCCATGAAACTAAATTAAAACTAAATTATTTCTGCTATTTATATTTACCCATGTGGAAATGTTTTTCCCAAGTAAATCATAAACTTTTTGGCAAGATATGTTTGCAATAATAACTAGAAATATAAAGTTTTTGATTAATTAAAAAGTGTAAGGTATTCTGGATAATTTTCCCAAAGCAGCTAATGTATTTTTTTCAGAATAAACATATTCATTTACATAATTTTAAAATATTTTAGTTGCAAATATAAAATTAGGATAATATAAGACCACCAAAATATATAACTAAGAAAAAAATATCAGAAATTTAATGGTAAATTTTCATTAAATGATTTTCAAATATCTTAAGATGATTGAATACTTCTTACATGGTTTACCTCATAATCTGAAATATATAATTCATATTACAATGAAGCTATTTTTCTATAACTCCAAGCTATTATACACCTCCAAGATATTAATCACTGACCCAAATTTTTTAAAGGCAATAAATAGTACAAAGTCTCATAGAATCAATTTATAAGATCTTTCTCAAAGGATTACTTGAATAAATCATCTCAATTGTAGGTACATATGTGTGTCTGTGTGTACAGAGCAGAAGTATCTTGCAACGTACTGTGCTGCACACTTTTTCTTGACCAAAATGTTAAATCCTGGATGAATCAGCATTGATACAAATCTAATGTATGTATCAATATATTGATCAATAAAGGGTTCAATATGTATTTGAGTATGTAATAGGTGCTGCACACTCAGATGGCAATACAGTCTACACAACTGAAAAAGCCAGGTGGTTTCCACCCACATTGAATTTATAATCTTGTGGGAATACATAAAAAAGCAATTGCACTGTATTTTAATGAGTGCTACATTAGAAGTACTTTGAAGGGTGCTTATTTAGGGAGATGTCAGAGAACACTCAGAGGAACTGATGTTGAGCTAAGGTCAGTTCTTCAAGTGATGGATTGAAAACAGAGTTAGGAAGGAGGAAGACAAGGAGGGCTCTGCCACGAAAAGAGAAAAGAAGTTGCATGAGATCTGATGTAACCCTTCCTTTGGGCCTAAACATTCAGTGAAATGTCATAAAAGTCTACCTGTTTGTTGGCTGTGAAAAAGGCTTGTAAAACTGGCTGAACTGAGTTTGTGGGACGACTCAGGGCAAAGAAGAACAACCTTTCCTATCATAGAAGTAAAAGCTGAAGACAGGGTACCACAAGGACCTAAACCCTAGAAATTCACAGGAATTATAAGGCAGAGCATGGATTTTTTCTCATGCTGTAATATTGAGAATTCAGTACAGTTTACTTAGGTCTCTGAGAAATAGGAGCTTCCAGATGATATCTGACTTACACAGCAATTGAAATCTTTCCCCCAGAAATCAACTACCCCACTAGCATCTATTTATATAGATGGAATCTCCCTAGTATCAGAGGGATGCTGATTGGTGTCAACTACCCCACTACCACTAGGTAGGTAATAGGGTAGTTGATACCAATCAGTATCTCTCTGATACCCCCCGGAGATTCCCAGTGTTACTGCTCTGGAAAGTCTGCCCAAAGTGGCCAATCACACACTTTCTGTGGTGTTTGCAGGCAGATTCTCCAGTGACTAACATGCTTGTCAGAATGTCTGTGCCCCTGGACTCCTCTGCAGGAGGCCTTGCCAAGAACAGAAAACCCAATGAGGAAGGGCAAGCTGGGGTGTGTCCTGTGGAGACACAGAACCCTACCTGGAGATTTGCAGGTACAGAGGACCACTACTGGAAGATGTCATTTTAAACAATGACTTATCAGATCAAGGACAAGCAGATGGAGATGTATTTGATAAGGAATATACTGATCTTCTGATGAGGGGACATGTAGCCCTGGCAAGAGTATGCAGAAGGAACAGCCAAATGACTGCTCTTCCCCAAAGTCATTATCTACAGAAAATGCTTCAGTGTGTCTCTCATATGTTAGAAACATTTAATCTTTTCCTTTCAACCTGAGAGAGTAGAAGGATCCATTGGAAACCTAATTCCCTGGCTGTCTTCTGCCAAATAAATATGAGCAACAGGACTAGGTCACGGTCACTGATGCTGAATGTCTCCAGTTCTTTGTGTCTGCCTCACTTAATTATTGCTTGGGGATGAAGGGGAAGAGAAGAAAATAATCTTTCCTCCCCAGCACCTGGCATCTCTTGGTCTACCTTTTTAACACCTCAAAAATACCCTTGAAAAATGGCTTTATGATCCTAAGACCATGATCTCTGCAATACCTGTCTTCCAGAGGTTGTATATGACAGAATGAGCTTAAATACATATTATTTCTTCACAGAAATAAAAAGAACTTTTATGATCAAGGCAATTGTACAAGTCTCAGTGTCCTAATGACTCTTCATCCTCATCTGATGGACCCTCGGAGAGGATTCCAATGTACCTCTGATGCCCATTGAGAAACTATGAGAATATCTAGCGACAAAGGTCTGATTTATACTAAGACTGCTATTTCTGGGAAGATAAAATCGATGACATTTTTCCTATTGTTCCTGCTATGTAAAATTTAAAACCAGGAGCCAATCATCATCCCAAAAGACACAATCCAAAATGCCATAATCTCGAATGTTGAAATCCTGGAAGATCAAAATTCCAGAAATAGAATTCTGGAAAAAAAAATTAAAAATATTAAAAATATATTTATTCATATTTTAAGGGAATTCCTTTGAGAAAAATATATAAATATGACAGAATACTTCATAGGCCACTTTAAACAATAAAATAAGCAATAATAACATACATATTTTTGCAAACATAAACACTCAGGTACATTAATGACAGTCTCAGGAATATAACAGCTATGAGAAGATAAACTATATTCATAAAGAAATAGGTCAAAAAGTGAAATGTATAAACACATATCACAAAGGTTGTTCATTGTGTGCATGTAGCTTTATAATTGCAGTCCACGGAAACACTGTCATGAACAACCTAAGTCCTGACTAGATTGACTAGAATCCATGATGGGTCACTACCATCTATGTCTGAAGAGCTGAGATCTCAAGAAATTTTATATTTCACAAATGCAGATGTACAAAAAGGACTTCTCTTCATTGATGGTGGAAGGTTTAACCTTTTTACATTGAGTACCAAGAAAGCCAACTCTTAGTCGGAAGCCAAAGCCTCAGAACTTGGGGAGCTGCTGGTGTAAGACCTGGAGTCCAAAGGCTGGTGAGCCTGGAGTTCTGAAGTCCAGCGCAGCAGAGGAAAAGTCTGTCTCAGCTCTCAGAGAAAGATCAATTCACCTTCCGCATTTGTTCTCTGCGGGCCCCCAGTCAATTGGATGGTGCTGCCAACGTTGATGGCAAATCTTTCCTAGCTAGTCCACTCAGACTCACATAGTGATCTCTGCAAACACTCCCACATACACACCCAAAATAATGCTTTACCAGGCTTCTACATATTCCTTAATCCAGTCAAGTTAACACCTAAAATTAAGTCCACAAATCCACTCCTTATCATCTTGACACCCATACACATTTCCTAAAACCATACTTAATGTCCAAATAAAACAAGGTAATAGCTTCAGCTAACATGATACAGTTATCCCATTATTGTAATTTTCAGGATTTTAGATGTTAGGGATTTTAGACTTTTGGGATGTAGATTTAGGAATTTTGATCTTTCAGGATTTCAACTTTCAGGACTATGGCATTGAGGATAGTGTCTTTTGAGATTATTATCCAAATTTACACTTGCTCAAAAACTAAATACTTATGTGTATATTGAACAAAACACATACATAATTTATATGCTAAAAATTATACAATACTAATGAAAGAAATCAAATATTTAAATAAATATTATTTTTATAGATTGGAAGACAGCATAATAAAGATGTTCATTCTGTTCAAATTTATGTCATGATTTAACAAAATTCTTGTCAGAATTGCAGAACATTTTTTGTATCTATAGCATAACTATTTAAAATATTTTGGGAAAAAGGAAAGGATTTGGAATAGAATTTTAATTCCACAATATAATGAATAGAAAGGAATAGGAATTTTGAAAAGGAAAAATAAAATGGAAAGAATCAGTTTACCTGATTTCAACAGTTATCATACAGCTACAATAATCAAAACAATATGATGTGGGCAAGGGATACAGACACATAGATAGATAGAACAGAACAGAGAATCCAGAATAAAACCCACAAAAAATGTGACTGACTAAATTTTGACCAAGGCACAAAAGCAATTTAGTGGAGGAAAAAATAAGCGTTTTTAACCAGTGGTGTGGGACCAACTAAAACCCCATTGGCAAAACAAAAAATCCTAGAGCTAATCTCATGCCTTTCACAGAATTAACCTAAATGGATCACAGAATTGAATATACAATTTAAAGCTACAAGTTTTAGAAAAAAAAAATGAGAAAATCTTCAAAATCAAAGTCTTAGAATTAAATTTCTAAGATGACATATTAAGCATAGACTACAAAAAAATGAACTTCACCAAAATTTTAAAAATCAATATCTTTTACTCTATGAAAGACTCCATTAACATGAGGAAAAGACCAGCTAGAACAGCAGAAAATATTTGAAAATCACATATTTGACAAAAAACTCATGTTTAACATATATAAATAACTCTCAAAACTCAAGAGTAAAAGCAAAAAATAGGCAATCCAATTACAAAGTGATCAAAAGACAGGAAGGGCAATTTTCACCAAATATTACATATAGATGGCAAATAAGCACATGAAAACATGTTCAACATTATTAGCCTTAAATAAGTACAAATTAAAACCACAATAAGATATCTCTACATACCTAACAGAATGGCTAAAATAAAAAATGTAGTGACATTAACCTAATGCTGGTAAGAATGTATAAAAATTGGATCATGGACACATTGCTGATGGATACACAGAATGTTACAACCACTCTGAAGATTGTTTCCTACAACAATTTAAAGAAAACTAATCATGCATGTATCATACAGAGCAACAATTGCATTCTATATGTATCATATAAAATAGCAAGTGCACTCCTGAGCATTTATTTTAGAGAAATAAAGACATGTTCACACATGAACACAAAGAAAGTAATGTTTTCAAGTTGTTTATCTTAGTTTTATTCATAATAGCAAAAAACTGTACACATAGCAAATATTTTTCAATCAATGAATGGTTACACAAACTGTGATACAACCATATCACGGAATACTGTTGAATAATAAAAAAGCAGTGGAGTATAATTGATACAGGCAATAAAGTGTGTGCATCTCTTTCAAATTATTCTAACTGAAACAGCCAATCTTTATTGGTTACAAACTGTATGATTCCACTTATATAATATTATTTACATGACAAAATTGTAGATATAAAGAACAGATTTGTGGGTGCCAGGAATTGTGGAGAGAGCAAAATATGGCTTCATAAGGCAACATAAGGGATCCTTGTGGTCAGGGAAATGTTCTGTGTTTTGACTATCAATATCAATATCCTGTTTGTGACACTTCGTTACAATTTTCAAGAGGTTACCATTAGGAAAACTGCATAAAGGGATATGAGATGTTTCTGTATTATTTCTGTTTTTTATTTATTTCATTTATTATACTTTTTTGGCTTCCAAGAAGAAACAATCTGTATTATTTCTTATAATTCCACGTGAAATTATAATTATCTAAAACTAAAAAGTTTAATTAAAAATATCAGTATCCACTTATGTTTTAAAAACTCCAAATTTCAAAAAGCATATTAGAAAACTGGGCATAGAAAGCATCTTGCTTTACTGATTACTGGGTGTCTAAACAAAACCGAAAGCTAACATCATGATTTATAGAAAAATACTAAAATTATTCCCTCTGAGAGTGGGTACAAGATAAGAATACTCAGTATCAACAGTTTTATTCACCTCATGCTTGTGATTCATACATGCTTAGTTCTGCAAGAAAAATGATTGATGTGAAAAAAAAGTTTAGCATAGAAAAAAATGCCTCTATTCATGAAAAATATTGTTTGGGCAGGCATGTAGAAAATTCAAAGAAGCTATAGAAAAACTAGATTAAATAAATGATTTTGTTGAGTTTTCTGGCAACAAACTTAGTAAAGAAAAATCAACTTATTTGTGAGTATAAGAAACAATGAGATGGGAAATTAGATTATTTAATGATGCAATTTACCATAATATAAAAAATTATCAAATTCCAAAGAATAAATCTTGTAAAATGTTTGTAAGACTTCTACTTAGAAAGCTATGAGATGTTATGAAGAAAGTTAAAGATCATCTAAATAAGTGGAGGTATATGCCATGTTTATGGGTTGGATGATTCAATATTGTAATGATGTTAGATTTTCCCTAATTGATCTAGAAATGCATATCAAACAGATTTTGGGGTGGGAGCAGTGATGCACCAACTGATTCTAAATTTATATGGAAATGAACAGAGCCAAGACTTTGTTTAGAAAATCTTGGAAAAGGACAACAAGCTCTACCATGTATTAAGACTTACTGTTAATTCATAGCAGTTAAGACAGTGTGATACTGGCACATGGGTAGAAAAATAAACAGAATAGAGAACCTACATACTTATGAATCATTTTTTAATATTACAGTTGGCATTTCTGAGCAGTGGAAAAAATCTTTCAATAAATAAAATTGTTAATGGAACATAAATATTGTAATTTATATATTGGATATAAATATTGGGAAATAATGGAATTTGCTACCATACACTATATACAATAAAGAAATTTTAATTAGATTGTAAATATAAATATTCAAAGAAAAACAATAAAGCAAATAGGAGATACTTTAGAAGAATACCTTCATGACTTAGAGTGATAAATCTTAATAACTAATATAAAATGGCATAAAGTAAAAGATTGACCAGTTGGAATACATTTATAAAAATTGGGCTACATTAAAAACAAAAAACATTGTTCATCGAAAGTTTTTAATATGAGAATGAAAATATGAGTCATTTTATGAAATAAAGTGGGTGTAACAACAAAACGTTCATATCCAGAATATGTATGGTTTTTTCTTTTCTTTTTTTTTTTTTTTAGATGGAGTGTGGCTCTCATTGCCTAGGCTGGAGTGTAGTGGCATGATCTCGGCTCACTGCAACTTCTGCCTCCTGGGTTCAAGCAATTCTCCTGCCTCGGCCTCCTGAGTCACTGAGATTACAGGCACCCACCACCACGCCTGGCTAATTTTTGTAATTTTTAGTAGAGATGGGGTTTCACCATGTTAGCCTGGCTGGTCTTGAACTCCTGACCTCAGGTAATCCCTCCCAAAGTGCTGGGATTACAGGCGTGAGGCACCTTGCCCGGCCCATATCCAGAATATGTAAACATTCCTACAAATCATTCACAAAAAGGCAACCTCCAATGAAGGGCAGGCAAAAGACTTAGGGTTAGCTTTCTTTTTGGTTGTTGGGGTGGTGGTTTTTAGTTGGTTGGTTTGTTAATAGTAGCAGATAAAGCTGTTTATTTTTATTATGCATTTTATTTATTTATTTATTTTGAGATGGCGTCTTGCTTTGTCACCCAGGCGGGAGTGCAGTGGCATGATCTCAGCTCACTGCAACCTCCGCCTCCTGGGTTCAAGCGATTCTCATGCCACAGCCTCCTGAGTAGCTGGGACTATAGGTGTGTGCAACCGTGCCCAGCTAATTTTTGTATTTTTAGTTGAGACGAGGTTTCACCATGTTGGTCAGGCTGGTCTCAAACTCTTGGCCTCAAGTGATCTGCCTGACTTGGCCTCCCAAAGTGCTGGGATTACACGGTAAGCCACCGAGCCCAGCCAGCTGTTTATTTTTTGTAATAAACCAGAAATGTAAATTATTATTTTAGTAAATAAACTTAAAGCTGTATAACTTTATTAACATCCAATAAAAAGCAAATTAAAACAATGATAATGATACAAATGCTAACCTAACAGCCTGGCAAATTTAAAAGACTAACAACATCAAATAATGGAGAGTTTGTGGTGCTATGAGAACTTTTATAATACTGCAGATGGTGTGTAAAATGGTTCAACCAGTTTAGAAACTGTTTGGAACTATCAACTAAAGCTGATTCTATGTATAACTTATGTGGCAGGCTGAATTATTGGTTTCAGTTATATATATACACATATGTGTGTGTGTGTATGAAAGCATAATATAAGTGTTTATGTATGTGTGTGCGTACGTATACACACACATGTATCATGGTCTCATGGCAAGTGGGTGTACTTCCCCATTCTTTGATTTTAGACTTGACCATGCAACTTGCATAATGAAATAATAATAGATGTGATGTGAGAAGAAGCATGAAACAAGCATGTGCAGTATGGCTCAGGCTGCTTTGATTATTCCATTGCCATGGGAAAAATATTCCCTCACCCTGCTGATTTCAGAAGCAACCTAGATACCTATCTGAAACAAAGACATCCCAACTCATCTACAGCTGTATGAGGGACAAACAAAAGTTATCGTTACTACTCTGACTTTGTGGCAATGTGTTATACAACAAAAACACACTGGAACACTTTATTGCAAGCAATTTCACACATCAGGGATATATGTACATGTAGAGTTACACATGTGTGGGAAAGGCATAAATAAGAATATTTATATCACCATTATTCATACCATCCCTAAATTAGAAACAACGCCGATGTCTTAGTTTATTTGTGTCGCTATAAAATAATACCTGAGGCTGGGTAAGTTATAAAGAAAAGAGGTTTATTTGGCTCACAGTTCTGCAGACTGTACAAAAGCATGAGGTGAACATCTGCTTCTGATGAGGGCCTCAGGAAACACACTCATGGCAAAAGGTGAAGTGGAGTAGATGTCATGTGATGAGAGAGGGAGGAAGAGAGAGGGAAAAAGAGGGCAGGCTCTTTTCAGCAAGAGCCTTGTGGGAACTAAGAGTAAGAACCATGAGAGTAGTACCAAGCCATTTATAAGGGATCCACCCGCATGACCCAGACACCTTCCATTAGCCTCACCTCCAGCATTGAGGACCAAATTTCAACATGATATTTGGAAGGGACAAATATACAAATTATATCACCAGAGTGTATCAATAGTAGATGTATAAATCAACTCCAGTGTACTCATAGAGTAGATTATCTTTGCTATGAATTTCTTTAAACTATAGAATACAACAATGTGGTTCAATCTTAGAAACATAATGTTGAGTGAGAGAATCGAGACAGAAAATATACTTTACTTTAAAAAAAAAGTTTTAAAAAGAGAATTTTGTAAATTCCTGAATTGTAAGAAAAGAGAAAATATTCACTTTCTCTAACTGTTCCTATTTTTACGGTAACACTATATTTGCATAAAATTAACCCATGATTTGACTAATTTTTTTCCAATAATTTTCTTATTTTTCTCTAGTCTATAACAATTGTATTTCAGATAATGACAATTTCTAGATAATTAGTCTTCATATTGAGTAAATACATTTCTGACCGTGTTGGTGAGTATTGGTTTTGGGGATGAAAAACAGAATGATGTTGAAGGACCTTTCCGTTCAAAACATCTTTCTCATTGGCCTGGCATGATGCCCCAAGTTCCACCTCTCTGCTTCATTCTCTCTGGTTAAGATAAGTCATTTTACTTCCAGGAACTCCCTATTAAAATGCAATAAAACTACAGGAGAGGTAAAATATTAAGCTATTATCAACCACAAACACCTTACCCTGAAATTACTTTTGCACAAAATTAGCTGTCACAAGAGAAAGCGGAAAGCAGGGCCTGAGGGAATGATCAGCAGGAATGATAAAAGGGAAATGGAAGGGGAGAGAAATACTGCTAATAGATTTAAGAGCAGAGACTAAGAGAGTACTGGGTGAACAGCAGAGCTGCAAGAGGTGGATGGGCTCCTGAGGACCAGAAAGGACCACGGGTTAGGGCAGCAATCTGCTGAAGAGTAATGCATGCATGGGAGAAAAAGGTTCATTCTGATTTCTCCTCAAAACTGATTAACAATAAAACATGTTTTTTTCTTGTTCCCCAAGCTTGCTGAATATGAAGTTTTAATAAGTGAACCCCATTATACACCAAAGATAAATCTGACAGAGAGGGACATAATGTGTGGAATTCTAGGCTTGCCTTTGTGAAGTTGGACAATCCTTAATTTGTCAGCTTCTCTAAGAGCTGCAGAAACGAAACTTTCTCTATAGAAGGAGGACAAAAAGTTTTGTTTCTGTTCTTGTTTTTGGACAATGAATGGGCTACCTTAAAGCTTAAAGAACTTTTCTGTACATACAAATCTCCTGAGGATCTGGTTAAAATGCAGATTCTGATTCAGTGTTGGGCTGGGACTGGGATTCTGTATTTCTAGTAAGCTACCAGGCCATTCCATGCTTCTAATTCAGAACCTACAACAGCACTATGCAACAGAAATACAATATGAGCCACATATGCAATTTTCTAGTAACTATACTAAAACAATAAAAGGAAATGGATTAAATTAAATTTAATATATGTTATTTAACTCAATTTATCCAAAATGTCATTTGAATGTCTGCAAGCAATATGGAAAAATATTAATGAGATATTTTACATTAATTTTCTTACACTAAGTTATTAAAAGCCATGGTTCATATTACACTTAGAGAACGTGTCAATTTGGACTAGTCACATGTCAAGAACATGAAAGCCCACATAGCTCATGGTTACTGTGTTGGCCAAGGCAGATCTAGAGAGAAAGGATCACTTGCTGCAAAACCGTAGATCTCTGTAGATTCAAAATGTAGCCATAGAATATTCTTTCACAGCTCTTCGTGGCCTTTTTGATTAGATGAGACAAAATAATAATTTAAAATATAATACAAGTGAATGTCATCCCTACTTATGGTTTAAACTCCTACTATGTTTTAGGTAACTATTTCATAGTTTACTTTTTGTACTAGTCAGGGTTATCCAGAGAAACAGAACAAGTAAGATAGATATATGTACACACACACATATATTATGTATTTTCCAGCATATATATTACACGTTCTGTATTTACAGATATGTGTGTGTGTGTGTGTGTGTGTGTGTGTGTGTATGAATTTATTGTAAGGAATACAATAATGGAGGCTAAATCCTCAGATCTGCAGCCAACATGCTGGAGAGCCAGGAAAGCCATTGGTGTTTTTTGAAATTCAGTCAATCTGAATTTGAAGGCCTGAGAATCAAGAGGACTAATGGTGTAACTTCCAGTTCAAACAAAGGAGAGGACCAATGGCCCCCCAGTTCAAGCAGTCAGGCAGAAGGAGTTTCCTATTACTCAGCTTTTTAAGGTCTTCAATGGTTTGAATGGGGCCCATCCACATTAGGGAGGGCGATTTGCTTTGCTACATGTACAGATTCAAATACTACTGTCATCCTGAAATACTCTCACAGACACATCCAGGATAACGGCTGACCAAATGCCTAGGCACCCCATGGCCCAGTTGATCTGATGTATAAAATTAACCATCACACTTGCCTATGAGGGCTTTCTGCACTTGCCCAGTCAGAAACCGTTACACTCCCTATTGAACTTCTACAAAACCTTGGGCATAACCCTGTTAAAGAAATGTTTTAATTTTGTTGTAATTATTTGTCTTAGTCTCAGCTGTTTGAAAGCATGAAGCATGCCTTATTCATCTTTGTATATTCATTTTCTAGCATTCTGACAGGTACATAATAAGTGGTCAATAAATTCAGTTTACTTTCTTCTCACATTGTGTCTAGCACTCTGCTCAGTTTTTTCAGTTGTGATGCTTATTTAATTTGCACAACACACTGTGAAGTATATATCAATATGTCAATTTTAAATATGAAAAAGAGGTATTACACTTTACAATCACAGACCCAATAGGAGGGGGTTGGGAGATTAAACTAAGTCTGTTAGACACCAAAAGCTGCTCCTATTATGCTACACTGGTTTTGTTTTTTTTTTTTTTTTTTTAAAGACTAACCAAAGGAGTACAGAGATTTTCTTTCAAGATTTGGTGTTGCTTCTTAAATGAATTGAGTAAATGGACTAGACTCCCAAGTCTAGTGCTAGCTTAAATTAATACTCAGATATAAATAATAAAAAGCAGAACCTTTTCGGAAACCATATTTAGTAAAACGCAGGAAAATCATGATATTGGACAACTGTTAAGTTTGTAATGCAGCATCTTTTGAGTCCTACCTTCCATGATTGAGACAGAAGCAGCAATGCACTTTCCCAGCCCCTTTTGCATAGAGGTTACAGGCTCGTGTATCCAATGAAAATGTTGATTCAAATATCAGCCATATAAGGATACTGGTGCCATGTGTATTTGAATTTCTGGGAAGAAGACAGAGTAGGCAAACACACTCCCATACACAGTGGTGGCAATGACAGTTTCACTGCTGGGTTGGTGCAACCAAAGCATAATTTAGACCTGCTTCAGGAAGTGTACTCTCAAAATTCACTTCCGTGTATCCACTGCAGGTGATGTAAGCAATATATACCAAATTCTTTCCAATTTTGGGCACCTTGAAATTGTCATGCCTCTGAGCCCAAGCTAAGCCATCATATCCCCTGTGACCTGCATGTACAGGGACGAGATGGCCGGTTCCTGCCTTAACTGATGACATTCCACCACAAAAGAAATGAAAATGGCCTGTTCCTGCCTTAACTGATGACATTCCACCACGAAAGAAATGAAAATGGCCTGTTCCTGCCTTAACTGATGACATTATCTTGTGAAATTCCTTCTCCTGGCTCATCCTGACTCAAAAGCTCCCGTACTGAGCACCTTGTGACCCCCACTCCTGCCTGCCAGAGAACAACCCCCCTTTGACTGTAATTTTCCTCTACCTACCCAAATCTTATAAAATGGCCCCACCCCATCTCCCTTCGCTGACTCTCTTTTCGGACTCAGCCCGCCTGCGGCCAGGTGATTAAAAGCTTTATTGCTCACACAAAGCCTGTTTTGTGGTCTCTTCACACAGATGCACATGAAATTTGGTAAGAACCCCCATCCCTTATTTCTGCACCCCGACCTCTTATGTCTGTGCCCCAACCCCTTATTTCCACGCCTCAACCCCTTTCCCATTTTTCTGGAGGGTAAGAACCCCCTAACTCCTTCCCTCCGTGTCTCTACCCTTCTTTTAAACTTGCCTCCTTCACTATGGGCAAACTTCCACCCTCCATTCCTCCACTTCTTCTCCCTTAGCCTGTCCTCTCAAGAACTTGAAACCTCTTCAACTCACACGTGACCTAAAACCTAAATGCCTTATTTTCTTCTACAATGTCACTTGACCCCAATACAAACTTGATAGTGGTCCCAAATAGCCAGAAAACAGCACTTTCGTTTTTTCCATCCTAGAAGATCTAAATAATTCTTGTCGTAAAATGGGCAAATGGTCTGAGGTGCCTGACGTCCAGGCATTCTTTTACACATCGGTCCCTCCCTAGACTCTCTTCCCAATGCAACTCGTCCCAAATCTTCCTTCCCTCCCACCTGTCCCCTCAGTCCCAACCCCAAGCGTTGCTGAGTCTTTCTAACCTTCCTTTTCTACAGACCCATCTGACCTCTCTCTTCCTACCCAGGCCGAGCTATGTCCCAATTCTTTCTCAGCCTCCTCCGATCCTCCACCCTATAATCCTTTTATCACCTCCCCTCCTCACACCCAGTCTGGCTTACAGTTTCATTCCGCAACTAGCTTTCCCCCACCTGCCCAGCAATTTCCTCTTAAAAAGGTGGCTGGAGCTAAAGGTATAGTCAAGGTTAATGCTCCTTTTTCTTTATCCAACCTCTCCCAAAATCAGTTAGCGTTTAGGCTCTTTCTCATCAAATATAAAAACCCAGCCCAGTTCATGGCTCGTTTGGCAGCAACCCTGAGATGCTTTACAGCCCTAGACCCTGAAAGGTCAGAAGGCCGTTTTATTATCAATATGCATTTTATTTTATTACCCAATCTGCTCCCGACATGAAATAAAGCTCCAAAAATTAAATTCTGGTCCTCAAACCCCACAACAGGACTTAATCAACCTTGCCTACAAAGTGTACAATAATAGAAAAAAGTTGCAATTCCTTGCCTCCACTGTGAGACAAACCCCAGCCACATCTCCAGCACACAAGAACTTCCAAACGCCTGAACCGCAGCAGCCAGGTGTTCCTCCAGAACCTCCTCCCCCAGGAGCTTGCTACAAGTGCCAGAAATCTGGCCACTGGGCCAAGGAATGCCCACAGCCCAGGATTCCTCCTAAGCCACGTCCTGTCTATGTGGGACCCCACTGAAAGTTGGACTGTTCAACTCACCTGGTAGCCACTCCCAGAGTCCCTGGAACTCTGGCCCAAGCCTCTCTGATTGACTCCTTCCCAGATCTTCTCAGCTTAGTGGCTGAAGACTGACACTGCCCGATTGCCTCGGAAGCCCCCTAAACCATCATGGACACCAAGCTTCAGGTAACTCTCATGGTGGAAGGTAAGTCCGTCCCCTTCTAAATCAATATGGAAGCTACCCACTCCACATTACCTTCTTTTCAAGGGCCTGTTTCCCTTGCCTCCATAACTGTTGTGGGTATTGACGGCCAGGCTTCTAAACTTCTTAAAACTCCCCAACTCTGGTGCCAACTTAGACAATACTCTTTTAAGTACTCCTTTTTAGTTATCCCCACCTGCCCAGTTCCCTTATCAGGCCAAGACACTTTAACTAAATTATCTGCTTCCCTGACTATTCCTGGGCTACAGCCACACCTCATTGCCACCTTTCCCCCAGTTCAAAGCCTCCTTCACATCCTCCCCTTGTATCTCCCCACCTTAGCCCACAAGTATAAGATACCTCTGCTCCCTCCTTGGCGATCGATCATGCACCCCTTACCATTTCATTAAAACCTAATTGTCCTTACCCCACTCAACGCCAATATCCCATCCCACAGCATGCTTTAAAAGGATTAAAGCCTGTTATCACTTGTCTGTTACAGCATGGACTTTTAAAGCCTATAAACTCTCCTTACAATTCCCCCATTTTACCTGTCCAAAAACCAAACAAGCCTTACAGGTTAGTTCAGGATCTACACCTTATCAACCAAATTGTTTTGCCTATCCACCCCGTGGTGCCAAACCCATAAACTCTCCTATCCTCAATACCTCCCTCTACAACCCATTATTCTGTTCTGGATCTCAAACATGCTTTCTTTACTATTCCTTTGCACCCTTCATCCCAGCCTCTCTTCGCTTTCACTTGGACTGACCTTGACACCCACCAGGCTCAGCAAATTACCTGGGCTGTACTGCCACAAGGCTTCACGGACAGCCCCCGTTACTTCAGTCAAGCCCAAATTTCTTCTCCATCCGTTACCTAGCTCGGCATAATTCTTCATAAAAACACACATGCTCTCCCTGCCGATCGTGTCCGACTGATCTCTCAAACGTCAACCCCTTCTACAAAACAACAACTCCTTTCCTTCCTAGGCATGGTTGGATAATTTTGCCTTTGGATACCTGGTTTTGCCATCCTAACAAAACCATCATATAAACTCACAAAAGGAAACCTAGCTGACCCCATAGATCCTAAATCCTTTCCCCACTCCTCTTTCCATTCCTCGAAGACAGCTTTAGAGACTGCCCCCACCCTAGCTCTCCCTGACTCATCCCAACCCTTTTCATTACACACAGCCGAAGTGCAGGGCTGTGCAGTCAGAATTCTTACACAAGGACCGGGATCGCGTCCTGTAGCCTTTTTGTCCAAACAACTTGACCTTACTGTTTTAGGCTGGCCATCATGTCTCCACGCAGCGGCTGCTGCTGCCCTAATACTTTTAGAGGCCCTCAAAATCACAAACTATGCTCAACTTACTCTCTACAGCTCTCATAATTTCCAAAATCTATTTTCTTCCTCACACCTGACACATATACTTTCTGCTCCCTGGCTCCTTCAGCTACACTCACTCTTTGTTGAGTCTCCCACAATTACCATTGTTCCTGGCCCGGACTTCAATCCGGCCTCCCACATTATTCCGGATACCACACCTGACCTGGATACTACACCTGACCCTCACGACTGCATCTCTCTGATCCACCTGATGTTCACCCCATTTCCCCATATTTCCTTCTTTCCTGTTCCTCACCCTGATCACACTTAGTTTATTGATGGCAGTTAAACCAGGCCTAATCACCACACACCAGCAAAGGCAGGCTATGCTACAGTACAAGCCACTGGCCCACCTCTTAAAACCTCTCATTTCCTTTCCATCTTGGAAATCTATCCTCAAAGAAATAACTTCCCAGTGTTCCATCTGCTATTCTACTACTTCTCAGGGATTTTTCAGGCCCCCTCCCTTCCCTACACATCAAGCTCGAAGATTTGCCCCCACCCAGGACTGGTAAATTAGCTTTACTCAACATGCCCTGAGTCAGATAACTAAAGTACCTCTTAGTCCAGGTAGACACTTTCACTGCATAGGTAGAGGCCTTTCCTACAGGGTCTAAGAAGACCACTGCAGTCATTTCTTCCCTTCTGTCAGACATAATTCCTTGGTTTGGCCTTCCCACCTCTATATAGTCCTATAGCAGACCGGCCTTTATTAGTCAAATCAGTCAAGCATTTTTTCAGGCTCTTGGTATTCAGCGAAACCTTTATATCCCTTACAGTCCTCAGTCTTCAGGAAAGGTACAACGGACTAATGGTCTTTTAAAAACACACCTCACCAAGCTCAGCCACCAACTTAAAAAGGACTGGACAATACTTTTACCACTTTCCCTTCTCAGAATTCAGTCCTGTCCTTGGAATGCTACAGGGTACAGCCCATTTAAGCTCCTGTATGGACGCTCCTTTTTATTAAGCCCCAGTCTCACCAGACCAACTTGGACTGTGTCCCAAAAAACTTGTCATCTCTACTATCTTCTGTCTAGTCATACTCCTATTCACCATTCTCAACTACTCATACATGCTCTGCTCTTGTTTACACTGCTGGTTTACACTGTTTCTCCAAGCCATCATAGCTGATATCTCCTGGTGCTATCCCCAAACTGCCACTCTTAACTCTTAAAGTAAATAAATAATCTTTGCTGGTAGGACAATGCTGAATCTCCTTAGGCACTCTCTAATTGGATGTCTTGGGTCCTCCCAATTCTTAGACCTTTAATACCTGTTTTTCTCCTTCTCTTATTCCGTTTAGTTTTTCAATTCATACAAAACCGTATCCAGGCCATCATCAATAATTCTAAATGACAAATGTTTCTTCTAACAGTCCCACAATATCACCCCTTACCATAAAATCTTCCTTCAGCTTAATCTCTCCCACTCTAGGTTCCCACGCTGCCCCTAATCCCGCTCAAAGCAGCCCTGAGAAACATCGCCCATTATCTCTCCATACCATCCCCCAAAATTTTCGCCGTCCCAACACTTTACCACTATTTCATTTTATTTTTCTTATTAATATAAGAAGACAGGAATGTCAGGTTTCTGAGTCCAAGCTAAGCCATCATATCCCCTGTGACTTGCAGGTACACATCCAGATGGCCCATTCCTGCATTAACTGATGACATTCCACCACAAAAGAAATGAAAATGGCCTGTTTCTGCCTTAACTGATGACAATATCTTGTGAAATTCCTTCTCCTGGCTCACCCTGGCTCAAAAGCTCAACTACTGAGCACCTTGTGACCCCCCACTCCTGCCCACCAGAGAACAACCCCCCTTTGAGTGTAATTTTCCTTTACCTACCCAAATCTTATAAAACGGCCTCACCCCTATCTCCCTTCGCTGACTCTTTTTTCGGACTCAGCCTGCCTGCACCCAGGTGATTAAAAGCTTTATTGCTCACACAAAGCCTGTTTGGTGGTCTCTTCACATGGATGCGCATGAAAGAAATCATCCTAGAAAAATGACTGCCCATACCACTTTACAGAAGACTTGAGTTTGGACACTCAACAACCTGGTCATCCCTATGAAAACTGTTTTTCCTAGACCTAGCTCTTATTCCCTCCTCCTTCTTTAGGCTTCTGCACCATGTGACATTTCATTTTTTCTTCTCTTCCCCACAGCAGCAATTCATATTTATAGTCCCTGTGTCACCTTTAAACATCTGGTCTCCATTTACCTTTTCACCACTCAGTGGCAACAGCCTGTTGTTTCAGAGATATGCACCAGAGCAAAAGACAAGGACACATAGCTACTGATTAATTTTTATAGCACATAATTCACTCCTTAGTTTTTCTCTCCCTTCTGAGGCAACAAATGTAGAAAATGTCTTCCACATGTGGAGCCCAAGTGATTGGCACATGTCCTTTTTATGTGGTTAGGGGCTATCAGCAGAAACTCAAAGATGTATTTTTGTTTTTTATTTTTTTCCTGTTCCCTTCCCTCCTTCCCTTCCTATGTTCAAAGTTATGACTGCATTTGGGGGGGAAGAAAAGCAATGTTGAGAAACCAAGGAAAGAGAGGTAAGAAAGAAAGAAAAAGAAGAAAGAAAAGAAAAAAAACAAAAAAAAGGAACGAAAGAAAGAAAGAAGAGAGAGAAGAAGGGGGAGGGAGGGAGGAAGAAAAAAAGGAAGACAGGAAACTGACTTGGAGTTCTTACCTGATTAAAAGTTCACCTTGTTTCATATTTTAATGCCAGAGAGACACAGCTAATGATGCTAATCTCGTATCCCATATGTGTTGTCACAGATTTCACCTACTCATTCAAAAAATATTTTGAGCATCTACGAATTTATTTGGGGGCATAATATAATCAAAACTGAAAAAAAATCACGTCTCTCACATACTACAATGTAAAGGAAGAGAACTTAAAATAATAAAAGGTGATAAATAGTGAAACACTATTTTACCATCTCAAGGTGTTCCCACCAACACTTGGAAAATAGCCAGTGACTGCAAGAGACATTCAAATAATAAAGATGAGGAGTAGGTGTCAACATCTGGGATTTAAACATGCCTGATGATCATTGACATAGAGTTATTTTTCCATGTCCTTGACTACTGTATTGAGAGAGAGAGAATTTCAGTGAAAAACAATGGAAACTTTAGATTGTAACCAAATCATCTAAGCCACAGAACAATGTAGCTTGCAACAAGGCTCTGATAGTTTCACCACAATACATTTTTTTTAACTTACTTCCAACTACTCACTGCTATTTGTCCTATCTTCTAAACACACAGGACTTTTTTGTGTTCTCTTAATAAACCATGGGATGGCACAGTTTCATGACATTGTTTTACTGGGAATTCCTTCTTCCACCTCTCTATTATGCAAAGTGCTGCCCAGTAGCTTTAAGAACCACCTCAAATATTATTTTCTTTGTGAAGGTTTGACTTACCCATCTGTCTCAAAATAATTCATATGCCTCTTTTTCACAACTACAAATCAGTTTACCACATCTCTATAGGAACACTTTGCTCATAAGTAGAGATGCCTATAAATTCTTGCTTACTCCCATTTTAGTTTTGGCTATTCTGTTTGTGGAACATAACCCTCTACTCTCTCACTGCTAAAGTGCATAATACTCTTTTTAGCCCATAAGCTAGGTCAAATAGATTGGACCAAGACTAAGCATTTGGTCTTAGATAACAAGCTGAATCTGATTTTCTGGAAATAGGTTTTGGATTTTTTTTTAAAAAGATCCCTTGGTGATTCTAATGTGCAGCCAGAGGTACAAATCACTGAACTAAAGGAATAAAGCTATACACTGCATTGAGTCAATAATATTCAATGTCTCAAGAATGTAAACAAAGAGATACAGAAATTAAATTACTAGATATCAAGATCATGTATAGCCAGACTGGGCTCCCAATTTTGCCAAGTGGGTGTGCTAAAGCTTAGAAGGCTGCTCTGTCAGTCTGCAATGGTGTCTGCAATTAACGCCTCTTCATTCTTTTGCAGGGGTTGGGGAAATAATTTCATGTATTGAATAATAAAAGAGGTAGGTTTATAGGACATTTACAAGGTAGCATAGACTGTAAGTGTCAGATGATTGCGAACCAGGTTACTGCAGGGAATTTGTTGTTGGGAAGACCTAATTTGAGGTCCAGTTCTACAATGTGTTAACTCTTAATTTTTATCACCAAGGACTACAGACGTGAAGGCTTTTTATAACTAAAGAAGAAAATAAATGTCTACCTCAGTGTTTCTCCCTACCCCTTTCCCGTCTCGAAGAAAAGCAAATTTACAACTAAAGAGACAACTTTAGTATTATTTTCTAACTTCAAGAAGTTCTTCAGTTTAAACTTAAATATCTTTATTTGCCTCTCAGGCTGACCTCTGCTTATGCTATGATTTTTTCATAGGCACTATGAGCAATAATAAAAAAAAATCTTTCATTACTCGGATCAGTTTATTAATCTGACATTCATAATGCAGTTTCACTTTTTTAAAAATGCTGACACTCATGGCCATACAGATTGCATAGAGTACAATCCTAGATGGTCCTGTTTCCTTAAACTGCAATGTGAAAGAAACTACCTGGAAGTGTGAAAAGTGAAGTCCCTGCCTATGAGAAAAGGGGAAAAGTGACATATTTACATACAAATGTGTATGGCCATACAGTTGCAGCTAGAGCAAATATTAGGATATTCATGGGGCAAAAGAGGTTGTTTCCACTGGAGAAAAAGGAGTCAAACAATCCAACTTGGCAAATTAACTGAGAGTTCCAAAAATCGAAATGGCCCAGATAATTATAAAGTGATCTGAGAGTAGAAACTGAATGTGAAACAGTACCTGATCCATGAAATCATTGAGGATTTTATCAGGACACTTGAAGGTTTTAATTTCATGATTTTCAAACTCTAGAGAAGTTAAGATTTTCAAAAGATACAAAAAGACAATATATCCAGAAAATAGGTGGTAAAAAGAGGAGGTTGTAATGCCGAAGAATGGCAAAAACGGCAGACCTCTTTGACTTCTTATTTCTTCCTTTAATAAGAGAACTGTATTGAGAATCAAAAGATCACACTAACATTTGTAAAGAAAGAATGAAATCCCAAGGTGTATTATTAGATTGTAAGGGAATATGTAGCTACTCCAATGGAGTGAAAAATCTCCTTTTTCAGATTAATGGCATTTTAAAATTCTAAGAAAATGTATAAATGACAGTTTGAACCATCACCACACAGGGTAATGTGCTTCATATAGGTGATTGACTTGCAATCTCAGTTGACAAAATGAAGAAGTATAACCTGAGAGCAGAGATAATTGGAGAGATTAGTAAATGTTTGAATTACTCTGTCTACACTGATAAATGGTATATTGTTTTAGGTATGTAGAAAGTTTTCTAATAGTTTGCTATGAATGTTGCCATGTGTCACAATTTGCTTTGCATTTTTATTAATTTTCACAGAAGTGCAGAAAAATACATGTTCATATAGGAAGATGGTTAAAAACCAAGAAAGATAATGAATAGTTTAAATGATGTAACCGCTATCCCAAAGGTCCTTGACAGGGTTAAACAATCAATTGCAATAGGACCAGACTCAAGGGAGATCGATACAATTTTCAAAGGATGTTTTGTTTTTCCTTCTTAATATCTATGGACAGGATGAAGAGATTTACATTCAAAATAGCAGTTATGATAAAAATGAGAATTTTTCTATTGATAAGTGATATGGTTTCGCTCTGTGTCCTCGCCCAAATCTCATCTCAAATTATAATCCCCACGTGTTGAGAAAGGGACGTGGTGGGAGGTGATTGGATCATGAAGGTGGTTCCCCTATGCTGTTCTCATAATAGTGAGTTTTCATGAGATCTGATGGTTTAAAAGTGTTTGGCAGTTCCCCACTCCCACCCCCCTGCAGCCATGTAAGATGTGCCTTTGCTTCCCTTTTGCCTTGAAGTTTTCTGAGGCCTCCCCAGCCATGTGGAACTGTGAGTCAATTAAGCCTTTCTCCTTTAAAAATTACCCAGTCTCAGGTATTTCTTTATAGCAGTGTGAAAATGGACTAATACAACTGGAATCCCAATAGAAGTCAATGAAGTGAAGTATTTACAAAAGCCAGCCAAACTCTCTTGGGCTGTAGGGGGTTGCATTGGGAAAGCAGAAATATCTGCATTTATTTAAAACAATATTATCTACTGATCAGGCTATTTCTATTTCATTCTTTTATTTCATTTCATTCTATTTCATTTCATTCATCTATTTCATTTCTTTCATTCATTCAATGAACTATTTCATTCATTGCAGTGGGATAGCACTCTGATATTGACAAACTGTGATATACACAGCGAGGGACAAGAGTCATTTTTGGATTTGAAGCCTTGCTACAGAAGAGAAATGGAGGATGAGAAATGGAGGATGTTCAGCCTAGAGAGGGGAGGGCCACACAGTGAATGTTTAATGTCAGTTTTTTAAAGGGCTTCAATGTAGGCAGAAAATTTTATTGTGGCTCTAGGGGACATAAAACAAGACAAAAATAAAGTATTTGGTGAAATTTCAAGGAAAAATATTTTAGCTCTATATAAGGAAAAAAATGTATAAGCAAGATGTTCATATATAGGCCAAAAGATAAGACGGGTTTTATTGAAAGAAAGTGAGTGCCGACAAACACGGGCTGTAGTCAGAGAGATGTGGTAAAAACAGTTCAAACATAAGATGGGTGGTTAGATTGAATATCTTTTAAGATATTTTTCCCATCTCAGTATGGAGGAATTATGGAAACAGATAGGGAAGATCATTATAAACATAGTTGAAACTAGAAATTGAATGAGAAATAGTGCTTGTCTTATTAGGGCATTTGGGATTTTATCTGGAGACTTGAAAGTTTAATTTCACTTCTTTTAAACATAATTTTCCTCATTTTCTCTTTACGTTATTAACCCTCTAACTGTACTTTCTAAAGATTTTGTGTCAAAGGGCCATTCATCTGTTAACATAGAATTGAATACTTTTAAGCTGTTCTGTGTTTTGGAGTAGCACAATTAAGATGAGGAATAACTCCTCTCTCAGCTGGAGTAGATGTGTGTGCATGCCATAAGAATGAAATTCCAGAACTTTACTGGATTAGTCAGGGTTATCTAGAGGGACAGGACTAATAGGACAGTTGTATATATTAAAGGGAGTTTCTTAAGGAGTATTGGCTCACACAAGCCCAAGGTGAAGTCCCACAAGAGGCCATCGGCAAGCTGAGTAGCAAGAAAGGCATTTCGAGTTCCAAAACCTCAAAAGTAGAGAAGCTGACAGTGCAGCCTTCAGTCTGTGGCTGAAGACTCAAGAGCCTCTGGCAAACCACTGGTCCAAGAGTTTAAAAGTTGAAGAAGTTGGAGTTCAATGTTTGAGGGCAGGAAGGATCCAGCACAGCAGAAAGATGAGGTTCAGAACACTTAATCGGTCGAATTCTTCCACTTTCTTCTGCCTGCTTTTATTCTAGTCACACTGGCAGCTGATCAGATTGTGTCCACTCAGGTTGAGGGTGGGTCTGCCTCTCCTAGTCCACTGACTCTAATGTTAATCTCCTTTGGCAACACCCTCACAGACACACCCAGGAACAATACTTTGCATCCTTCAATCCAATCAAGTTGACACTCAATATTAACCATTACATTCAGTAACACACTTTGAAAAACTACCCACATATTAGTGACAATTACCACCCTCTACCTAAGCTAAAGCTCTTTAAGATGAGAGGATAACAGATACTGGCTGCATGATGCACTAGTCCCTGCAAGGTATCCAGATGATCACTTGCAGGGACTAGGGCATTGATGAGCCACCGGGGAGGAAGAAATCTGATACATTTTAATTATTTATCTGGAGTAGAAATTATAATCTACTATAACACCTGTTGTCGGAGGAATACTGCTGCCAGTCCCCCAAAGATGACTAAGTCTTAATCCCCAAAATCTAGGAGTACATTACATTACATTGCAAGGGGAAATTGAAGTTTTATGTGCATTTAATGTTGTTAATCAGCTGAACTCAGCATAGAGAGATTATTCAGGATTATCCAGGTGTGACCAATGTAATCACAGAGGCCTTTAAAGAGAGAGAGGCAGAAGAGAACAGGGAAAGATGTGACTACGGAAGGAAGGATAGAAATATGCTGTGTTGTTGGCACTGAAGATAGGGGGCAGGTAGGGAAAAAAGCAAGGCATGCAGGGCAGCCAGGAGGAGCTGGGTAAAGAGCAAGGAAACATTCTCTTCTAGAGCCTCTAGCAAGGAACTCAGGCTGGCTGGTACCTTGATGTTAGTCCAGTGAGACCTGGGTCAAAACTCTGACCTCCAGAACTGTATAACATTAAATATGCATTGTTATAAGTCATTATGTTCCTTGTCATTTGTTATGACAGCAGTAGAAAACTAATAAAACATCCAAGCACAACTTTTTTTTCTGCATTCAGGAAACAAAGAAACATATTTAAGAGAACAGAAAAGTAGAATTCTCTTAAAGGCATTTTTAAATGAGAGATTTACAAATGTTATTTTTCTAATCTTGTTTGCATATGTGTAACTTATTTTTCCGAGTGAAAACACAAAGACGCTTACCTTAATTACAAACAGTAATCAGAGTTGATTTGTCTTATCCCTTCAGAAGAAAGCCTCTTATATGAAGAATTGGTCTCATACAGATTTTTGTTTCCTGGCAAAAATTCACTGAATTAAAAATAAATTCATTCAGTGTTAATCACATCTATTTCTTGACTTCTATTTAATTGACTCTGGTACCAATGTCCATAATAATTAGCAAGGAAAGAAGCTACGATTCTTCGATAACCTGTTCTGCTCATCCAGCTAGTAAATGGATGACTTGATAGTAAAACTTTTGTCTTTCTGATGCCAGAAATTTGGTCCTCTCCACTCTATCATTACTTTTTTTTTCCTCCTCAGTGACACACACACACACACACACACACACACACACACACACACACACACACATTAATATTGCTCTCCTAGGCCTACCCAGGTTCTGAAAAATTGTCAGTATGGTCTAGAATAGCATGTCTTGCTCCTTATTTTGAAAGTAGAAAAATCTCAATTTTCCTACCCCAAATGATATTCAATATGACCTTCTGTGGCAACAGGTTCATTCTTTCTCTGCTTTTTCTGTACTCTATTCAAAAAATCAGAAGGATCTGGGTATGCTCTGTACTGATTTTTCCCCCCGCCAGGTGGCTGTTTCACCTGCCGAAAACAGTACTTTAATTATCAGTAGAGATGACTATTCTGGCTAGCCTGGAGATTTTTTCTGCTTAAAATGTTGTGTATTTATGAAAAGGGCTTTCATTTCATATTACTGTATTTAAATCTGCCTCTGAGAGTGGGGACCCTAATGAATAAGGTCTGTACTAAATGTATTTAATTATTACAGAGTTTCCAGTCTCTGTTCCCTACACCTGGATCAACATGCCTATCACAGGGAGGCACATTTTCAGCAGGTCAGTTCTCCCTACTCTGCTTAGAGTGAGTTTAGCTCATTCAGAACTGAAGTTAGAGGTGTTTTATGCAAACGTGACCCATAATCCTTAGCTTACATAAATTAGGGTATTTCTATTTATCTCAAGGGGTGTTATCAACATTAAAAAAGTAATTTTCAAAAGCTTTTTTCAAAGTTAGCATGAGCCTCATAACAGGACTTCCCCATAAGCAGATTTAAATCTACTGGGAGGCCTCAAATGCCTCCAGTGTGCCCGACACTTTCTGGGAAGTGCAATTAGTCCATTCTGCTGACTCTGAGCTTTGCTCCTATACTAATCTTTTCTCTGGAATGAATGACCTTGTACCACCTCTGCTTCATACTCATCCTCCAGGACTTGGGCTAAGTACTTCCTCCTCTTCTATGAGACCATTCACTACAACAAAGTAATAATTGCCCTTTGCTACTCTCACTCACAGATTTTCTTTCTGTAAGATTTTCACATTGTGCTTCTTATTGTAATTATTTATGTTGGCTATTATATTCCTATTAGATTGTTAGATCTGCAGACTCAATTACTATGCTGTGCTCATGTTTGCATATCTTCACAGCATTGATCACAGGCTGGCTATCAGAATTGAACCAAACTACCAAAGAAAGAGGTGAGAGAGGGGGAAAAATAATTGTGCCAGAATCTGGAAATATTTTTTGTGTAACCTCTAAGACTTCCTAGCTATGGGCCCTTTAAACAAATCAATGCAGCTAAGAAAGAAAAAGTTATAGACTTGGAGATTATGACATATAATTTTTAAATTATAGAGTGCCCAACCCCTCAACTCTTCACCTCTAATGCTTTAGCTAATTCTATCTCATCTCCTTCAATCTGGCTTTAAAGCCTGCTGTGATAAACTCTAGGTAATCAAAGCTTGAGAATATGAAATTTGATTTTCAAAGGAAATATTGTAAACTAGATAGTTATTGTAAAGTTGATTTACAAAAATAAACACTGGCTATTAATTAAAAATTATCATTTATTTCTACTTCTACATATACAAACAGTTGTTTACAAAGGGAATATTTAAAATCTGTAATATACACTTTTATCATCTCTGAGATTAGAAGACCATGTTTTGAGAATGGAAACTAATGTGTTTGACTAAAATGATAGTGAAAAAACACTATTAACAACAAATGCACATCTATTTTCCATTAGGAGAACTCACTTAATTACTCTAAAGTAAGTCTCCTGCTGGGCAGTGACAGCATTGCCCAAATTTTTGGCAATGACATAAGATAAAACCACTTAGAAGAAGTGAAAATAGATTCTGGAAAGATGGCAAGGGCATAGATTTTGTCTCTCCCTCAATTTCCTCATTTTTTAAAAAAAATGCCCCCTAAGGCAAAACCATCACTTAAATAAAGTATCCCATGAACCCAAAAATATGATTAGATTTAAGACTTATTACTGAATGCTCCACATTGCATGGGATCAGCATATGTGTAAGAGAAAACAGAAACAGAGGTAGACAACATGAGGTCTGATGGATCCAAAAACTAGTACTCATTCAAAAGGCCAGAAAGCGTCTTGGAGAATAGTAGCTGCAACTGAGGGGGATTTACACACTGCAATAGCCAGAGAGGGCAAGAAATCCTCAGAAGGAATGAAGATGGTGAAGTAGAAAGCTCCCTCAATGCTTCCGAAACTATTTAATTAAAGTCTTTTTCATAACAAAAGCCCACGCTGAGAATAAACTTTTGGAAAAAAAAAATTGAGAATAACAGGCTTAAGAGAGACAAAGGAAACATAATGTTTAGATAAAAGTAGGGGAAGAGAACGAAGAGAAAAGCTCCCAAAAATAAGCCTTGAACAGAAAATTGTGCTGTATAGTAGTACAATTTTTAAGAAACTATCTTAAATGGTGCCTCTGTCTAAAATATCAGGAAAATAAATTTTATATAAAAGTGTATAAAAAGTTAAAGCCATCTTTTGTACAAATATAAGTAAGTAGAAGAAGAAAGAAGGAAGAAGAAGAAAAAGAAGAAAGAGGAGGAAGAAGAGGAAGAGGGGAAAGCAGCAGTAGCAAAATGTCCCTGTAGACAAGAAAATCATACAGGACAGTTCACCAAACATTTGAGAATGTTACCCAGTGTTTTTTAAATGAGTTAAAATGCATTAAGAGCATAATGCAAGATATTAAATAACATAAATCAGAATTAGGAGAATTAGGAAGTAAGGTTATAAAAACTTAGGAAAGAATGAATCATGTCAGAAATAAAGGCTTAAGTAGAAAGAGCTCAAGAGTGAATAAATACAATTGGTGATGCCTTAAGAGTTGTGAAAGATAATACTTCAAAAATGTTTAAAAAGGAAAATAAACTAAAAAAATAAAAAACATTAAAAAGAATTACAAATACATGACATGCAAAGAAGTTCCAAAATATTAATAATAGTAACCTCCAAAGAAGGAGAGCAAAGCTAGAGAAGACAGCAAATATTAAAAACTATAATTCAAGATGATTTTCTGGAATTAAAAAGAGAAGAATTTAAAATTACATTTTAAAAAGTTACATTGTATACTTGAGAAAATCAGCCCAGAACCACCATTATTAAGAGAATGCTTTATACAATTATTGGACTTGATAGAAAAACCAAAAAGAAGAAATAATAAATAATAGGAAAAAAAGGTAGATTGTCATCATACTCTTTATTAGAGAAAAACAGAATAATATATTTAAGGTGCTCAAGGAAAGAAAATATAAGCCAAAGATTTTATATCATGCAAACTAACTTTCAAGTATAAAGATAATAAACAATTATCAACATGCAAAAACTTAGTAATGTTTCTATAAGCCCCTTCTTGATAAAATGATATAGAAGGAACTTCAGATGACTCACATAACTGATAAGATGTTGGCTTAAGTAGGGATAAGCATTAAATCTATATTTATATGTAGAATTAAGACTATATGAGGGAGAGGATGTCATGGCTATATGCTCTGACAAGATACACTACAACTATTTTTAAAATGTGAAAAGAATGGGGCCAGCATATGCAAAATTTCATTTTTTAACTTTCAGCCATCACATTTTCCAGCTCTGTTCACTGAAAAACTTGAGAAGTAATGAGCACCGAGTAGCAATGACTATGCCTAGCACACAGGTTGTGGTGTTAAATCACCATTTTGTGCTGAGACAAACCAGAGGTTTTTGAGAAATGGCTGAGTACAGTTCTGAGGTGGGAAATGAGCAAGAAGAGCCAAGAACATATTTTCATATCAGATAAGAAGAAAGCTATCAAAGTCTACTAGAGTTGTGTTCATAAGACTCAGGAGTCAACTTGAAAAATTGCTACTGGCAAAAGATAAGGCAATTGGAACATCATTAAGGACAATGACTTCATTGAAATAATACCCACCAGGTATGTTTGTCTACAAATTCACAATAACATATGGTTACTTTCGGAAAATACTAGAGAATCATCTCATTATTTTGAAAACTGGTAAATAATGGAAAGACTCAAGCAATTAATTATCTTGCCATTTTTGTACAAACTAAAACAAGGAGTGATCAAATAGCATTGGTCATTTCATTTTATAAAAACATTCCAAAAACTAAGAAAAGTAGAAAAGATAGAGTTGGGATATCACCATTTTGCAATTCTTTATGAATTAAGAAACTAAGCATTGATTATCAATGGCTGTTAACAACACAAAAAGCAGGCAACCAGATATTGTGTGTCTTTGGATCAAGGACATAACACCACATATGAATTTGTCTTTCCACAAAATACCAAATCTGAATGTGGCTAAATCTTTAGCTCCAACTAGAAATTTGTAGGAATTTCTGAAGGCAGATTAATGCATTAAACTACACAATGGATAACAGTAGAGAGCAATTAATATTAATATTTTTAAAATAAATTGCTCAAAAACAATACATGTAATTTTACACATATGCATAGATATGTAAATATACTCATATAGGTATACATACAATGTACATATATATAAGATTATATGTACACATATACATATATTAAGAGAGTGGGGAAAATAATGGTAAACTATAGTTCTACTTTTATCAATGGAGTTATAAAATTATAAAGAAAAATTTTAAAGTGATTTCATAAGAGCTATAATAAGGGTTACTTGTAGTGGAGAGAGCACAAAGAGAGCTTTGGGGTAACTGGCAAAGTTCTACCTTATTTCATAAATGGCAGTTATAAGGATACTTTTTCTTATACTAACTCATTAAGCTGTACATTACTTTATGTTATCTTCAATAAACAGCAATAAAAAGTAAAAAAAAAATAAAAGAGCTAAAGTAGAATATTTCATTTATTCAGACCATTTATTTCATTATGAAATAAACCTTACACTATTCAATACTAAATCTCTGGGCACATTTTATATTATCATGAGCTGTGAGAAACATACTTGGGATAGCTTAGTATAAATCTTTCTATCTTGGAAAAAAAATGTTTTTAAAAAGGTTGTAATAGCACCTTGATAAACAAGATAATTTATTTAAAGAAGTAGTATCAATGTAATGTTTATTACAATAAATACACAAAAGATTCAGAAATTTTTATTTTCTAGCTATAGCCTCTGTGGAGCTCAGTTTCCTAATTGGTTAAAAATACAGGAGTTCATGTTTGTCTTGTTAAAGTTATGCTGAGGATCAAGTGAGATATTCAATTGAAAACATAAAAAAGCAACACAAAGAACTATATCCTTATTTGGAAATGTGGCAAACTACCACCACTCTAAATGATCTTCAAGTAGTAAACACCTTAAATATTTGGTATTTATTAAAAATAATTAATTAGAAACCAACCCATCGCAATGTCAGTAAAGAATCTAAAACTTATCTAAAAAAACCGAAGACATCCTAATTCCCCATGTCTACACTAGAAAAAAAATTAGTTAAATATACACGTCAGTCACAAACTTTTTTTTAAAATTTAAATGTAATGTTGTTGTTTGTAAATAAAGAAAATAATACAAGAAATGTGACAGCAACATTTTTCAACAAGTGGAGCTCAGAAGGGATGGATCATTTAAAATAAAATGACCTGAATGTAATTTGCATGTGGACAAAAGATTTTCTTCTGCACTCTCAGGTCCTATTTGCAGGGATAGGAAAAAAACAGACTTATTTAAAGAGTTAAAAGGCTTCCTCTTTCAATACAAATGGAGAAGAAAAAGAGAAGTGTCAGGCAACAGAAAGTTGGTCATTGGTGAAGTTCAGAGAAATTAGGCAGCTGGAATATTTTCACAACCCGTCCCCTCTTCTTCTTGGAACAGCCTGAATATTTTCATGGTCTTATTAAAGACAATTTCAGAAATGCTTTTCTGCATCATTGGATGCCATTTTTAACCAGACTAAATCTTATGAAAATTTATGTTTAATTCTAAAACATGTTCCACCCACCACCATATTCCAATTAAAGCGTGACATTGACACTTCCCATGTCCCCGTCTGATGCAGCGTTGAGAATGCACATAATCTCACATGCTGGTATCTCTCCAAACCAGGAAGCTTCTTTCACCTCTAATTTGCATGATGCATTCATTTTCAAATTAGTCACGTGATTAATGAGCATCTTGGAGAGTGTCCAGTTTTATCCACTCTGTCATGTTCCCCTTATTCCCACCACTAGACTCAATTAACTCTCCCAGCTAGTGCCAAATGATTGCACACAATATAAATCATGTTTGTTCATTTGTTCCAGAAAAGAATCACATCCACTGCAATTTAGAAATTGTTTTCCATTGGCGAGGATAATTAATTGTTAAAATGTGTATCAGCAAGCATTTTCCTTTACTACATAGACTAAACCTTCAACTATTCAATATTTATCAAACTCCAAACTTGTACTCCACAGTCTTCATCCTCAGCCTCTGAAGAAAACACTGCAGGTTTGTAGAGAAATTCTTATAATGAGCCGTTTTTGTCAAACTTGAATTAGGCTGCAGTCCTCTAATAGAAAGGAATTAATGTAAAAATGGCTTCATAATGAAGAAACTGAAGACTTAGGTTATTGTTTTCTCACCATCTTATATTATTTGTTTCTCCATCTCACAGCTCAGCTGAACTTTGCAAATTTTTATTATTTGAATATCCAGGCATAATATGAAAATTAAGCTCTGTTCTTCACACCATCTCAATTTAATTGACATTGTTTTCAATTCATGCATAATCTAGAAAGAAAATGATTGTATTTCTTCTGCAACAATTTTGTTCAGGTTTGAGTCATTAATAATAATTACAAATTCTTGAAAATAAAATATAATAGTTGCTTTTTAAAACAGTTGCATTTTCACTGGAAGTTCCAGACAGCATTTCTTTTTCACAAAGAAAGAATAGTCATCAGGCATCTTGGTTAAAATTATTTATTTAATTGAAAAACTTTAGAACTTTTATTTGAAAATGCACCCACACACACACATACCAGAGCTCTAGGTCATGACTAATTTTTACAGGAATAAAAGAAAAAAGTTGTAAACAGGTAACTGTGCTGTGGTTGTAATATTTGTACGTGTTCAACATTACATAATTTATTGAGAAACATGGGATAACAATTATTCTGTTGCCAAGATATATGGGAGAACAATAGCTGTTCCCAAGGTATATTTCTGGGTGCTAAAGACATGGGACCTAAATAGGTAGAAAGAGTCCTGGTTCCTGTGAAAGACAATGGAAAAAGAAATACATGTGCAAGAAAAGATAACGGTTAATGATAAATGTTATACAGAAAATTTTATAAAGGTAATATAATAGAGTGTCTCCAAAGAGAAAACATTTCAGAGGATATCCAAATGACAAAGAGGAGTCAGCCACAAGTTATGAAAGTCTTCTGGGCAGATAAAGCAACTAGTGGACAAAAGCACGAGAATCCAGATCCAGTGTGGTGGTGTGATCAAGGAGGAGCAGGAAGGTGATACTGGCTAAGGAATAATGTGCAATCAGGAGAGTGGAACAGAATACAGAAAGAGATCAGAGGAGCAGGCAGGAGCTGCATCATGCAACCAAAGGGGCCAGCTGTGTTACTCTAAGTGCAATAGGAAGCAAAGGAGAGAGATGTCCTCTGGCAGCTATATGGAAGACAGATCAGAGTGAGACAAGACAAAGAAGTGGAGGGGAAGCTGTGCGATTTTGGGCATGGATTGCACAGTCTAGCTCCACCTTTTATTTTATTTTATTTCATTTATAGATTAAAGAAAAGTTTGGTACAGAAGAATAACAGAAATTAAAATTATTAAATTCTTAAAATTATTAAAAGAGTAAGAGAAAATCAACCAAATAGAAGTTTTTATCCTGAAAATAAAATATTCCTAGGCCTAATTGAAGAACTCTATATTAAACTTCACTGATAGGAATTTGAAACTTTGTCTCTGTTCACTTCCCTCTGTCATAAACATCCCTCTACAGTTATTTCAGGGTCAGTTTCAGTTTGATGTGTTCCTAGTGCTTTTTCAGACATCTTAAACTGAAGGGCTCATTTTTTGCTTTCTGAAATTCCAGAGCAATTATTGTAAATGCCATTTCCTTGGAATATTCAATAAAGTAGTAATAATTTCATATTCCTCTTAAACATATTTTTGTATTTTAATCAGGAACATCAATATTTGAGTATCAAATTAAAAGATTGCATAAATTGAATATGGTAAGATATTTAAGGTCGGGAGAGCTTTTTCGTGTTCCTGAAATTATTCCATTGGGAAACTGTCTATTTTTCCCATGTTCACGTCCAACGAATTCTGTAACCCTAGGACAGCATTAAGAAGAGTTCAGCTAAGAGCAACATAATTGTGAAAGGGGTTAATAATACAATTCAAGTTTCTTTAGTGATCATCTCATTTCTCTTTTTCAGATGGTGTGACCTAGGAGTATAAATTACTGCAGACTGAGCATTACTATGCAAAGGTCAAGACTATTTGTTTTAAGTTTACTGGATTGCAAAGCACTAGAAAAATACCTTATTGCCTTCAGATACTGTTTTTCTTTTTTTCTTTACCTCTATAAATCAAAACCACAGTATTTTTTAAGTGGGAAAAGTAATTTGTATATATGAACTTTTCAGCACTGCATTCTAAACTTGAATTGATATACAACAGAGCTGTCTTGTTTAAAACATAGTAGAGATCATTTATTCTGCGGGATTTGTATATTATACTTCTGAGGATCTAAGAGAAAATAACGAATTTTCACATTTCAGTTAAGTTTATGGAAATAGAAAGGGTAGTATCTGTATTTCTACCTTTTCTGATTTTTAAGTGTTCTCTATACTCATTTTATTGGTTTTTCTTTTCATACTCTATGCTCAAAAAATAATGTATCTAAATATATGTATTATATGTTATTTTATTTATAAATAAGGGCTATAATATAGTTCCATAGTATGATTATAGAGAGTAATTTTTATTCAACATTTATCTAAAGTTTATAAAGTCTTGCACATATATTATCTAAATCAGTTCTTATAACTCCACATTTTATGGCAGATATTAGCCACATTTTGTAATTGAAGACATTCTGATCCCAAAAAGTTAAGTGGCCTGCTAAAAACAGAAAATTTGGGGGAAAAATCCATCACATGCAAAGGTCACACATTTATTACAATATTATTGATTTTATAATCATTTGAGAAATTCTTCTGTCCAAAAATTCCAATGTCTGTTGATAGTAAGCCATATAAAAGGGAACAAAAGCACTAGCCCATATTATTTTGTGTCTCAGATGCTCTTCTCCAAACCAGTAACCTGATTCACCTTTTTCAGAACAAATCCTCTCCCTAAAATTAAACATTTCGTGTGTACATACATGTGTCTGTACAAGGCACAGTTGAGTCATATTTTGAAAGGTTGCAACATCACTGAACTGATCAACATGATGACTTTGAAAAGATTCTTATTTGAACGCCAAATTCTGGCACTTTTGTTTAAAAATTGTTATAGTACTTTAAGATTAACCACAATGGTTTATTTTTTTTAAACAATGCAAACATGAACTATAGCTTGATAGCTAATAGTTTGCATGTAAGTAATGAATATAAATTTGTGTCAATAATTTTCACTTTCCTAGTGATATTACAATGTCCAGGAATCGTGACTGAGAATTACTGCTCCTGCAGTTTCTGATTCCCAGTGGGGAGAATGTTGAACTTTCATTATACGCTGACAAAATATATTTATCCTAGTATTTATAGATGAGCTTAGGAAAGGAAAGTACAACTACAACAGAAAAACATGCCATCATTTGGGGCCGAGATTACAGGAGCATTTCTGTATACTGCCACATTTTTTAAACATTCCTGTATCATCTGCATTATACAGTGCTGAAGTATTAGGCTTATATGATTCATGCTTTCCTTCTGAGAACATTGTTTTTGGCACTATCAGAGTAACTATCTGTATGATGCATTAACTCGCTGCAATTTTCGGTATCAAATGCTATGAACTTGAAAACTAGATAAATAAGCATCTTGATGTTGTGTGTAAAGACAAAAGGAAAACTGACTTCCACAAGGGCCCTGACATCCTCTCCTGGGCATACTTCTCACAAACTAGGTCCTTTTGGTTTCTTTATGGTTCCCCAGCTCTACGCTAGATACACTAAATGCTGCCATCGTTGAGTCATTAAGCTTCTCTTAAGGAATGAAAATAGGGCATCCAAATTTATTCACTAAGTAAAATTGAGTTTCTTTAAGGCTCCGCTGCTGGGTAAGGCTCTGGAATTTCAAAATAAAAGATAATTATGAAACCAATAATCACATTCATGAAGACATAGTCACTCACAATCCAGGGGAAGTAGAGTATCAGGGAACTTATCCTTGAAGAGGTAATCCTTGAGCTTATTTGTGAAGCAAAAATAGGCTTTAACTAAGCAAAGCACAGAGAATTGAGGCAGAAGTAGAGGTAGAACAAGGCATAAGAACATACTTCAGACACATAGATTCACTTTTTGAAGAAGAACTGTGGAAGGAGGAGAGGCATTGATATTAAGTACAAAAAGAAATATAGTATTGCTTAAGTGCAAAGAGAAAAAGAGAAGAGAATGGTGCTTAGAAGGCTTAAAAACTTGACAGGGCAGCCCAAGTACAGCATTGCAGGACATACTACCCTTTTTTTTCTCCTGTTAAGGAAAGTCATTGAAAAATGTTAAGCAGAAAGAAGGATATGTATTTGTGTTGTGTAAATGCATGTGAACATATGATCATATCTGAATTTTAAAAAGATCACTCTGGAGACTTTTTTTCTAAGATGGAGGCCTTTACTCCTATCTCAGATATGTAGAAATAATTAAAAACATTTTTAAAATATAATAAATAAATACATAAATTTTCTCCAGGAAAGAGACTTTCAAAAGCAAAAAAAGGAAGAAAACGTGGGAATAAAAACAAAGAGACAAACACTGTAAATAAAAAACACAAAATAAGAGTGCAGGAATGAGTCCAAATATGCCAGTAATTTTTAAAACCATGAATAAGTTAATCTATTGAAAAGAAAATTTAACTGATTAAATGGAAAAATTCTTATGTAAACTACATATATAGATAGCAATAAAATGTTTAATAATCTGTATAATATAGCCATGTACAATAACATGAATAAATTTCACAAACATAATATTGCATGTAGAATAGCCAGATGAAGAATAACACAGAATGTATTTATAATTACACATATATATGTATTACAAAATGAGGCAAAAATGTTTAGGCATGCTTGTTTTGTATTAAAACTGTTAAGAAAAGCATGGAAAATGTAGGGTTATAAAGAACATGGTTGTGGGTAGATAGTATGAGAAGTACTTATGAAATGTTGACACAGCACACTGTTTTAGCTGTATAGTAGTTATATGAGTGGTTACTGTGTAATAAAATATTGAGCTATAGCAGTCATGAGAGTGAGAATATTTTTAGAAAATATTCTGGAGATAGAATCAATAGCTCAATGATAGCATAGCTAAGAGAAGTGAGTAAAAAGAGTCAAGGATGACCTCCAGTTTCAGAGCTTGAACTACTAGATGGATAGCAATGTCATTCACTGACTCAGGGAACACCACAAGAGGAACAATTTGGATAGGCATGAGATCATAAGTTTAATCTGAAGTGGTAAAATTTGAGATAAGTATAGAACATCCAACTAGAAATGTCAAGTAGGTAATTGGATGTTTAGTTTTAGAAGTAAAAAAGTGATCTAACTTAGTTATTTTCAGGTATATGAGATAGAAATTTTGGAGTCAGAGACATACATGTAGATAGCAAATAAAAACATGATAATTTTTGAGATTGTCTGGAGAAAGAACCTTCATGCTTACTTGACTGTGAGAAGGTGAGAGTCTAGGATTAATTAAGCCTTGAAAAATACCTAGATTTATTGATCAGATATCCCAGAATGAGTTTCCAAAAGCAGCAGAGCAGTGCCTGAAAATAAGTAATGAGCCATAAGCTGTGGGATTATGTTGAAGAAGACAAAAGAAAAGAATGCTTCCCCCAAAAAGGGCATAATCACCAGTATTGGTTACCTCTTAGAAGTAGAGTAAAACATTGACTGGCTATCATGCACAAAATATGACAGTATATGGAAGCTTAAAGTAAAAACACCACTCACGTGCTGATACTTGTAACCCCTGTCTATCTTAAACAGTCTCCTATGGCCTCATATATTCAACTGCTGAGAAGCTTCCAGTTAGTTAACTTGGTTTGACTAATGAAGGTTTAATTATTCCTAGGTGCATGACTATGTAAGGACATTAGGAAAATAAATACATTTTTAAAAAATGCTACTATCCAGCTTCTAATTAAAAAAGTGAGAATTTGTTTAATGTACAAAAGCATCAAATAGTCAAGTAAGCATGAAGATGCATCAACTTTTATTTATGACTTTCACAGATTATATGCATCTGGAAGATTTGTTTCCTATCATTTCACATGACTGACAAAAATAGAAAGATAAAATAAATTTTAGTTGTTTTCTAATACACACGAATTGTTGCTTCCATTGGTGTGGTGCTTGATAGGTTTTAAATTGCTTTTTACATAGTTAATTTTAGCTTCAAAACAGTTTCATTTTTGTTTTTAAAAATAAATATGGCTGGCATTATTTTACAAATAAGAAAAAAAGGCTCAGATTGGATCAATAACTTGCAGAGAAGGACAACTAATTTGGACTCTGCTTTTCTGATATTTAATTCAGTCCCTTTTCATCATATAAATTCTAAATGTACAGAACATACTAAAACATTATAAAATAAGACGTTTTATCCCCCCACCCTCTGCCCCAGGTAAGTCATAAGCACACCAACTCTAAATGACTGCGTCCAGGAAATATTCAAAGTTAAAGAAAATTATCTATCTTTGTACTAATGAGAATGCACATTATGGGACTATCTTTAATCAGAGAAAGTCAAATTATAGAATATGGAAAATTGACATATTCAATTTGATTATTTACCATGAATCTGACTAACCAAATATTTCTAAATATTTTTCTCCATGTCCTCACTTCGTGCTGAATAAATGCATACTAATATGGACAACTTCAGTGTGAAATGTCAGAATGTTGTCCTCCTTAGTCACCAGGAACCATATCAACATAGTAGTTAAAATTACATTAGTTAAATTAAAAGCTTTAAGCAGAATCTGCCATGGCTAATAACAAAGCTCTTCTTTGAAGAGGCCAAAAATTAAAAGGTAATTGTAAACAGCTCTGACACTGGGGTCAAAAATTATGGATTAGGATCCTAGTTTTACCAACTTCTAAATATATGGCACTAGGTAAATGTGTCTAAATTACACTAAATCATTGAAAGTACTGAGCGGTATGTTACAATTTTAAATGTATCCCTAAGTAGAATATTTCACACTCTACATTTTAAAAATGATAATTACACAAATTGGGAGAGGCAAATGCACACTTTGTTAGCTCATTTTAGGTACGCTTAAAATAGCTTTTACATCTCAATTTGCTTTCATCAGCAATCAGTCAATATGTAGGTCATGTCTACATGAATACTTTTCTTCTCACTCTAATTATTTACATAATTGGCTTATTAGGAGTCAATAAATAATAAAAGATATCTTTAAAAATAAGCTATTAAAATAATACAAAATATAAATATAAGTAATTTGATTTCATAACACAATTGGTTCATGTTTGCTTAGTTATTTAGGTTGACCAGCACTTATTTTAATTAGCTTCTGAATTTAGTCAGCATCAAAGATGGTTAACTAAATATTTCATTGGTTATAGTACTATCTGAAAACGATATTAAAAGAATAATGATAACATTGTTTTTATTACATTACTTAGCAGTAGTAGTTAGTATTTAGAATTAGGAAATGGTTACAGTATGCCAGGTTCTAGGCTAAGCACTTCACATTTATTATCTCAATTAACCCTCACAGGAGACTTATGTGGTAGGGAGAGTTATTATTTCCATTTTTCATTTGGAGAAATAGAGTTCAGTAAATCATATGTAGAAATGTAGTTATCTTCCCAGCATCACACAGATGACAGTCACATGCTACTTAAAGCCAGATGCATCAAACATCCATCTGTGAGCTGGTAGGGCTGGCCATTAGTTTTAGAAGGTTTTGATTATTTACAGTGAATCAGTAATTTTGGTGAATATAGGAAGAAAATTGTCTTTGCAACCTGATACACACACGTTTACTGCAAGAGTAAGAAAGTAGACTGCAGTGTTACTAAGTTTATTCTGATGTGAAATTTCTTCCTTTTTTTGTACCACATAAAGAGTTAGTAAGGGGGTGCCCTAGTAAGTTGGGCTCAAGGTCAAACAGCTTGTAAAATTTGTAAAATTAATCACACAGTTCAGTTCACTGTCTTATCCCTCTGACTCCCTTTCCCTCACACTGCCCCTAACGCGAAGAGTGATCAGAGTAGCCACAGATGTTTCTGGCATCAGAGAAAGAGGCAGAAGGCATTGCAGAGGGCAATTGACTGTGACACTATTAGAACTGAAGTTTTGGGCTGCTTACTTGCAGAGGTGTCTTCCAAGGCCCTATACAAAATTATGTATTCAAAGTTATATCTGTTTCTGCTTTTTTTTTTTAAGATACAAGTATTTCAGGAAACTACATCAAATGGGCTAGTAAGAATTTAACTATACATAGAAGTGATTACATATAAAAATACATACCATTAAAACAAGTTAAATTAAATGTATCCCCAAATCAAAACAGAGAGAATTCATAAAACAGCAAGAGAAAAATATCTAGGCACATAGAAGGGAACCCCCATCAGATTGACAGTGGATTTCTAAGCAGAAACCTGACAGTCCAGGAGAGAATGAAAAGACATATTTAAAGTGCTGAAAGAAAAAACCAAAACCAAAAACAAATAAACAAACAAAAAACCTGCCAGCCAATAATAAAATACTAAGTAATGTTATTCCTCATAAATGAAGGACAAATGCAGTCTTTTCTAGACTAGCAAAAACTGAAGAAATTTGTCACCACTAGACTAGCCCCGCAAGAAATGCTAAGGGAGTTTACACCTGAAAGTGAAAGGACAATATTTACCATCATGAAAATACAAAAGTATAAATCACTGGTAGAGTAAATACATAAATAAGGAAAATAAAGAGCTCAATATTACTACTACAGAAAGCCATCAAGCTACAATAATAAATGAGAAAGAATGAAAGAAAAAAATCAAACAACAAATAATATACAAAACAACCAGAAAACAATGAACAAAAAGACAGAAATAAGTGCTCACATATCAAGATTAATCTTGAATAGAAACAGATTAAATTTTCCACTTAAAAGATATAGACTGGCTGAATAGATTTTTTTAAATGATGCAAATATATGTTACCTAACAGAAACTTACTTCACTAGTAAATACACATACAGACCGAAAATAAAGGGATAGAAAAAAATACCCCAAGCATATCAAAACCAGAATAAGCAACAACAAAAGTGCAGGCCAATATCCCTAAAAAACATAGATACAAAAATTCTCAAAAAAATACTAGCAAATTAAATCAAACAGAGCACCAAAAAGATAATACAATATGATTAAGTGGCATTTATTCCAGAGATTCAAGGATGATTCAACATATGCAAATCAATAAACATGATACATCACATTGACAGCATAAAGGAGAAAAATTATATGATTATCTCAATAGATGCAGAAAAAGCATTGATAAAATTCAATATCCCTTCATGACAAAAAAAAACCCCAAAAACTAGACATAGAAGTAACATACCTAACATAATAAAGGCAATATATGAGAAACTAACAGCTAACATCATACTGAATGGGGAAAAGCTGAAAACATTTCCTTCAAGAACCAGAATAATACAAGGATGCCCACTTTCACCACTCCTGTTCAACATAGTACTGGAGATCCTATCCAGAACAATCAGGCAAGAGAACAATATGAAAGACAACAAATTGAAAATCAGTAAGTCGAATTACCCCTCTTTGCAGATGACATGATCTTATATTTAGAAAACCCTAAAGACTCCGCTAGAATACACTTAGATCTGATAAATGTATTCAGTAAAGTTGTAGAATATAAAATCAACATACAAAAATCAATAGTGTTTCTATACACCAATAATGAACTAGTGGAAAAAGAAATCAAGGATTCAATCCCATCTACAATAGTTACCAAAAAAAAAAACTCCTAGGATTTAATTTAACCAAGGTGGTGAAAGACCTCTACAGGAAAGCTGCAAAACACTGATGAAAGAAATCAAAGAGGATATAAAAAACAAATGGGAAGACATTCCATGTTAATGCATTCAAATAATTAATACTGTTAAAATGGACATATTACCCAAAGCTATCTACAGATTCAATGCAACCCATATCAAAAGAGGAATGCATTTTTCACAGAAATAGAAAAAGCAATCTTAAAATGCATATGAGGCCAGGCACAGTTGCTCACGCCTGTAATCCCAGCACTTTGGAAGGCTGAGGCAAACAGATCACTTGCTATCAAGAGTTCAAGACCAGCCTGACCAACATGGTGAAACCCTCTGTCAACTAAAAATACAAAAATTAGCTAGGCATGGTAGCTCATGCCTGTTGTCCCAGCTACCTTGGGAGGCTGAGGCATGAGAATCACTTGAACCTGGGAGGCGGAGGTTGCAGTGAGCCGAGATCATGTCACTGCACTCCAGCCTGAGCAACAGAGTGAGACTCTGTCTAAAACAAAACAAAACAAAACAAAAAAAATGCATATGAAACCTGAAAAGAGCCTAAATAGACAAAGAAATTTTGAGAATAAGGAGCAAAACTGGAGGCATCACATTACCTGACTTCAACATATGTTGTAAGGCTATAGTCACAAAAACAACATGCATGGTATTTTTACAAAAATAGACACACATAATCCAAGGAAGCAAAATGGAGCACCCAGAAAGAAATCCACAAATTTATAGCCAATTGATTTTCAACAAAGTTGCCAAGAACATGCATTGGGAAAAAGGTACTGTCTTCAATAAATGGTGCTGGAAAAACTAGATATCCATATGCAAAAGAATGTAATGAGACTTCAGTCTCTCACTACATGCACAAAAAATTTCAAAATGGATTCACGACCTGTTTGTAAGATCTGAAACTATAAAACTACTACAGGAAAACATAAGAGAAACACTCCAGGACATTGGACTAGGCAAAGATTTCATGTCAAATACCGCAAAAGCACAGACAACAAAAGCAAAAATAGACAAACGGGGCTGTATTAAAATAAAAGCTTTCTACACAGCAAAGGAAACAGTCAACAAAATGAAGAGACAACCTGTTGAATGGGAGAAAATATTTGCAAACAATTCATCTGACAAGGCCTAATATCCAGAATATATAATGAACTCAAAAAACTCAATAGCAAAAAAGTAAATTAATTAATTTTATAAAATAATAATTTCATTAACAAATGAGCACAGAACTCGAAAGGATATTTCTCAATAGATGACACGCAAATGTCCAAGAAGTATACGAAGAAATGCTCAATATAATTAATCATCAGGGAAGTGCAAATTAAAACCAAATGAGATATTATCTTACCCTGGTTAGAATAAGTATTATCAAGTAGTGAAAAAATAACAGATCCCGGCAAGGATGTAGAGAAAATAGAACTCTTACACACTGATGGTGAAAATGTAAATTAGTATAGTGATATGGTTTGGATTTATGTCTCCACCCAATTCTCAGGTTGAGTTGTTATCCCCAGTGTTGGAGGTGGGGCTTGGAGAGAGGTGATTTGATCATGGGGGTGGTTTCTCATGAATGGTTTAGCACCATTCCCTGGGTACTGTTCCTGGAATAGTGAGTGAGTCAGTTATTGTGAGATCTGGTTGTTTAAATGTGTGTAGCACCTCCTTCATCTCTTCCTCCTGCTCCAGCCATGTAAAACGTGCCTTCTTCCCCTTTGCCTTCCACCATGATTGTAAGTTTCCTGAGGCCTCCCCAAAAGCAGAAGCCACCATGCTTTCTATGCAGCATGCAGAAATGTGAGCCAGTTAAACCTCTTTTCTTTATAAATTACCCAGTCTCAGGTATTTTTTATAGCAATGCAAGAACAGATTAATACATACAACCATTATGGAAAACAGTATAGGGGTTTCCAAAAAAACTAAAAGTAGAACGATCATATAATCCAGCAATTTCGCCATTGGGAATTTATCCAAAGGCAAGGAAATTACTATATCGGAGGGATACCTGCATTCCCATGTTTATTGCAGCACTATTCACAATAGCAAAGATAAGAAATCAGCCTAAATGTCCATCAATGGATGAATGAATAAAGAAAACGTGATACATAAACACAATGGAATACTACTTGGCCATAAAAAAATGAAATCCTGGCATGTGCCACAACATGGACAGAGCTGGAGGTCATTAAATTAAGTGAAATAAGCCAGGCACAGAATGACAAATATCATATGTTCTCGCTTATAAGTGGAAGCTTTATTTTATGGAGGTAGAGAGTAGAATGATATTTACCAGATGCTAGGAAGGGTGTGAGTGGTTGGGGATCAGGGATAAAGAAAAGTTGGCTAATATGTAGAAACATACAGTTAGACTGAAGGAATAAGTTCTAATGTGTGGCAGCAGAGTAGGGTAACTACAGTTAATAATGAATTGTGTAATTGAAAATAGCTAGAATGTAGGACTTGAATATTTCTAACACATAGAAATGGTCAATACGCAGGATGATGGATACCCTAAATACTGTCATTTGACCATAACATATTCTCTACATGTAACAAGACATCACATGTACCCCATTAAATATGCATAAATATTATGCATCAATAAAATATTTCTAAAGTTTCCATATTAACCTCCTGACATTTATTTATTGGTAAGCTTGTATTTTCTGTCTCTTCCACTAAAATGTAATCTCTATGAGGGCAGGAAAGTTGTTTTTTTCATTGCTATAGCCCAGCTCAGAAATAATGTCCTGAACATATTAGATATTTATTAATCATTACAAAATGAATTAACATGAGTCAGAATATTGATAGGTAAAGCAACCAGAAGGAGTGAGAATTCTCCTAGCCTGTAGAACTCAACAGCGATAAGATTATACTAGCATATTTAAACAATAAGTGGTTTATTCAGAAGAGCTTATCATGAATGCTGAGAAAAGAGTGTTTTTTCGATTTTTCTGGGACTGAGTGAAATCATAGTCTATTTTGGAGTACAGAACAAAGTGTTGCAGTCTTTATTGCAAGACCAATGCAGTCGTGAAAGATGTGTTATGCATTCTTAGTATGACGTCATTAAAACTTTCAGTTCTCTTAACTTCCTTGGACTGATTCAATACCAAACAGGCAAGTCATATTTTCCCATGTAAGACAGCTGTCATGGAGATCATATGCTACTCATATCCAGTTTTTCAATAGAAACTTCACATAGTAGATTGGATCAGAATTTCCAATTATGATTTCTCCTCTTTTATGTAGTTTTGCCACAGGAAAAATTATGATGATCATAAGTGCTTTGAGTAATTCCAGTTGCAGTGACAGTAATATCTCATTGTAAGTTAATAAATTGACATTATGGTTGCCTTTCCATTCTCTATGAATAGATTCTCTGAGACTTCAAAGAAGAGCACAAAGTCTAGATGTCCTTATCCTGACAGCTTTCCATTTCACCATTTTCATCTTATAGTTCGATTAATTCCTGCTAAGGATATCAAAATATTCATTTTGTCTTCAGCAGAGTATAAAGCAATTATATCTACATTATTTCACATAAAAATCATGGAAAATGATGTCATCACTGCATTTTTATAGATGAGGAAAGACCAGCAACCTATGTTAAATTTTTCAAGGTTGAAGGGACAATAAGTACTTTAGTTATTCACTCAACAATTTATTGATTCTCTGCTATAAACCACACACTGATCATTTTTGGGAGACTCCAATGACTAAAACAGCATTTATTTTCTAGCTAAGGAAGACACATATAGCTATATACTAAATAAGAAGGTAAAATGTGCTTTGAGAAAAAGAATAGAAGAGAGTGAGTGTATTCTGGAGGTTCGATGGTGGTCAGTGTAAGCATGTTTGAAAAAAAGGCATTTGAATCCTGAAGAAGAGACTTGAAAAAGGTAAGGATGTTAGCTCTTAGAGTATTTTAAGAAAAGTATTCCAGGAAAGGAAATATCAAGTGCACAGATGTCAGTGTAAGAAATTATCTGGCATGTTTCAGAAACAAAGAGGATAGTAAGGACATCAAATAAATGAGGAAGAATGCTAAAAAATAAAAGTCAGATGGTCAAGGTATGTCATTCATATGCTTTTATAGGCCGTTGTCAGTTACCTTTTACTCTGGGTGAAATGAGGAGCTACTGAAGGGTTTTGAACAGAGTGACATAATCAACCTTATGTTTTAAAAAGATCTTTCTGGTATAAAAATAGACACATAGATCAATGACACAGAATAGAAGGCCAGAAATAAAGCCACACACCTACAGCCAACTGATCTTCCACAAAATCAAGGAAAACATACACTGGAGAAAGGACACCTTATTCAATAAATGGTGCTGAAAAAACTGGATTGTCATATGCAGAATAATGAAACTGGACCCCTATCTTTACCATATACAAATATTAACTCAAGATGGATTAGAGACTTAAATGTAAGACCTAAAAATATATTTTTTAAAAAAACTAGAATAAAAACTAAGAAAAACTCTTTTGGACATTAGCCTTGGCAAGTAATTCATGACTGAGACCTCAAAAACAAATGCAACAAAAACAAAAATAGACAGATAGAACTTAATTAAACTAAAAACCTTGAGCACAGCAAAATAAGTAATCAACAGAGTGAACAGACAACCTGCAGGACAGGAGAAAATATTTGCAAACTATGCTTCCAACAAAGGGCTAATATCCAGTATCTTCATGGAACTCAAACAAACAACAACAACAACAACAACAACAACAACAACAACAAAATAGCTCATTATAAAGTGGGCAAAGAACATAAAAAGACTTTTTTTTTTCAAAAGAAGACACACAAACAGCCAACAAATATATGAATAAATGGTCAGTATCGCTCATCAGAGGAATGCAAATTAGAACAATGAGAAATCATGTTACACCAGTCAGAATGGCTATCATTAACAAGCCAACAGGCCGGGTGCGGTGGCTCATACCTGTAATCTCAGAACTTTGGGAGGCCAAGGCAGACAGATCACTTGAGGTCGGGAGTTCAAAACTAGTCTGGCCAACATGGCGAAACCTCATCTCCACTAAAAATACAAAAATTAGTAGGGCATTGTGGCACGTGCCTGTAATCACAGCTACTCAGGAGGCTGAGGCAAGAGAATTTCTTGAACCCAGGAGGCCGAGGTTGCAGCGAGCCAAAATCATGTCACTGCACTTTCAGCCTGAGTGACAGAGTGAGATTCTGTCTAAAAAAAACAAAACAAAACAAAAAAAAAACAAAAAAAAAAACAGGCAGCAAATAGGCAAATAGCAGATCTTGGTGAGGATTGCAGAGCAAAGGGAATGCTTATATACTCTTGGTAAGAATGGTAAGAATGTAAATTAGTACAAACTCTGCAGAAAATGATATAGAGATTTATCAGATAACTAAAAATCGAACTACCATTTGGTTTAGCAATCCTGCTACTGAGTATCTACTCCAAGGAAAATAAATCATCATAGCAAAAAGGTACCTACACCTGTATGTTTATTGCAGCACTATTCACAATAGCAATGACATGGAATCAAACTAAGTGTCCATAAAAGAAAGACTGTATAAAGAAAATATAACATATATTTGACATATCTATATGTCACATACATAGATATATATGTCACACACACACATATATATATATGCCATGAAATACTACTAAATCATAAAAAAAGAAATCATGTCTTCTGCAGCACATGGATGAAACTAGAGGCAATTAGCTTATGTGAAATAACTCAAATAGAAATTCAAATACCATATGCATTCACTTGTGAGAGCTAAATATTGTGTACACATGAACATAAAGAGTGTGATAATAGTTATTGAAGACTCCAAAAGGTGGGATGGTCGGGGGGTGTGAGGGATTAAAAATTACTTAAGGGAGACAAGGTACAATATTCAGGTGATGGCTACACTAAAAGACCAGACTTCACCACTATACAATATATCCATGAAACAAAACTGCATTATTACCTCTCAATCTATAAATAAATAAAGGCAAATAAATAACTCTGTTATAGTGAAAATAAGCTGCAAAGTGAGGCAAGAGTAGAAACAAGGATCTAAAATAATAATGTAGGCTGGGGATTCTTCTGGCTCAGATCAAGATGGTAGCAGTAGAGGTAGTGAGAATAGATGAATGTTGTACATATTTGGAAGTAGAGTCAACAAGACCTCCTGAGAGTATATTGTGTGGCAAAAGAAAAAAATCAAGAAAGAGTCAAAGGTTTTAGGTATGAGAACCCAGAATGATGAGATTACCTTAGAGATAAGAAAGGTTGGCCGGGCACGGTGGCTCATGCCTATAATCCCAGCACTTTGGGAAGCCAACGCTGGTGGATCACGAGATCAAGAGATTGAGAACGTCCTGACCAACATGGTGAAACCCCATCTCCACTAAAAATACAAAAATTAGCTGGGTGTGGTGGTGCGTGCCTGTAGTCTCAGCTACTTGGAAGGCTGAAGTAGGAGAATCACTTGAACCCGGGAGGCAGAGGGTACAGTGAGTTGAGATCACACCATTGCACTCCAGCCTGGCAACAGAGTAAGACTCTGTCAAAAAAAAAAGTAAGAAATAAATAAGAAAGAAAGAAAGAAAGAAAGAAAGAAAGAAAGAAAGAAAGAAAGAAAGAAAGAAAGAAAGAGAGAAAGAAGGAAAGGCTGTAGATGAAAAAGTTTTTCTTTCTTTTTTTTTTTTTGTAGAAAGAACCAGAAGTCAGCTTTGAACAGGGGAATTTAGGAATGTCTATTAGACATCTAAATGGAGAAGTTGTGTTGGAAGCTAGAGATATAAGTATGAAATTCAAGAGAGAAATATAAGATGGAGAAATAAATTTTGGAGTTGTAACATATACATGATACACAAGGCCATGACACTGAAGACAATCACCAATGAAGGGAATGTGGAGAGAGACAATAAGAAGACCAAATGCAAGAAGACCAAATGCTGAGTCTTAGGTAAACAGGAAGAACCAGACAGTGTCAGAAAAGCTGTTACAGAAGTTAGAGGGAAATCAAGCGAGTATGATATGTTGTATGCCAAGTGAAAAAAGTGGATGAAATCCAAGAGTGGTAGAACATATCAAATGCTGCTGGTAAGTTAAAATGGAAAGAATTAATATTATCCTTGGACTAGCCTAAAGAGTCAAGGTATCCCTAATAAAAGCAATTTCAGTAGAGTGATGAGATGAAAACATGGCTAGAGTTGATTGAATAAAGTATTAGAAAGGGAATTAGAGTCTGGTGGTACATTCAACTCTGAGCAGCTTTATAGCAAGGCAGTGGAGAAATGCGAAAGGCACTAGTAGAAGAAGTGGGGTCATAAACGAATTTTTAATGTTTCTTAATATTTAGAGTGCAAAGACACCATTTTATGATGATAAGAAGTGATTCACAAAAAGAAAATATTGTTTTGAGCAAGATTTTTGATTTGGACATGGGGATGGAATCTACTGAATGGAAATGGTAGTACTGGCTTATGTAGGAGCATTGGCAGTTCACCTAAGTTAATAAGTGGCAAGGCTAAGTATGGACTCAGAGTGGTGGGTAGCTTTAGAAGTATCTTCTGGGTGGGAGTCTTTAAAATTTATCTTCTAGATGTTTCCATTGTCTAAGTAAAGTAGAAAGCAAGGTCATCAGTGAAGATGTGAAGATAGGAGGAGAAGTTGGTGATTTTAGAGCAGTGAGAAATTGAGTAGTCTACGACCTGGATGTGTATCCAGAGCACCATTAAAAGCCTATTTAAGATCAAGCATAATACATTTAAAGTGAGACCAGGCTTCACGGTTATACTCAGCTGCTCCAGTGCAATTTCATAAAAGGTTTAGGTTTAATTTGGGTGGTGCTTAGCTTACCACATCGAATGAGAGAGCCAAGAGGTCTGAAATTATGTGACCATAGAAATCTAACTTAGATAACAGGGGAAAAAAATGTCACTGAAGTTGCTCATGCATTCTTGTATTCCACAAATGTTTTGATCATTCCTAATAAACATGCACTGTGTGAGGTCCTGTATGAAATTCAGAAAAAAGCAGGCATGTTTTCTGACATCATGGAACCTACTTTTTATATGGGAAGATGAACAAAAAATTAATATAACTTTTAATTCAGAATTGAATAAATATGATTAAGGAAACAAGCTGTGTGCTGATATAGGAAATGCACCTGTATGTTTTGCATTCATATGTGTGTATGTGTCTGTATGTATGCCTATGTGTGTGTTTATGTGGTAAGCAGTTAACTTAGATAAGGTGATCAGAGGTCTCTCTGAGGAGATGTATGCAAACTGAGACCTGAAGAATGAGTAAGAACTTGTTATGTAAAGAGCAGAAGGTAGGTGTTTAAGGTACAGGAGAGTATCTTGACAAAATCCAAAGGCAGAGAAGAGGTTGCTTGGCATATTTAAAGAACTAACGGGAGTCCAGTGTGGTTGGTGCATAGCAAGCAAGAAGTTGTTACAGGATCCGTTTGGAAAGAAAATAAGGAGCCAGGATGAAGGCAGAATTCAATATCGAATTTAATTAGTTTCATACGAATTATCTTTCTATTGTACCACATTCAAACATTCCAGAGTCATTAATAAATATAATTCTTCAAGTTTAGTTTATAGGCCTTGATTTCCTTCAAGAGTTATACTGGAGCACTTATTCTGACTAGTAGTAATATCCTCCCTTCTCCAGACCCCTTCAGTAAGTATCTGTTCAGTGTTTCCCTGTAGACCATGGCTCTGTGGTTTGCTCTCTAGAATAATTGGATACATTAATCTATGCAAATATATAAATGACTCCTAATGGCTCTGGGCATTAACTCTCCCCCGAGCATTTATATTTCAACAGGAATTTTCTAGTGACACAAAGGAGTGACTCTATTAGTGTACATTTTAGACACAGAACAGGCCATTTTAGTGTAATTCAAACGTAGTATTTTTCTAAATTCCTAGCTTAAGAAGTATTCTCAATACAAGAGATATTGAGAAATGTATACTTAATGTAGTACATTTGTTCCATGCTGGTCTAACAGCCATTGAGCACGAGGCTATCTGCAGATGACCTGTCTATATTGTTGATGTACTTTGCTGCTTATATAAAGTCCTTGTTTTTTAAGCTTCCCAAGTCATTCAGGAAGACTTAACTCTATATATAGCATTTTATTCTTTTTTTGTAGAACTTGTTACAGTCCTTATCGATTGCTTAGAAAGAATATAAATCTTTCAGATGAGAGTATTATGCAGTTTTCATGGTTTGTAAGTGAAATTGGAAGTCTAAAATGCTAAAAGAGGAAAAGCATTCTCAGTTGAGTCAATTACAAGAGGAAGTGTTCCTTGAAAATAGGACATGTAAGTATAGTTGGAAACTTGTTGGTCTTATGAATTTCTGGGCACTGTGAGAACCAAATAAATGGATGGGCAAATGAGATAATAAAATAATAACTGATTGCTCAGTTGTTAAAGCTGTTTTCTTTCCAAAGGGAAAGCAACCCTAAGAAACAATGGATAGGTCCTTAAAGCCAGTTTTTGTAACTAAATTGTGTTCTGTATTAATGTAATGACCTCAAGTCATCTTAATGCAATGAGACAAAAAAAAGAAAAATTGGACTCTAGACAAGGAGATATGATCAGCTCTCAGAGATAATGAAATAAAAGTAGGCAAAGAAACTCAATGAAAAAGGAATTCTTTCCTATCATTGTGCACCTTTGACTCCTTTGCTTTGAACAATGCCTGAAACATAAACATTTGTTAAGGAAATAATATTGAATAAAGAGGAAGGATTAGGAGAGCAGAGGAGTAAGATAAGAAAAAATAAAAATGATTGGCATTAGCACAATGTTTTTAATTTTTCATGAAAATTTTCTTTTGTTAATCATTTTAGGTCAAGAAATAGTAGTTAACAAACATAGAGAATTTTTATAAAAGACCACTAGAACACCTTTGATTAGTTATTAGTTTAGTTGCTCACCAGGACTCTAAAGTTACTATAGCAATATTTAAAAATGATTAATGCTTTCCTAGAAATGTATTTGCTTACTAATTTTCCATTTAATGAATATTTTATATCATCTGCCATATGTTCAACATTCTATTTAGGTCTGGGATACACTAGTAATAACATATTGGGCATTTTTAACCTTTATGACACTTTAATTTGACAGATAATTATCTAAACAATTATTTAATTTCATAGACATTAGTGATATTAAAAATATTCAACATTCTAAAAGAATGCATAAAAGAAAGGCTTATTTTTGGGAAGTCAAAAGAGGCGCTCTTGAGGAAGCAATATTTAAATTTAAGTTTAAGAGAAAACTATGAGTGAATGAAGCAAAGATGTAGGTGAAAAAATGAAGAGCATTCTGGGTAAAATATGGATGAAAATGCTGTAAGACAGAAAAGGGCTTGACTAGTTCGTGGATCTAAAATAAGGTGGATGTGGTTGATGCCCAAGAAAGAAGTGGCAAGTGTGGAAGCTGAAGACATAAATAATAGCAAGACCATGAGAGTCTTCATTTTGTTCTTAGAATTTTTTATGCTAAAAATAATACAACACTAGGAACCATCAAACAGAGATTACAGTAGTCCAAATTTATAGTTTTCAAGATTTTTTTTGGTTCTGTGTAGAAACCAATTTTAAAACAAGTCCAAATTGGAGATGGGTGTGGCTTAGAAAAAGATGACAGAAAAGTTTATAGAGAGTTGGGGACAGTTTTAAAACCTGTTATAAAGGTAGAAACAACAGAATTTTGTGAGTGGTTTAATGTAGAAGTTTAAATAGGTATCATGAATTATTCATGGGTTTCTGGTATGAGATGCTGGTGGATCGGGTGCTTTACCACGAGAAGGAATCCTGGAAAAAGTAAACATCTACTACGGAAAATCAGCTATTAAAGTTGATGCATGTTTAGTTTTTCTGCCTTGGAACTAACAAATGGAAAAGTTAAGCAGGCTGTCAGTAATATTCATCTTTCTCTCACAGAAGAGTATAAGACTGTAGGTATCTAAACCCTTAGCCAGGCCTGCAAGATCTTCAAAGATCTGGTGCCTGGTAATGTATTTAGCTCTCGCTTGCCTTCCTACATATTATACCATTTGCTTCACCCTTGGTCTTCTGGTTCCCAAAATGCCCCAGCTTTGTCACTTGTTGTGCTGTCTTGTCTCGGTGCCTATACTTTTTGTTTTAGCAATCCCTCCTCTTCACCAGCCTAATTCCTATGCATCTTTCAAAAATAAGTGCAGAGATTATCTGCTCTAAACTATGACACAAAATTATGGCAGGCAATTGTTTTGGACTGAGCTCCTGCCCTGGGCCTAACAGATGAGACCAAACCAAAATGAAGTCACTCACACTAGATGCCACAAAACCAAACTGAAATTTTAAGCAAGCAAATAGACCCGTGAACAGACCAATACTTTCTGAAAGCAAGAGATTCCATTCTACCTGAGTCAGTGTAATAAAGAAGTCTCCTCTGCTTTAACCCTTACAAAGACAGTAATGTGAAGTAACCTAATATTAACCAATCTGCTTTTCCTTTCTATTATTATAAATTCATTGGTTACTGATGTTGAGATTGTTGCCAATAAATAAGGGGAACAATTACTCCTTGGGATGAACACTGGTATCAAATAATATATCTAACTCTTTTCAGTGATAAAGGGATCTTACGTTTTCAGAACTGAGGTATATTTGAAAGAAGAATAACTCTAAGCTGAATATAAGGGAGAAAATAAAGCCATATATATCTCTCAATTATTTTAGACAAAAGGCTATTTAAAAGCCTCAGTCAGTAGGGTAACAAACAGATCTAGAGAAGGATTGAAAAATATTTATTTCCTATCTCAATTGTGAAAAAAGTATCCTTGATAGGTGTTATTCTTTTATAATTTGAATGATTTTCAAACTGTACTAATACGAATTTCCTCTTAAGAGGTCATTAAGTCAGCCACATTGAGTTACAGTTATGTAGCAGAAGCAGGTGGAAGGTAAATTATTTCAGACTTTTACCTTCTGCAAGCAGGATACCAATGGAAAATTGCTAACCAATATTCCCATTAGAAAGGCCACAAAATGAAATGATAGGAAAATCGGATCAAAAGTAATAAAGTACTCTATGTTTCCATTTTCAAACTTCTTCTTCTAAAGCTGTTTTATTTATAGCCAGATAAAGGTATGATTGTAGCTATCTGTTAGTACTGAATGTCCAGGTATCTTAATCTCAAGTGATAGATGTGTCTCATGGATAACTAAAGGAGACATCATCATATACTTCTCATTTCTCCTGTTTGAAGGAGTCATTTATGATTTATTCACATCTACTGCCCTGTTCAAGCTGTTAGACGTGAGAGGTTGATGAACAAGAGGCTGGTTTTTGAGACACCAATACATACAAAGCTTAAAGAATAACAGAAAATAATAAACAACTGAGTGAATTTCTGATATCATAAATTATATATTATATTATTGAATTTTCCAACAAGATAAAAGATTCAGAGATTTTTCCAAAGATTGTCCCTTTTGTGTAACTTACAGTGTGTGGTACAAAGCTATTGGCATTCTGGAATTAAGATATTTAGAAAATGGACTTAGAGAATTACCAAGCAACAGTTGCAGCTAACCACTTCTAAAACTTTACAAAGTAGTTTCTTTCTCTTTAGAAACAAACCTCAACTTGTTGAGGAAGTCCTTTCCAGTTATCACATACTAATTGCATGTACTAAATCTATCTAATCGATTTACTTCAACTGATGAGGTGGTCTTAATAAATAATCAGACATTTAAAAATAAGTATGTTTTATATATGTCAGCAATGGTATGCAAGCAAATATTCTGGGGCCTTTTGGGAAAGAATACAGGAGTATAATCTACAGCATACCACTTAATATATCAAGTAGGATCTTGAATTAAAATTTCTTGATAAGCATAATAGAAACTAGATGATCTTACCCATGGGTGGGGTGAGGATAAGATATATTCAGACTGAGGGAACAAATAGGGTAAGTAATGGGGAGTGGTTAAAGGAGCTCACCATCCAGGCAACCAGTCAGCCATGAGGCTATATGCCTCCCTCTCTGGGAAATAATGCTTGATGTGTTTTTAATACCAGTGTGTTTCTGACAAAGAGTACTACGGTGGACTCTGCTTGAAAATTTCCAGCCAATTCTTTAAAGTAGTTTTTTGAATGAGTAAAGCAATTTTAAAGGCATCTTTTGTGCTTTGAATGAGGGAGAAAACTTGTTCCCCAATGCAAAACTTCTGCAGTATATTATGACAGAAAGAAAACTGGGTAGGAGGAATAAAACATGGGTGGTGTTTTGGCTCTAGCAATATTTTAATACCTTAAATGTCAGTTTCCTAACCTTCAAGATGAGAATGATGGATAATATTATGTCTATATCTAACGTTCCAAATGCACCATTAACATGGCTAAATAACTCTGCAGTAGAAAATTCAGAGACTGACAGAAGTGAGCAAATACATATATAATCACATCAATTTTATTATCCAGAGTACAATTTTATTATCCAGAGAAACTTCTCAAATGCAGATAGATATCCATTATTAGATACTGAAATCACTTAATGGATTCCAACCACCATTTACCAGAAAGAAATAGAATAGATAATACCAGACTACCCGGCAAGAAGTAAGGACAAATACTGTCTCTTGAAGCTTCTGTTGTGGTACGTTACATATGATAGATTTGTGTGTATGTGTTCTGGGTCATAGAGTAAATTATATTTATTTTCCATCAACATTGCTATTATTTTCAAGCCACTTAGTCACAGTGTCTTTATTTGAGCTTACGGAGAAAGGAAGCTTCCACTTACCTATAGTAGGGTCATGATAATCAGGGAACTGATGACTAATAAACTGCATTGTCATTGCTGAAAGAAAAAAAACACATTTTGTTTAATAAAAATTCACTAATTCATCAATAAGTTATTTACCAACATAGTCCACCAATCTTTTAAAAGGTTATGGTGAATAAGTTAGTTATGTGAGTGACTAATTTAATTTCACACAAAATGAAAACAATAAGACGAAGTTCTAGAGGGAAAAATGTGTCAGATAATGCCAGATACTTCTCTGAAATAAATATGTTCAAATTTTAAGTGTATTTCAATAAAAATGGTATTAGAGTAAAAATAAAGAAGCTCTTGACATAATGAAAATGTAAACCAGTTACAGAATCCCTCTTGACCTTCTCTGGTTGAACAGTTGGTAATGATGTGCAAGTCCCTTTCACCAAAGAATCTGTACATTCTCTGGGACTCTAAGTTTTTCATCTTTAAAGTGAATAGATACCCTCTGAAGTTCTTACGAACTATAAAGATATGTAATTACATTATTTTTGTCTTTAACTGTTCAAAATTAAAATTATTTCAGTTACTTTTATTTTGCCTAATTTATGTTATCGACCACCTTTTCTTCATTACTTTTTTTCTGTAATTCTGTACCCTCCACATTATTTCCAAACCTATGATTTTGTAAAACATTTGTAATATTTCTATTGTAAAGTATTTCCTCATGTGAATTTCCATTATTAGGAAGCAAAAGGAACTCTGAAGCAAAACAACAAACTTATATAAAAATAGTGTATAATAGCTCTTCTCTTTCTTTTTTCCTCACTTCTGCATGTGTGTTTGTTAACAGACTCTCTCCTTGAGCAAATTTTAGGTAAGATCCTAAGCCTTCTTCTCTACTAGGCCTCAAACATGGACCCTGTCCTTGCATTCTGGCTGGGTCTATATATCCCACTTGTCAAATCCTGCTAAGTCAGTTTAGAGAGACTCCTCCCCTGATATCTGATCCTCTGTCCTACCTTCAACAAGAATCCTGCTAAGTCAGTTTAGCAAGAATCTTCCTCCCCTTGATGTCTCCTCTTAGGAATTTTCCATGCACAGGTGTAACCCCTCCCCTCTCACCTTCCTCCTCCTCTGTGCCTTGCCTATACATCTCTGCATGTCCTTTCTGTGTTTGGAATTGAGCCCAGTTCTATACTGAGGACTCTTTTCCCTTATGGAAATAGTTCCTGGATTAAATTTATTTTTATTGCTTTAACTAGTGTCCAGCTCTGGTTGTTTTTAAGTGTGTACACACTTTAGCAAATATTCAGAGCAGAGAAGACTTAGTTACATTCAACAAACATGTGGAATGCGCTAGTCTGACCCTGCTGAGAAAAGCAAAGAAATGGAAACTGACCCAGTGGAAGAGAATTTCTGTTTTATGCTTTAACAATTGTTTACTTCCTTTATTTGCAGTGACAAAAGAAGTCTCTACATATAAGTATTACTCAATTTGACAGCTTTGGGCAAATTTTTGAAATGCAAATCAACGTTCCTTACAGATAGCCTGAGGAGTTAGAATACTTCAGGTAAACAAACTGAAAGCAACATGTTTATTAAGTGGATATGAAGAAGCATTTGGAAAATGCTTTTCCTGAGTTTTAAAATGGCAGTTGCCTCCCTCTCTTAGTTCCTGACTGAAGTTAGTTCCTGAACTTCAGTCAGGCTCCTCTGAACCCTCTTCTCACCTACACCTAAACTTTCGTACTTCCATATTCATCTTTTCATAACCCAGATTTAGCAAGAATACTGCTAAATCAGTTTAGAGAGCATCCCTTACCCTTGATATCTGATCATTCTCAATACCTGATCAAATTCTTCATCCCCACCACTCCTCAAGGAATATTTGATTTCCCTGCCTTCAGCAAGAATCTCATTAAATTTGTTTAACCAGAATCACCTCTTCTGGATATTTCTTAGTAATTTTTCCATCCACTGACCCCAATCCTGCTTCTCGGCTATACACCCGCCTTAGTGCTTGCTGTATTTTGGAACTAAGACCAGTTCTATATGTAGTTCTTTATCCTTTGCCATAGCTCCTGAATAAAATCTGTTCTTACCAATTTAACTAGTCTCTGGCTCTGATTTTCTTTAACAATGTTAAGAATGATTGATATCGCTACTCAAATGTCACACCATTCTATTCACACATTTAAACCTTCCTCTATCAGGTAGCAGTACACGATAGTCATGGAAGCTATCAAGAAGCAATAGAAAGAACTGTTATGGGCTAAGTTAATTGCTATGCAATTGGGAAGGAATTGTGGAGCCTGAAGAAATTTTGAACAAATTTAAGAAAGAAGATATGAAAGCATTTTAATAAATAATAGAAATATTTGGATATTAGACTTGAGAAACATACAGCCAACATCAGAAATAAATGAATCAGTCAGGGACTTACCTGTTACAGTTATTTATAAGAACACCTAGGCCGGGAGCAGTGGCTCACGCCTGTAATCCTAGCGCTTTGGGAGGCCAAGGCGGGTGGATCACCTGAGGTCAGGAGTCCTAGAACAGCCTGGCCAACATGGCGAAATCCCATCTCTACTAAAAATACGGAAATCAGCCGGGCGTGGTGGCGCATGCTTGTTATCCCAGCTACTCAGGAGGCTGAGGCAGGAGAATCACTTGAACCTGGGAGGTGGAGGTTGCAGTGAGCCGAAATTGTGCCCCTGCACTCCAGCCTGGGTGACACAGCCAGACTCCATCCCCCGCTACCTCCCCCCGCCAGCCTGCCCCGCAAAAACAAAACAAAACAAAACAAAAAGTATATATTTACATGATGGAGTTTGTGCTTTAATGGAAACCTGCTGCTTGTTGTATAATTGAAAAAAGCCCTTTAAATGTGGAATCTTCTGACCCACCGCTGAGACAGAATCAAAGCAAAAGGAGCCAGCTGAGCTTTGTTTCAGAATTCAAAAGATAATTTTAGAAAGATTGATTTGTATAAGTTTCTTTTGTGTTTTACAAAGTGGATCCCCTATAGGACATCTAACAGGCATTTCCATTTGGGGGAGATAATTTATAAAAAACAATTTTTGAAAAATCTCTCCTAAGTACCTATCAAGCTCAACCTGTTATCACACTGGAGAGAATCTGCTATCAGTCAGACTGGAGATTAAATTTTATTTCATTTTATGTTACACAGTTTTATATCCTTAGAAAATTGGCATTCTATTATTCCTTGCTAAAGAGCAACTTCATAAGAAACTCAAACAACATAATTCTATCCTTTTTTCAGATATTTTAATTGTACTGACTTTATAATATCTTAATACATTGGTTCTAAAAATCTAATAACAATGGTCTATCTTTTACTCCCAAAACATTCATTTATATACACACAAGAACACAATATTGAGAAATAGGTAACGATCAACATGTCCCAAGTAAGAACAGTTGTCCTAGAAAATACCAGCATAAGTCATAAATCAATATTTTGATCAGAATGTTAGAGTATCAATGAACAATGCAATTGTGAATTGTGGCTTTTATTATTTAAAAGTTTCCCTTATCTCATTTAATTATTTTTATCATTTTGGTCTGATCAAAGTTATAATCACTGCATTAACTTTGTTTCTATTTTGGGGGTTTATTCCTAATTTTTCTTTGAATTTACAATCGTAAATCACTGTGTTTCAGGAGGTTCTTGGTATATTACAGTGCTGGATTTTTTGTACCAATTTAAAATTTGTTTTATTTTAATAGGCAAGTTAAGTCCATTCACATTCTTGTACTCATGTTCTTATTCTTGTTTTAGTCTAAGGTTTAAAATTGAATATAATAAATCTTCATCAATTACCTATTTTTTTTCAAAGCTTTACCAATCTTCTCTTGATTGGATGGAGGAATATATACATATATATTTATGATAGAATTCATGGGTACAGTATTTCCAGGGTTCTTGCCTACTTAGAACTATTTTTCTATAGCCTTGATACTTACAAGACAACTTGGCTGGATATAAAATACTTGTCCTGCACTTTTCTGAACCATGTTAACTGTTTGGTCTGTTTTTCTGGAGATACTAAGGATTCTTTTTTCTTTATAGTCCGCTAGTTTTACTAAGTTATGTCTTGAAATTAATAGTTTCAGGCCGGACGCCGTGGCTCATGCCTGTAATCCCAGTACTTTGAGAGGCCAAGGCGGGCGGATCACGAGGTCAGGAGATCGAGACCATCCTGGCTAACATGGTGAAACCCCATCTTTACTAAAAATAAAAAAAAATGGGCTGGGCATGGTGGTGGGTGCCTGTAATCCTAGCTACTCGGGAGGCTGAGGCAGGAGAATAGTGTGAACCCGAGAGGCAGAGCTTGCAGTGAGAAGAGATTGCGCCACTGCACTCCAGCCTGGGCGACAGAGTGAGACTCTGTCTCAAAAAAAAAAAAAAGCAGTTTCAGATTTTTTTTTTCAGGTACAAGTGGGTCATTTCAATAAGTAAACACATATTTTCTTTAATTTCTAGAACTTTTTATTGAATCGTGGTTTTTTTTTTTTTTTACATATTGTTGTTTTTATTCTTCAAGGATTTGACTTTTTATGCTGTTGAATATTTTTTGCCTGGTTTTCATTTCTACCACATTTTCTCTGACTTTTTAGACCTTGTAAAAATTATTATTAATCACATGTTAATTCTCTTGATTGTTTCCCTGCTCTCCAAATGTTTCAGTTTTCATTCCAAACTATTCTCCCAAGGGTACCTTGTGATTTGTCCCTTATTTCTCAGATGATTTTGTCTTTTCCTACAATTTCTTTTTTCTCAGTATATATCTTCTTTAAGTTATTTCTGTTTCTGAGTTTTTCAATTTCTGATTCTGTGTTTAAATTCATCTACACACGATTATTTGAGGATGTTTAATTCAGTTAAGCTTCTTGTAGTACATGTCAATGCTTTGTTAAATTTTGGGGGAGAATATTTATTAGCTTAAAACAGTTGATTCCCTCTTCTTTTTTCTTCTTAGGGTAGTTTTGTATCATGTTTGTGTCACCTTTTTTTCTCTGTTTCTATGCATTACATATTCAGTTATCACATCAAGGGTGTTGTCTTCTCTCAGGTTAGTAAACTGCAGGATTTTTTTTTTTATTTCAAATTAGGTAACATTGACAGGTGGTGAGGATCATAGAAGTAATTGTCATATATTGTTTCTCTTTGTTTTCAACAGAATCTTTAGTTTTCTTCATTACCTTCCTACCTTTTCCTTCACTGCCACATCTTGAAGATGAATACCACTTTTCTACTTATTTCCATCTCCCTGAGAAGCAGATTGTCAGTTCTGGTTCTGTTTACTGTCAAGGACATTATCACTGCTGTGAAACATAAACTTTCAGACTAATTTTCAGTATTTTGGCAATTAGCGTTATATGGCTTTCTTTCAAAAGATGATTTTACCAATATTTCATTTAAGTACTTGACTTTCCTCTCCTCTTTTTCTCAGTCTTTTAAGTCTTCCCTCTTTCCATCCTGCACAACCACAGCCTTGTAATGGCACCAGAATTTCTGTTGACATTTTTTTTTCTTTTCTTTTTTTTTTTTTTTTGAGACTGAGTTTTGCTCCTGTTGGCCAGGCTGGAGTGCAATGGTGCGATCTAAGCTCACTGCAGGCCCCGCCTCCTGGGTTCAAGAAATTATCCTGCCTCAGCCTCCTGAGTAGCTGGGATTACAGGCATGTGACACCATGCCCGACTAATTTTGTATTTTTAATAGAGACAGGGTTTCTCCGTGTTGGTCAGGCTGGTCTCGAACTCCTGACCTCAGGTGATCCACCCTCCTTGGCCTCCCAAAATGCTGGGATTACAGGCGTGAGCCACCACACCTGACCTCTGCTTTATTTTTCTACTTAGAGGTAATTTGACATTCATGGCATAGATCACATGTGGTTTAATTGTACTTTTTGTTGGTACTTTGGCTCTGCGGAAGGATGTATGGAGAAATTCAGATTCAAGAGGCCAACTATATTCTCCTATTCATTTCTCACTGACCAGTAAACCCTTATGTGTAAGATGGAGCCCACAAAATTCTTGAAGTATAGATCTTCAAAACTTGATGCTGAAAATGAGTAATTAATTTTTTCATGGAGAATTTAGGTCAAATATGAACTAAACACAATATATTTAGTTTCTCTTCTTATCTATGCATCAGATTATTTCAATTAGAGGACTAGAATCTATTTGTCTAAAAAGGCCGAGAGAAAAGTGTAAGAAAGACTGTCACTGGATACCAATTTGGTCAAGACCGCTTAGAACAAGAAAAATCATGCTGTCCGTTCCAAAAGATTTTAAAGTTCACCCATAAAACACCTATTGAGCATCTACTGTGTGCTAGATATTGGCAATACCAAATAAATAGGTGGAACCCTTCAAATATAGTGAATTCTAGATGTGTTTTAGACATCCTGAATCAGAAAATTAAGCTGCATGCATGTGTGAGTGTGGGTAGTGGAGAGATTGATGGAAATAGGTGCCCTGGCATAAGTAGAATGTATAAGAACGCTATTTCCTAGCTCTGTCTTATAAAGAATTTATTAGTGCGAAAGGCAAATGGCTGAACAAGCTTTTGGTGTCTTTGCTGCAATTATTTTTCACTTATGTCAAATGCAACATAAGTTATGCTGGAAGATGACCATTGTGTTCTATGGAGTCTTTCCCAGATCCTCTCATCAAGTGGTCTCTCAGCCCTCAGAACTTCAAGGCCTCCTCTGAGTTCTTTATGAAAAATTGGCAGAAAAGTGAAGTAAGAGAATTCAGAGAATTGTGTGACAGAATGTTAAGTAAAAAAAGTGCCATAAATATTGTACATTACTGTATCCACAGTCTATTATCAAAACTCAGTTACTTGGCTCCTCCTAACTACTATGAGATGGGGGTGCATGTTAGGAAGAAAAGAAAACAGGTTTGCTGAACACATAGCAGGCTTCAGCATAAGGGGGAAAAGGATATTTAAAGGAAAGGTGGAAATGTCAAATGAAGGAAAATGAAATGTTATACTTTCCCCCCCAAAAAAAAATCATTTTCTGAAAAAAATAACTTTGGCTTTAATGTTACTCTGTATCTTACTAGCTTCTATAAGAAATGCTTCTAAATTATCTGAATAAGCCCCTTTTAATTTTTGATGAATATTAACAGAAATTATTATTAAAAACCATACTTTTAAAAATTTTTGTAGGGTGTAAAACCTACATGCTAGAAATATATGTATAATTATATTTATTGCTTTTAAAAATTAATTATCTAGATAGGAGTACATCTGAAATAATATGTGAAGCGTTTTTTCAGGTTAACTATGTGGTCATCATAAAAATATCTGGGAAAAGAAATAACAATAGGAGGCTTTTTCTACTTTATGCACATAAACGCTTCTTTGAAAGTTGGTTAGTGGCTTTATGGATACAAAGAAAGTGAAGAGTGTGTATGAGTAGAGAAGACATTGGGTCTGAATATTTGCAATCTTTATAAAAGTAATTAGGGATGAAAATAAAGAATGCTTAGTAGACTCAATAGCCCTTTGCTTTAACTTCTAAAATTATTACAGTTAATTTATTACCCTTGTATAGCAAGTAAGAATACTACCCTACCAGAGAAATGGACATTACTTAACGGTAAGCCCTGGATACTGTTAGGAAGTACCTGATGGATTTCATATCAAAGACCCTTTTTCTTTATTAGTGGCTATATCATTAACATATGTTATGTAAATGTAGTGTTTCCAAGGACTTTATAAAATATTCATTAAGTACATATAATAAATAATGGCCAAATGCATCTTAAATGTTCATACAATGGCAGTGGTGACAGATTAAAAACAATCATTTTTTAAAGCAAACACATTTTGTGTGGACGTCTTTTTTCATGCACATATTTTTATTTAAATTTCCATTTTATTATTCAGATATTCCCATAATTTACTATTTCATTTTAAAGTTAAATATAAGTCAACTGCTTCTTACTTTGCATAATTCAGTATTAAATCATCAAATTTACTTCTCTGAAAATCTGACAATATTATATATCACCCTCCTTGGAATGTCAGTGGTATTTGGCCAGAGGCAGAGACTGTCAGTTATGAAAGAGGAAAATTATAGAAAGGGGTTATTTCCTACAAAATAATATATATATATAGCATAAGATCATATAACTCATTATTCCTCCTCCAACCCACACCCACTCCTCCAAAAAATACTTGATATTTATGCGAAGTACTAAAGTAAAGCAATTTAGAGAATAATACAATCTAAAAACTCAAAGACAGAAGATGGCAAATCACTGCTTTCCCTTTGAGAATTGATGTCCTGTCAGTGAAATGGGAAAAATGAGATTGGGAGACAGGTCACTAAGATTTAGCCCCATTTGTCTTGGTTTTTGGGACCATGAAAAAATTACTCAAACTCTCTGACTTAATTTTCTCGTCTGAAAAATGTGAAGAGGGAAGAGAGATAACTTAAAACCGCCTCCAAATTAAGCATTCTGCAATACCTCTTTCTTCATTTAATTGTTACCATCATCACCATTCCTTCCTCATCTATTTAGGATCTGGTTATTTCTCTTGTACTTCAGTCCTCTATTTTAATCATTCTGTTTCTGTCACATTGGCCTTCAGAGTTTGTCATACCTTTCAGTAACACCCTTTCCCAAGGAGAGTCTTTGTTGGTGCTTCTACCTCTGCCTGGAGAACTCTCCTCCAGATACCTGCATGGCTTGCTCTATATTTCTTTCAGATTATTACTCACTTGGGCCTTCTCTGCGAGGTGTTCTCTCATTACTGAATTTAAATCAAAACCCATTCCTCCTCCTTGGAACTCCCTATGTTCCCTTGCTGGCATTCTTTCATTCAAAAATAGTATGTGTCAGACGCTGTTTAGATAGTTGGGATATGTCAATGGACAAAACAGATGAAGACCCTTGCCTTCTAAAGGTTTACATTTGAGAAGAAGATGGGGAGTTGTGGAGGAGGACAGCCAGTGAAATTACACACACATTTGCTTACACAGTAATAGTATGTTTAATGGTGACAACAGCAACAAAAAATAAAATTATTATAGCACTGTTATTAAAATAAACATTTATTATGGTAGGTAGGATAAAATTCTATGACAATTAGATAAATACAGCATTTTCAACAAGAATAAGAACCATGTACCATTTTCCACTATTAAATAACTTGTTCATATAGTTTATAAAAAAGATAATAATGAGTATTAAATTATTATGTCTTTTATGTCCAAATATATTTACAAGAAATTATAGGATTTTTATTGAAGACATCATTATTTAAAATAAGGCAGAAATTATATCTTTTAAAACAATTTAAATTTAGGATAATATTTTATATATCAATTTAAAAGTATTTAAGTTTGATTTATAACCTTACAAAATTCCTTGAAGGAACAATTTAACAAAATTGTTTTGAGAGCCATGCAGTAACTTGGTTAGGTTACAGAGCAATATCAAGGAATCAAATTGATTGGGCCATAGGACCCCAAAGCCAGACTCTTTCCATTGTGCTAATTGGTTTTCATTAATTCCTTCCTCTTACCTGAAAATTTATGCACCACGTGGGCCATTGATATTTGCTGAGTAATAACACACATGTACACTAAATGTTAATTTTTGAATGAATAAATAAATAAATGCATCTAAAATTAACTTTTGACTCAAAGTCAAATTAAGGTAAAAGCAGGGAGACTGGGCTGGGCCTGGTGGCTCACGCTTGTAACCCAGCACTTTGGGAGGCCAAGGCGGGCCGATTACCTGAGGTCAGGAGTTCAAGACCAGCCTGACCAACATGGAGAAACCCCGTCTCTATTAAAAATACAAAATTAGCCGGGCTTGGTGGCACATGTCTGTAATCCCAGCTACTCGGGAAGCTGAGGCAAGAGAATTGCTTCAATCAGGGAGGTGGAGGTTGCAGTGAGCTGAGATAGCTGAGATAGTGCCATTGCACTCCAGCCTGGGCAACAAGAGCGAAACTCCGTCTCAAACAAACAAATAAATAAATAAATCAAATAAATAAATAAATAAATAAAAGAAAGCAGGGAGAGTGTTCTTTTATTTTCCCCTCAGCACACATATTTACAAACATTTTCTAAATTGCATTGAGTTGAGGATCAGAAATAGAGCTACAAGAATCCATAGCACAGGATCTTTCCCAAGGAAGACATGCCCAGAGGAAGCATGGCAGAACAGCACCCAGCACCTAGGCAGCCAAGCTGCTGAGCACGGAGAATAAGACTGAGATAACCACCAACCTGGAATGGCCCCAAACAGGAGTGATAGGATCTTTTTAAAGTCAAGGTAAAAGGGAGGTACTAAGAATAGTAAAATAGGGTCCTTGTGGAGTTTGGTAAAGATCTCCTAATTCTCTTTGCAGCTTTTAATACTGACAATGTTGATCTTCTGTACTGAAAGAATGTTGAATCAGAAATTGGGTAAGAGGTATCCCGATCCCACTTTAATGACAGCTTTCATTTTTTTTCTAATTAATGCATTTCTACAATGAAAGAAGTTCTCCTCTGTTTTCTCTAGGAATAATACAGGTTCTAAATTTCTATAAAATTAACATTTAGAAAGGGGTATTCAGCACTGGTGGTTTGGTGCTTTCCAGATCAAAAGCATAATTCAGCATATTTATATTAAAGTAATGAAGCTCATTAATGCAGGCTAATACCAAACCTATACTTCCCAGAGTCAGAATTTCTGAACCAATTATTTTCTTAGAACAAATCCATCACAGTTCAAAGATGGGAAGGGAATCTGAGATTGTGATTTAATTTGTTTATTTAGTCATAAGACATTTACTGAAGGGCTGGTATGTCTACCTTTCTATAGGTGTGTGGTTATAGGATATGGATGGTTGAGAAGAAAAGGACTGAGATTTGGGGGTTGAGGGACAGATTAGAAAACAGCATCATTTGGTTGGGGAAATGGTGTTCAACTAAGCAGCTGGATGAGAGCAGCACCTTTTGCAATTCATCATTTCCCTGAGTGTTTTTCCTTCTATGGAATGTTCCCCTTTACTTTCTTGACATTTCCCCACAAACTCACTGCTAATGGAAAGAAATTGTGCTTTCCAGGACTTTAAAAACTCTATTCATCTTCACTGACTGATTTTCAAGGATGATTGATGAGACACAAAAAGGCAAAGAATATTAAAAACTAAATATTACCAGTCATTATTTATTTGCTGTATGCTGACAGTTTATTTTGAACTTAAACAAAGAAGAAAAATAGACATTTTCACTAATATTTTCTCAAGTATTTTATCATTTAGGATAAACCTCATCTCCTTAGGTAAATGAAATACCTAAGGAGTATTTCAGTATGCAGTGCCCTGCATACCTGTGCCAACATACGTAAATACAACTCTCTCTGTAGTGCCATTCTTACAGCATAATAACTAATGGAGACAATTACTGGAGTCTCATCTACATGAATGGGTGGTAGTAACTACAGACAATTCCAAAGCATTCAGATTTTAAAATGTGTATAATTTGTCACAGGAGTTATTGTAGATGTTAACATCTAATCCATATGAGAATTAACATTGTTATCATTTGCCACAATAAGAATTTACTCTGTCTTGACACCCTGATCCTGCAATGAAAACATTTTCTGATATTTCAGATAATCATGTTAGTAACTAATGGGCACCAACGTATACCCGGGGCTGAAGGTTTTACTTTCATTGGTTTAGAAGATTATCAAAGCATTAAGGCACCCGTGATTTAAGTGTTGTAATATCTGCATACATCCTAAGCATTTTCTTTTGTTTGATGAATCTCTATCCTACTTGTAACAATTTTGTAAAAACACTTTGAGAAGAGATCATAGAATAGTCAACTACCTACCTTATCAGAAGGGCATTGGGAGGGCACAAATAATATTTTTACCTCACCTCTAATATCTTTTTACCTCCTGCCTGGAACTTCCCATTTTGTGCCTTGTATCATGAATGTGTTTGGCTTCCTAGACTCTTTTCTTAAGACATCATTAGCTTCCCTCAGCTTCCATAGTCCTTCATGAAAAAAACTGAAAATGGAGGATGCACCATATCCTGAATAAAAGGCACACTCTTTCATGGCCTTATCTAGACCATATCTATTTAAATTAATTACGGTAATAATGGTGATAATCTTTATAATATTATATTTTCATAGGGTTATTTTGGTTTATACATTATTTTAACTGTATTTTTCTTTTCACAACATATGTGAAATGACATCAATCTAAAGGCAATGGCTAATAGGCTGGGTGTCAGATGCAAGATAGGCAGTCCTGATAGGCTGGAATGATGGGACAAACCCAGAAAGATAAAATGTAACAGAATCATGCAAAAATCTTGTATTTTAGTCAATAATCAATGTGACAATTACAAAACTACAAGAATGAGTCAGTGCTGTATGACATCTGTTCAAATGAAAAAAGATGTGGAGGTTAGGATCAGATCTACATAATTATCTGACACAACATAAAATTTGAAGGATTTGCACAGTTTTAGAACAGATTGTGACCACATTATTAATTTTCAACATATCACTTGTTGGTCCACTAGGCTGGATTTGTTATGGTGACACAAACACAACCACTGACTAGATCAGTCCCTGGACTGGATTTCATCTTGCCTCCACAGTAAACATGCTTCGGCTCCACACAGTACCCTGAGATGAGCTCTGCCTAAAGCTGGGCTGCTTCTACTGGCTTCTAGTCACCTGACAGGCAGAGGCCTTGGCTCCCTAGAGACTGCGAACATGGTGTCTGGCAGACAACACAGGGTCTTCCACAGTCAACATTTACAGAACTGAATCATACCTATTCTGTCTAGAGCAGTGGTTCTTAAAATATGGTAAAATAACCCTTAGGGTCTGAGAGGCCCTTTCATAGGGTAAATGAGGTTCTCCCTTTTCCCACTTGTCTGTATAAAACCAGCTTTCCTTATGTACTCAACCAAAACAACATACTTTAGTATATTGAACACAGAAACAGATAGACAAATGCAATTGTCTTTTAAGCTATGCATCCATGGATAATTTAAAACAAAACTTCAGTTTTAATTTATAGTATGGTAGATATCAATAAAAATAATTCACATAAACAAAGCTCTTCAGGGTGCTCAGTAATTTTCAAGTGTTTAGTGTGATCCTCAGATCAAAAAGTTTGAGTGCCACTGATCTAAGGTAAAACTTCACCCTTCCAAATAAAAAAAAGCTATAATTACTCACACATCAATTAATAAGTATTTCAAAAGCCTATAATCAAAGATGACACAATTTGAAAACATACTTGGACTAGTTGTCTGTATGACTCCAGATCATTTCTTTTTTCTCATTTCCTTTTATTTTTCTACCGTTTCTCCTTTCTCAATGTCATATATTCATGGCTATTGTGCTTATATCTCTCCCTTTTTTCTTATAATCTTCCGCTTTTTCACTCATTTTGTCCCTCTTGCCATATCCAACTATTTCTCTCAATACTCTTTCTCCCTTTCTAGAACTTGCTGTCATTTTTTGCTTTTCCACTTCACCATTATCTTACCTGTGCATAATATCAAATTATAGAATTAAAAATTAATGCTGTGCTTAATCAATAAAGTTTTAGTAAATTTCTGCCAAATCACTCCCTCTACTCTCATCCCAAGACAGCTAATATTAAAATTTTGGTGACTAAAAACCAAAACAACACCAAAAATAAATTTACAAGTTGTACTTAAATGTAATGCTTGCATTTTTCTCTTGATACGCTTTTCAGTATTCTTAGGAAAACATAAAGAGAAAATCAAGTTAAAATAAAATAAAATTATTATATTTATAAACTAACATATGAGGAGTCTACAAATGAGAAGAGTAAGCAAAATGTGAAGAAAAAGGAAGAAGTTTCTTTGAAAAGGTTTGAAGCCAGGGGCTCAGAGAGATGGAACATGCCAGGGAGCCATGAAATGGAGCATGGTTAGAAAATTTGGGACAATTTAATAATAGATGTCAAATTTAAAGTTTTGCTTGCTTTGTGTTTAAATTATACTCCTTTGTTTCTCCTCTTTAATAAATTACATTACACAAAAATATGAGGGGAGTTCTACTGTTTAAACCCATCATGGAGTGGAGGCTGACTGGTCAAAGAGGAGGGCAGCCTTGGAAGCTGAGAGCAAAAGTTGAAGTACATGAGGCCAATGAAATGGCTGCAGATGTGGGCTGACTCAGGGATAACCCACAGGGATCTGCGATCTATCAAATTTGGAATCACTAAAGGTACAAAGAAGGTATACTGTCACAATGTGTGTTATGCTGGGACCTGAACAATTCCATGGAGACATTTTCAGACTTTTAAGCCAGTTCCTTTAACAACCATTTTATTATATGGTTGTATTATATGGGTTCGCTAAATTCAAAGCTAACTGATGTCAGGCTCCTGTTTCTTTTGTATATCTATAACAATAATACTAGTGTTAAACATGACATTAAGTGTAGCATGTATTCATTAAAAATTGGTGACTGGTTCTCTGCTGATATAAATAAATGCATCAAATATTTTGAAACCAATAATTCAAAGAATTAGGTATTTAGGTTGTGAGATTACACAAAACTGTCAGTCTGGGAAAATGGTTAAGGAAACAAGTGCTAGAAGCTTAAGACATTTCCTGGATATTTACACATTATGTGGCTTTAGGAGAGTTATTAAGCAATTAGTTCTCTTTCATAGTTGCCTCATCTATAATGTAGGGTTAATAATAATACCCACTATGGGGTTGTTATGAAAAGTAAGTGAAACAATATATGTAAAGAACTTAAACTAGTGACCAGACAATCGTAAGTTCTTGATAAACATTTACTGAGTTTACTTTTAAACCATTTTATTTGGAATGACTCAAATGATTTGTCTTTTTCAATGTTTCATCATGGTCTCAGGGTCTATCTAGCTAAAATATGATGTTTTTTATAAAACCACAGCTCACATATGTTCATATGATGTTGTCCCATCTGTTTGAAATATTACATTTCAATCAACTGGTGTTTCGCTTTAATGAATACACCTTGTTTGATGTTCCTTATATTATCATGGGAATGCCAGTTGTTCATTTTTCTGTTGTTTAATTAATGAATTAGTAGAGAAGAGAATATAACCAACAATCTGGTTTCTAAAATTGTTTCAACCACATGTTAGACTGAATTGAAAAATAGTTTGAATCTAGAGTAGTCACTCCATTTATTACTTGGTTAGGGTTGTTTTCTGTTGCTAGCTCTTCTTAATACATAAATTGTAGCATCACTAGTATGGCACTCCAACTCTCTGGAGGAAAAGTTAAGTGAATTATGGAGAGAAAACTGGCAAACCAGCACTGACGGACATGATGATAGTGAATCTTGGCTTGTGAAATTCCAAAGACAGTGTGTAGTTCCCTTTCATAAACAATGACACAATAAGAACTACCGGGAAGTTGTCCAGGGTTTGATAGAAAGATCATTGAGCAACAGTGTCAGTGGAGCTAAATTCTCGTAACTTCAAATGCTGCTTCATTAAATTAATTCAGAGAAGTCACAATGACAGCTCTAGCTCAATTTCTTTAGTTCTAAATCACAAGCACTGTACTAGATATGTTCTTTTTATTTCCTGTACATTTAATCAACAAACAACTGCACGACAGCTAGGTCCTCTGTTAAGTTTTAGGGACACAGAGGTAAAAGGGGTAAATTCTATCTTCAAGGAACTCACAGCAGAATGAAGGATAAAAATTAAAAAGGTAATTACATCATTGTGCACTAAATGTTATGATAGTTAATTGCAGGTTCTAATTTAGCAAAGAAGAGGGAATGCACTCTAACCTTGGGGAGAATTAATTATTTCTCTGAGAAGGCAGGACATCCTGAATCTTGAATAGTGAATATGTATTAATAGTTAATGATGCACATGGGTAAGAAATAGAGGAAACTTACAGGCAAAGGAAATAGCATGTGCCGAAGTTCCAAAGGCTCAGGCAACAAGCGGTATTCAGGCATTTCTGCTAATTCAGTATAGATGGAGCTCAGACTGGATGTAAGGTGTACAGCTTGCAGATGGAGGCTGGAGAGAAAATCTAAAGTCATATCACCAAGGGCCCATTGTATCATTAAACATTTTAAACTTTCTTCTGAAAGCAATGGGTAATTGAGAAGGGATTTCCTTTTTTTTTTTTTTTTTTTTTTTTTTTTTAATGAACGAGACATACTCAGAATTGCTTTTTATTTGTTTGTCTGAGACAGGATCTTGCTCTGTCTCCCAGGATGGAGTACAGTGGCACAATTATGGCTCACTGCAGGCTTGAATTCCCTAAGTTAAGTGATTCTCCCACCTCAGCCTCTCTAGTAGCTGAGAGTGCAAGTGTGCACCACCAGGACAGGCTAATTTTTAATTTTTTGGTGTGTAAGGACAGTATCTTACTATGTTGTCCTGGCTGGTCTCAAACTCCTGGGCTCAAGTGATCCTACTGCCTTGGCCTCCCAAAGCACTAGGATTATAGGTGTAAGCAACCTTGCCCAGCAGAATTGATTTTTGAAAATAAAATCTACCAGCAAAAATGAAGGAACAGATATAAATAGACATTTCTGGGAGCAGGAATACCTGTTAAGAATCAGCTGTGTGAAATCTGAATGAGAAAAGGTGAAGGCTGCACAGAAGACTCCAGCAGTAGAGGTGGTGTGGTGTTATGGTGTTTTGGTATATATTGGTTTGCGTCCAGGGTTCCTGGTTCATAACTCCCATAGTAATGCCTGTTTCAGTCTTTTGTTACAATGTTGGATGTATTGGGCCTCAGGGGCAGGCCTCAGGAAACGGAATCCCCTTCTGTCCTCCATCTGCCCCAAAGCAGGACTCTAATCATTCCTGCCTTTCTGATTATGGGTTTTAAGACCCTCCCCAGAGAGGTTCCTGCCCAATACCTGAGGGAGGCAATGCTAACATTGTGAAGCTTCCATAAAAAACCCAAAAGGACAGGGTTTGAGGAGCTCAGGACAGCTGAACACATGGAAGTTCCTGGAGGACAGCACACCGAGGGAGGGCATTGAAGCTCCATGCCCCTTCCCCTATACTTTGCCCTACGTGTCTCTTCATTTGTATCCTTTTGAAATATTCTTTTCAATAAACTGGTAAACATAAGTAAGTGTCTCCCTGAGTTCTCTGAGCAACCCCAGCAAATTAATCCAACCTAAAAGGTGTTAGTGAGAACCCCAACGTGAAGCCAGTTGGTCACAAGTTCCAGAGGCTCGGACTTACAACTAGTGTCTGGCATGAAGGGGGGAATATTGCAGGCTGAGACTCCAACCTGTAGGATCTGACGGTATCTCCAAGTAGATAGTGTCCCCCCTGACTTAGAGGAGACCCAGTTCACTACTTGGTGTGTCAGAAAAAAATAAAACAAATCAAAACACGTATTTGGCCACAGAAGTCTTCCATGTTAATGATTGCTGTTGTGGTAGCATCAAAGTAGAGAAAAAATTCAGTTAAAGGGGAGAGATTTTTCCATTACAGATAGGAAGTTTTGTAATAGAATGAATAGATACTACAGAAGAGAATCTGGAAGAATTGGAGACTGATCGAATAGATGAGGTATGGAAGATAGTTATTTTTTTCTGGGTGGATGGGATGGTGACCTTTGCTAAGGGAACATAGGAATAGTAACAGGTTGAACAAGACAAAAAATTTCCATCCAGGAGAGGTTCACTTTTAGGTGCCTGTGGGCTTATAATGAAAGACATTCATAAATTGGACATGTGTGTCTAGAGATCGGGAGATGATCCCTCAAATCTTTTCATATACTATAACTTAAATGTATTTAAAAAATTAACTATGAAAAACTTTTTTAGTGTTAACTGCCTACTGGCCATTGGTCTAAATCTAAATAATTAAATGAGTGAATATTAAGTACTTGCTATATGCATTGCTCTTGCTTTGAAGTAGCTCATTAACTCAGGAGGGATATAAGCCTTGTTGTCTAACTTACAAAATAGGAAATCAAAATGTCAAACAAAATGTTTAACTTTTAACTTTGTAACTTGTTATGGAGACCTCTCAATCACCTCTTCCCAGATAAAATTCCTACTTGTTCAAGCTAGAGGTTCTTTTGGACCCTTTTCCACTCCCTATCTCTCTTGTCTTCTTACCTGATTTTTTGATTATCACAAGCCTGTACATATCCTGTATGACACAGAGTCAGAGAATATACCCAGGACTCTGCCAAAGTTTTACAAGACGTGCCAGACAATAGCTTGCTGAACAACAACACTCCACTCTCATGAATATACTTTAAGCTCTTACTCCTCTTGCTACCATTGTTCATCTATTCAACAGTGGCTAATAAATAACGACAACTTATTTTCCTTCTCTCAATGTCAACCTTTAATTATGGAATTAACTTATATTATGTATGTAACTTAAAAAGCTAAATAATGCAATTGATATGTGTGTAAAAGACCTGCACTTAAATCATTATAAAAATAATGGCTGCTCTGAGAAATTTAATTAGGATTGTGTAAAGAATAAAGAGCTGTTTATAGGAGTGATTTATTAATTGGGCTTATATGTTTCTATTGTGTTATCCAAGGCAATTTGTAGGATGTAAAATATAATTTGAAAAGAAATGATGAATATTTCCTAACTCTATCTTTTTGAATACTTCACGGGCTTTATCATATAACCTCCCATATAAAACTCTAATTCCTATTACATACAGGATCAGTTCCAAACTCCCTAGTTTGAAACTCAGAAAATCTTCCTAATCTGTTAGCCTGAATTTGAACGAAAAAGTCCAGGGGCTGGTGATTTATCAAACTGCTCCTTTCCACACTGTTGACATTGCCCCAGTCATGTCTCTTATCTACTCATCTCTTTCTTCTCTATTTAAACTCATAACATTTAGCTCAGTTTCCCTTTCCTAAGAATTTACCTGATCCTCCCAGTCTTTAATGACATCTAATTACCTTAAGCACTAATTATCTGCCTTCTCTCACACTCTAATAATATACATAGGTCTGTGACTTCGAGTAGCCTATCAAAGCAAGTGCAGAGAAAGTGGCCAGGAGTGAGCAGGAGATAACAGTTCTATCTTGCCCACCAGTAAAGGCACATTGCATATTTTTTTCAAGTCTTGGAGGCACTTTTTGATAGATACTATTTCATGCGGATAATTAAATGGGGCCCAGAGAGGTTTGAAAACTTACCACAACCCTCTCAACTTTTAACAGGAAACACTATTTGAATCCAGTACTGTCTGGCATATGTTCTTCATCCTCTTACCTATGGCCACGTTGTAGGGGTATAGGCTTTGAAGTCAGGGTACCAGGATTTAAATTGCAATGCTGCTCCTTGTTAGCTGTGTGGATTAGTTTAGGTAATGCTGTCTAAACTATTTGTTAAGTAATTTACATACTTACTAGTGGTAGGTTTGTGAGCAAGAACCCTAGGCCCTGATACATAAGTTATGCTCACTTCATAAATAAGGAAATTGAGGCACAGGGAGTTTAGGAAACTTGTCCAGAGTGGTATAATAAGACATGCAACTGGATTTCAATCCCAGGCAGTCAGCCCACACTCTGAACTAGTATGCTCATTATTGTGATAGCTTCTATGGAAAGCTATCATAACCCCTTCAAGCAGCAACATATTTCTTATGTATAAAATGGGTATAGGATTGTTTTGAGGATTAAATGGGATGGTAAGGAAAAACTAAGCGTAATGACTGGCACATAAAGGAACTAGATAAATATTTTTTGTTATCTTCATCATTTTATTATGCTGTCTGGAGAGCTGGGAGGAAGGGACTCAATATTTTTACCCCACTCAAAAATGATTCTGAGCATATTTAAATGTTCTACCTCGTATTCATTGATTTGATTATTAAAATGTTAGGTGTTTTAAAAGATGGTGAAGAAAATAAAAGGCATTATCAAATATTGACAGATACATGGATTAGTAAAAAATTATATTTAAATCATAGTAAATGATGGAGCATTGTTTTATGCTTTCATATGCAAAGTAGTTCCTTGTAGAAGAAATTTCCTTTTTAGATCTTATATCCATTTAACAGCAGAAACCAATAGTATAATCTACTGCAGAATCTGAACACTTGCTTTAATCATACTTGCCTACAATAGAGTCATACAAATGTATTTTGGACCCTATCACATCAGTTTCTATCATTACCTCCTTTACTCATAGCTAAATGCTCCCAAGGCAGAGTTCTTGGCAGGATTTGGACACATTGGAACTCTTTGACCACTTGCAATTCCCCACTGAGAGGGGAAATCAGCTCTTTGTTGAAAGTTAGCTTTGCTTTGTCCCCATCTCCAAATTTGAGCCAGCTTCTCTGTAAATGTATGTCTGTGACTGCAAGGATGTCAACGCTAGATTGTGCAGCTGGGTCAGTATCAATATCCTTTCTGATAAAAATGAAGGACCTGAAGGTAGACAGGATTATGATGGTCCCCAGATGAGGACAGAAAGAATTTAAGATGAGGTTAAAAGGTGTCTCTTTGAGGCAATTTATAAATGTGTTACTAATAAGATTAGGAAGAGTTAGGAATTTCACAAAGAAGACTAATCTTTAACTCCTAATAGCTAAATTGGACTGTGTTGAGTAACATGTTTAAATAAAGAAAGGACATAATAATGAAAGGTGGTCTATATGGACTCAAGAATATTAATTGAAGCATAATTACACACCAGAGGGTTCATTCAGTAATGACTATGGAGGAGACAAATGATATCTGTAAAATAAGTAGTTTAATAATTAGAAAGACAGACTTAGGATACGCTGGGTAAAATTTTCCATAGCTCTTTTCAAATCCTTATATGCTGTTTCATGCCCTAAAACCCATCTGCTTTCCTAGTCTGTTTTCTTGGTACCTTGATAATAGAAATATTTCCTGAAATAGCAGAAAATAAGGTGATTCGCCAAAAAATAACTCTCATTGTAAATTGGCCATTCTGCTCTTTAAATTGTTTAAATTTGATTAGAATGAATTAGTCTCACAGATTCTGTTACTCCCATGACGCATTCATAAAAGTTTGTTTGTGAACCTGCAAAACCAAGAAGAAATCCTGACATGCAGAGATGCCCTCATGGTGATATATGTGTTTTTCAATCTGCTGATTGTTTTCACCTACACTTGAGTTTTCAATTATAGCTGTGCATTGGATTCACCTCGGTTACTGTTAAATGCATCAATTCATGGGTAACCCTTCAGGCTTGTGGAAGTAGCTAGGGCCTGATACACTGTTATTTAAAAAGCTTTTGAGCTGTTCCTGTTGTTACATTTTCTATGCCTTCTGAAAATATGGCCATAGAATAAGGTTAAGGCCCTATTCGTGAGAGAAGAGCAACCTGATAAATCAGTGATTGCTTCTCAGTTATGTATTTAAATAACAATCTCAAAAAATTGAGAACTAGCCATATTCTTACGAAGAAAAGCTGTGTAAGCAGCATAATTCTCTCAGCGCTCCCCATGGGGTCTCCTCCAGAGACGTGGCCTCTGGGAGAGCTTGATGGATGTCTGGTGATGAAAACAATGATGAAATGGCACTAAGACACTAAGATGGAAATTATGGTTGTGGGTGCGTGACAACTCTGTATCAAAAGCTGAATTAGAGACAGATTAGTTAAGACAATCTCTCAACTTCAAGTATAATACCCCTAAATCAAAAGAGGGTGCCCATGATATCCTTCAAGTTATCCAGAAAAGAGTCAAAAATGATTAAATAAAATATATTCATCATTATCCACAAAAGGGCGGGTTCATACTACATTTTTTGTAGCTCCTTTAGTAACTCCTGAATACAAACACAAAAGGAGTTCTTCACTGTGTTTGAGAAAAGATGTAATTTAAAATATAACACAAAGATAAAATCCACAGGTGTAACTTTAAATAAATGACATTATTTAGTACCAAGGATGGTACTGGAAGACTGGTTATGAGGTTTTCGGACATGTTGTTGGTCTAGGAGAAAAGGATGTGGATTCCAAGGAACATAAAACTTCAGAGGTGTACCACAGGTCTAGTAGGCAAGGATGTGAATGCAGAGAAGTAAGCTAAATGAGCCAGGAAAGACAGGTACCTTGGTGTTGGCAGGCAGAACTTTAAGGTTACGGGTTAGCAATAGCAACCTAAAAATTAGAATTTTGTAAAGGTGAATTCCACACCTAAGCCCTCAGTTTTTCTCTGAATTTTATTGGCTTCCATAGTGTGTGTGGATAATCTACATGAGAAGGTTTATGTACAGGGTCCAGTCCTGTGTGCAAAAGTAAGAAATAAGTGAGGGCATATAAATAATATCCCTAGACCTGCTCATACTGGACAAGCAACAGTTGTCTCTTATTATTGCACATGCAGAAGCCTAACCTTACCAGGAGATTTTTGCACAATACTATATTTAATATTTAATAATACAAGTTAGTATTTACACTTTAAAAAGTCACTGACAAAAACAAAGTCCAGGGTATTAAAGAATCACCAGTGCTCTCTGGAAAGCTAAGCCAACACTGTGAAACTCATCAACACTACAGCACACTGAATCAAAAAAAACGATGAAAGTAATATTCCACCCAAGATTGTGCAGACACTGTCATCAAAACTAATAAACATTTATTGCAAAAGATTATTGGGAAGCTTCCAGGAGCTGTTTTCTCCTAGGGAAATATGAATTTACAGGAACTATGGTTTCAAGGAAATTCTATCACCCATCATATTTTAGGCTGAGAAATGACCAATAGGGGACAGTGTAAGTGGCGGCACTTATGAAACAGGAAGTCAGCACTTGACAGCCATTTTATTACACCTTGAACATATTGAAGAAATAAATCATAAAGGTCGTAAAGAATTTGGGCTTTTGAAATCTGGGCTTGGGAGCAAAAGCCAAAGTCTATGGAGACTACAGAGATGTATACTAGGCACTGTACTCCTTTGAGTTGCTCCAGGCATTAGTAAGGTCCTGACAGTCAAGCATTTCCTGGGCTTCGCCAGGGAGGAATGAGCAGGACGATAGCTTTTGACTTAACAGAACTGCCATGATCTTTGAATTGACCTCAGCAAACAAAGCAAACTGCCTGCTTCCTTACTCTTGCCCCTGATACTTCAAATTTCCATAATAAACTTTGATTTAATTATAATCATGGGATTTTTCTTTTCCCTGGTGTGAGTTCTGGAAAAAATGAAATTCCTTGTTCTTGTTCTGATGATCAAGGGTGCATAAGCAAGTCTAACCATTAGTCGGGCGGGGGGTGGGGGGAAGTATAAAAATGTAGGTTGCCAGTGGAGACTGTTTGTAGATATAGAATATTGAGTTATATATTTCTTCAGGCAGGAGGACTAGCTAACAGTATGAAATGCTTATTCATATTTGTTATATCCAAGTTTTCTTTTTGCATGCCTTCTCTTGTCCTATAATATATTGTTCTAATCAGTAGACCTATTTTCTGCCCTCTTTGATACCACAATCTTACTTATTGTTTGAGTTAAATCACAGAGGCCTGTAGCCCTTGGCTTTCTCAAAGTGAAGCACTATATATAAAATGAGTTATTGCAAATAAGACAAGGGCCAGTGCCATAAACCTGTCAACCTCATCTCCAGGATTTTCATTCCAAATAGCACTACATACTTTCTTAATATTACTTCGCTTTGAAAAAGGACAAGCTTCTATTAAAGTTAGACATCTATGAATCTCATGTTTCAACACATTCCCAATAACACAAACGAACTAGGAATATTAAACATGGATCATTCTGAAAAGTTTTTTGGTAAGGATGTAGTGTATGTGCACGCACATGCATGCACATGCATTAAACTGGCATTCCATATTTAGTTACCATGAGAAGCAGATGGCATTTAGTGTGGGTTTAAGATTAGGGGTATAGCACCTTATAGTTTTCCATATTCCACCCAGGAACATCAAATAATTATGGGGCAGCAGATATTAATATTTTCTCTAGCAATGGAGCTAATCTTCCAAGTGATGGACACTTTTTTTTTTTTTTTTTATCATCTAAGGCAGAACAAGATGTAGCAAATGGCTTGGGCCAAGAAATTAAATGAGCTCAGAAGCCAGCCATCCTTGGGAGGATTTTGGTGTGTCTTGCCTGGGCAACACATAATAGAATTTTGGACTTTCTGGATCTGTATGAGAAGAGGCACCATAGAGTGAACAAACAAAGCAAACTAGAAATGTATCAGGAAGATTTTAATTTTGGCATAGCATCTGGTAAATGTATTATCTCTAAATTAAAGTGGTAATTACACTAAGATAGAATGAACTGAGTAGTAGTTTAGCAGCCAAGTAATTTGCTGCCATGGTACATGGCTTAGAAGCACAAGCTTGGTTGTAACTGTTGATAGTAATGTTGATGTGTCCTTTTTTTATGTATTTCAAATATCAAATAATTCAAATCACTCGAATGTATAGTGATACAAAAATTACCTTTGAATCTATGAAAGGATGATCAAGTAAGTGACTAGCATGAGAAGCCCAGGTGTGAATTACTATTCTTAGACATAAAGATTCTACATTATCTGCTACTCAAGGAATAATCCAGCTTTAGATTCACCCGGGAGCTTGCAAGAAATGCAGACACTAAAGACTCCATCCCAGACCCACTAAATTAGATTCTAATTGGAAGACATTGAAGTTTGAGATGCACTTCTGTACTACACTCAGAAGATTTGATACGTCCTTGTGTGTGTATGTGAGTAGGCAGGACACATACCCAAGAATCACTCATAAACATCACACTGTCATTGAAAATTCAAGTCTATAAAAAATAACTGTTTCTCGTCAGGTGCAGTGTCTCATGCCTGTAATTCCAGCACTTTGGGAGGCCAAGATGGGCAGCTTGCTTGAGCCCAGGAGTTCGAGACCAGCCTGGGCAACATGGCAAAACCCTGTCTCTACAAAAAAAATGCAAAAATTACCCAGGCATGGTGGTATACACCTGTAGTTTCAGCTACTTGGGAGGCTGAGGTGGGAGAATTACTTGAGCCTGGGAGGTCGAGACTGCAGTGAGTTGTAATTGCACCACTGCACTCCAGCCTAAGGGTACAGAGTGAGACCCTGTCTCAAGAAAGAAAAAAATAGCTTATTTTTCAATACATTGAACCCTTGAGCCTATTACTAATATTGTTCCCTGTCTCCTGCTCCTCAGGACCCTCTTGCTTCCAATCTTCAACATAGCTGCTCTTCCCTACTGGCCCCACACCAAAAACGAGCTTGCACAGGGGCTGTCGGCTTGAAGAATGTATGGAAATGAAATATGTAAATACATTTCCTCTATATTTTTTTTTTCCAAAGAGGAATGACATGATCATCTTTTTAAGATAGTAGAAGTCATTGTTAGTATTTATTGAGGACATACAATGTGCAAGTCTTTCTTGCAAGCGTTTTATATACATCACCTCGTTTATCCCCAAAATGACACTGTGACATGGGTATAATTATTTATCTGTTTTATGGATGTCAACAGTGAGTTTCAGAAACTTTAAATAATTACCTACGGACATAAGGCTATCATAAGGTAGAAGCAGACTTCATTCAAAACCACAATGTTATTCTTGCTTTGGGTAGAGTATTCAAATTACAGGGATTTTACACTGGTCCAAGCTTGAGCGATATCAGGAGTTAATAGCAGTTATCATAGACAAGATATACATGAGAAATTGGACTAGTATAGCATAATTAGGTTAGAAACAGGACAGCAAACAGAATGAAGAGTTCACTTATCTCTCCATCTATCTAAATTAATTCAATTTTTCATCTTGCATACCAAAGTTCCAGCACTTTTAACTGATGGACACTGATGAAATATCTCCTTTCGAACTTCAGTAAACACTAATTTGACTTAAATTACTTTGACCACTTATTAACTTGACTTGTTTTATTGCTCCATGAAATGTGAAATTTCTCCAGTTAAACTGTGACTTTCTTGTGGGGATGAGAATCATTCTTACACTTTTTTTTTATTTTATTTTACAGAAAAGACAGCAGATGTCCTGGCTTTAGCTTTTGTTTAACATGCTTATGGATCAATTAACTAGCAGGTTCTGGACAACTCTTGATTTTAAAGGATGTCCTAGAGTGGGTCCAGGATTTAGACATGTGCAACAAGTGGTAAGTAACCCCACCTCAGAGGCTAAGAAGGCCTCCTTAGAGAAGTTCCAGGAAGTTTATGTCAGGGACAATTAGGCTTAAAGCACAGTCTTTATTCCGTTTGTGAACTGAAGTTCATCCATGACAACACAGCATATTAACTAAATAATTAACTTGAAAAGATCTGAGAGGTATTTTATAGAGAGCAGTAGAATTTTAGATCTAAAGCAAACTTTAGAGAGGATAGCATTCCAACTCCCTGAATCAGAAGTCAGAGTTCATAGAGAATAAGAGAGTTATCCAATGTAGCCAAGCAACACTCAAAATAGAATCAAGGTCTCCTGATACCCTGTCCAGTATTACTCTGCCATATGATGCTATCTTCACAGCCAAGCACATTTGATGTTATGATTGAGTAATAAAACTTCCTCACTAGAAAGGAGTCTGAATGCCACTAATCTTGTAATGAAACACTTGATTCCAAGTTCCACAATACAGTCACAATGACACCAGAATAATCCAGCAGATAAAATTGCACTTACAGTTAAAAGCCCAAATGGTCAGCAATGGGATTGGGAGATGCTGTGAGAGAATTAGCTATGCCTTCACATTATTCCAGAACGTATTGGGTCTGGTGTCCATTACCAAGCTGGACACCAGTGATGGGATCCAGCCAATGATGCCAATGATGTTAACTCCATTGAGGAAAGGATTAATTAACATTGAAACTTTCAAAATATGGACACATAAAAACAAATTGAAATGCACCCCAGTCATCCAAAGATCATTCAGAAAAAATAAATTAGTAGATGAACTAAAACACAGTGACTACAGATTTTCTCTGGTGTACATAGGAGAAAACAGATCTTCTGCCTTTTATGCTGACAATCAAAATCGGCCCTTATTTGGCTCTGTTGCATGTAAAATCAGGTATTTTAGATCATTCCGACATGAGGAAAGCATCGTTATCCCTACAGTTTATAATGAGTACAGTAGAGAGCAGATACCCCGTATTTTTTTGAATCCTTCTAATAGCAACTAAATAATTGAGCATGGCATACCCATAGCAAGTGTTTTCATGCACTCATTTAATGTATTATAACAATCCCTGTGACCAAGATATTGTAATATCTACATTATATATAAAGAAACTGAGTCTCATATATACTGTAAGGTAAGTAGTACAGTGTAATATAACTGATAAATGATCAAGACAGAATTTGATTTCAAGTTTGCCAGATTCTAAAACCAGTCCTCTCAACCATTTTATGATGGTTTATTTATTGGCTCTCTAAGACATTTCAAGTTTCTTTATTTTTTCATAACATTGATTTTACAATTATTTTCACTAGACTAATATATAATAGTAATCCATAAAGTAGTCTACCATTTCTCAGTATTTTCTAAAACTTTTTTGATTCATACATATTAACATATTCACAGAAAGCTCAGGGCCCTGTTATCCCTTGTAGAAACATAATAAGCAACGGATATCAGACTCTTTTTCAGGGTTGGGTATGCTACAGGTGATAGCAAGAGGAGACAGACAAATTCCTAGGCAGACAGGGACAGGTCCCCTGTGAAACCTGACCTTCAAGCCAAGAACAGTCTAAAGTCTAAAAACTGAACTGCCAGTTCTGGATAGAGTCCATGACCTGAGGGAGAATTTTCATTTCTGTTTTACCCACTCTTTCTCGATTAGTTCCTTCTGAATGATGCCTTTTAACCAATTGAACGGTGCTTTTTCCAAGACCGTCCACAGACCAATCAGCAAGTAGTCCCCCATTCTAAGCTCATAAAAACCCCCTACTCAGCCTCACAGAAGGAAACCCACTTTCAGGTTCCCTCTCCCTGCTGAGAGCTAGCTTTCGGTTGCTCTATAAACTTCTACTCTGCCTTACTCACTCTACAGCATCTGAGTACCTTATTCCTCTTTGTTTCAGAACAAGAACCTGGAACTCGCTAAACTGAGGAATGAAAAAGATGTAATGCTCCTGCCCACTGAGCTGCGGGCAGTGGGAGTAAAAGAGCTGTCATTCTCCCTCCCACTCACCAACCAATAGGAGAGAAGAAGCTGCTGGTGGCCACTCCCTCTAGCCCACCAAAAACAGGAGAGAAGAAGCCATGGGATGCCACTCCCTCCCACTTGCTGAGCTACGGGAGTGAAGAAGCGAAGCTCCTGGCACTACTTTCCCTGGCTCACTGAATTAAGGGAGCAAAAAAGCCGCAACATAGGGAGGTTTACGTGTATTTAATGTTTTATATGAGCCACTATGCAGATACTCAGGACATGGATGGATGAAAAAAAAATAGGGTATTTTGCTGTGTGAAGTATTATGACAACCCTCACGATTTCCTTAAAAAATTGAGAGTAAATGTCTATACTTTACTTCAAGACAAAAAAGAGGTAATTCCTTAAGATGGGCAGCTGTGACCCAGTTACAAATAAAAGCATCACAGTTCCTCCTCCTCTATACATTCTACACATTCCCATACAGTACAGCCTGTAATCCATTATTCTTAGTAGCTGAAAAGATTTTGATGAGATTTACTTTTTATAGCTTAGAATATATGAATTATGAATCTTAATGTTCCAGTCAGGATAAATATTGGATAATAGTATTAAATATGAATTCTCAAATTGCATACATAGCTTCAGAGACTTTGATAAGCTACCCTTTGTCTTCAGAAGAACCGCTAAATTGGTGAGCTCCACAAGACCAAGATCAGTAGTTTAAATAGCCTTTCTATCAGTCTGTAGTATCTAGAACAGAGCTGGGAAAAGTTAATATACTTTTGATAAATATGAATCTTATTTGACAGGATAAAATGACCACATGTTTAAGTATGGGCAAGTGATATAATATTAACTGGGCACATAATAAGAAAAGAGTAATTCTGACACGCAAATGGTGATTCAGAGTGACATATAAAGCATTAATTAGATAAAGGCATTCTAACAGAAATATGATATGGAAAACTTAGAGGGTGTGTGGCTACCAATACAACTGGACTTTATTAATAAGAATTAGAAAATTTTGGGTTTTTTTTGAAAAGGAAAGGCTAGGGACATACCAAAGTGATGGACATGGCAAAGAGATGGCTATGGTAGTTATATATTTTCCTTGAGGGTTATAACCAGAGAAAGAAGTTCACAACAGAACAGATTTAGATCAAACTATACAGATTAAATTACAGCTGGACTCATGCCTTTCTTTAAAAAGTTGTTCAGTAAATATGAGTAGATTTGAGTAAAAAAGAGATAATACATCTTATAAATTTCAATATGGAATCATTATATTGTCAATTTATCTTGGAGAAGGGGTGGTTTAAAACAAGATTCACCATACCTGTGTCAGGAATTTTTCTCACAGCCAACCGTCAAAAGCACAGGGTTCTATGCCCGTAGCCTGGTGTGTTGACCAATATTGACTAACTTACTTGGCTCCATTGGTGACCTTTGGGGCTAAACGAGTAGCCAATTTCTGGTTTATATGCAGGAATATAAACCCAATAACTTTCCATTTGTGTAAGAACTTATTTTGGGACATTGATAACCCTTAGGCATTAACAATTTTAACAAAAGTCATTTATTTTACTCCCCTTTTGAAATTAATTTTACGTTTATTGGAGAAGATTTATGGATTCTTCTTTAGTAATATGTTCCAATCAGGAATCCAGTGAAATGCCTTTAAACTTCAATTTTGAGTCATAAGTTATTTTCTTTTATTTAGGGTACAGATTTTTCTGGAAATCTTAAATACATAAAATACAGTTCTTATGTGACAGCTTAGAAGATTCACAAAAATGAGAACTAAAATATTTTTCTCAAAATCAAGGACTGCATACTTCTTTCATTTGTTACTAAGCAGATAACCAGGCATGTTATGTCAGTAAGTCAAAAGTGGGCTGTGGGAATGATTATGGAAATGTCTATTAGGTACCAACAAGAGCTGGGAGGTCATAGGGAGGAGTAAGACCTCATCCAGATGACAACTCCTCATTACAGAATTCCAGTGTCTTAAAATGAAAGACATGTTAAAACTTCAATCACTGGTTTTACAGATGAAAAATTTACGTCCAGAGAAGGTAAAGGATTTGATTAGAGACTAAGAAGTTCAGCAGTGGCAATACTGGAAGCAGAAACAAGATTTCATGGCTTCCTTAACATTTATTCAATAAGGTCTGATAAAGTAATAGATGGATGCCCTCATAAGGAGATCACAAATTTCAGAACAGAAATAAGTAGAATTCAATCTTGGATTTGTTGAAGGAAAGTAAATTAAGGTAGGAAAAATGCTAGCATCTTCGTAACTACAGAAATCTCAACTCACCAGAAAGTTATATAACAGAATATATAATACACTAATAAAAACATTTGTTAAGCGTTGGTTTCAAGTTAGAGTAATGCATAGCCTTTTCAGAAGAGAGTTAAGTACATTTATTATTGGTGAAAATAGCTTATTCCCCTGACTGCAGTAGCTCTAAGTAATGTACATTTTGGAGGTGACAAATTTCTTTTTACATCCTATTACTAAGCAATACACATTTCACTCAGGATAACACAAGAATTAAATAAAGAGATGCAATTTCAGACAGAATAAAGTACTTAGGATCAGTAGATGGCAGACAGGTCTCCATAAAACTTTGAAAGAACGCTAGAGCAATATGATTTCTTGAGCAATTTTTCTTCTGGCTTCATGTGATGTGTTTTAATACAGATACCCTTAACAATGAAGTTCTGAAAGAACAATGGTCCCTATAAGGACACTTTTCAAAATAAATCACAATTAGAGCATCAAATTCTCATTCTAAATAAGGTGACTGGCCAGACATCACTTTACCTAAAAATTTAACCAAAAATTTTATATTCTGTATTCCTCACAATAACTATTTATTTTTATTATTTATTTATTATTTATGAGAGAGAGTTGCTCTGTCACCCAGGCTAAAGTGCAGTGGCACAATCTCAGCTCACTGCAACCTCCACCTCCTGGGTTCAAGCAATTCTCCTGCCTCAGCCTCTCCAGTAGCTGGGATTACAGGCGTGCACCACCATGCCCGGCTAATTTTTCTATTTTTTTTAGTAGAGACAGGGTTTCAGCATGTTGGCCAGGCTGGTCTCAAACTCCTGGCCTCATGATCTGCCCGCCTCAGCTTCCCAAAGTGCTGGGATTACAGGGGTGAGCCACCACTCCTAGCCCACAATAACAATTTAAATAGATAAAGTTTAGTGAGATGTGTCAGGTTTTACTGGATTTCCACATTATAAGCTCTGTTCAGCTTCACTTTCACTTTTTTGGGTTTTTTTTTTTTTTTTTTTTTTTTTAGAGACATGGTCTCAATCTGTTGCCCAGGTTGGAGTGCAGTGTGGCACACAATTATAGCTCACTGTAGTCTAAAACTCCTGGGCTCAAGCGATCCTCCTACTTCAGCCTCTCTAGTAGCTGGGACTACAGGCCTGAACCACCAACATCGGCTATCATTTTCACTTTTTCTAAACATGCAAGGTAAATCACAAAATAGCAACTTATTTCATTTTAACTAGACATTTTTTTCTGTTTTTATTTTTATTTTTCTATGCTTTCCTTTGGTGGGCACTCATTAGTAGAACTTTCTGAATCACAGGGAACACATCTTCAACCATCTGTATATGCATAGGTACTTTAACAGTAATCAAAGTGTTTTATCTTCTTTATTCACTTGAATTAATACTATCTCATTTTCACCTCCTTTCATTTTATAAAATGGAAGTGGTTAGACACATATTCCTGCATGCTATTGAAAATTGTGTGGTAACAAAACTAAGACAAAGATCGTAGAACTAGGTAACTCCCACTTATGTGATCATGGAAGGTTTTATAGAGAATATAACATTAGAGGGAAGACATGAACAATAAATAAAATTTAGAAAGGTAGAAGTGGTAGGTGGAAAACTTCAGATATATAAATAATGGCTTAATCCAAAGCATGTAGTTGGGGTAGAAAAAAACACATGGTGAGGGTCTGTTTAGTGAGTAACATTTATGTTAAGGCTATACAATTACATCCAGAGTAATATTTAATTGTGCTTTAATTTTATGACAACAAATTTTAATTTATAGCATTATTTCTCAAATTTGAGACTTCATGGATTTCCAAAAATTATTTCAATGGTTTCACACCATAGATTCTACCTGATTAGAATCTATGAATTAAAATCTGGAATTTAAGCTAATTCTAGATTAAAAGTTGAGTTCTATCTATTTAATTAAACATTTGATGCATCATCATCATTACAAAAAATGTAAGCACACACACTGAAACCAAGTGGTAAGTCTGGGTTACAAAGTGCCCATCCAGAATGATCTAGAACATGCTTACAATGATTTATGATTGGCTATTTAATTCACAAAATTTACAAAGAAAATCCATAGAAAAATTGCAAACTCTGATAGCAAGGGTCTGTAAACCACCATTTAAGAAGCACTGTCTTATAGGCAATTGCACACCATTAAAATTTAAAAGCACAATCAAATTGGTACTTACAGAATAAATATTTCAGAGGATTTCATCTTAAGAGACAATTGGGAACATTTGAAATAACATGTTCATTAAACTAGTCTATCAACTAGCATATAGATAAGGCCCTAGGTTTCACCTAGGTGATAGGTGCTGGAGAAACAAAGATAAGCACATGGTTGTGTCATAAAGAAACTCATGGTTTAGTTAGAAGAAAGTCCTCTATACATATAAGCATAGTAAAATATGGAGATTCAATGGTAGAGAAATTGACAAGGAAGCGCCATTTAACCTAACTTGGAGGCCAGAGAAGACTGGTTAGGCTAAGCATTAAGCAATGCATACAAACTGTATTTGAGCATGTGTTTGGACATGCAATTAGAAATGAGGTGGAGCTTTTAAAGAAGAAAGGACAGCATGGATCAATGTTCCTTTGATGTTTCTAAAGTGAACAGTTGGAAGCAGGGTTGCTTAGGAATAAGACTGAAAATGTAGACAGCAACTAGATCCCTGTGATTGTAGTAAATTGATGTTAAGGAGTTGATTTTGTCTTTAAGCAACAGTGAGTTCTAGGATCCTGGGAAGGAAGACATGACATAGTTGACTTGGCATTTCAGTAAGATAACTATATGGAGAAGAATAGCAAAGAAGAAAGAAGACTAGTGTAATATTATTCAAAGTAACGATAACTTTCTGGGATACAACATGAGTGATAGAGATGAGTAACTGAAGGATAAAAATCATATTCAAAAGGTAAAACTAGTTAGTAGGACACCACACACACACATAAGGAGTGACTAAAAGGAAAAAATTAAGCATCAGCTATTATATTTCCAGCTTATTGGATATATATCAATTGAAAACAAGAACGTTGACAAAAGGAGTCAAACTCTGTAAAATATTTGAAGAGATTATTCTGAGCCCACCATGAGTGGCCATGCACACGACACAGCCCAAAATGAGTGACCATGTGCATGACATACCCCTTGGGAAACCTGAGAACATGTTCTTATGGTGGTCAGGGCACAGCCTAGTTTTATACATTTTTGGGAGACATGAGACATCAATCAAATACATGTAAGATATACATGGGTTCGGTGCAGAAAAGTGGAATAGCTCAAATCAGGGGCTTCTTGTTTATAAGTAGATTTTAAAAGTTTTCAGATTGGCAATTAGTTGAAAGAGTTATTATCAATAGAAAGGAATATCTGGGTTATGAATGGGGTTGTGGAGACCAAAGTTTTATCATGCAAATGAAGCCACCAGGTAGCAGGCTTCAGAGAGAATAGATTGTAAATGTTCCTTATCAGACTTAAGGTCTATGTTAATGTTAAATGCTGGTCAGCTGTTCCTGAATTCCAAAAGGGAGGAAGGCATAATGAGGTATGTCTGACCCCTTGTTACTCTCATGACCGGAACCAATCTTTCAGGTTAACTTTGGGGTGCCCCTAGCTGACAGCAGAGAGTTCATTCAGATGGTTGGAAAGGAGGGGGGCTGGAATTTTATTTTTGGTATGCAAGACTATACTGAGAGAGAAAATAATTAAGAAAATAAAATGATCAGTTTAGTTTTTGACATGTTGATTGTGTAAGGCCTGTGAGATATTCAAGGCTCTAATGGGAGACACAATACAAACTTGAAATTTGGGTAAATGCTATGACCTGGAAATACAATTGTAAGATTCAACAACTTAGTACTTGACCAATGTGATGAGGATGTATAAGATAGCTACAATTTATTGAGTAATTACAGGAGGCTGGATTCTCTCCAAAGTTCTTTAAATGAATTATCTCATTTAAGGCTCACAATAAATCTATGGAATAGGTACAGATGAGTAAACTGAAGATTTTATTTCAAGAGGTAAATTGCCCAAGATCACACAGGTAGTTAGGGTTAGAGCTCAGACTCAGGCTTGGGAAAGCTGACTTCAGGGGATTTACTCATAATAACTGGGCTAACCATCTGAAACATATGGATTCTCTGAGAGAGTGTATAATGAGAGGAGCTTTGACAATAGCAGAAACCCAGGGAACAGCAGCAATTTTATATTTTATATTTATCATTTTATTGGAAAATGAGCCTATGAGTGACATAGAAATCAGAGAGATCCATAGCAAACCAGGAGGCATAGTGTCATGGGCATCAAGAACCTAGAGAAGGATGCAGTGGTCAATTGCATAACTGCATTCTGGGAGGCCAGTAGAAAGGTAATATTGTTTTGGCAATTGAGAGAAAATATTCAGGAATGTCTGCACAATGTCTTCACAGTCTAGCTTCAGTAGATTTTGGAATTTAAATGATATTACAATTGGTAAGGTAGTAATTGATTGATGTGACTATAGCTACTTTTCTGAAAGTTCATAAATACAAAAAAAAAAGCACAAATAAGAAGACAAGAGGCTTCAATTTGTGTTGGCACAGTTTACATGTTTGTGTGATTTTTGAACCTTGCTTCCCTAAACTCAGCATTTCAGAGGCATTCGAACCAGAGTGACTCCATCTTGAGTGAGGGCTAGGAAAAATGAGGCTGGGACTTGCTGGGCTGCATTCCCAGGAAGTTAGTTATTCCTAGCCTCTAGACGTTTCCGGTTAAGGGAACAGATTGGTAGTATTTACTAAACAGGTCCAGACTCAGGAATGTCCTGATATCCCGAAATCTTGAGAACAGAAGCATTCTTTATTTTGCTTTAAAGATAGTATCAATTCTTGCAAAATATAGTAATGAAGAAAATTAATCCTTTATCACAAACCCTTGTAGCAGAGCACATCTCCCTGTGATTTTTTGTTGCTGTTGTTTTGTTATCCTATATATAAACAAGCATTTTACCTAGGGTGGCTGTGTTCCTCCTCTTACTATTGGGAACGCCCTACTCTGTCTATGGAGTAGCTATTCTTTCACCACTTTATTTTCTTAATAAACTTGCTTTGGCTTTACACTGTGGACTCGCTCTGAATTCTTTCTTGCGTGAGATCCAAGAACTCTCTTTTGGGATCTGGATCGGAACCCGTTTCCTGTAACACTCTGAATTGTTCTAAATAAGTCTTCTTGTTATCTCTATTAATTTGGAAATACGATGTTATCATCATCTCTTTAATTCCGTCTAGACTTGGCTTGTCTCTACCATGTTACCAACCTCCTTGTTTTTGTCCTTGCCCACCTACAGTCTATGCTTCATACAGAAACCAGAGTGACACATGGAAAATATCAATCAAATCCTTTTATATCCCTGCTCAGAATTTTCTGATGGCTTCTTATGACACTTAATATAAAATCTGAAATCCTTGCCAAAAACCTACACAGACTTCTGGGTTTGGTCCCTACTGCATCTGTGACCTTATAACTTATTGATGTTTCTTTCTGGAGTATTCTTTCACCAAATATTCACAAAGCTTTTTTCCTCTCACTTCCTTCAGTTCTCAGCACAGATGCCACTTCCTCAGAGAAGATACCCTTGAGAACAATAAAATAATAACTTTCTCACCTCTCTCTACCCCTCTTGTCGTGCCTTATTTTTGTCACATTACTTCTCATTACCATTATATTATATTGTATCATATTGTAATATACATTTCTTCTAAAATGTAAGTTCTCTAAGTCCCCGTAGCCAGAAAAGAGCCTCACACTGAGAAATGCACAAGTATATATGCCAAATGAATGAGCAAAGCAAGGAAAGTATGTTTATGGAAATGTTGCGTATTGCTAGGAAAATAAGAGTGGGGGGACTTATTGCTTTAGAAGTTTTATTCAACTGGAAAATAATTTTTCACGGCTCTATTTAAGGAAGCATATCACCATATTGTCAAATAGACAATATGGGTTAGAGGAATTGGTAACCAACAGATTACAATCATTTCACCAGGACCTGAAAGCTTAAGAATGTAAAGGAAAGCTATAATCACAATTTCTCTTTCTTCCCTTCTGCTTTTAGAAATATTTCAGGAGACAAAACCTATGGTGATCCTCTAATTTCTTCATTTATATTAATGGCAAGCTATAATGGAGAAAGTGGTAATAAGGAAGATGATTTCGATTCAGCTCAATAAAACTACAGTGAGTCCCTGAGTGCGAAGGACTGTGCTAGAAACAAACAGCAAAGTGCCATTTCAAAGAAAGAAACATGATGAGCTAAGAATCACATTTGTTCGCAGGTCACACAGGATGTGTTTTTAACCAGAGTGAATGCAGTGGAGGATAAGGGAAGCAGCTTTTATTGATCTTGTTATTTATATGAAAACATGATTTGCCTGTTTACCACAGTGTTCATTAAGTGCATCAGCTATTATGTAGTGAATTTTTCCAACACAATGAATATATTCAGCTGAAAATTACCAGAGCAACCATCTTATAGAATGATAATGCCTGTGAGAAATACAGCACTAATCCAGTCAGTTAAATGTCTGCCCATAGATTCAGGTATTGCTATAACAGTCCACATGCTTTCTGCAATTACAAGCCAGCTCCATATTTCTCAGTTTATTTTCTGTATACAGCCAGTTTTATCATCCCTTAGACCTTGTAAAAAAGCTGGTAATTAACCTTTTCTTGTTGCACTTGTATAAAATGTGACTGAAACAACTTAATATAGGAACAAAAAAAGAACATTGGCTTTTCTTGGTGTTTTCATGGCTTCAAAGTGAAACGTATATTTTTACCAATAATTTTCTGGGTTTCTCCATCTCAGTGATATAAATCTTGCAGACTATTCTGTTGCATCTATAAGCAAGGGAAATTTTTAATTGCGAGGTTTGCTTTAGTGGTTCAGTTTCTCTGAAATTTGGAAGTAAACATCTTTTAAAAGTCCTGAATATTCTCCCTTTTCAAAACCATCTTGGTGTCAGGCTTAAGTTTTTATGATCACTCTGAATTGCTAGAATCCGATGCTTTTATTTCAACTCTAAGCTGTATATATCAAAATATATGGAACTACATCCCAGGTTCTCAACTGGCGATGGAGTTGGGGTGGCGGGGGGCGAGGATGTGAATTTGAATGGGACAAAAAGAACATCTTTATTTCTAGCTAACAATTGGAGGATACCCTTTCAAAATGAGTCTCTGATTGACAGTTGGCATTTTCTTCCATTGTTAATATATCTACCCTACTGGAGTACCATTAGCAGTATCCAAGGCTTTGTTACCAGTACACATATGTGCCTTTTGAATCATCTTCAGGTTGTACAGATATCTCAAGGTGTTGTTAATGATTATCAATACTTTAAAATTACAGTATTATTTTCTCTTCTGAGATCTTATCCAATGTGTGCTTAAGAAAGCATTTACATTACTATATTACATTTATTAATACTTTGACAAATTATTTTAATATGATTGGTTTTCTTTATAATTTTACCTTCTTTATTTTGTATTTAAAAGCATTATTAAGAGGAGAGGGTCTATAGATTTCATCAGACTCTCAAAGTTATCTATGAGTCAAAATCTGACAGGTGAACTGGAAGCATACTATACCTTTTTTTGTTCATTTATTCCCCTTCTGAATCTCACTATTATCAAAAGAATTATCAGTTTTCAGAAAATTCATTTATGCCTCTAGTGTTTTGTTGTTGTTGTTGTTGTTGTTGTTTTGTTTTTGAGATGGAGTCTCACTCTGTCTCCCAGGCTGAAGTACAGTGGTGTGATCTCAGCTCATTGCAATATCCACCTCCCGGGTGCAAGGGAATCTCCTGCCTCAGCCTCCCAAGAAGCTGAGATTTCAGGTGAGTGCCACCACGGCCAGCTGATTTTTGTATTTTTAGTAGAGACGGGGTTTTACCATGTTGGCGAGGCTGGTCCCAAACTCCTGACCTCAGGTGATTCACCCACCTCAGCCTCCCAAGGTTCTGGGATTACAGGAGTGAGCCACCACACCTGGCCCTAATTCATGGTATTTTTATTCCTGAGCAGTTCACCAAGAAAATTCCAGAATTGGGATCTCTCTTCTAAGTCTTTTTGCGAATCAATTTGCTTATGACACTGTTGGCAGAGTTAATAATCAGCCAGGCCTTTAGGGCTAAGAGTTCTTTTTAGCTTTGTATGACTACATAAAATTGCAAAAAGAAAACAGGACATCATTCTCAGAGACAAATGGGAAGAAACTCTTCAAGTCTTTGGTAAATTACACCTGTAATGTTTCAGTGAAAAACAAAACAGTCAATTAGCAAGCTAGTCATCAACTCTTGCTAAGTAGCTAGGATGGATTGCTAGTCTAGTTCTTGCTCAGAGGACTTTAGGGTTTGGTATTTTTCCCCCATGCAGATTTCTTCCACAAATCTTTACCTTCTTGCCGTCTGTACTCTGCATTTCATCTGCCTGTTCTGAATCTTATTTTTCAGGCTTTTTGCAACTTCCCACATCTTGCAAGGTTGTAACTAATTAATCTCTTACTGGAATTGACACTAAAGGAAAAACAAAGATACAAGAAAATTTCCTCACATTCTATTTCTCTGTTATTCAACACTTTAACACTTACTAGGTGTGGGATGCTGTGGGAGAAAGGAGAATAAAGCATAATTCTCCTCCTCAAGCTGCCTTACACACTCTAGCTCCCTCTTCTCTCTGAATCATGCTCCCCATATACCCTTTCCGTATGTTTCAACGGATCCCATGTGTCTGAATTTAAAAAGTGATCTTAGGGCAAATTGCTATTTCTAACTAGAAATGTAACAATAACTTAATAACGAGGGTGTAGAACTCCTCAGGGGCCACAGTCCAGCTTTCTGAAAAGTGGAAGAACTGCATCATCTGGAAAAGTTAATGCTCCCATCCCCCAACTTCTTAGTCAAATGACAGCTCATCATCTCATTGGTTAGCATGAGATCAGTCCTCACTGACCCTCTGAAGATTCCTCCACTTGTTTGCCGTTTATGTTGTTTGTTTTATTCTGACAGCTTTTTGAAAGGGTGCTATCATATGCTGGATATGACTTTCATTGCTTGGTTATGTTCTTTTTATCACAACATAATAGCAGAAAATGTGAAAGAAGTTTAATGCTGCCAATATTTTGTTCCTTTGGATGTATCTGGTGTGGCATTTAAAGGTATAATATCATTCTTTCTTTGTGATGCTAGCTCCAAACATATATTTACATGTAAATTATTACTGATCTCCACTATGCACTGTCTTCATATAACTAAGGCCCTCGTCCAAAGATAACCCTGCCTGATTATCTAAGCCTTTAAATTAAAACATTACCTCTTTAAACATGGATTCGCTTTTGCAGATATCGTCATATGTGAATTGAGTTAGAGGTGGATGTGGATACAAAGATGAAAGCAAATATGGACCCTGCCATCCAGGAATGGCAATTAGGAACCCTCCCCTCCAGCAATCCAGACTGGTTGACTGGACATACCTGGTTTCCACTAACCATAAAACATAAGAGTCCTATAATGGCATTTAAAGAAGTTTTGTTGTGCATAAGAAAAAAATTAGAAATAATATGTGGGTTCTAGGAATGTCTCATGGAAGAGGTAGCAGTTTAAATGGGTGTGAAAGCATGGAAGGGTATTTGATAGGCAGAGATAAATGAGAGAAAATGTTGTTATCAATGACATAGTGGGAGGAACAGGTGGATTCCTCCCACCTGTTGTGCGGGGATCATAATGTATGTGAAGGATGGTGAAAAAATGGGTAGTTTTACAAAACAAAATTATATTGCTTCAGAAACAGCCTTTTTATTTTTTAGATACACAATTACAGATAGTAACTTTACTAAATAATCTTTTGCTATTTAGGAGCAGCATAAGAACAGTGGCAGTAATTAGAAAGTAGAGATCAACTAAATTAAACTCACTTAATATTTAGGTAAAAATTTTGCAATTAAACCACCCAGCAATGAACACACTTGAATCTCTTAACATCTTTGTCTGCATATCTTCAGATTTTTCTTTGCGTATGTTTGTAGGCATTCATTTGTGTGTTTATACATACGTGTATGTATTTATAAGTAAACATGAGATTACACTGTACAAATGGTTCTGTAACTTACTTTTTCCAACTAATAATTCCCATCTTTCTACTTCAGTAAATGTTTATGTTATATAAAATTCCGACTATGTTCAAAGTTCCCCAATGAGTCCTGAAATTTTATGGATACCTAATTTACCCAAACTGGGATCTCATCCAAAACTGTGCATTACCCCTTATTTTTGTATGCCTTATGACTTTTTTTAAGATACATGTACATATATGTTCATTGCAGCCATATTCACAATAGCAATGACATGGAATCAACCGACATGCCCATCAGTGATAAACTGGATAAAGAAAATCTGGCACATATACACCATGGAATACGATGCAGCCATAAAAAGGAATGAGATCATGTCCTTTGCAGGGACATGCATGGAGCTGGAAGCCATCATCCTCAGCAAACTAATGCAGGAACAGAAAACCAAATACCACATGTTCTCGCTTCTAAGCAGGAGCTGAACGATGAGAACACATGGATGCAGGGAGGGGAACAACACAGGCTGGGTCCTGTTTTGAGAGCACAGTGGGAGGGAGAGCATCGGGAAAAATAGCTAATGCATATTGGGCTTAATACCTAAGTGATGGGTTGATAGATGCAGCAAACCACCATTGTACACATTTACCTATGTAACAAACCTGCACATCCTGCACATGTACCCTGGAACTTAAAATAAAATAAAATAAAATAAAAATTTTAAAAGACTCTTTTAAAAACACAGTACTAAGATGTGTCTTAAATTATTTATTATTTTGAGTTTTGTTTTTATTAAATTCAACTCTACCCTGCTTTGATTTCATGCTTACCAAATAAGAATACTCATATTCCCTGCTATATTTAATGTTTAAATCAGCAGCTCTTCCTTTTTTTATTTCTAATATAGGCACCATTAGTAATAAAAATCAGTTTTTTCACATTGATCTATATATGATACTAGCAAAAGAAAACTAATTTTCTCTTTCATAAAGTGGCATGAACAGAGGTTATGCTGAGAGAAGTTTGTAGGCATTTTCTTTTCTGCTTGTCCATGATTAACTTCTTTGATAAGAAATTGACTCCTTTGTAAATCTTAATGTTTAATTAGTTTAGAAACTGTGAGAGGCTTCGATACAACCAGTACTAAGCATACTCAATGCATACATACATATATTTTGCTTTATAAAGAATGACTTTTTATAGAAAAATTGAATTCTGTCTTAAAACACAAAATTTAAAGTATGAAGTTCCTGTGATTTTTTCTTAAATATACTGCTTGTTTCTGAGTCTAAATATACATGCATATTATTTTTAGCATCATTTAATTATAGTTGGAATTGTGGTTGCAACCACCTTTTCAATTTGCTGCCATTTTGCCTCTTGCCACGAAGTTTCATTCTGGCTCCCCCTCTTTTTGTCTAAGAACCCTGTCAGTCTCATCAGATGAGCCAAAAATGCCCTTGCCTTTTTCAAGCTACACTGGACAAAAAGGAAAGAGAAGAAAAATGAGCTTTTTGAAGATGATTGAATTTTGTATGAATCCAAAGCTCATTTCCTTTCTGGCTTTAGTGAATAAAAGGGTATTTGCGAGATCCTGCAATACTAAGTATCATTTTTTATCATTTTAACATAGGGAGCCATTTCAATAGAAACAAGCTGAGATGAAGGACAATTAAGCAGAGGCCTGGCTTTAGAGTGCTGTTGGCATTCCTAGACAGGTTCCTTTTTGTGATAATATCTAAGCTCTATTCAATTTCCTCAGCTTTATACTGTGGTACTTACAGCTTCACATTATTCAGATTGTGAGAATATATTATTTATTTCTTCTAGAAAGCTTAAAACGTTACTACTGAAACCTGGATATACAGAATGGTGACAAAAAGAGGGCCATCCCCAGAATGTGTTGACCGATTTCTGCAGTTCATTGAGTGCTTATGAAATGTTTGTCTACTTAGAGCTGCATAACTACAGTATTCTTTCCGTTAAATTGATCTTTTTTTTTCCTCTCAGTAAGTATTTATTGAGCATCTACTAAATGTCAAGCTTGGGATACAGCTGCAGTGAACAGGAAAAAAAGCAAAAACTAAAACAAAAATCATCCTGCCTTACATAGTTTATGTTCTAATGATGTATATGTTGTGTTGTGAGGAAAGAGGAGTGTAGGGGTGACCAGAAAAAAAAAGGTATAATATGAAATATACTGAATTTTGGTAAGTGCTAAAGTAATACCTAAAAACTGTGCAGGTCATTGAGGGTGGGAAGTTGCCAGATGGTCTAATAAAGAAGGTAACATTTGATTGAGGTCCATAGATATGTCTAGCAACATCTCTTTCTAGCTCACGATGCTGAAGAAGGCAGAGAAGACTCATGATACCAGATGATCTAGACATAAGTTAAATCCTAAGAGAGACATTCAGATAGCAATGGCAAAGAGTGTGTTGTTTCTTTTTAAGAGGCTCAAACACGGCCGGGCGCGGTGGCTCATGCCTGTAATCCCAGCACTTTGGGAGGCCGAGGCGGGCGGATCACGAGGTCAGGAGATCGAGACCATCCCGGCTAAAACGGTGAAACCCCGTCTCTACTAAAAATACAAAAAATTAGCCGGCCGTAGTGGCGGGCGCCTGTAGTCCCAGCTACTCGGGAGGCTGAGGCAGGAGAATGGCGTGAACCCGGGAGGCGGAGCTTGCAGTGAGCCGAGATCCCGCCACTGCACTCCAGCCTGGGCGACAGAGCGAGACTCCGTCTCAAAAAAAAAAAAAAAAAAAAAGGCTCAAACACAAGCCTCAGTTGAATCCAATAGGACCTATAATTTCTGTTTCTTCATAAACACTGTCAGAGCAATCATAGGTATATAGTGCCAGGAAATAGAAAATGTGCCTGAGTGTTTTCTATGTATACGTACTGAGAAGGCAAAATTTTGCTTGTGCATGTGAGGTTGTTTATTATAGAATATTATAAAGAAATCCATCTATTAGGTAGCTAATAGAATCTCATTCAAACTCCCAACTGGGGCTGAAATTTCTTGCTTGTATCCCTGATGACATGGCCAAAATACTCTTTTCTTGAACATTTTTTTTTGTGGCATTTTGTCGTTGGGTAGCTTCTATTCCAAGGAAAAACATCTTCATGTTGAGTTTAAGCCTGGCCCTTTGTAACTTGAAATCTTATCTGTTTTTATCATTATTACATTTTTAGTGAGAATCCTGTAACACCAGGAGACTCCAGTTCTTGTCCAGGATTAAGCACTAACTGGCTTTACGGCTATGATGATTCATGTAACATCTTTCAAATTCAAATTGTAACATGAGCAATGTAGCAAGCGCTTTTTATAACTGACAGCCCATCACTTACCTGACAGCTATTGTGCCCACCACCTGTCACCATGTCTATTTCTACAGCCTGAACAAAGTCTATGCACATTTACCTGTGTATTCTTTATTAGATGTTATTAGAGATTAAAACAGTAATGTCTAGAGCAGGTAGTATGTAGCATTTTTTTAGGACATTGAATTTTTAAATGTATTATGCTTCCATTTTCTGTGTAAAATGAGGCAAAATTACCTAGATGCTGACTTCTCTTCCGCTAATTCAGGTTAATATTGCCATCATATTCTCAAATTTAGCAAAACATTAATATTGTTTCTAATTGACATGTCTTGCTTCCTCCAAAGACATTCTCTTTTGAAAGCGATGCTAAAAAAAGCATCTTCCTGTGACCTGGCCCAATTTCACAGTCAACCTCAGCATATTGCAAACCATGGACAGCTAAGCTTTCTGCTTTTTATTACTGTGAGTAATGACATTGTCAGTGTTTAATTTTCTAATTTTAAACTCCCTGGCTGAGATTTCAAATCTCTCAATACTCTCGCACTTGACAATTCCTCTATCCACATCTCCATTCTCTACAAACCTAAACTCTCCACAGGTTGAGCCTGTCCCCACTCTGACCTCTCTGTGTGCCAGGTGCATTCTTGCCACTGTACTTTTGCCCAAGCCTAGAGAGAAGGGTCTACATAGTTGCTTCCAGCTAGTCTTCCTTCCAGGTACAGCTAAATTCCCCCCTTTATAAGAAAGCCTTTCCTGATCACTGCCACATGTATAAATCTACACAGCCTCTGAATTCCAAAACATTTAGAACCTCTTTTTATGGATATATTCAACACCTCTAAGTAGTCCATAAGTTCCTTTAAGCCTCATGGATCCTTGCATCGCGCACATGCTAAACATCACTGGCTCTGTGTACTACCTAGCATAGTTTACATTCCTCCTGGAGCCTTCAGGGAAAAGAGCATGGCCACAGGGTGCAGGCAAACCAGGGAGAAGGCTAAGGAGAATCCCAGACTCCCGCTTCCCGGGACGTTTTTGGCCTCAGATATGGAGCTTTGGACCCAGGAGAGTTAAAGGCATTGTCTCAGATTATCTTTCTTAATCTTCTTCTGAGTTGTTTCTCTCTGACTGTGGTCTTTTTATCTCAGCTGCATCAATCTTCTGTCCAAGGGCATCTACAGAGTCCAGAGGGCTAGTATACATCCCAGAGGAGCGGGAAAAGGAGCAGGGACACTGTAAAAGATGTGCCCTGGCTGGACTGCAGGATCCACACCGTAATTAAATAAAATTCCAGTGACAGAGCAGAGCCCTGTCAGATAAATTACATTATGTTTGAATACTTAGCACTTTTTTTCTTGGGCAAACATCAAAGATAATTTGTTTCATTTAAAAAGAAAACAATTGCAATTGCTCTATAAATATTGTTCAACGTAGTAGCAAAATAATTTATAGAAATACAGAGCCTTACAAATCATCTAATTCAATTTTTAATTTTTCAAGTGAAGAACCAAAACAAACTAAAATCACAAAGCTTGTAAAACTTATTCATGATCACTCTTTAGGGAAGGCTAGAGCTGAGATTTGTGTGTTTTTTGTTTTTTGATTTCTTTTGTTTTGGTTTTGTACTAATAAGACTGGAAATAAAACAAAGACTGAGCAGACAAATCAGAAAAAAATATACTGGATGCACTGTAATGAACATTTCTATTCCGCTATAAACATTTTTGTGGCCAGGTGACTGGAAATCAAGCAAACATATTTTTCAGATATTTTCATGTATATTAAGACACAATTAATTTATGAGTGAAGAATCTCCAATTTTTCCTATAGGACTAGTGTATTCCCCAAAGATCATCGTTAAGTAGGGCTCTGATGACAGCTAAAGCTGTCAAGAGGGTTCCTTGGAAAAACTCCAAGCAAGGGAAACCTGACTTATGACAGAGGAATACAAAAGACAATTTTCCTTTCCCATAATTGAAGTCAGTGTCATTTTTCCATTTGATATTTTAAGCGTCAGCAATATGTCTAAGCAAACTGGAGACATACTACATTTGAAAGTAAATTTAGAGGCTATAATCCTGGTTTCATCAGACTCACTGTCGGTCAGTGAAGTTCGTCATGATTGGACTTCTCCCCTACAAAGAAAAGGAAGCCTCTGCCTTTGAATTTCAAATTTGAATATGAAAAAGGCACCTGAGCTTCAGTGTCAGTCAGTAAAAGTGTCTCTGTCACCTACCTGGGTTCTGCCACAAAATCTGCAAATCTTACTCATTACATGTGATGACAGTTGCTATTAAATACTGGTTTTATTAAGATGTTCGTTAATTTTTGTATTCAAAAAGTAATTAAAGAGAGGGAACTGAAGCTTTAAATTTCAGTCAGTATTCTCCACACTCAGTTCTTATGTTTCTTTGTATTTATTAGTAACTAAGACCTCTGGGTCTAATAGACTTTCAGGCCACCAATCTATATTCAGTTCCTACCCTGTGCCAGGCCGCTTTCCTCTGTTAGAGAATGTATGCACATCAGCTAATTCCTCACATCAGCTCATCAACCCTGCAAAGGCAGGCATTTTTCTTCCCATTCTAATGATGAGAAAAACAAGGTCAATACAGGTTGTATATGTTCTGCTCTCCAACGTAAAACTTATCTGATTAGTGACAGATAAAGGAGTTGTATCTGGGACTTTCTGATTTCTCACACCTTGCTGTCTCCTATTTAATGTTTCTAAATTTAACCATTGGGTAGGGCTTTTGTGCAACATTTGGATGTTTGATCACATTGACTTAGACATCCAGCCCATGGCAACCTGAAGCTGAATGACAAAAAAAACCTACCTCCTTACCTCACACCTCTGCTTCTCCCTTCTGCCCCCTTATTGCTTATGTGCTACTTTGTTTTTTGTTTTGTTTTGTTTTTACATTTAGGCTTGAAAAATTGGCATTGACCTTAAATAATTTTTTATTTTCCAAAACCCACTATATGCTTATTTCATTTGATTCTTTCACAAAGCAAGGTAAGAAGGGAAATTCTTAAATCTCCCAATTTACTGCAGAAGACACCAAATCCCAAGGCAGCCATTCAGTGACTGGCTTAACATCACTTGCTGCCACTCACTTGCTCTAAGAACAACTTTTATTCCTGTTGTGTCCTGTATGCTTTCCACAGGGTTTGTTCTTCTTAAGAAGGATGACCATGTAATTTACTATCCAAACTAGGACACTTTTGAGGATGAAAAAGGATTCTGTTTAGAATAAAGCAAGGACAACAGGGATATACCAGGATCCTGGGGCGAACGTCAACAGATGGCCAGCCTAGTCTAAATGAACCTGAAAGTTTCCTTTTAAACAATGATCCTTATTAGCAAATTGCCGGGAGTTTTGGTGACAAATGAAAGTCTCTGTTATGTAAGAAATTAATCCAGTTTTTCTAAGTCATTGATATACTAATTACACATATAGATCTATTAATGGATATACACAAACACTAATAAAAAGGCCTAAAAATATTTTACCCTTTGGATGTTTAAACTTACTTATGTTTACATAATAACACTTAGAAAAATAATCATGATGCTGCTTATGTTACAACACTTTATAATTTATCTACTGCTCTTGTAAGGAGCTAACATCATTTATTATTTTTTAAGCTTCATAATAACTGTAATGATAATCATCATAATTATGGTTAATATTTATTGGCAACCATGCATTCTATCAATCAATCCATCTCAGTAAACTATAGAGTAAGTATTACTGTTTCTCTGTATTGGAGAGAAAGAAATTTAGGGACAGAGAGATTTGGTAACTTCATTGTCATGCTGCTGCTAAGTCTGACTTCATATGTGCTCTTACCACTATTCATCAGGAGTTCTCCACCTTGAGATAAATATGCATGCCTCATCCTTCCTGTTTCTTTCACAGACAAGCAAACTAGGGTATCAAGAGGCTGAGTTCCTCCTAGAAGACTCCTGATTACTAAGAGGGAGACCTATATTTAAAACTCAGGTCTTTTTATTTCCTGTTTGTTCTGCCCTCATTTATCACACAGTGCTTCATGAATAACAGATTTATTTTTAATCAACACAATAACCTGTTTAATTATGTTCAGAAACTTCAATGTGAGTTTCAAAGCCTATATCAATAGCATTCCTTGTCATGCTATTTAACTTTTCTTCTTTCCTTCCTTTCTTCTTGCATTCATTTTTTTCCATCCTTCTTCCTTCCTTCCTGACTACTTACATCAAACATCCTCTGAGTAACTGTTTAATTCTTAGCAGTAGGCTAAACACAGGTTACTCTAAGACAACATAACTTGTTTAAGATAGTCGTAATCTGGTCCTGGACTTTTTTTGTTGGTAGGTTATTAATTACTGCCTCAATTTCAAAATTTGTTATTGGTCTATTCAGGGATTTGACTTCTTCCTGATTTAGTCTTGGGAGGGTGTATGTGTCCAGGAATTTATCCATTTCTTTGAGATTTTCTTGTTTATTTGCATAGAGGTGTTTATAGTATTCTGTAATGTAGTTTTTATTTCTCTGAGGTCAGTGGTGATATCCCATTTATCATTTTTTTATTGTGTCTATTGGATTCACAGCCAAATTCTACCAGAGGTACAAAGAAGAGCTGGTAACATTCCTTCTGAAACTATTCCAAACAATAGAAAAAGAGGGACTCCTCCCTAAGTCATTATATGAGGCCAGCATCATCCTGATACCAAAACCTAGCAGAGATACAACAACAACAACAAAATTTCAGGCCAATATCCCTGATGAACATCGATGTGAAATGCTCAATAAAATACTGGCAAACTGAATCCAGCAGCATATCAAAATGCTTATCTGCCACGTTCAAGTCAACGCCATCCCTGGGATGTAACGCTGGTTCAATATATGCAAATAAATAAACATAATCCATCACATAAACAGAACCAATGACAAAAGCCACCTGATTATTTCAATAGATGCAGAAAAGGCTTTCGATAAAATTCAACACCTCTTCATGCAAAAAAAAACACACAATAAACTAGGTATTGATGGAACATATCTCAAAATAATAAGAGCTATTTATGACAAACCCATACCCAATATCATACTGAATGGGCAAAAGCTAGAAGCATTCCCTTTGAAAACAGGCACAAGACAAGAATGCCCTCTCTCACCACTCCTATTCAACATAGTATTGGAAGTTCTGGCCAGGGCAATCAGGCAAGAGAAAGAAACAGAGTATTCAGATAGGAAGAGAGGAAGTCAAATTGTCTCTGTTTGCAGATGACATGATTGTATATTTAGAAAACCCTATCGTCTCAGCCCAAAACCTCCTTAAGCTGATAAGCAACTTCAGCAAAGTCTCAGGATACAAATTCAATGTGCAAAAATCACAAGCATTCCTATATACCAATAATAGACAAACAGAGAGTCAAATCATGAGAGAACTCCCATTCACCATTGCTACAAAGAGAATAAAATACCTAGGAATACAACTACAAGGGACGTGAAGGACTTCTTCAAGGAGAACTACAAACTGCTGCTCAAGAAAATAAGAGAGGACACAAACAAATGGAAAAACATTCCATGCTCATGGATAGGAAGAATTAATATCATGAAAATGGCCATACTGCCCAAAGTAATTTATAGATTCAATGCTAGACTTATCAAGCTACCATTGACTTTCTTCACAGAATTAGAAAAAACTACTTTAACTTTCATATGGAACCAAAAAAGAGCCCATATATCCAAGACAATCCAAAGCCAAAAGAATAAAGCTGGAAACATCACGCTACCTGACTTCAAACTATACTAAAAGGCTACAGTAACCCAAACAGCGTGGTGCTCGTACCAAAACAGAGACATAGACCAATGGAACAGAACAGAGGCCTCAGAAATAGCACCATACATCTACAACCATCTGATCTTTTACAAACCTGACAAAAACAAACAAGCAATGGGGAATGGATTTCCTATTTAATAAATGGTGTTGGGAAAACTGGCTACTCATATGCAGAAAACTGAAACTGGACCCCTTCTTTGCACCTTATACAAAAATTAACTCAAAGTGGACTAAAGAATTAAATATAAAACCTAAAACCATAAAAACCCTAGAGGAAAACCTAAGCAATACCATTTAGGATATAGGCATGGGCAAAGACTTCATGACTAAAACACAAAAAGCAATGGCAACACAAGCCAAAATTGACAAATGAGATCTAATTAAATGAAAGGGCTTCTGCACAGCAAAAGAAACTATCATCAGAGTGAACAGGCAACCCACAGAATGGGACAAAATTTCTGTAATCTATCCATCTGACAAAGATCTAATATCCAGAATCCATGAGGAACACAAATAAATTTCCAAAAAATGCCCAAACAACCCCATCAAAAAGTGGGCAAAGAATATGAACAGACATTTCTCAAAAAAAGACATTTATGCAGTCAACACACATAGGAAAAAAAGCTCATCATCACTGGTCATTAGAGAAATGCAAATCAAAACCATAGTGAGATTCTATTTCATGCCAGTTAGAATGGTGATCATCAAAACCTCAAGAAACAGCAGATGCTGGCAAGGCTGTGGAGCAATAGAAACACTTTTACACTGTCAGTGGGAGTGTAAATTAGTTCCATCATTGTGGAAGGTAGTGTGGCGATTCCTCAAGGATCTGGAACCAGAAATACCATTTGACCCAGCAATCCCATTACTGAGTACATATCCAAAGGATTGTAAATCATTCTACTATAAAGACACATGTACACGTATGTTTATTGCAGCACTATTTACAGTAGCAATGACTTGGAACCAACCCAAATGCCCATCGATTATAGACTGGATAAAGAAAATGTGGTACACATACACCATGGAAAACTATGCAGCCATAAAAAATGAGTTCATGTCCTTTGCAGGGAGATGGATGAAGCTGGAAACCATCATTCTCAGCAAACTAACACAGGAACAGAAAACCAAACACTGCATGTTCTCTCTCACAAGTGGGAGTTGCACAATGAGAACACATGGACACAGGGAGGGGAACATCACACACTGGGACCTGTCAGGGGTTGGGGACTAGGGGAGGGATAGCATTATGACAAATATCTAATGCATGCAGGGCTTAAAACCTAGTGACACGTTGATGGGTACAGCAAACCACCATGGCACATGTATACCTATGTAACAAACCTGCACGTTCTGTACATATATCCCTTAAAGTATAATAAAAAAAGTTAGTCATAATCTATTGAAAGATAAAGACCTATCAATTGAGGGTTTCTGTAGCCTGCACCATGGCCATGTGTGAGGAGCAGTGGGAGTATCTTATAGTTCTGTGGATGAAGCTGGGATGAGGGGGAGGTAGGAAAGAGTAGGAAAGAGTAGAATGAGAAGGAAGCGGGAGGCTTTTTTGAGGAAATGCTGTAGTGGCTTTGCAGAATGAGAGAAGAAAGTATCTTTTTAAAAGTATTTATTGACTACTCTTATATAGCATTAACAAAAAAAGAAACAAAAAGAAAAATAAAAGTATTTATTAATGTATTAATTTTTATTTAATAAATAATAATTGTATATCTTTGTGGGGTACAATGTGATATTTTTATCTATGTATACATTGTGAAAAGATTAAGTCAAACTGATTCACATATCTATTACCTCACAACCTTATTGGGTTTTTTTGTAGCAAGAGTGTGAAAAAAATCTATTTTTTTAGCAAGTTTGAAATACACAATATGTTGTTATTATTTTGGTCACCACACAGTACAATAAAATACTAAAAAGTATTCCCCTAGTCTAACTTTGTACCCTTTGCTCAATATCTTCTCTTTTTTCATTCTTCTCCTTTCCTACCAGCCTCTGGTAATCACCTTTCTACATTCTGTTTCTATGAGGATTTGTTTAGAGTCTACATACATGAAGTTGTAGTATTTGTCTTTCTGTGTTTGGCTTATTTAATTTTGCATAATGTCCTCCAGTTCCATCAATGTTGTTATAAATGACATAATTTCCTTATTTTCTTAAGGTTGTAGAGTATAGGGTTAGCATACCTTATCCAGTGACGTGGTTTGGCCGTGTCCCCACTCAAATCTCATTTTGAATTGTAGCTCCCATAATTCCCACATGTGGTGGGAGGGACTTAGTGGAAGATAACTGAATCATGGGGGCAGTTTCCCCCATACTGTTCTCATGGTAGTGGACAAGTCTCACAGGATCTGATGATTTTATAAATAGGAGTTCCCCTGCACAAGCCCTCTTGCCTGCCACCATGTAAGACATAGATTTTGCCTTCTACCATGATTAAGAGACCTCCCAGCCATGTGGAATTGTGAGTCCATTAAACCTCTTTTCCTTTATAAATTACCCAGTATGTCTTTATCAGCAGTGTGAAGATGGAGTAATATATTCAGAATGCTTGGGACCAGAAATGTTTTGGATTTCAGATTTGTTCAGATTTTTAAATATTTGCATTATTCTTGGCTCAACATTCCTAACCCCAAAACCCAAAATATGTTATGCTTTAATGAGCATATCTTTTGAGTGTCATGTTAACACTCAAAAAGTTTTAGAGTTTGGAGCATTTTAGATTTTTGGATTAGGGGTATTCAAGTTGTATAGACATTACAACTGATACAACAGAAACACAAAGAATTGTAAAAGACTGCTATGAACAACTATACAACAACGAATGTATAACTTAAGGGAAATAGATGAATTCCTAGAAACATGCAACCTACCAAGACTGAATCAGGAAGAAATACGCATGATGGAATACCATACAGTCTTAAAAGAAACAGTGCTTTTAGAGGGAGCTGTTGGAGAATTTACATGTGAATAGCAGGGTAAAACGTAAATGTAACTGTAGAGAAAAGTAGAGACAAAACTTGAAGGCTGTGTATGCCCCACTGCGGGATTCACATTTTAATATGAAGGCTGGGGATGAAGACCACATCTCTCTCCACAAAAGGCACTGCACGGCTGGCCAGAACAAGGCCCAGGGGCTCCCGTGACCAGTGAAATAAAGCATGCAAAGGGAGCCACAGAAAGGGCTATGGGCAAACAGTAGGAAGCCTGGGGATGCTAACCTCCTGGATGAAAAGATCATGCTCTATCTGGCACATGGCTGTGGAGAAGGAAGTGGGCAAATGCCACACTAAATGGCTTCTCAAAGACAGTTCTGAGAAAGAGTAGGTCTAAATAGAGTGCAATTAGAGCTCAAATCTTCCTGCAGGACAGTGACTATGTCACGTTCATCTTTGATTCCCAACAGGTGGTGCAACTGCTGGCCCAGAGTAGGTATTCATGGCTGGGCATGGTGGTTCATACCTGTAATCATAGCCCTTTGGGAGGCTCAGGCGGGTGAGTCACTTGAGGCTAGGAGCTGGAGACCAGCCTGGCCAACATAGCAAAATCCTGTCTCTACTAAAAATACAAAAATTAGCTGGGTGTGGTAGCAGGCATGAGTCCCAGCTACATTCTGAGGTATGAGAATCACTTGAGCCTGGGAGGTGGAGGTTGCAGTGAGCTGAGATCACACCACTGCAGTCTAGCCTGGGCAACAGAGCAAGACTCTGTCTCAAAAAAAATAAAATAAAATAAAAAAGTAAAGAGTAGGTATTCATGACTCATTGAGTAGATAGAAATAAGAGATAAGATCTTAAAAATAACCATAATAACACGTGGATGTGTTCCAATATGTCCTTACTAACAGGCACTATTTTGAGCATTTTATAGACATTAATATAACTAATCTTCAAGATAATAGATAATCCTGGGAGGCACCTCAGCACCTGTGTCTCCCTTTGAGATTCAAACAAGTTCTTGAGCTTTGATTACTTTTAATTATTCATGAAGTTACCTTACTCAGTCTTACCAAAAAGTGACAGTGTGATTTCCTTCTCTCTGGTCCTACAGTATCTGTATTCAACAATGTTGTGAATAAAAACCACAGGTCATTTTATTTCAAAGGTGTCCTTCATCAAATACCTGTCTTGTATCATCTTTGTCTTCTTAGTTTCAGGTAAGAGTCTGAGGGCATTTGTGTAACTGCTCGAATAGTACAAGAATAGTCATAAGTTTATTGAACAATATTTCTTTTTCAACCATTCCTGTATTGAAGTTGCTGAAGTTGCTCGGTGGTCCTTGGTGTGGTTGTCTAGAGGCCAACTCACCAGCACAAACAGCACTAGTCGGGAAACATAAGTGACAATGATGTGAGCGATACATGTAGAAGCCAAAGCTTGCCTCTAGTTACACATAATTTCAATCTTTGCTATTATTGTTAGTCTGTTGTTTCTTAATAATTTTACTTCATTAATATTAGCCTAGTGTATGGACACAATTACAAAGCCTAGTAGCCCAAAATCAGAAGAGTTGATGTCTAATCCAATTCCTGTACATAATAGCTGTATAGTCTTGAGCAAAACTGTTAAAATATCTCAGATGTCTCCTCTTTGAAAGGCGTATTACTCCCTACACCATTTTTAATCTCTCTTAGAGAAACTATGTAAAAGCAGAATAAAAAACTTTGAAGACTTTCAAAATGTTATTAAGGGACTATTAATGACATTATCTGAAGCAGGCTTGCTGGGAACTTTTGCAGTTGCCCAACATTTACAAAAAGAGAATGTAAGAAACAATGAAGCCAAATTACAAGTTCTTTAATGTTCTAATATTTCTAATACATTGTATTTTATGAATAAGCAGTCCACTAAGATAGTTTAGTAAAAACTTGAAGCCAAATGAAAACTTGTTTAGTCTCTATCTTGAGGAATATAAGAGGCAGGCTTTTATGGATACCTCTATTGCATAAAATTTTCCTCACAGTAAAAAAACTGGTGTAATTCAGGGCAAGAATAGAAACAGGACAGAGAGGAAAATATACAAAGTTGTAGCACAATATTCTATCTTAAATCATTTCATGACTTTTATTAACAGCAAAATTCAAAATAAATTATTCATGAAATTTGTCCACAAATATTTTCTTGAACTTGAGCTGAACTTTGATGAACATAGTGCATTTGGTCTGACATATTTATCATCATTTTCATGGCCTCCATTCCACTTTGCTTGGATTGTTATAAAGCAGCAACAGTGAATTAACTGAATCCATAGCTACCAACCAAGGGGGACCTTATTGGAACATATCTATGTTCAATGTTCTCCTTTATGCAATATTTGTTCTTGACAGAGGCAATCTAAGGAGAGGTATGTAAAAGTGTTAATTACGGAAAAAACATGAGGCAAAGTTTTTATCATTGATTATTTTGGAAAAATATAAACTGAGAGTTCACTGAAAATACAGTTAATAAAAAATAATCTAAGGTTCTTGAGATAGTTGTGTGTGTACACATGTATGTTTTAAATAGAGTTTTCCTGGCAGAAGATAACGATGCCCTTTCTCACCACTCCTATTGAATGTAGTGCTGGAAATCCTGGCCAGGGCAATCAGGCAAGAGAAAGAAATAAAGGGCATCCAAATAAGGAGAAAGTCAAACTACTCCTGTTTGAAGATCCTATATCTAGAAAACCCTATAGTCTCAGCCCAAAAACTTCTTTACCTGATAAACAATGTCAGCAAAGTCTCAGGATACAAAATCAATGTGCGAAAATCAACAACAATGAAGCCGAGAGCCAAATCAGTAACACAATCACATTCACAATTGCCATAAAAAAGAATAAAATACCTAGGAATACAGCTAACCAGAAAGGTGAAAGATCTCTACAATGAGAACTACAAAACACTGCTCAAAGAAATCAGAGATGACATAAACAAGTGGAAAAACATTCCAAGGTCATGGATAGAAAGAATCAATATAGTTAAAATGACCACTCTGCCCAAGACAATTTGTAAAAAAAACTATTATAAAATTTACATGGAACCAATAAGAGCTCAAATAGCCAAGACAATCCTAAGCAAAAAAAAATAAAAAAAAAAATAAAGCTGGAGGTGTCATGCTACCCAGTTTCAAATTATATTACAGGGCTACAGTAACCAAAACAGATTGGCACTGGTACAAAAGCAGACACATAGACCAATGAAACAGCATGGAGAACCCAGAAATAAGGCTGCATACTTACAACTATCTCATCTTTGGCAAAACTGACAAAAACAAGCAATAAGGGAAGGATTCCCTACTCAATAAATAAAAGGATTCTGTACTCCCTTCAGCCACATGCAGAAGGCTAAAAATTGGTCCCCTTCCTTTCATATACAAAAAGTAAATCAAGATGGAATAAAGATTTAAATATACATCCAAAACTATAAAAAGCTTGGAAGACAACCTAGGCAATACTATCCTGGACCTAGGAATGGGCAAAAATTTCATGAGGAAGATGCCAAAAGCAATTGCAACAAAAGCAAAAATTGACAAGTGGAATCTAATTAAACTAAACAGCTTCTGCACAGCAAATGAAACTATCAACAGAGTGAACAGACAACCTACAAAATGGAGGAAAAATTTTGCAAACTATGCATCTGACATAGAAGCTACAAAGAACTTAAACAAATTTACAAGAAACAAAAAAACATTAAAAAGTGGGCAAAGGACATGAACAGACACTTTTCAAAAGAAGATGTACATGTGGCCAACAATCATATAAACAAAAGCTCAACATCACTGATCATTAGAGAAATGCAAATCAAAATCACAATGAGATACCATCTCACACCATTCAGAATGGCTATTACTAGAAAGTCAAAAAATACCAGAGGCTGTTGGGGTCGTGGAGAAAAAGAAACACTTATACGCTGTTGATGGAAGTGTAAATAGTTCAGCCATGTGGAAGACAGTGTGGCAATTCTTCAAAGACCTAAACATAAGAACACCATTTGACCCAGCAATCCCATTATTGGTTATATACCCAAAGGAATGTAAATCATTCTGTTATAGAGACACATGCACATGTATGTTCCTTACCGCACTATTCACAATATCAAAAACATATCAATCTAAATGTCCAATAACGGTAGACTGGATAAAGAGATTGTGGTACATATACACCATGGAATACTATGCAGCCAAAAAAAGAATAAAATCATGTCATTTGCAGGAACTTGGATGGAGCAAGTTTGCTAAGGCCATTATCCTTAGCAAACTAATGCAGGAACAGAAAATCAAATACTGCATGTTTTCGCTTATAAGTTGGAGCTAAATGATGAGAACACGTGTACACATGGAGGGGAATACCACCAGTGGGGCCTGTTGGAGGGTGGATGGTGGGAGGAGGAAAAGGATCAGAAAAAATAATGAATGGGTACTAGACGTAATATCTGGGGGATGAAATAATCTGTACAGCAAACCCCCATGACACAAGTTTATCTGTATGACAAGTTTACCTATATGACAAACCTGCACATCCCTGAACTTAAAATAAAAGTTAATAAGAAGAAAAAAAGAAGAAAATTCTTTAAATAAATTAGAGTTTTCAAATTTGTCCTCCTGAATTTTAAAGTAAATAAACAGAATGTGTTTTCATTTACTATTCATTTTAATATATATTATATATTTCATTTACTATTTATTTAATGTATATACATCAAACACTTACTTTGATAAAGATATTGGCCTTTGTGCTGTTATTTAAGACAAAGAAAATAAAATTGTTGTCCCCACAGTGTTTATACATTCACTTGTAGAGATTAGACAACAAATGGCAATCTTAAGACAGAGACATGCTTTATTTTTTGTTTTTATTGTTGCTTTTCACGCCAATACCAATGAGATTCACTAATATCTTTGGGTAGGAGCTTGATCATCAGTTCTAACATTTAGATTATAGATTTGCACTGGTGATATTAAAATGCTGAATAATGTGGTCTTTACTATGGCCCCATTTGGAAACCCCTTGCTTCTGATAAATATGGCCATAAGCAGCATGTCATGATTATCTTCATTTGGACCCTCTGCTGTGGCTGGGCCTGCAAGGCTGATTTCCTATGAGCCACATGTGCCTCAGATTCCTTCACTTTAAACTGGATTGTTCTCCGGAAATTAAAACAAAATTGGATGTTCAGTTACCTAGCAGAAAGATGTGCTACAAAAGAAATTGCATTATATGCTCCAAAGACAAAGATGACCTTTGGATTATGCGTTATTTAGGATTCTGAATGCTCCTGGTCTCTTCTCTGCCTGCAATAATTGAGGGAAGATTTCATCTGTTTTATTTAACCTTTCCTTCTTTAGCAATATTTAAAAAACATCTGATGTGTCCATTTTTCCTTGGCCTTAGCTACATCTAGGTTTTTAAGCACTATCTACACATATCTAAGTAAAATGATTTCAAGTTTTGAAAGAATTCAAAATAATTATATGCTAAGTCATTTATCATTCCATATATATTATTTTATGGATAATTTTAACGGTAACTGTGGTCAAAACAGATAACAGAACTCTTCTTTTGATGACATCACATGCAAACACATTATGAAAAATAGTCCTACTTTCCAACATACCGGGACCTCTACCACCTTGGAAAAATTATCAGAGGATCCAGAGAGTGATTCTTTAGATTGTAGATGCCCATGCAGTTACCTCTCCCCAGGAAACATGCTTTTAGCAAGGACTCTGTAGAGCTCTGACTCTGTAATCTCCAAAAGAGAGGCTTATGGAGTTAGAAAGCTCACGCTCTAGCACATTTGCAATAGCCAAAATCAAAGATTTGTTTTTTCCTTTTAAAAATGGAGTAATCATACCTGCCTGACCAGGTCACAAAATTACGAGGTTTGAATATCTTAAGACTACTTTGTGTGAAAAATGCTTTTATTCCCTAAAATCTATTTAACTAAAATCAAGTTTGTCATCTCTTCATATGAAAATAGCAGAATAGATTCTCACTGAATATGGGGTGTGTTTTTGAGTTTGTGAAACTTAAATACAGTCTCAAGATTAACTGAGGATATTCTAGGAGCATTTCAAAGACATACTAAGTCCTTCTTCAGATCAAAAACCAATGTGATTACAAACTGAGAGGACCATGGTTGCCAATAGGAGCCCCATATTAACTGTTATCGAGACAGAAGCTCAGCTTGAAGGCAGCATTTTACGTCAAAACAGTTTCTCAATATCAAGTAAATGTTGAAAGAATGACAGTGAGGCAAGAGAGTATTATGTAATTGCAAGCAACATAATATTATTAAAGCAAGAAATCATGGCTGAAACGTAGGTTCTATAAACGGTCTCTTATTTTGCCTCTCTTGGGCCAGTCTGGAATAGTCAGGGGAAGTTTCTGTCTTTTTGTTAGTAAAAGTTACACGTTAAATAATGTTATTTTTATCACTACATATTAGCTAATACGAGCTTTGACAAATGCATAGTATATTCTTATATGTAAGCAGGGTTATAATTTCTACACAATAGCTATCGTAATTGTTTTAAAGAATAAAATTACAGAGTAAAACCACTAACACTCATTTTATTAGCATTGAGTCAAACAGAGAAACTTCTTGAAAAAGAATATGTGAGTAAGTGGGAGAATTTATTTAAGAGCTGGAAAACATCTTGAGTTAAACTAATTCAGTGCTTTCGCTTTTTAAATGAGAAAATAGAGCCCTAAAGTATTGAAGGCTACTGTGGTATTTCTTGTTAAATTGTGTCACTGTCAGTCAAGGAAAAATGCTCATTTCCCTGAGTCTATTGGAGTGGGCTGTACCTCCCTCCCTACTATCAATGGCAAAGCCTAACAGCTAGTTTTCATTGAGGAGATGGAAATGTGCTTTCCTGATTTTCTGTAGCAAAAATCACACTTACTTCAGCTACATTTCAGGGAAATGTGTTTTTTAAAATGTTTATTACTATCAGCAATTTATTGTTATAGACCTAGTTCTTTTATTTATTCCCCCTTTGTTTTTTGTAACTGGAGGTTGTTGGGAGATTTGCTTCCCCAAAACAGCCACATTTAAGTATATGATAAGGGAACTAGAGAATGAATATCCTGGAGGTGATGAAACCTATCAGCATGTAGAAGGTAATGCTTTCTTCTGAGTTGAAATTTCCAAAGAGTCAGTTCTCTGTGAGGTCAGTGAAAAAGAGAAGAAATGAGCTAATTCCAGCATTTTGGTTGCTGGGAGGTGTAGGATCCAGAGACAACTGGGGAACTGGTGAAGGTCGTGAAAACTGTTGTGCCTCTCCGGTCAGTACTGACACTGACTTGCAGAAATGCTAAAATTCACCATCACCACACTATCTTCACATTTCCATATTATATTAAAATAGTTTATGCAAGATGAGCTACCAAGGTTTGGATTGCATAAGAAACATATGTGCAAAGCAAAGTTGAAAATGAAAGCCAGGACTGGAACTGGGGTAAGGCAGGCACAGAATTTGGAGAGAGGAGCAGGGGAGCAAGCACCAAAAATTCAATAATCTAGAAAAATTACTTTTAGTAAATATTTAAAAATTCAAAATTTATGCAAAAATCCATGAAGAACATTTCAAAATTGGTATTAGTGGGTTTTTTTTGTTTTTTTTTTTTTTTTTCACTTTGCCTCAGGCTCCAATATGATTCGGCATGGCTCTGATGGAAGATACAGAAGATCAAGGGAAACCAAAGAGAAATTAAATAATTATTTCTATTCATAACATTGAATATAATAGAAGTAGCATTGTAGAAGATAGGTATTTGCAAAATCTGACTTGGAGATGGAAATGAAATCCGTGCTTATAGATTAGCTTCAAATCCACCTCTCTCTTGCTTTTAATCATCTCATAATGTGGATCAGTGGTCATACATTGTCTATATATTTTCTTTTAGCTGGTTCTTGATAGCATCATGGATTGTTAATTACTTTGAATTCAGTGAATTGACATTAGAAGGGTTAAAAAAGACTTTCAAGGAAACAGGATTTTTATGATACAGAAAATGGCATTGAGTTTCACGGGAAAATGTATTCAGGGAAATTGTATTGAGAATAGGCCCAATTTGTTTGTAGAAAGACTTCAAAATTAATTAATAGAATGAATGTAGATATTATGGAATGATATATGAAAAGATGACATCAAGGAATTAAGAATGAAAATAAGTCAAAATATTAGACATAAATTAAACTGTTGTTTCCATCCATTAGAAACCTGAGGTGGTACATTGTTTTAAAACATAGACAAGTGTTCTCATTGTTCAATTCCCACCTATGAGTGAGAACATGTGGTGTTTGGTTTTCTGTCCTTGTGATAGTTTGCTGAGAATGATGGTTTCCAGCTTCATCCATGTCCCTGCAAAGGACACGAACTCATTTTTTTTTTATGGCTGCATAGAATTCCATTGTGTATATCTACCACATTTTCTTAATCCATTCTATCATTGACAGACATTTGGGTTGCTTCCAAGTCTTTGCTATTGTGAATTGTGCTGCAATAAACATACGTGTGCATGTGTCTTTATAGTAGCATGATTTACAATCCTTTGGATATATACCCAGTAATGGGATGGCTGGGTCAAATGGTATTTCTAGTTCTAGATCCTTGAGGAATAGCCACACTGTCCTCCACAATGGTTGAACTAATTTACACTCCCACGAACAGTGTAAAAGCGTTCCTATTTCTCCACATCCTCTACAGCATCTGTTCTTTCCTGACTTTTTAATGATCATCATTCTAATTGGCGTGAGATGTTATCTCATTGTGGTTTTGATTTGCATTTCTCTGATGACCGGTGATGATGAGCATTTTTCCATGTGTCTGTTGGCTGCACGAATGTCTTCTTTTGAGAAGTGTCTATTCATATGTTTTGCCCATTTTTTGATGGGGTTAAAAAATGACGAGTTGATGGATGCAGCAAACCAACATGGCACATGTATACCTATGTACAAACCTGTACGTTGTGCACATGTACCCTAGAACTTAAAGTTCAATAAAAAAATAAAAATAAAACATAGACAAGTACACAAAATAAATTTAAAACTCACTACTTGGGAGAAAATTTATTTAAATTACTTGATCTTGTGTAAAAAAGTAAACTTAATTTTAAATTCAATGTAATCATTGTATCTAAAGACAAATGGCATAGGATTATATCTTTAATACCTATCCACTTACTTATCTGCAGTATAACTGCACTCGCTGATTTGATCAGTTGAGCAACAAATGCAGATTCTAAGTATTAACTCAAATGACATGATAATTTGATTAGACAAGATATTTAACACTATTATATCTGGAAATACTTATGTACAGAATATGGATGTTAAAAAATCTACTTTCTTCCTTTACACTAATATTAAAGGTGGGGAATATAAAGTCAAGAGAGGTTGGTCACTCAGCTCGCTACTGAAAGATCCTGGCTTACTAGGAGACAGTAGTAATTTATACACAGTAATGTCTACACTTACAGTAATTAAAACTTTGCAAAGGTGTTAATAATTAGAAGAAAAAAACACTTGTATAGCACATGTTCAAGAAGCAGAACAATCCGGAAAAGTGAGACTATTTCACATTGGAGTAGAAAAAGGAAGGAAGGAAACAGAGGAGTGAATATAAATCCCAACTTGTAAACAAGTATTTCCTGAGAGTCTGTTAAGAAATCCACGAAAGCACATATTCTAATGAAGATGGTCTAGATTAGCACCAGCACACCAGACACAGATGAATTGAATGAAACTTTAAAATTTTGCCTATCTGAATTTCTCTGGTCCAAATGGTAGTAATTCATAGAATGTAGCTGGAAACTATCGTCTTCCTTGTCAGGTTATTAAACAGTATCCTTTGAGATTTAGAGGGGTGTAGACTCTAAAAATGAGTCTACATTTCAAGAAGAGTACACCATGTGTATAATATCACAGAAGATTATTTTTAACATGGAAAATTTCATTTCAGGAGAAAATATGTATTTATATTGCCTGTAACATTCAAAGACACATACTAGCAGATATATGGGAACAGATTATTAACATATTATGTTTTGGTGACTGCTAGAGAGATACTCTTGCTTTCACATTTCTCTTTTATCAGCCTACAATAATATCTAAAATGGTTTTAAAATCATGTTAGTATGTTTGTTTGGTGATTAAATATATTTAATAAAACAACTATAATTACCCACTAAGTTGAGTGGTGGGGGTTCACAAGTGTTTGTTTTATTCTCAACCTTTCTAGGTTATTTTTTTAATATGTATCAAGAAATTCATACTCAAAAAGTTATATAAAACTAAAATTCTAGGGAAATTACTCAACATGATTGATAAAATCATTTATGCCACAGTTTCTTGAATAAGTAAATTTTGAGTTCTTTGGGAAAGTACTATGCTAAAAACAAAATCTAATGGACTGAGAGAAAAATGTAATGAAGGGATAAAGAGCTTCATTCTTAGAAAGAGGTGTGTCTTTGATCCTATCCAAAGGGTGTTAGCTGTAGTTTAGAATTAGAAGAAACTAATTTTAACTAACAAATATGCAAGTGTCCCATGTATCCTGAGCCCTTGCTATCATGAGAAAGAGAGAAAGCAGCATCATGTAGACTAGGGATTCTCAAACTGCTATACAATATAATTATATGGGGAGGTTTGAAAACACCCCTTAGAGTTTGTGATTTTGTAGATCTGAAATGTGGTGTGAGCATTTGTATTTCTAACAGGTTCCCAGATGCTGTAGCTGCTGAGGACCAGGGAGCGACAATTTGAGAAGTACTGGCATAGAGTATAGAGCATATAAAACTTAACTTATAGAGTTTATATTATAGAGAAAAGACAGGACATACACAGAGGAGGTTAAATATACAAATCCGAATATGTTAAATGTTAAATAAATAGCAAAGACAGCGAAAAGTAGAAATACTGAGAGGGAGAATAAATTACTGTGGGTTTGGATATTTACCTCTTAGTTCTTGAAGAATAAGTGAAATTAAAATAAGCAGAGAAGATTCCAGAAAGCTATTGGAAAAGAGTAGGATATCTTATGCAAAAGTTACATATAGAGACATAAGGTATACTTGGGAGACAATGAAAAGTTCCTTTTGTCTGGAACAAAGTGTTTGTATAAGAAAACAATAACTCCCATTGGCTGAGTTTTACTTGAGGCTGATTCTAGAAGGTCTACATAGAAATCCGAATAAAAAGAAAACTTTATCCACCAGACAGCTTTTAAAGACCTGAAAAGTGTCGCTACAGAGCTCTTTATTACAATGATCTCCAAGGGTAGTTTTCCAGCCAGGCTCCAGTGAACTTGCCGTTACATAAATCATAACCAAAGTCCTGTCCTTTGGAAGACCATCCATCACTTTCAGGAAAGAGGCATTTTTTAATATCAGCAAATTAAACACAAATGGATATTAAAAACTCCAACAGATGATTAATCAATAAAGGTGGAAGCAGAGGACCTTATTAGTTAGCTAGATATTAGCTGGTGTAGCTAAAGTGCTAGCTATAAAACTTGAAAATTAAAAATGATAGCACATGATGGGAGTGATGGGGAGCAGCTCAAAGAGATGTAAAATATGTCACTTTCCAGGATAAGCTCAAATTGAACAAAATACTGAAGCTATAACCTGGTTCCTTAAATTCTCTTTTGAATTCACTTGTTTCTAAAGGTTTTCTGCATGAGAAACTTGCAGTGTTGGAAGTTGTATTAGAAAGTCCTTTTCTAAGGGATCAGAACGATTCTAGGTGATAATCTTTTATGGTCAGAGTTTTCAAAAATGGCAGAAACATGTGTCTTCCTTTCTGGGAAGAACCAGGGGTTTAGAAATCAGAAGCCACTTTTTTCCCAGAAAATCATTAGCAAAAGCAGCCTTTGGTTCCCCTCCTTCTAAGCCCATTTGCTCAGGATTGCATGAATCTTTTCACCCTAGATAAAGAGAGAATAGTTGTAACACACAGGGATGTAAATAATAAATGCTTTTATTGAAGTAAGGGAGAATAAAGTCATCTCAGTCTTAGAGAAAAATGGAGAAAACATAATTGTCAGCCTGGGTAGGACAGAATAGGGTTTTTTGTAACGACATAATAGTTACAATAACAATAGCAACAATAACAACCACGACAACAATAACTAGTGCTTATGAGGAAGTGCCAGGTACTGTTTTCAGGATTTTATTTATAAGAATTCATTGGAAGCCTATTCATTAATTCATTGGAAGGCCACTGTACTATCAACCCCATTTGACAGACAAGAAAACCAAGATTCAAAGATGCTGAGTGATATGCCCATGATCACAACATTACTGAAGGAATGGACCAGGATTTAAATGCTGGTAGCAAGATCTCAAATCTTTACTTTTAAGCACATACTATACGAAACAAACCCAGCCTCAGAGGAATGAACAGTCATGTCAATATTTGGGATGACATAGAGAAACAGGATGGCAACATCTGGCCTATGCTCCTAAGAAAACCTCCATGCTGTTGGCATATGATTTTAAGGAAAGGGGAGATGAACTTTTCTGATTTTCTATTTTGGTTCTAGGTAAATCATATATAACAAATTTATTTGGAAAAGATAATCAGAAAAAAGAGCACTAACAAGATCAGCTTTGATGCTTTGGTAATTGTAATTTCCTTATCATTTGTCTCTCTTTGCCTTTCTGAAGGTGTGGGCTCAGGCTAGTTCTATGACTCTAGCATCCAGAATGATGGCTGGAAAGCTATAGAACTCAATACATCTATACTGCATATTAAATGAATGAATGATTCAGTTTAAACCTCCTTAACAGAGTGTGATTTCCAAGGTTATAATGATCTATAAGCAAGTTTTTATTTACTCCCCTTTCATTTAGAAATGAACATTACATTAAGTAACGTAAGTTTGCATTTTTAATCTTGTATATATTAATGTATTTCTTCCTCACCTTAACTGTCAGTCATTTTATTAATATAAACTATCAGTCTTTTTGTTAATATAATAAAAAATAATAACTTCAGACATTTATCAAATACCTATATACAGATGACACTTGTTTATTTGGATTATTAAATTTAATCTTCATATTTCCCCTACAGCATAGGTTCTGTTTCAAAAAGTCTTAAACTCAATGGGAGTATAAGCATCAGAAGATCATAAACACATGTGTATTTGTGTATTTTGTCTCTCTATAATATCAAGAGCCATGTATGCTCTCTTTTGCTGCATAACATTAAAATCACAATCTTGCAGGGTTTTTTTCTGACAAATTTGCATAGAATAATCCATTTCAATTGATGGCAAAATCATTTTTGGCTTAGGCCCCAACGCTCTCCTATCAATCACTAAATGCTTTTGGCATTTCTTTCAAAATATAACTAGAGTCTTATCACTTCTCATCTCTACTGCTGCAGCCCTGAATCTCACAACCCACTGGCAAGGCTGGTATTATTTTCCATACTTTAGAGATAAATACATTGAAGCTTCACAAGTTTAGGTAACTTTATTTCATTTATTCACTAGGCAGTTGGGAGAATAAAACAGATATTCTAGTGTTGGGGAAGGCCAACAATAACTAGTAACATAATCAGTTATTACATTGGAAAGCAATAGGTGCTATAGAAAGAAAAAGTGGACCAAAGAAACGGAGATTTGGATGTGGTAGAAAGGTGAGGTTTTTCAATAGAATAGGCTGGTGCGGACAGGTCCATTGATGCGACAATAGGAGAGAGATGCTTGAAAAAGATAGAGTAAGCCAAGCAGATATCTGGAGAAAAGTATCCCAGGCAGAGGAAAAAGCTAACACAAAGACCCTAAAAGGGAAGTGTGCCTGTCTGGCATATTTTAGGAACAGCATGGAAGCTGATATTTCTGAAGTAGAGAGAGCAAGAGGGAGGTTAGTAGGACATGAGATCACAGAAGTGACATTGGCTGTTAAAAGTGCTGTGAGTGAAACAAGAGCCATGGTAGAGTTTAAAGCACAGTAATGACAAATCTGACTTGTAGCTTAAAAGGACCACTCTAGCTGCTGTGTTAATAAATTGTAGGAGACAATTGAAACATGGAGAAGGGCTAGTGCAAAACTATAGATACAGGAAAAAGAGGATGGTAAGTTAGAATTCAATTCACAACTGAGTTTTGAAAAAAGGACACCTCTGGATATACATAGAAGACAAAACCAAGGAAATTACTTATGAACTGGATGTGGAAGTATGAAGGAAAGAGGAGTAAAGCATCAGGCCAATGTTTTGGACCTGCACAATTGGAAAGATGGAGTTGCTATCAATTGATATGAGGGAGGCTGGGGGTAAACAAGTTTGAAAAGAAGATCGGTGGTTTAGTTTTGGGGAATTTTAGTCTGCATTTCTGGACTTCAGAATCCCCCAGTGCCATCACTGCCTTCTCCCTTCCTTGAAAGGAGACTACGTAGGTGATCTTTTCCTTTTGTGTGTGTATGTGTGTGTATATACACACACATGCACAGACATATATGTGTGTGTGTTTGTATTCACACATAAATATGTGCACATATATATATTTTCTGTCTGTGTATAATGTATGTGTGTGTATATATATATATCTATATATAAATTCTAACACGATTCACTTATAGTAATGAACATGTAGACTTTTAATTGAGGACTATTAGGAATAATGCCATTGTAAACATTTTAACCATGCCTCTTTGTTCATACGTATGTTAAATTCTGTTGAGTATATATAGCTAAGAGTAGAATTGCTAAACCATCTGATCAAGTTACATATTTCTTCATCTTGGTACCAAGTGTCAAATTATTTTGTACAGTGGCTGTATGAATTCTTACTCTCATTATGCCCTATCTCTTCGTTAGCAGTGTAGTCTTTTTAAATTTTTGTCATTTTAATTATGTCTAATTATCCAGACATAAATTTAGATATAAATGTTATCTAGATAAAAATTTAATTTAATACAAAGACATAAAGGTATATAAATTATACTGAAGCCATGTGACTGGATAAAATACCATAGGAAATTAAAATGAGAAGAAGCCCTGTGTCGTGCAACATTAAGAGATCTAGAAGAAGAGGAAGAATCAGCAAAGTCACTTGATTAATTAGTGGGAGAACTGAATTTCAATGCATGCCTGTCCCTCTTCAAAGTCCATGCTGTTTCAAACATGCCAGGCTGTCTCAGAATTACATTCAGAAAATATATAAATAAGCTAAGAATGGCAGACCACTTGTATTCCTGTCATAGCAAAGTATTTTAGGTAAAAATGTTTTCAATTTGCTTTTCTGTGATGAAGTGGAAGGCAAATTTTTTTAAGGGCAGAAAAAATATTAAAGGCTTTTGTGGGGTGGCTCTAAAGAAAGTGTGAAAGCTGATATTAGATCGTTTAAGCTCATTCATTAAGACGGAGCAAGTAGAAAAGAGTGGGTAGCTAGCTAAACAAAAAATAGACAAAATAGGAAGGAAAAACTTTTAATCCTAGATAGTAAAGTTGTTTTCTGTATGTTTATTTGCTTTTCATTTTGTTGTTTTGTTTGTTTTCTAATAACGGCAACAACTTTGCCCATGAAATAAGTTTTGCCTTCTTGATTTTACAGCTTCCTGACATCAGGGAGAAGTGATGCTTTGATTTGAATCTAGTCCTATTTGAGATTCTATGGTCTTCTCTTCTTAGGATTTCCTCTTATCAAAATTAAAATTAAATCTTATGCAGAATGATTTTTACCCTCCCAGGAAACATATGTGGAAACATGTGGCTAATTCAGAATTCAGTGTTGCAACTACAATCTACCTCAGTTTTTCTTAGTGTTGACCAAGAAACAATTGTTCTTTGTTATGTTAGTAAACATTCTGAACTTAGAACCATGGGGGTAAACAATGTTCTGAAGTCTTATTTGCTGAGATCTTCTTATAACATTTTATAAAATACTTTCTTTTCTCCTCCTCACTCCAACCCTCAGGAAACCCTTTTTTTTTTTTTTTTTTTTTTTCCGGAGAGTAGTCCACAGTTCTGGTGTGCGGTGGAAAAAGGTTTCGGAAATAAAACATGAGCTATTTTCATGGTTTCATATGTCAGTTATCCTAATCTTTTGCTTTCAAGGAATGTGTACACTGCTTCTGATTCTGTCTGCTGGTGCATGCTCAGTTTTTTTTAATTCAGCATTTATTTATTTATTTATTATTTTTCTCTTTGGAGACAAAGTCTCGCTCTGTTGCCCAGGCTGGTGTGCAGTGGCATGATCTCGGCTCACTGCAACCTTCGCCTCCCGGGTTCAAGCGATTCTCATGCCTCAGCTTCCTGAGTAGCTGGGACTACAGGAGTGCACCACCAGAGCCGGATAATTTTTGTATTTTTAGTAGAGATGGGGCTTCACCATGTTGGCCAGGCTGGTCTCGGACTCCTGGCCTCAAGTGATCTGCCCACCTCGGCCTCCCAAAGCGCTGGGATTATGGACGTGAGCCACTGCGCCCGGCCCTTAACTCAGCATTTATATCTTAATTGTTTGTGACTATCTGCCATGTTTTGATGGACAAACTTCCTGTGGTCTATTTGTGTTTCTGAACATCCTAAACACTGTGTGGGCTTATTGGCCTTCAAATCCATGGTCACCAAAGATTGTTAATGCTGGCCTGAGTCTAGGTTGTTCCCAAGCCACACCCTTACCCTATACTTACATACCTGCCACTTCTCTCTTGGTACCAGTTTCTTTCTCTATTATTCATGGCTCTATTGTGAACTTTTAGAATATTGCTTAGTTTTATTTTACTACATATGCCCGGTGTCTTACTTTCTGAATTTCCTCAAAGATGAAAAAGGGTATTATGTTTATAAATATTTTTGAAGATTTACTCCCATAAGTATCACGGGAAAAGAAAGACAATATAAAATCTATTTCCTACTCCTCATGAATTTGCTATTAAAACAGGAAAATTAAACATAAAGAGATAACAAATTAAATACAAATTCAAACTTTAAATAACATCTTAAGACCACAAGCCAGATGCTCAAAGAAACTGTGTAACTGTAAATAGTTATTGGAAGGGATAATAATCAGAAAGAATTTTAAGTGTTATAAAGAAGAGAGAAGATATTAGACTGGAGTAGACAGGGAAGATATTAAAGAGCAAGAAGTATTTGTGCAGAATCTGAAAGGACAGATCAAATCGAACAAATTGAGGGAAAGGAGGAGAGAGCTTATTTTAAAATAACTTCGTGATTGGGGAACAAAAAGTAAAATAGTTTGTCTAGAAGGTAGATGACAGTGATGGAAGGACATGTCTGGGTCTATTTCAATTCTAAAATGACGGTGTTGGAATAAAGTAAGATATCTTAGTTGTTTGGGGAGGAGAAGAATCAAAATGGTATTTCAGGACGGTGGTATGAAGTGGTATGAAGAGCAGGTAAGAGTGGGATATGGGGGTTTAAAAGATGATAGAAGAAATCCCACTACTGGGTATTTATCTAAAGAAAAAGGAGTCAGTATATCAAAAGGATACCTACACCCCCAAGTTTATTGCACCACTACGCACAGTAACTGAGATATGGAATACAACGGAACGCCCATCAACAGATAAATGGATAAAGGAAATGTCATATACATACACAATGGAATGCTATTCAGACATGAAAAAAGAATGAAATCCTGTCATTTGCCACAACATGGATGAACCTGGAGGACATAACGTTAAGTAAACTAAATCAGGCATAGAAAGATAAATACCAAAAGTTCTCACTTGTAAATGAAATCTAAAAAAGTTGATATAGAAGTAGAACTGTGGTCATTAGAGGCTGGGAAGAGAGAGGGAGGGTAGGATGGGGAGAGTTTGGTTAACAGATACAAAATCACAGCTAGATGGGAGGAATGAGTTCTGGTGTTCCACAGCGCTATATAATGAATGTGGTTGGCTATAATTTATTGTGTATTTTCAAAAAGTTAGAGAGGATTTTAATGTTCACAGCACAAAGAAGTAATAAATGTTTGAGGTGATAGATATCCTAATTACCATTATTTGATCATTATACATTGTATACACCTATGAAAATAACACATAAATACATATGATTATTACTTGTCAACTAAAAATGAAAGGGAAAAAAAAAGATGCTGAGGTATTCCAGACTTCTGTTACTCAGAATTTGCCAATATAAAATCCCTAATATTTTTCCACTGATTTCAGTCCTAAGATAATTATATTGGAATAAAGTATGAAATATTTCTAAACAGTAAATAAATAAATAAATAAATATAATAGGCAGGAACCAATTAGCTGAAGTTTTTACAATTTCAAATAAAAGATGTGCCCTTTTGCTACCAAATAAAGAGCCTGATTTCTTCAATTAAACAAAAATCTGTATCCATGTAGCTTATTATTAGCTTTTCCTGCAACCATTAAATATGACTCTTTCCCTTTAAATGTTCAGTGTTGCTACTATGGAGAATGGAAGACATGTCATATTACTCAAAATTTATTAAAACAATACACAAATTGGAAAAATTAATTTCAGTCTGGATTCAAGCAGAGGCATGCTCTGTTAAAAGCCATAGCCCCTCTAATCAGGCCCTTTGTGGGCTATTGTAGCAGGCAATTGTCCTCCAGTCCTTTCTCTAACAGGCAGTGTGCTGTGTGTGTGTGTGTGTGTGTGTGTGTGTGTTTGTGTGTGTGTGTGTGTGTTTGTGTGTGGTATGGGTCAATTAGGATGAATAAAGGGATTGTTTACTAAGGTAACTAGTAAACTACTTTTATTACTGTCACTGAAATTACCACTCAGGAGACCAAAGCAGAAACTAATCAATATAAGGATCTAGAGAGCAAGAACAAGAATAGAGCAGGTGCATATACAATGGCAGTTTTACAATATTCAACCCAAATTGTATTTTCCTAGGACCTATCTGAAATATGTGTCACTACTCTTCCCTATGTTACAGAGGTAAACTGCCTTAGGTGGAGGCATGGAAGGAAGGAACAAAAAAAGGAAGGGAGGAAGGGAGGAAGAGAGGAAGGGAGGAAGGGAGGAAGAAAGGGAGGGAGGGAGGGAGGGAATGAGCAGTTTTAATGAAGGTGTAATATTGGGCAATATAATCTATAGTTTTTATTTAGTATTTTCCAATGTCATCTACCCAGCAATTCTCTGAGGATATTTTAATTAAAGCCCTTAATGAGGAAAAGGGAGACTCAAAGAGCTTAAGTGACCTGTGCAACGTCAAGTGTTGTTAAGGGTAAATAAATAAAAACAAAGCTATCCATTTACGTTATAAACTTTGTCCCACAGTTTGTGCCAGGCTATGTAATTAATATTCTGAGTATGAACCGTTACAGTAGTTATTATTGTCATCCCCATTTTACAGATGAGAAAAGACAAATATGGATTTCCTGGGTTACCCAAACCCCCAGTTCACATTATTCTGTCATCACTTCTATGGTAGGGCTTCATTCTACAGATTGAAGGTTGATCAAAATAATATATGGTAACGAGCACAGTGGACAGTGGTTAAGGGCCTCAGCTCTGGCAGTGGTTGAGTCCTGCATAGTCACCTCAGGCTCTGGGTTCCTGAGTGAATTACTCACCATCTTCAAGCTTTATTGTTCTCATCTATTAATTAGAGATATTAACCACACCCACACTTCTGGGTTTAGTGAGACTTAATAAATTAACATATTTAGTGCATTTTGAACAGGGTCAGGTATATGCAAAACTCAGAAGTGTTCACTTTTATTTTGCCATTCATTGCAGGAAGAAATTGAAAGAATAATAGTTTGGACAAAACAAGAAACATTCCTCTTTTGTGAATGCACGCAGATTTATGAACACAAACACACACTTTATTGCTCATTTTAAAGCATATTAAGAGGAAATGTGAACTGGTAAAGTGTCTAAGGACTTCTGATTCATTCAATAAGTGACTACCCAAACATTGATTTTCACATATACAAGAAATCTTCTGATAAAGAACTTCCCTCATCCACCACCACCACAACTTCTCTAACTATAATTGTTAAAAATCTTTATTCGGCGTTCCATTGTAAGACCACAAATTATCTACACTATCTCATTTCAGTTCAATTAAAGATTTTTTCCTGGGACTGCAAATATAGTTTTCTCTCTGATTTCCTTTTCAATGCAACATCTCCAGGGAGGCCCCAGTCCCCCACTCCCCCTTCGGCTTTACATCCTTCATGCATACTTTAGGAAGAATCAGGTTTCTATCTGCCCAATACACATGGCAGTGGCAGGATGCTGAAATGCTTGGAGTATTTGGGGACCAGAACTATCAATACTCTCACGCTGAAGCTGTGGTGTTAGCTGAAGTAGAATTATAGTAGGCAGAAAGGGCAGAAATGATGGTCTGGCAGAGTGACTAGCAATGGCACTTAGCTGGTCCCTGCTGAGCAATGAGAAGGACAGGTAGCACTGTTTGGTCAGGGTCACCAGAAAGCTGGTATTTATTTATGAGGAAAGCCCAAGTGATTGAGTAGATATCATTGATGGGCTTTGCAAATAGCCAGATTCATTGATAAAAGTGCACCTTCCATGTCTGTGAGCAGTACAGAGGACCACCGTCTGTCAATGTGTACAGTCGCAATCCCACCACACTGCAAACACACACACGCACAGAAATAATCGGTCATAGGCAGCAGGTTGATCTCCAGTGAGATTTTATGCTGGTTTATGGGAGGCAAAATGGCCTATTGGAAAAATTCATGCTCTAGAAAGTCAGGAGACTCTAGTCCCAACGCTACAGATGAACAGCTGAACAATGTATGGTAGGTCATTTTATCTTTCTAAGCCATAGTTCTCATTGCTTCCAAAATACCTCCCATGCATCTCTATCATTGCCTCACAAGTCTGTTTATACATCTTGTTTGTTACCCTGGTGGACAGGGCAGAGGCTGTGTCTAATTCTTGGTCATATCTGTGGGCTTTTCACAGGTCTAGGCGTGCACGCGTGCGTGCACGCATACACACACAAACACTCTTTTGTCAGTTTCTATTAATTATTCCAAAATGTATATGTTTAAAGAAAGTATGCTTCCCTAAGCAAATCAGCACCTAATTTCAAAAATCGGTATGGTTTACTCAGCACCCTGTTTACTTTCTTTGTTTGCATGATCCCAGGTTTCAATAAATTCCTATAATTACTGGGTTACTTGGTTTTCTCAAGTTGAAAGGAATTGTCACCTTCTCTCTATGTGGTTGAGGCCCCCAGGGGTCTCTGAATAGACAAGAACAAACCAGTCTTTGGCACCTCCATGCTAAATTGTTTAGTCAGAGCTCCTCATGCCACTCACTACCCCATCTAATAAGCGTAGCACTCTCCGTTGTTTGTGTAGAAAATTAAAAATATTAAAATATTTTCATATAGACGATTTTGTGTGATGTTTAAAATACATGCATGAAAATGTGGCCGGGTGCAGTGGCTCACGCCTGTAACCCCAGCCCTTTGGAAGTCCGAGGCGGGTGGATGACGAGGTCAGGAGATCGAGACCATCCTGGCTAACACGGTGATACCCCGTCTCTACTAAAAATACAAAAAAAAAAAAAAAAATTAACCGGGCATGGTGGCGGGTGACTGTAGTCCCAGTTATTCGGGGAGGCTGAGGCAGGATAATGGTGTGAACCCAGGAGGCAGAGCTTGCAGTGAGCCGAGATTGCACCAGTGCACTCCAGCCTGAGTGATAGAACGAGACTCCATCTCAAAAAAAAAAAAAATGCAGCTGAAGTTAGAACTCAGGTTCACTGTATCATGTCTTCAAAAAATAAAAACTTTCAGGTGAGAAAATAAAAATAATGTAAACATCGAACTTAGACATCCATATGTAGGCACATTAGGTTCATCATTTAATATCTATGTGCCTTGGGCCATATTACGTGTGTGTGTGTGTGTGTGTGTGTACCTCAGTTTTCTCACTTATAAAACGCAGACAGTAAAGCCTTCCTCACAAGATCAAGGCAGGGTGAGGGGTATAGTAAGGCAAGGGAATGTGACAGACCATCAGCCAGCAAAACACCAAAGCAAATGCGTGAACGTAAAGAGCTCAGCAACATGTGGGCTCATTGAGGGATTATTACATGCTCGTTCATCTCCAGTCATAGATGGGGCAGACATATCATATAGTACTCATGTAGAGCTGTAGAAACTCTCTTTCATCAATTTAAAATCTACAGAGTGCATATAATCTTGGAGATGTTGTCAATCAAAGCCTTTCGCCTGAATTCTGTTTTCAATCATTATTTGAGTGAGTAGATACCAATTTACTCTTTTACTGAGCCTTATTTAGACCTCTTGGCTAATGCTTCCTGACAGTATTGCAGTGAGTGATGGTCTGCAGTACAACTGAGGTGGTAACAATTAAGGGTGAGAACAGAAGGCCCTGGAATCTTAAAATCTTTTTGCTTTCCCCTTGTTTATTTTGTTTCTTTTGCCTTACAGTCCACAGGGTTAGGATAACGCATGGCCACGATGTGACAATTGTTGAGCTTTGTCAGACTCAAAGTTCTGCTAATGAAGTAAAATACAGAGGCTGTGGGACATGAATGATGCACTTGGTTGCTTGCCTTGATTTAATTCATCAGATAAAGGCTCAACTTCCTACCTGCTTTCCTAATTCACTGAGGTGGAAGGAATTGGTTGTGTGCTGCTTTCCGTTTACCTCAGAGATATTGTTACTGCTTTCTCTTTATAAAATCCTGCTACATGAAACTGAATTTGCAGAGGCAACAAACTGCACATGGCCGTGGGAGAGAATATGTTTGTTTATTTTAGAAATCAGTTTTTTCTTTACAAAGAATTCACAATGGAAACATTCTAATAAATTCTGAGTTCCCTAATCCTTTTTGGGTTTTCAGTTTATTTGTGTTGTGTAACTTTTTCACAGTTAACTGAAGCATCTATTGAGCAAATCTCAAAAGATATTTTTTCAACTACCACTTAGAGACACTAAATTATCAAGATGCTGCCATTAAAAATTATAAGCCTTCAGATCCCTTTGTGCCCCTGTATACACTGTTTATGTTCAATTCTTTCCCTTGGATCTCCCCATACTTTTCTTCTTCAGCATCAAAAAAATCCTCCTCATCCTTTAAGACATAATTTAAATACCATCTATGCTGTGATTTCTTCTCAACTTTCACATCTCTTATAGCCACCCCTTATACTGAGTTTCCAAAGCTCTTACATCAGAAGCCTAATATAAACTTATTGTTTTGTATTACACATTACAGCAAATTTTCCACCATGAGATGGTGCACTCCCAGAGGTCAGGAATCACCTGAAATCATAGTTGTGAATAACACTCCCTCCCTGCTCAATGACTTGCATAGTGTTTCATACATATTTCACATTTGAAGATGTATGTTGACAACATTTCACCAAATAATTCCAAGATGTGTCCTAGGGACCAGAGAAGGACATAAAGTTCTCATCTGACATTGGGAACCTTTTTCTGCTTTTCCCATACAATTTGATAGAAAAACAATTTAGATGTAGAAAGCCTGTGTTCATGTCCAGTCCTTATTTTCTGACTTTCCTACTAGACAAATCTCTTGATAGTTCTGTGCTTAGATACCTCTCCTACTTGCCTTCTTACTTTGTGATCAAATAAGATCATAATCAGAATAAGTAAAATGTTATTTTTACCCCAATTTTATGCGATAATATCTTATTTTGCAAAATATGATCATTATGAATCTTAAATTATTTAAATCTTAAAACATTATCATTATGTTAAGTGTATGCCTGTATACGAATATTTCCTTAACTCCATATATATATATACCCACTATGTACCCATAAAAATAAAAAAAATCAGTAAAATAAAAACCTACTAACTTAGAATAAATCCCAAATGCAGATATTTTCCAAAATACCTGGAAAATAAGATATTATTTTTATTAAATAAAATCTGTTGAATAAATTTGATTCTGAACTTGGAGAACCAGATGTGAAGCCAAGGAAGACAATATTTCATCATGCTCTGGCATTGAGGAACGGCCTTGCTGTTTCAAACCACAGTGACAAAGGTCAATATTTGAAACTGTTATAAGGATTGTTTAGGCTCCATAAAACTTTAAAACTGTAACCATGAGATTATTTTTATTTTTATTTTTTAGGGTGGGTGAGTGGCGGGCAGTGGAACAAAATGAGATAGAAGGCTAAAAGAAGATGCCTAAAAGATGCCTAACATACTGAACTTTATTGGATAATTTGTCTTTTTTGTTGTTTTCTTTTGGTTTTAGTTGTAATCACAGTTTGTAATATAAGTTTCTATTCTACTGTCATTTAATGTTATTTCACTGAATGTGTATGTGTGTATATATATGTGTGTTGTTTCTTAAGTAGTTTTCTCGTCATGAGTCTTATTTTTAAAATAAACTTTATTGTGTATATTTAAGGTATACAATATGATGTTGTGGGATACACATAGATAGTAAAATATTTACTATAGGAAAACAAATTAGCATATCCATCATTTCACATAGCTACTTTTTATAGGGGGTGGCAGTATCAGCAGCTAAAATCTACTAATTTATGCAGCACTAGCAACAATAGCCAAGATTTGGAAGTAACTTAAGTGTCCATCAACAGAAGAATGAATAAAATAAATGTGGTATATATACACAATGGAATACTATTCAGCTATATAAAAGAATGAGATCCAGTCATTTGCAACAGCATGCATGGAAATGGAGATCATTGTGTCAAGTGAAATAAGCCAGACACAGAAAGACAAACTTTGCATGGTCTCATTCATTTGTGGAAGTTAAAAATTAAAACAATTTAATTCATGGAGATAGTAGAATGATGGCTACCAGAGGCTGGAAAGGGTAGTAGGAAGAGGGAGTGGAGATGGTTAATGGGTACAAAATTGTGGTTAGATGGAATGAATAAGATCTAACATTTGATAGCACAACAGGGTCATTATCATCACAAATAAGTTATTGTACATTTTAAAATAACAAAAAAGTATAATGGAAGATTTATAACACAAATAAATGATGAATGTTTGAGGTGATGGATACACCATACCCTGATGTGATTATTATACACTGTATGCCTGTATCCAAATATCTCATGTACTCCATAAATATATACATGTATAAAATATATACACCTACTATGTACAAATAAACATAAAAAAATCTACTAATTTAGCATAAACCCCAAATAAAATATTATTACCTCTAGTCCTCATCCTATACATTAGATCTCTATACTTGTTCCTCCTAAATGTCTGCTACTTTGTATACATATCTGTTACTTTGTATGGTGCAGTTTTGATTCAGCTTACTCTGTGTAAAAATTGGGGAGTGATGGAAAAGCAGCTTCAATGGTGTCAGAAGGACTGGATTCTGGATCTGACTCTGCCACTGCTGTATAAATGACCTTTGCAGGTCTCTTCACCTCTCAATGCCTCAGTTTGGCCATTGTCCAAATAATTCTTGTGTATCCCTGTTTTCTCTGCAGTTAGTAACATTCTTGGACAATATTACATATAATTATAAAAATATAAATACAAATATTAATATTATATATTTATACAGAAGTATTATGCATAGTGTTCAATTAGGTTAAAGATTAAAGCGGCATAGATGTATAAATCAAAGTGATAGCCTAGATGGTTAAGATCTCTTCTAAATATAACATTCGAGACCTAGGAAATGCATTATCAATGGATCTGTTTTCTTCTTACTAGTGAGTGATGCAACTCTTTGTTCTTCTCAGAGCATTAAACATAATGTAGTAGAGTTAGATAAAACATCACAGAACTCTAAATTATTACCCCCATGACCAGGCACAAGTTATTTTTCTGACCTCTGTTTTTTCATCTGTGAAATAGAAATACCGACTCTGACTGTGGTTAGGACTGAGTATAAGCGTGAAATACATGTAGCCCATGCCTGCCATGCAATGGGGGCTTCATAAATGTTTACGTCCTTCATAGTAACTAGTATAGGACTGTGCATAATACGTGCTCAGTAAACTTTATTGATTACTTGTGGTTTAAAATTCCTCACATAAAGTACATTCATTAACTGACATATTTTAAATCTTGTGGGAATTCCTATTTCAGTAAAGTTGCAAATTCTTTTAAAAGTTTCTATTAAAAAATATTTTGGTAAAACATGGACAAAAACATTTCTCAGGCCAGGCACAATGGCTCATGCCTATAATCCCAGCACTTTGGGGGGCTGAGGCAGGAGCATTGCTTGAGGCCAGAAGTTTGAGACCAACCTGGGCAACATAGTGAGAGCCCATCTCTACAAAAAGAAAAATAAAAAAGAATAAATATTAATATACATAAAAAATCTCCAAGATTTTAAAAATTATAGTCACCATAAATTTAGTTTTTAATTCATGTTTAAGGCTGACTTGGACTTGACTCTCAGAATTGGAAACAGATGGTAGCTTGATGCATCTTCTTTAGTTTCTTCAGAAGAGCAGATCTCTTCTGGAAATCTCTTCACACAACCCAGGGTAATGGGGTTATACAATCCCTTCATATACCTCTGTTGATCTAAGTCTTTGATATGAAAAGTAGGTTTTAAAACGTATATTTTAGAGCCATGATCATGCCACTGCACCCCAGCCTAGGCTCAAATGAGATAAAATAAACCATGTATATTTTTAGCTCATTTGAAAGCAAATATTTTAACCTTCAATAGAAGGTTAATATTAAGAATCAGTGCTTGAATGTTTATATGCTGATGGAAGAACATCAGGTAAGTCACAGGGGAAAGTCCAAGGACCAGATGATTTTCTCACTGTGATTTCAAACATTTAGTCATAAGGACAGCATTTTCCAGGTGTGAAATTGTAGTATGAGAAATATTCTCTGGTGTAGTAGCCAAGGTTGCCATTTATATATAATCAATACAACTGAGCTGTTTATACTCCTTATCCTTATCTTTCTCTGAGAATGAGCTGGTCATTCCTGTCTTTTCATCTCACAGGAAAAGTTTTGTTCAAGTACTTAATTATGAATTGACTTCTATTGTACAAAGCAAAGATGAGAGCAAGCCAGGCCACTCTGTGGGCCATGTGTCACATTGAAAATCCATAGTCATTGGAACAGTAACAATGATCTGTCAGCACAAATAATACTTGGGAGAGATCAAAATAGAAGATAAAATATCACCACTATAATATCAGCAATATCACAAGAAAAGTGTGTTGCTGAAGGATGTTCCCGTCCAAAATCTCTTTTCTCCAAGTTTCATTTAGGTGGAATAAATTGAAGTAGGCTAAAAATCAGTCACTCTATCCCCACATCCCCCAAGCTCCTAAAAGCAAATACCTAACCAGCAAACAAAAGCAATACAGAGGCACATTATTGCGACAATTTCAGCATCTCCCTGACCTCACAAGCTGCTGGTGGCATTTAATGTGGATTGGTCTTTTGCCTGTTTTTTTTAAATCTGTTTTTCTCTCTTCTTCAGTATTTTATTCTCACATTGTTTATTTCTTTCTTCCTCACTGTATCTGACTGGATTCTTGTAAAGTATAACTTCATTTTATATAGATCATGTTGTCTCTATCCTTCCTCCATCCCTTCCTCCTTCCTTAAATCCTAACCTATTTTGATTCCTTCCTTCTCAAATCATTATATTTAGAGGAGAAAGCTTTTTAAAAATTCCTCATTTATACACAATTACAAAGCTTTTCTTTCATATTTTTGCCTCCCTAGAAGAGATGAATAATTTTTTTCACTTTGATATGCATTTTGCTACTGACCACATCCAGATGTACCTATTTCTTTTATTTTTTATGAGAATTCTCTTTTGTAGGGTGAGGAGAAGAGGTAGGGGTGCTGAATTTTATGTTTCTTACTATCTTTAACTTTGTTGTCCACTAAAGTCACAATCTCCTTCCTCTTCCTTTACTGTTCAGTTTTCCTATCCCTTGTGGACCCATCCACCAAAGTTGTTAGTTTTTTGGTTTCTTCTGCCGAAAATATTGTCTTCGTCTTTTAATTTTTTTGTCAACACTAAAACTACTGATTTGTTTTGATGCTTTTTGTCCATGCTAACTATAATATTTTTTCTACCTTTTAGAATTCCCAAAGATATATTCCCAGTGGAGATATTTAATATTTATATAAAAAGCTATATTTATTTATTTTCTAGTGATAGCCATAGCTCCGAGCTATCTAACATTTGATCAGCCAAAAAACTACTATGTATCTATTTTTTTAATTTTTTTATATTTGGCCTTTTAGGCTCCTCAAGAATCCCAACAACTGACACTTCCGTTCTTTATGTACCAAAAGAAATTTGCTATTCTTCATCTCTATTATCACCTCATCTTCATTTATTTGTGTAGCTTTCTCCTTTAATTGACCACAAAGTTTAGTTTGATCACCCTGCACAGGACTCACAATGAATATCATTCCATAAATCACTGCCACTTTCAAAAACCAACTTTCTTTTGGTATTCAAAGCCCACACACACCATGTCAGACTACAGATGAGGAAAAAGAACCTCCTAATGAAAGAAACAAACACAACAATCAACACCCATCATCCCGAGTATATGTCTGTGTTTGTAACTGTGTTTAATTGAATATTCATAGCACTTCTTTCTTTATGTGAAGATTTTTGAGACTAGGAGCACATTTTTCTCATACCATGACAATTTCATACTTATTTTTATTATTAAAAAAGACCTATACACTAAGAGCAAATATCACCCAGCATGAAATCAAAGAAAACAATCATCCTCTTAAGGTTCTGAGGATCATCACTGGCTGTCTGCATTATCCTGACTCATCAGCATCGGTTTAACAGTCCTGACACTTTGGAGCATCCTGCCAGACCCATACTCTGTGTTTAACTGCCACAGTTCACCTCTAACAGCATCAGCAATATCATTTTTCTTTCACTCTATAGAGTTGTCTCTATAGAGGTCCCTCCTTCCCCAGCATTTGGTGTGAAAACTTACCGCTTTTACCAACTCCCCCTGCTCCCAGCATTACCACCTTGTACTCTCTGGACCCGCCTGATGCGCTGCCCGGGGAGCAGCTGGCTTCATTTTCTACCTCCATCTTACCCGAGGGACCGGAGGAAAAAAAGAAGGAGAAAGTCACCCGTGTCAGGTGCTTGCTCGAATATTAAGCAACTCTAAAACTGTGTCAAAGCAAAGGTTTTAGTACGAGGTAAGAACCATCAGCGTCGGGCTGGCTGCTGGTCCTCCGCTCGAGCGGGTCTCATAGCAACCACTTCAATTGCTTCCAATAAAAATCTGGCTTTTGCATCCCCCACCCTTCCTTCCGATCCTTCACTCTTTCACGTCTCCTACAATCTCTCTCTCTCTCTCTCTCTCATTTTCATTTCCTCCCTCATTTGATTCTTTCTCCATTTCCCTTCCCCACTGTCTGTTTCTCTCCTTTCTCTTTCCTGCCTACCCCCTGCACAGTCACAGTTGTCAGTGGCACACACACATTCGACCCCTTTTCAGGCTGCGCTGCTAGAATGGAGTGAATCTGAGACCTCACAGGAGTTGCTATGTCTCACAGGATGACTTCTGTAGGTACAGCTTCAAAGATGCTATTTTCTTTTAATCAAAGTCAATTAATAAGGATTTCTTCTGCTTATAGTCTTGCATTTTATCACTCTTCTATTGCAGTTTTCATTCCGGGAAAATGGAAAAGCAAAACAAAAACAAAACAGAACAGTAACTCAGGGCTCATAAGGATGGATCTTCAGTGTTATTGAAATAACAGCCGGCTAACAGGAATTGTTCAGCTCACTAGACAGTTGCAGGTTTAACATAGGGGGGTAATTGAATTAGATCATTGTCATATTTGGACAAGGCTCATGCTTGTTTACGTTAAGTTATTAGAAACAACTTAAATCACAAGGACTATCAAGCATGAAAGAGATAATTGATAAATATTTTTACTGACAATTATACTAGCATAAAAGATTGTAGAAGAATATTTTTAAATGTCCAAACTATTATTACCTGTTTGAATTCTTATAAAGCTTTGCGGTCTTTGTTTTTCTCTAAAGAACTTCTAAACTACAGAGGGTCAAGAATGTTTTCAATAATTCCTAATTGTCATAATAAGATCCTGTCTTTTAATCAACATGATGATGTTTAACATGTTTATTGTCTATTTTCTAAAGCTTGAATCATTATCAGATGCAGACAAGTGTTTGGTGTGCATAGACTAGACTTGTCTTTCTATCTAGATTTTAAGCTCCACTAGGAAAAGAACTATATTTAGTCCATTTCTTGTGATTCTATAATATGTGCACTGAGTAGGCACTCAATATATACTTGCTGGTTTCTGTAGAGGCTTCAAATTGTTATAGCCAAGAGCACAGTCTCTGAAGCCAGAATGCCTGTGTTCAAATCTGGGCTTAGCCACTTACCAGCTATATGACCTTAGGCAAATTCCTTCACCTCTCTGTGCCTCAATTTCTTTATCACTGAATAGTTAATTAAAACCCTACTTTGTTAACTCATTAAGTGAGCTAATATTTATATAGTGCTTAAAACTGTGTCTGACAAGTGATAAGTACCACACAGGTATATGATATGAAGAGTATGTTATTATTTTGAATCTGTGCTGCTGTCAGTCTACTGTTTACAAACACTCGCCCAAGAAGAGAAGATTATCTTTTCATGTGTTTATTGGCCATCTGTATATCTTCTTTGCCAAAGTATCTGTTCAAGTCTTTTGCTTATTTTTATACCAAGGTGTTTATTTCCTTATTGCACTTTGAGAATTCTTTATATATTTCGGATGTAAGTCTTTTATCATATAAATATTCTGCAAATATTTTCCTCTAGTGTGTGGTTTTTCTTAACAGTAGCTTTCAAAGATCAGCAGTTTTAAATTTTGATGGGGTCCAATTTGTAATCTCTTTCTTTTACAGATCATCCATCAGGTTGTAAATGAAACTTTGCCCAATTATTCCATTCCCACTTTTCTATCTTTTTTACTCTTTGATTGTGAATTCAGTCAATGTCATAGGTCCACTTATCATCTTTCTATAGGTAACTGCCAAGTTTGTAATTCTGGACCCAGTTTTTTCTTTGAGCTGCAGAAATGATTCTAACTGCTTCTGGGTTGTCTCCATCCAAACCCTGATTATATCTCAACCTCAGTAGGTCTAGAAGTATATCATCCTCATCCTCACAAAACAAAGTCAACAGTGTTCTCTACCTTTGCAGGGAGCATTACCACCCTCCAGGTCCTACTTTTAGATTTACCTCTTCCAGTATTTGACCTCCATAACTGAAGCAGCTCTTTAACTTTTTCTGCCTGAATACAAGTTCTCTGCTCTTTGTTCCTTTTCACAGTGCTCAATTCATCCTATACACTGACATCAGAGAAATCCACCTAAAGTGTCAACTTGACAAACCCTGTTGTAAACATATTCATATATCAAATGCCTAAAAATGCAACCCAGTAACTCAAGATGGCACATAGAGACACAGCATTTATTCCAGTCTCCTGTTCCAATGTAGCCCTCAACCTCCCTACAATAGAGTCAGTCAGAAGCAGCTACCTGCCTTTCTTCCAACAAAACTATCATTTCCATGATTGGGTTTAATAAAGAACTGAGACTATAATTATCCTGTAATTCTTTAATTAAAACTTTATTCCTCATATATAAACAGTAGCACTTAGCTTCAAGGTCTGGGTTTTTTTGTTTGTTTGTTTCTAGTTGTGTTGCTGAAATTCTTGTGACCTTGAGCAAATCATGTGCCTCTCTAGCTATTCCACCATCTGTTACTCTGTTTTCCATGTCAGCCATACTGATTTGGTGAGAAAGCACAGAAATTGTCATGTCAGCTGTGTCCATCATTCTGTTCTTTATTTACCATATTATGTTAATGTTGATTAAGAGAAAAGAATACATGGAAATGTCCCTTCATGATAAATGAGTGCCTTTCCAAATATTAATAGACACTGTGAGATGCGAAAAGGACATATAGGTAGTGAATTGGCTTTGTTAATTTATCTGTCCATATTTCTCCTATAAAAAGTAGTAGGGTTTTTTTTTTTTTTCATATTTACATGGAAAAAAAACCCCATGAAGTGCAGGGAAACTTTCCTAGATATAAAGCCATCTTTATCTATCTTTTCTTTGAAATTCAAAGGTACTCCACCCTAGATCCTTCTGCTGAAGTACTAAGGGTCAGAAAACCTTTTGATTGATAATGGCAGAATTTTGAAGCATTCTGATGCTACTGTTTTCAGTTTTATTCAGTGACTTTTGTGAGTATGCATTTCTCCTCCCTTGCTTTGATCAGTATACCCAAAAGTGTGTGTTTTTGTGTGTTTGTGTGTGTCGGCCAGGGGGTCATATATCTCCTAGTTGTATAAATGATGATTGAATAGAGTCCTTAAGTAACCAAAATCATTTCCTAACAGATAGCTTTGCAATTGGAAAAATTATTAAATGATCAGAGTTTGCATTCAGTTCCTCTACCCTTCCCTGGCAGTTGCCATTCTTTTTGGATGGCACATCATTTCCTTTGAGTGCTAGTCTCCATTAAATTAAGATGCAGATGTTCAGTGTTCTTTCAGAACCACTCAACTCCCTAAGCAGGCCCAAGTCAGCTCTACCTTGCCCCTGTGTGCTACTGCTGCTCACCATTCCAGTCTTTCTCAGAGGACAAAAGGGGAAGCTAATTTAACAAGCAATTCCCTCAAGAGCAATATATTTGCTTTATTTATATTGATACAGTTCTAAACTCCCTTAAAAACTGCTAAGGCATCTAGTCACTCTGATAGGAATACAGGGGAGAAGTTTGGAGGTTTGAGAATTCTTTTCTCACCTTTCTGGTTACTGGTAGGTAATTTCTCATGCCATTCTCTGCAAAGCCACTTTTCCTTTCATTCTAATTTATTGTATTCTTTACAATGACTTATTTACATTGTAGTCCACCTTAATGTTAAGACCTCATCTGTATTCAACTTTGACTCTCTAGGATGTTTCAGTGTCAACAAAAACATTTTCAATAAAATGAGTTTTAAAGACCTAATTAGCTTTTATTTGTAATTCATGAACCAGGCATCATCCAGTCCACAAAATAGACAAAAGCTCCAGTGGGCATGGCAGGCTAGTCACTTTCTGTAAAGCAGGTTGACCAAAAACAAGAAAACAGAGTGGAGCAAAAGCAGATTGAATAATATCAAGTTCTTCAGGTTACTTTTACCAGATAAAGCAGAGGGGAATTTATCATGCTGGATCAGGTTAATTGAAACCCTTTTGATTGGTTGATGTGAATCTCCTGCTTTTTGTTTGTTTGTTTGTTTGTTTTGTTTTTAAATTGGCTTCTTGAAGATTTGGCTATCAACTCTCTCCTGGTTTCTTGGAAGGTCAGATCTTACAAAGCTGTTTAGCTTAGGTTTTGGTAGGGTAACATGAAAGTTTAGCATGAGTGACTCCATTTTGGGTTGGTCTGCTGGGGCCAAGTGTAAGGCCTCAGTCCAGATCAGTGGGTTCTCATATATTTTATTTAATAGCACAGTGCCTGGCATATGCTAGATGACTAACACATATTTGTTAAATGAAGGAATTTATTGTACCAACTGAGTGACCACATATTGCTGCTGTTAATTAAATTAACCTCTCAAAGTATATAATTTACTATTAACACCCTAATAAAAAGACAACTCAACTTAGTTGATAATCTCTGAATAAATGAATGTTTTGCATGCACGTTCTCACCATAAAGTATAAGACTATTGTACAAACTGGAAATATCAAAGCCAAAGCATGAAGAAGAAAGAGCTAATTTTGTAAATAAAGAGCAGAGCACAGACTTTTTTGCCACACACTGACCTACTCACATTCAGTGAAACTCAAAGTCAGTGTGAATATTTCTTTTTGTGATACTTTCATCCTGAAGGCTTACCTCAGAAAAAATGATCTTACATGTAATCTAAGTGACTTGCACGTTATTTATTCAACATGTATTCATTTATTAAACATAGATTAATTTGCTCACTGTCAAATTCATTCATTTCACAACTGTGTACAGCCTTTCAGAAAAACAAAGGAAAACACAATATAGTTCATGGGTTCAAAATTATTATAGCCTAGTGTGGAAAAAAGGCAGCTGTCCACTAGGCCTTGGAATAAGCCAGCATGTGGCAAGTCATTGAACAGATAAATGGGCAGAGTATGGCAGGTTTGTGGGAGAAGGGGAGACTGACTCCAAGTAGGAAGACAAAGTGAGGTGTCAATAAAGAGGACTGACTCGGGCTAGGACTTAAAGTAAATCTCCAAAGAAGGAGATTTCAAAAGCAAGGGTGTTCAAAGTTTAGAAAATAAAACGTATTTGGTAAATTATAAGTTGAAAACATAACTGATGCGAAAGAACATAGGAACATATTCCAAAGCTGGATTATAGATGAATCACAGAGTTAAATTATAGCATATAGAGCTTGCATTTTGTTGTTTGTTTGTTTGTGTTTACCTTTTTCTTTAAGCAAAGCAAAATACCAACTTTGAAGCAGAACAGCGAATAACACAGGTTTCTGATTAGAGAAAAATGAAGGTCCGGCTTGAGTTTACTTTTTATCCATTAAGCCTTTTTGACTTTCTCAAATAGCAGTGAGTTGGAACTCAGCTAAATTTCTATAATATTTATTATTGTTTAGTCATTAGTTTGACACTTAGCATTCTGTAATTTACTAAATTACAACCTATTTGAGAGGAGCCCCTGTTCCATTTTACTGTATATTTTTTACAGTCTTGGGCCCAGGCCCTGATATGTAAATGATAAATAAAAAAATTATTCAGACTTTTTTTATCAATATACTTCATAGTAATATCTAATATGGATACAGCTAATTATAATTTTTTTCTTTTCAGTCAGTCAAAGTTGACTTTTACAATGTAAATGAAATAATATTAGGCTAAGGGTATAGCAAAACATGGACAAGCTATAGGTGTGAATATTTAAAACCTATAAAAACAAAATTACTTTATAGTGGTAAATTTCAGAGAAATATCCTGCAAATTTCCATCTGCATTTTATTGCCCAGAGATTTCAATCATTTTTTACTTTCATCTGTTTATGACAATTATAATTAATGTCTGCATTGATGACTCTGAGGCCATGTAAGATTCTGCAATATAATGTCCAAGAAATATTTAATTTTATTCAGTATAATTTTGATATAATCTATTTGTTATGGTTTCATCTTCTAGTAGATGCCAACAGTTATCAATTTGAGTTGTTAAATATTGGAATATATTATTGTGTTCAAATTCTGGATGAGGAGTTACTATAACTACCTCAGTGCACGAAATGGCACTATGTTAGACTAAATATGTAACCAAGCTTTTTAATATTGTGTTTGAATAATTTTATATTCCACTGCAAATACTACCACAAAGCCCTGTTATTAACATTAAAATAATTGCTTTCTAGTTTAAAAGTTAAGAAAATATTACATTTTTACCAATGTTATTTGTGAGATTGCTTTAATTTCTCCTGAGAGATACAAAATTAAAATTAGAGGATGCCTTAGATACAGTTAATATAGCCTTTCATCTGAGAAAATACCCCATAATCAATAATTATTGATCTATGCTTTGAATACCGAGTATGGGAGATTCACTACATTACAAAATTGCCCAGTGTGATCTCCTATGATAGTGAAAAACACTCAGATTTTAGATTAAGGAAGCCTCATTATGAACTGATCTCTCTTACCAATTTACTAACAGTATTATAATGAACAAATATTTTAATCTGTCAGAGCTTTAGTGTCTTTATCTTCAAAACAGAAACCTAACATATGTAGTTTTCATGAAATTCAAATGAGATGATGTAAACTCAGTGTCTGGGAATACCATCCATAGCAAACAATTAGATATTAGAAAGTTCACATGAAACCCTCTCTCTACTAAAAATACAAAATTAGCCGGGTGTCATGGGCGCCTATAATTCCAGCTACTCAGGAGACTGATGCACGAGAATTCCTTGAACCTGGGAGGAGGAGTGTTCAGTAAGCCCAGATGGCAGCATTGCACTTCAGCCTGGGCAACAAGAGCGAAACTCAAAAAAAAAAACAAAAGAAAAAAAAGAAAAAAGGAAGGAAGGAAGAGAGGGAGGGAGGGAGGGAGGGAGAAAGAAAGAAAGAAAAAGAGAGAGAAAGAAAGAAAGAAAAAGAAACAAAGAAAGAGAGAGAGAGAAAGTTCACTCATTTGTCAAGTACCTTTCAAGTAAGAGAGAAATGGAGCTGGGGGTCTTGGCTATTCCAGACCCATGAAATTTAGAAACTGTGTTGAGTCTGGGACAGGTCAGTGTGGGAAATGCACAGTCTCTTCAAGAAGCATGGAGGAAACGACAGGTAATGCCCAACATTGTTATGTCTAGTAGGTGCTAAGTATGGAAGGGTGGCAGAAGAGAAATCTTGACAGACAGCTTAGGAGTAAACTATGATAGCTTTTTTGTTGTTGTTTTTGTTTTTCAATTCTGAGAATTTTGGAATTACACACCAGGTGATGTGAAGCCAAAGATGGCTTTTAAGCAGAAATGTAATATGAATAGGTTGGTGTTTTACAAAACTTACAAAGCTCTCTCTAGAGGTAATGTGAAGAGGGGATTACAATGAGGAGAAGCTAGGCAGCAATAGAATGTCTGGGTGGTTCTTTTGGTTGCTGGGCAGAAAAAAGATCATAATCTGAACTAGGTTAATTAGGCTCATGGCTGAGGAATTGCAAAAGTAAATGTGACCCATGTCACATGACTGGAGAAAATTGTCAGGTGATGGTATGCCTGGGACACATGGGAATAAGAAAGGAACAGGAATCAAAGACAGCTGAGGTTTTCTGTTTGGATCACTGGTTACCATAGACAGGTAATGGTATCACTTCCATGGTATCTCAAGGTACAGAACTGGCTGAAGTAAACAGGGATATGTCCATAATGAGTCCAATTTTGTTTGCATTAAGATTGATGTGCTTGGCTGGGCATGGTGGCTCAAGCCTGTAATCCCAGCACTTTGGGAGGTGGAGGCAGGCGGATCATTTGAGGTGAAGAGTTCCAGACCAGCCTGGTCAACATGGCAAAATCCTGTCTTTACTAAAAGTACAAAAAGTAGCCAGGCATGTGATGCGTGCCTGTAATTCCAGCTACTCTGGAGGCTGAGGTATGAGAATCGCTTGAACCCGGAGGTAGAGATTGCAATGAGCCGAAATCATGTCACTGCATGATTTCAGGCTAAGTGACCCAGCGAGACCATCTCAAAAAGAAAAGAAAAGAAAAGATAAATAAAAATAAATAAAATTGATATGCTTTTGGAATATCTCATTAAATTTGTAAAGAAAGCAGTTTCAAACCATGGATTTGCAGTTCAGAAGAGAGGTTGAGACTTATGGATAAAGAGATCTTCAGTTTATTAGTGGTAAATGAAAACACAGAAAGAGATTAGATTCTCTATGGAGTGCTTGCTAGAAAGAGGAGAGATCTAAACATGCCTTTATGAATGCAGAGATTAACTAAAATTGACTAAGGTAATATTTTCTGTGTTCTCTCTTCAAGGAGCTTTGCTAAGAAATTTTTTGTGCTTTTTTTTTTTTTTTTTTTTCCAGACAGGGTCTCATTCTGTTACCCAGGCTGAAATACAGTGCATAATCATGGCTCACTGCAGTCTCAAACTTCTGGACTCAAGTGACTCTCCTGCCTCAGCTTCCTGAGTAGCTGGGGCTACAGGCATGCACCACCACACCCAGCTAATGTTTTAAAAAATCTCTGTAGAGCTGAGGTCTTGCTGTGTTGGCCAGGCTGGTCTAGAACTCCCGGGCTCAAGTGATCCTCCCGCGTTGACCTCCCAAAGTGCTGAGATTATGCATGAGCCACTGCACCCAACCTTGCATGTATTTTTTTTCATTTGTATCTATGCAATAATCTTTTAAGTCTTACATCCATATTATTGAAAGGATAAAGAAGAAACATACAGAGATTTAGGAAAGCTGTGAGGAGAATAGAATGCAAGCAAAAAGAGCCTTGAAGAAGCAAGTGTTGGTAAATGCCATCAAGTGCTTCAGATTGGTCATGTAAAAATAGCAGTGACAGTATGTCATTCCATTTGAAAAGTAAGAGCTCATTAGTGAAAACAGAAATCTTAGCAGAAAAGTAAGAGTGGAAATCAGATAGCAAGAAATAATGAAATGAGTGGAGTCCAGGAGTTTAGCATTGACATATATGTTTCTAATTTGAAAAGTTGATGGTGACAGAAAAGAGTGTGATAAGATCATATATTATCCTTGTTGAGGTTATGCCTTGAAATGGTTATGGAATTAGTGGAAAATCATTTTTAAGATATGATTGGCATAATATTTATAAAAACAATTGATGTTATTCTAATTACACATATTTAAAATAGCTTGCCAAAGACCCTACAGCTAGGAAGCAGAAAAGGCCAAAATTTGATCTTAATTTTTACAATGAATATTTGACAATCATATGTCTTTTAAATGTATATACATTTCTTGCCTATTCCTGTGAGTTTTTTTTTTTAATTATATTTTACCCACCAGTCTGTGATAGATCTTAACTTTTGTGTTAGTTTTATAGTTTGGTTTTGCTTTCAGCTAAAAACTCTTTTTATAACCTATTGTAAACTTTCCTTCACTTAGATTCAGGCAGTCATTCTTGTCCTATTATCGTTTGTGACTGTAAATAATTTGCTTAGTTTATTTTGTTGCCTTGATGATATTTATAGATCCTGTCACAGAGACCCTACCTTGAAGACCTCTCTTTTGTAGACTGTATAAATTTCATCCCTTATTCCTCAACTCATATACCTTATTCTCTTATCTTGGGATATATTTTGTTGACCTTTTGATTTGTCCTTTTTCTCAACTCACCTCTACAGCTTGTCAGTATTGCCTAGAGAAATTAGGGTGGAAAGCTAATAGTTTAAAATGCTACCTAGCAAAGAGTTCAGATATAGCTTCCCCAACATTCTAACCAAAATACTTATGAAGATGGCGAAAATAGAAAAGCAAATTCACTGAGGAGAAAGCCAAGAAAGAAGTAAGGCTAACTGGAGAAAAAAATAATCACTGACATTTCTCTTCTTAGCTTGGTGAAATCTACCAAGTCTGCTGTCCCAAATAACGAAAGAGAGACATGTGAAACTCATGCACTCTCTGCACTCTCCCCTGATTTAGAGATGAGTTTCTGCACCAAATATAAAACTGTGCATGGATTATTCCACTGTCCAAGTGCTGATTTTTGAGATTTTTCAGGAGCCTACTTTCCCATCATATTTTTTTAAGCCTATCCATAATTGCAACACGGTATCACATACATAAGAGGAGCGTGGATAGTTATATATTGCACTCTGGAGGTTAGCCTCAACAGAACAAGAGAAATGAATAACCTAAGGAAAAGAGCATTCTGTATATTGTAAATTATCTAAGCACTCCTCTTCAGGAAACTAAGAGTGGGGAACAGGCAGCATGGGGAAACTGAAACTCAGACAGATTCACACATGTGCAAATAAGCAACCAGAAAAGAAGCTTCTGAAAAATGTTGTGGCACAAGAAAAAGAATGTTATCACAATGACGAGGAAAAACAGACCTCTGAAAAATCTTACAATTCTATGATTTTTGCTCCAAAAATATTTACTTAAAATATTTACAAGTTCTTAATAGTATATAAGAGTATGGCCTCTATAGAAAAGTAAAAACTTGTTTTAAAATAGAATTTTTATAGAAAAGTAGAACGTGATATAAAGAGAAGGCTTGCAGATGAAGGTACAGTAGTGGGAGAAGATACAATGTAACACTCATAAAGTAATACTTGTTATTTTAGTGTCTGGACTGGCATATATGATTCTCAGTAAATATCAGCTATTACATTTAATAAAAGATTAAAAATAGGGTGTACTATTGGAAAATGCAAAGACACCTCTGTTGCACTAATGGAGTTTAAACTCTAATTGAAAATGGGAAAATATATTTGACAAGGTTGAAAATTAAATCAGTGGTGTGGAGCAAAAACTTAAAAATGTTTCCCAGGATGCAGAGGGAAAAGGTAAGTTGTTAACAGTGATGAGAAAAATGATAGAGCTGAAGGATGTTGCACTTTTACCCAAATCATAAATGATGATTGTTCCCTCCATTCCTCTTAGAGAAGTGGAGAATGAGTATAACAGACATAGTGCCAGATTTGACACGAAGCACCAGCTAAAATCACCAAGTCAGAGGCATGTTGCTGCAAGAGCAGGTATAAGGCAAGCAGGATGTAGACTTTTTTTTCTCCACCTAACTGCTATGTTTGTTCCTTAGGGAATAAATATAAGGAAAAGCATCTTGGAAAGAAATCAAAACAGAGCTAAAAAGGACTACAAAGACACAAATAATGTGAAAACAAATGAATACTAGCAAAAACAAGAAAACCAAAATCAGACATTAGGGGGCTCAGCCAAGGAGAAATTTTCTGAATTGGTGAATGTCATGTTTAATTAGTTGTCTTCAAGTGTTATACTGAAGGCAGCCCTTCCAGGAGCTAACCCTGGCTGGAGAGGATGTGATTTCCAGAAAATATATTATTTATCTCAGTCCAAAAAGTTAACTTACATGTCAGTTAAGGTTTCAGCCCACACATGAGGTCTTATTGTGTTACTGAGCATTGCTCATCAAGATACTTAAGAAAGGGTTTGTTGGGCTAAATAAAGATGGCAGACTGGGAAGGAACCTAAAATAAAAATGAAAGTCAGCGGAGAAAGAGTTGCCAGAGATCAGCCTCTGAACTTTATGTATCAGCTAAGGAGCTCCTACCATTTACTTGAAAAATCTCCCCTGTCTGAGAGACAGGGGAGGCACTGGGCTGCTGTTTCCTTAAGCACTTGGATCTTGTTAATTATGTGCGCATTAAGCAGCATTCTGCATTAAATTTGGCCTTGCAGGAAGATAATATGAATCCTCAACTCAGGCACAAAAGGCTTTGGCAGTCGCCTTAACCTGCTTCCCCATCTTTCAGCATCCCCCTCTACATTGCAGATTTGCATTCCTCCAGCTTAGGCTCCATACATCAGGGATTGCAAGCTCAGGGGGAGCCAATTCAGTGTTTTACTGTTATAATTAATGATTTATATTGAAATAGAATATTTCTCTTTTTATCTTCTACTTATTCTAGTTCTGCCTTTGGAATGCAAACAGTCTAAACACTGATGAAAAGCCCTTTGCATACTTTTGCTGTTTTCTCCAGGCACAATGCTAGTTTCTGTAACAGTTTTGTGTCATCGATTAAGACTTTTCAGTATGCATTACCCTCATATGAAAGTCTTCTAAATCATTCCTGTTATATCTTAGAAAACTCATCTATCTGTCTTTCCACTCAGATAACTAATCAAAGCATAATCCACCTAGCAGTAAGACGAGAAACTCATCAAAGTCTCCTGCAATCAAGGTATCCAATGAACATCCTGCACTGTTAGATGTGGCCCTAAATCCCAACTGAAGTACTTATTGGGTTTAACTGCTGCTTTACACATGTATGGGCACGGCCTACACTTTCTTTCTTTTTTTTTTCTTCCTCCAAATGTGAATTTGTGTTTGGATGCAGAAATGCTTCCACCAACTTCCTGGACTGCAAAGTCATGGAATATTTAGTAGCTGTTCATTGCTCCTTGCTTTCTGATGCACTTAGAGCATCTCATAAACACCCCCAAAATAGACCAGGAATGTAAAGTGTAGTGAGTGGATTTGGGTGGTTAATCTCAATCTCCAGTGGGAGAAGGCATTTGGCAACTCTAAGAAAATAACGTAGGCTAAATGTTAGACAAATTAAAAAGTAAGACAAAGTCCTTATTGAGATTGGTAGTTATTGATTCATTGTGAGTCTAAGTACACATGTTAAGCCTCTAAAGAGTCAAAAGTGCTGCTGATGTATTATTGGGTTTGCAGAAGAACAATCAGGATGCAAGAGAGAAAGAATTACTATCCCAGGAATTACAGCCTTCAGTTCTCTTCAGGCTCTGGAAGGAATGATGTTTAATGACTGAGGCAGAAATATCATTGTCTATTAGAAACTTAAAGTAAGGAATAAGAGTCTACCAACTTGAAGCCCAGCTGGATTTCTTATAGACAGCAGCACTGGAAAACTCGGACTTTCAAATGAGGAAAGGATTCACTGAATGTAACTTATCTAAGTTATTGGCCATGAACAACTTTAGCAGAAATTGTCTTATGAATTACTTTGAACATTCTACAGTTAATAATTTTTAAAAAGTCTTAGAGCTGCAGGAGTGTTGAGATATTGTTCCAGCAAAATTTCCTACCTAATTAAGAACCCCCACAGTTGGGCCTGCTGTGTCTTCTTGAATTCCTTCAGCGACACAGAGCGAGCCTCGTCTTTAGCATGAATCCAAAGAACCAGTGATGGCTCAATTAAGGATTTAGCACCAGAAGACATGGTTCAATTCTAAGCTCTGCCATTTACTACAGGGATGAATCACTATGTTTTAGAAATTTTGTTATATATTTTAAAAATCTATAAAATCAAATAACACTCAACATAGACTATAAAAATATAGCTGGTTGTTTTTAGTCTAAAATATGACACAAATGTATGGTATATGGTTTTGCTATTAATATTTTGAAAAGACTATAATGTATTGAAATAAATTTGGTTTATTTGTAATTTCTTCCCATTTGTTTTAGATTTACTGTGTGCAGCAATAGAGAACAATCTTCCTCAAAAATAAATATTTAAATGATTGGCGGCAGTTATCCTCCTTCAGCTTAGTTTTGTCACTTGGAGGCCCTCAGTTACTGCCAGGTTTCCTCTTTGGAGACACACTCCTTATCATATTGCTTACCTTCCTTTGTGTGTTTCATATTCAATTTGTCAGTGACACTCTTAAAGTGGGGAGCTGGAAGGAAGCATAACACTCCTAGTATCACTGAGCACTCATGGATACAGTGAGATGACTCTTCTTGGAGCCAGAGTATCATGCTTTTATAGAGACATCTTTAGCATATTCAACCATGCATTCATTAAAATATAGTATTTTTCCATGTATTTGAATGTTCATTCAAATCCTCCTTTTACCGTTTATTTTGCAACTATGCCTTATTTCACTAAATGGATGGTCAATTTTTAGGGGCAGAGGTTACTTCTTTTGATGCTAATGGCACTTGGCGCCTGCTAGGCTAAGTGTTAGATGTTCAAAGAGAATATGTATTAAATTGAGTCTAATTAAATGGTACTTAAAACTTCAACAGACAGCAGGCTAACTATTGTCCCAGAAACCTCCTAGAATCATTATTTGGGTATTCTTTTCACATAAGGTACACAAATTAGAATCACAAGAAAAAAAATAAAGTGAAGAGGGAATGGCAAAGATCTCAGCCTCCAATACAATTAACCTATGTTCAATAACAGATTGCATTGTGAATATTGATAGTGTCCATATAAGCCACACAATAGCAGAGGATTGCAGCAGATAAAGGCTTAGGACAGGCTATCCTCTGTTTTAGAAAATGAATACCCCTTGATCAGAATTTGTTAGTGCCCTATGTTAGAAAGTAACTATTCTCTTTTAAAAGTCCACTTGGCAAAGTGCCCCTTAATAACATCCAGTCTCCCAGTACCTTTAATTGTTTCCAGATCACTAACGATTTGATCGAGAGAGCATGGGGAGTGGGGTAAAAGGGAAAGTGAAACTGAAAGCTAAAGAGTTTGGAACCACTACTAATTGAAGGTCAATCAGGAAGGTATCCAGCATCTGACAATGAAGATCTCAGTCAGAGACAAGCAAGGGTTTGAATCCCAAAGGTTGTGTCTGCTGGGAGCACTGTTCAGGGAGCATTGTGCAAAAGGCACTGGTTGCACCGGGTGGAGGTGCTCATGCCCTACCCAACCCACCACGGTGCAGGGCTGCCCCTCCAAACATTACAGGGCACTGAGTGGATCTCAGGGACAAGCCTGTTCTCTATCCTGGCCCATCCTTTCCATAAACGACAACTATTTTTCCCTAACCTCTGTTTATATATTATATGACTCAAAGCCTTCATTGTCATATTCACTCATTCCTTCTTTCTTTCATCTTCTTCTCAGCACTCTTAAGTCCATGTATTTCAAATCTTGAATATTTTTTCTTTTTTTTTAACTTTTAAAGTGGTTTTAGTTTTTTAGATTTTAGATTCTGGTAGAAGAATTAATTAAATTTTCATCTGATCAGTGGATCATTTTTAAACAGTTGAAGATTTTCTTTCTGTTTTTTCTTTTTCTTTTTCATTCATGTCATGCCCTGTAAATTTGCAAGGGGTATCTTTAAAGTAAGGTGAGAGTAGGTCAGCTATAAAACATTCAAGAAATAACCCCAGCTGCCCCCTTCCATCAGCAATGGCAAGGAAAGCACTTAGCGTTTCTGCCTCAGTGGAGCATCAGACTGCAGTTGCAGCCGAGGAAACATGTGGCTTTCTGAGGCAAAAGTTCAGGTTGGATTCTCTGGATTGTGACTTTGAGATTAATAAGCCCCCCAGGGAGCTCCACTGGAGATGATTTTGGCTATAGGAAAGTTTTCTTTAAATCAGGAAAACAGGCTTCGTAGAGTAAAGCCATCTCCACTCAAGCTGTCACTGTAACAGAAAATAGACTGTCACTTCCAGCTGCCAACACAAGGCTTTGGGGGAACACTCCACATTCAGAAGTGTTTAGATTTTCAGTTGAATACGGTTGATTTTCATAAAGTGACCAAAATCTGCATGCTGCTCTCGCCAATCCTGTACTTCAAAAAACCATATAAAACAGTTAAATAAATAAGCAAAGAAAATAGAAATTAACCTTACGTGCAAAAAGTTCTAATTGGAATTCTCCTTTCCTGTCATTTTTTTCTTCAAATAAAACTACTAGCTCTTTAAAAATTAATCAAAATTATACTTCTGCATAGTTTGCAGATTTGAATAAGCACAGAAAGGTTAGAACATAAACGAAATCTTAAAGTAAAACATAAACTTACATTTTGAAGAGGACTTTGAAAATTCATAACACTAGATAGGGCTGTGTTTTCCCTAAGCTGTGTATGATGCAAACTGACAATCAGGCTAGAAAAAGTCTACTTCACACTTCGTGGTAGCATATGTCACAGGTGAATGATTTGATTTTAATTTAAGTACTTAATCACCATTTCCAAATAATGAGCTGATAAAATGTACATTTTAATTTGAATGACAAACAATATTTTACTGTGATTTACAAAGTATGCCAAACTTTGATTACAAATTTGCAGATAGAAAATAATTCAAGGACATTTTCTAATTTAAAAAAATCTCGGACACTCCTCAGAGAAGTCATTTATGCGACCAACAAACATATGAAAAAAAGCTCATCGTCGCTGATCATTAGAGAAATGCAAATCAAAACCACAATGAGATACCATCTCACGCCAGTTAGAATGGCGATCATTAAAGAGTCAGGAGACAACAGATGCTGAAGAGGATGTAGAGAAATAGGAATGCTTTTACACTGTTGGTGGGGGTGTAAATTAGTTCAACCATTGTGGAAGACAGTGTGGCGATTCCTTAAGGATCTAGAACCAGAAATACCATTTGACCCAGCAATCCCATTACCGGGTATATACCCAAAGGATTATAAATCATGCTACTATAAAGACACATCCACACATATGTTTATTGCAACACTATTCACAATAGCAAAGACTTGGAACCAACCCAAATGCCCACCAATGATAGACTGGATAAAGAAAATGTGGCACATATACACCATGGAATACTATGCAGCCATGAGAAAGGGTAAGTTCATCTTCTTTGCATGGACATGGATGAAGCTGGAAACCATCATTCTCAGCAAACTAACACAGCAACAGAAAACTAAACACCGCATATTCTCACTCATAAGTGGGAGTTGAACAATGAGAACACATGGACACAGGGAGGGGAACATCACACACTGGGGCCTGTCAGGGGATGGGGGGCTAGGGGAGTAATAGCATTAGGAGAAATAGCTAATGTATATGACGGGTTGATGGGTGCAGCAAACCACCATTGCACGTGTATACCTACGTAACAAACCTGCAGTTTCTGCACATGTATCCCAGAACTTAAAGTATAATTAAAAAAATAATAATAATAAAGACTGCTCTTCCCACTTCTAAAAAGCAAACAAACAAAAACTGGTGGCACTGAACAAATATGGAATAAACTACAGGGATTTGGATTTTTAAGTCTGTTAATATTTTTACTTTGCTCCCTTGTACCATTCACAAAGATCTTGGTTATATAATAATATAAAATTGGAGGCCGAGGCAGGAGGATCACGAGGTCAGGAGATTGAGACCATCCTGGCTAACATGGTGAAACCCCATCTCTACTAAAAATACAAAAAATCAGCTGGGTATGGTGGTTGGTGCCTGCAGTCCCAGCTACTCAGGGCCTGAGGCAGGAGAATGGCGTGAACCCGGGAGGCAGAGCTTGCAGTGAGCGGAGATCACGCCACTGCACTCCAGCCTGGGCCACAGAGCAAGACTCCATCTCAAAAAAATAAATAAAAAAGAATATAAAATTGAAAAAAAAAACTCTCTTAAGACATTTCTCAGGCACTTTGAATGTGTAGAGCATTCTTTCAATGATATCACTTAAAATATCAACCTGTGCCCTGTTACATGTCCACTCATAAAATCATGTATGACTTTGCATACTTGCTCAGGACTATTAGTTGAGATTTTGTAGGAATCTTGTGTAAACTAGTCTCACATAAACAGAGTATATGGTCACCTTGATAAAGGATTTGAGAATGCTAAAAAGAGACTCTTACCTTGAAATGTCTACTTCACATGCCATCATTGTGTTATGATGTTTAGTGATTTATAAACTTACAACATCTTTGAGCTGAGAGAGATTTTTTAGAAATGGTTTATGTGTATCTCCTCATTTTAAACGTTACAGAAGAAAAATCTAGACAGACTGGGTGACTTTGACAGATTCCTCATCTATCTTCCTAGAAGTTGTGTTAAGATCCTGAACGCAGGTGTCTTAATTCCAGTCGAATGATTACTGGACCCAGGTTTGCCCTTCCTCCCTAAATTGTTTTAAAATTCAATATTTCCTAGAACAAATTAGTGATATGGTTTTGCTGTGTCCCCACCCAAATCTCAACTTGAATTGCATCTCCCAGAATTCCCACGTGTTGGAGGAGGGACCCAGGGGGAGGTACTTGAATCATGGGGGACAGTGTTTTCCATGCTATTCTCATGATAATGAATAAGTCTCAGGAGAGCTGATGGGTTTATCAGGGGTTCCCGCTTTTGCTTCTTCCTCATTTCTCTCTTGCTGTTGCCATGTAAGAAGTGCCTGTTGCCTCCTGCTGTGATTCTGAGGCCTCCCCAGCCATGTGGAACTGTAAGTCCAATTAAACCTCTTTTTGTTTCCAGTTTCGGGTATGTCTTTATCAGCAGGGTGAAAATGAATGAATACAGTTAGGTTCAGACATCAGTTCAAGTTTTGTTTTCTTTTGCTACTTTCCTAATTGTGGGCTTGCTAATGAGGTCTACCAGGAGCTGGAAATTGAAAACTGGAAGGTGGCTCAATTAGAGAATGAGGGTGGGGTATGGAAAGACACTAACAAAACGTGGGGTGTGGAAAATCACTGAGACAAAGTTTATCGTGCCATCTAAACCCATGGTTGTACTGAAACAACAGCTAATGAAAAAATATCAAACCAAATATTGAAACTACTGTAGCTCTCTCAAAACTGAGGCTTTTCTGATGATGCCATTTCTTTTTGATCATGGTCCTACCATGCCCAACTCCTATTCCCTAGGAAAAATAATGCTATAAAGAACATGAGACCGGGTGTGGTGGCTCATGCCTGTAATCCCAGCACTGTGGGAGGCCAAGGCAGGTGGATCATGAGTTGAGGAGTTCAAGACCAGCCTGACCAATATGGTCAAACCCCATCTCTGTTAAAAACATAAAAATTAGCCAGGCAAGGTGGCAGGTAGCTGTAATCTCAGCTACTCAGTAGGCTGAGGAAGGAGAATTGCTTGAACCTGGGCAGTGAAGGTTGCAGTGAGCTAAGATCGTGCCACTGCACTCCAGTCTAGGTGACAGAGTGAGACTGTCTCAAAAAAAAAAAAAAAAAAAAAACGAGAAGGCCAAGGTGCAGAATCTGGTTCCATTCATATGCCAAATCTAGTGGAAATGACTTTCCTGCAAGCTGAAGCACAGTTCAGAGGAAGATGACACAGGTGGTAGATGTGTGTCTCTCATTTTTTGATAATGAATAGATCCTCCCCCACTAATTTTATTAAGTGCATTATAATTGTTTCTCTTCTGGTAGGTAATATAAAATATCATATGTTTGATTAATGTAAATGGGAACATGCACCAGCTGATTTTTGATAGGTCAGAAGTTGACTGGAGACAGAACAATAATTTTGCTGACAAATGCACTGGATGTATCCAGAGAGCAAATTCTGAAAAAGGTAAGAAGGACTGAGGATCTGAGCTGAAAAATACAAAGAAGAAGAAAGCAAGCAAAGGAAATGTAAATTTGTCAGGAGCTAGCTTGTGCCTCTATTATATGCAAATTTCCATCCTCCTCATTTCACCAAGAAAGAACTTTGACTGAATGGAGAAGTGGCTGGGGACTGGCAGTGGGTGTGATTAGAAGGAGGAGGGATTTGGCTGCGAGTATATGTAACATACCTGGGTCTATTGACAAGGATTTAACAGCCCAGAAAGGAAGATGGCTATAGGAATAAGTAACTCAAATAAAATAAATCTTGACAATGCTGTGAAGAGACTATTCATTGCTCTCCTGAGAGAAAACCCCTGAGACTTTGTGGAAACAAAGATGTCATCATGGAGGATAAATTTGACTGGAGGCATGCACATGTACAAAAACTAAAGAAAAGTTTCCCAGACAAAGAACCTGAAAAAGTAGTGATATGATGCACAACTGGCTCTCAGACAGATACGGCATCTACAGTGTCATTTAATACTCACTTACGTGTGCATGAGGTAAGGATTAACATCACCATTTGTCAATGAAGAAGCCGAGGTCCATAGATGTTTAGTAACAGACACAAGACCACATTGGAAAGGACAGAACTCAAAACTTGTCTGTAGTCTTTCAATTACGCCTCAGGGCTTCTCATTCCTTTCTACATAGGCATATTATAAAAAGCAAAGAAAGACCACACATTTTCTGAGGTGCTCCACTATATGCTGTAGCCCAGTAATAGAGTATGCACAAGATTGCAGAGATATGTTCCTTTAGGGATCTTGCCCAGAACTTGAAGGATAAACCAGAACGACTCTATTCTCAGGATCTCTCTACTCACTAGGAAATCAATCCTTCCTCATAAGCCTGGCACTGACTCATGTAGGTGAGAGAGACTCCCACTTTCTCAGCTAATAGAAAATTTATTTTTGAACTCTTTCACACACTTATTCTTCTGCCACAGGGAGCCTGCTCATTAATGTGATCTCTCACTTTGTACCTAATTAAATGCATGTAAATTCAGAAGTACATCATGTCATTGTACTAAGAAATAGATGTGCTGGATATAATCTAAAGCCTTCTAGGAATTTAAAGTTCAGAAATACGATGGTAATTGCTTTCAAGTTTGAGTGAGTGTTTCAAGTGTTGAGACTGAAGAGCCATGCAAAGAAAGGACACCCATGCAGTCACCAAGCATATGGTGCTCAGAATGGCCTTCTGTTCTTCCCAATTCCATTCCTTATGACTTTGTTGAAAGAGGTAGAAGTAATTATTATGGAATTTAGAAAGGATACCTAATAATATCCTTAGATGAGGGATGTCTAATCCATTTGAACGTCATGATTTTTGAATCTTCTGTCCACACCTCCTTATCCCTAGCCCACTTCTGGCAAAATTATTTGGTATAGTAGTATAGTACTTTGCGGGAGTTTCTCAGAGATCATTTCTGATCTACAGAACTTTGAAATTTGAATATTGAAGCCAAATTTGGCATCATTTAAAATTTTAAGATTTGCAATTGCCTTAGATATAAGAAGTCCATAAATACAGCTTTAGCCTTTTAAGATGGAAGAAAATGATTTTTAAATTGAAAAGGAAAGACAAATTTTTTTCAATATATTTATCTGCCTCTCAATCTTATAGCCTCATAATCATATCTGGTATGATTGGACTGATATTTTTATAAGCAGATTAAAACTCATTCACTCTAGTGAACATTATTCTTTAAAGCAGTCTCCATAGAACAGTATTATAGTTATTATAGCTGTTCATAAGGTGCACAAATATTTCAGAACCCTTTCTTTTGGGTTCAGATCTTTTATCTTCAGATCCAGTTCACAAAGTGCAGAAATCATGAGTTTTATGAATTTACTGTGTCCCATATTGTTTATTGCCCTACCCTATTTCAAACAGTGTGCTTAATGACCAGTTTCCAAACAATATACCTAATATTTTGAGGAGATTTCCATAGAGATTATCTGATTTTTTTTTCATCAAAGTGAAAATTTATCTTTGGACTAAATATACAATATAATGGTCCTGTTGGTACTTATTAAGAGCATCTAAAGTGAGGCATTTCATAAAAACAATTCAGAGAAAGGAGATCTCAAAAAATTATGGAATTTATTTAAGATCTCATTCACAATGTTTAGTTCCTGACAAAGTTGGAACATGGTTGAATTTAACCTTGATCCTGAACGTTGTGTTTCAGAGCTCTCTACAGCACTCTGAAACCCTCTGAATTTCTGTCACTGAGACTCTTGGTCCTCCCCAATCTGGCAATTTGCACATAGCCTGTCTCCTTCACCATGTAGGTCCTGCCCCAGGCCATTGGTCTTCCCATTTTTCTCCCAGCACTCCAGAAGTGATATGTAGTTTTCTAAGGGCCTCGTTTGAAAAAGAAGAAGGAGGAGGAGGAGGAGGAGGACTTTAATTGGGATACATGATATGGTTTGGCTGTGTCCCTACCCAAATCTCATCATGAATTATAGCTTTTATAATCCCTACATGTCATGGATGAACATGGTGGGAGGTGATAGTGAATAAATCTTATGAGATCTGATGATTTTATAAAGGGCAATTACTCTGCACACTCTCTCTTGCCTGCTGCCATGTAAGATGTGCCTTTGCTCCTCCTTCACCTTCTGCCATGATTGTGAGGCCTCCCTAGCCATGTGGAACTGTGAATACGTTGAACCTCCTTTTCTTTATAAATTACCCAGTCTCCGGTATTTCTTCATAGCAGTATGAAAATGAACTAATACAAAATATAATTCCAATGTTTGTTCAAAACACGATCTCATTACTTGGAACTGTTAATAATTATTTGTCTTAAGCGTTGTAGTGGAATTAAATTCATTTTCCCAAATAAATGTGAGCCTGATCACATGAACAGAGTGGCCAAATATGCCAGAATATGAATCACTCAGGTGTAAATGAAGACAATTCATGCTGTTCTTCTGTTAGAACATCATCTCAATCTTCCCTTTGAAAGACCCACTGAAGCAGTCCCATCTGTCAGAACTTCCTTAGACCATGCTGCCACACTGCCACCTCATTCATTACCTGTGATACTCATTTCAGAGTTACTCAACCACGTATCTGTTATTTCTGGTATGTTGTGAGCTACAATATCTATTGAAAACACTTCACATTTCTTAACTTTTTCACTGAATTCATCTTGATTCTTTGAATCCCTGCATTAGAGTATGAGATCCATTAGAGCACAAACCATGGCAATCCCTCCTCTATATGCCCTATACCACAAGAAGATTTAGTAGTTACTTGTTAACTGATTATTTTAATGGGGATTCCTTACATAAATCTGCTTATCTTGTAGGTGTAAAAAAAAACTCATCTGGGGAAAAGTACTGCATTGTTATTAACACTCTCCCTTTCCTTATTTTACTTTCTATTTGAATACTTAGAATACTTAGCAAAGTCTCTGAGTTGAGGAGAAAGGGGCAAGCCTTAGTTCTTGAAGCTCCCTCCAGTCTGTCCATGACTTGAGCTGAAACATGACTAGAAAAGCCCAAAGTCTTAGGGGAGGTTAAAGAAGCAGAGGAAGTCCATGAGATGGGAGCACATTGCTATGACTATTGACAAGGAAATATGGAGTGATTTATTTTATTTGAAAATTCTGTCTATGGCAATTGCCCATGACATTTGCAATCAATGCTTTAGTTAAAGTCCTAGAAGGCAGGGTCATAAGTATACAGCACATGTAATTAGGAAATGTAGGGCCCAAAAGACGAGTTAAAATTTAAGTAGAAATAATGTTAACTCTTATACTTAGATTCTTTAAAGTATCTGAAAGTACATATCAGCAGATCAGATTGAAAACAAATCTCGACTTTTGTTGACTACAAGTCACACAATATGACTGCTATGAAAACCAGCATTAATTTACATTAATAAAAATACTATCTAAGTCAGGCTTTCCTATATTCTATATTCATCTGCTCATATCTGTAGTACAGTGTTCAGTTCTGGATAAATTATTTACAAGAATATTGATATATTAAGTCAAATCCACAGGGGAATAGCCAGGATGATAAGAAGGCTAGAAACCAAGTCACTTGATTAAAAGTTACAGCAGGTGAGAATGTCAATAAAAGAGAAAGCTAAGAAAAATAAAGAGGACTTCTTCAAATATTGGAAGCACTAATATGTGGACAGAGCACTGTTTGTGTTGTAAAAGCTACTGCTAAGCCATGTATATTAAGAGAATGTTCAGCCAAAGAGTGGTTGCCTATCAAACTGAGCTGTACACTTTAGGATCAAATGACTCTGGGGTTAGGGACTCCCTCTTAGTCAAGCTGTTCAAACAGGCATTGAAGACACACCTGTTAAGGATTCTTAGAAGGGATTCTGATACTACAGACAAGGTAACCATTGAGGTTGTGAGAGGTGACAGCGTGCTGGCAGCCCTCGCAGCCCTCACTTGCTCTTGGTGCCTCCTCGGCCTCTGCGCCCTCTCTGGCCGCACTTGAGGAGCCCTTCAGCCTGCCGCTGCACTGTGGTTGCCCCTTCCTGGGATGCTCGAGGCTGGAGCTGGCTCCCTCAGCCTGCGTGGAGGTGTGGAGGGAGAGGCAAGGGAGGGAACCAGGGCTGCCCACTGCACTTACAGGCCAGCTAGAGTTCCGGGTGGGCATGGGCTTGGCGGGCCCTGCACTCGGAGCGGCCAGCTGGCCCCCCAGCCCCGGGCAGTGAGGGGCTTAGCACCTGGGCCAGCAGCTGCGGAGGGTGTGCTGGGTCCCCCAGCAGTGCCGGCCCACCAGTGCTGTACTTGATTTCTTGCTGGGCCTTAGCTGCCTCCCTGCAGGGCAGGGCTTGTAACCTGCAGCCTGCCATGCCTGAGCCTCCTCCCCACCGCCCCATGGGCTCCTGTGCGCCCAAGCCCCGACAAGCGCCACCCCTTGCTCACGGTGCCCAGTCCCATCCACCACCCAAGGGCTGAGGAGTGTGGGTGCACGGCACAGGACTGGCAGGCAGCTCCACCTGTGGCCCCAGTGCGGGATCCACTGGGTGAAGCCAGCTGGGCTCCAGAGTCTAGTGGGGACTTGGAGTACCTTTATGTCTAGCTAAGGGATTGTAAATACACCAATCAGCACTCTGTATCTAGCTCAAGGTTTTTAAACACACCAATCAGCACCCTGTGTCTAGCTCAGGGTTTGTGGATGCACCAATCGGCACTCTGTTTCTAGCTAATCTGGTGGGGTCTTGGAGAATCTTTATGTCTAGCTAAGGGATTGTGAATACACCAATCGGCACTCTGTATCTAGCTCAAGGTTTGTAAATGCACCAATCAGCACTCTGTGTCTAGCTCAAGGTTTGTAAATACACCAATCAGCACTCTGTATCTAGCTAATCTAGTGGGGAGGTGGAGAACTTTTGTGTCTAGCTCAGGGATTGTAAACGCACCAATCAGCACCCTGTGAAAACAGACCAATCAGCTCTCTTAAAACAGACCAATCGCCTCTCTGTATAATGGATGAATCAGCAGGATGTGGGTGGGGCCAGATAAGAGAATAAAAGCAGGCTGCCTGGAGCCAGCAGTGGCAACTGGCTTGGGCCCTCTTCCACACTGTTGGAAGCTTTGTTCTTTCCGCTCGTTGCAATAAATCTTGGTGCTGCTAACTTTTTGGGTCCACACTGCCTTTATGAGCTGTAACACTCACCGCGAAGGTCTGCAGCTTCACTCCTGAAGCCAGCGAGACCACGAACCCACCAGAAGGAAGAAACTCCCAACACATCCAAACATCAGAAGGAGCAAACTCCAGACACGCCACCTTTAAGAACAGTAACACTCACCGTGAGGGTCTGTGGCTTCATTCTTGAAGTCAGTGAGACCAAGAACCCACCAATTCCGGAAACAGTTGTTTCTCCCATCCTGAAATATGCGTGCAAAAATCACATAATCAGAGAATGGATTTCACTTCCCAAATAAAACCGAATTTATCATTACAATAGTCAATGGTTTTGAAACATTATAATTTTTTAACAAGTAAAAATGTTTGAGGTCCATGTACAACCCAGAGCAAACTGTTAGAATGGAAATAAGATCCTCTTCTATGGTGTTTGCCCTCACCACGCAATAACTATATCACAGTCTTTGGCTACAGAAGACAACATGGACCACTGAGATGATTGTCAAGGAGGGTTTTTAAATGGATTGATTTGGAAATAATGCCTTTGTTTCTTCCCTTGCTCATGTGCTGTGCTAAGCACATGCCATCAAAGCCAGGGAGATAAAGTGAACTTTATTTGTTGAAGTCACAAGCAACATTCATTCTCATATAGCTCCTGAGAATGAAAGGAGAAACCTACCATTTCCCACATTTGTTTTTATTTTAGAAATGTGCATCTAATTTAACATCCACCTGACTTTTATTTTCCTTCATGAAAGGATGTCAGATACGATAAGGATCAGTTAAGTTAAAAGCCACTTTCAGCCTCATTGTCCCTTTGTGTTAACAAAACCTCATAAAAGCAGATGGATAGCCAAAGCCAACTTCTTTCTATGACCATCCAAAGATAAACACTCTGTGCCTTATCAGCTGAAAAGGGAATTCTTCATTTTTATCAGGGAATAGACTTTATTTTAGTTGCTTAGTTTGAAATAAAAATCGATGGCCCCATTTGGCATTGCTTAAAAAGAATCTTTTAAAAATATTATTAAACCACAGAGAAACAACTAGCTCTCCCAAGAATTTATTTCCCATATAAATCCTGAGTTAAACAGCAAATGCTAACTTTTGGCTAACAAACTGAATGAAGATAGAAGTGTAGATTCTATATAAGCTATCAGGAATTTTAATGAGGTCATAAAACTAAATTCCCTCATTATAATTATTTCAAATGATTAATAAAAAGTTTGTATCCCAAGTTTATACCAAAAGTCTTACCTCATAAATGTATTTTACTAGCTCACAATATACTCTTTCCCAGACCTCAGAGAATCATTCACAGACTTCTCAGATCCTATCTCTATAACCCCTCTGTTCATATTGATCCCCTGTCCTTTTAATTACTATATGATTTTACCGGTCGTTTGAGAATCATCTATTGCATCACCCTAGCATTTGACTTTTGACATGGACTCATCTTCATTTTTTGAATGGACCTTAGTATTCTCAAGACGGAAAGCCATGCTAGCCCAGGGCACCATTTTGCAACCAGAGGTGCTCTATGAGTGAGCAAATAACATTAAAAGCAGTGAACGCATTTGGGAAAAGTTGTCTACCAAGGAAGTGGGAGTCTCAAAATTAGAAACCAAGTTGCCTCACTCATGGGCCCAGATTCCTTCTTCTTTATCACCTACCTCCATTGCATTTCAGTCCCAAGTATTGGTCACTTTAGGGAACAACTGGATAACTATTTAACATATGTAATACCTCACTTTCTCTCTCTTTATTGTTTACATTTTAAAGGGTCGGGATGCAGAATTCATCTTGTCCTAGGACAAAAATCAATGGTGAAATTTGAGGTGTTATAATTATTGGGGAGATGTTTTGATCTAATCTGGACTTTCTCAAATATCACAAGTTTTATAATAATAATAATAACTGCCAACTCTGCTTATATAAAGCCAGTCTCTTCAGGTAGTATGCTGGGATAATGACAATGTCATTTTCCAAGCAAACCGGGATCCTCTGCATCAGGACATCCATACTTGGATAGAAAATAAGTGTCATCCATATCATGTTCATCATTCTTTCTCACAAACCAAGAGGTGCATTCTGGCTTGCTAGCCCTTGCAGTTCAGCTTTATCTAAAATAGTATAGTGAGAGAGAAACTTTCAGACATAAAGAGAAAAATCATCAAATTCTCTATTTGATCAGTAAGTATTATTAATGCAATGGTATAATTTCTGTTTGCTAAACCTGAATTAGTGACATGGACATACATAATCATTATATAAATTTTATAATAATTTTCTCTTTAATCACTTCCTGTGAGTTTACAAGTAAAATTTGTGCTCAAGCCCTCCGTTCAACAATGTAAGAGAAACAAGAAGGAATGCAAAGGAAGCATGAGAAAAAGCCCAGCCTTTAAGGAAATAGCAAAGTTGAGGACATCTCTAGGCATTAAAATACGTAAGAGAGATGAAAAGATAAGGTAAGGTAACATATCATTCCATACACAATTGTGTATATTTATAATAAAATCAGAATAGTTCAAACATAGGAGATATTATTTTGAACTAAAGAAAAAGTAGTGTAGCTGGGGGTGGTGGCTCATGCCTGTAACCCCAGTGTTTGGTAGACCAAGGCAGAAAGATCGCCTGAGGCCAGGAGTTTGAGACCAGCCAGGTCAACGTAGTGAGACATCACCTCTAAAAAATAAAACACATAAAAATAAAATAATTAGTGAAAATTAATGAAAATTTCTTAGAAAATAAGGGTTTCAGCTTTCACTACTAACCAATTTCTAGCTAATTATTTTCTGTAATTATTTTATTAAATATTGGTAATAATGAAAATAGTAACAATTATACTTATAATACTAATAACTGACATGTTTGGAGCTTTCTATATGACTGGCACTGATATAAGTAATTTACGTACATTAAAAGTTTTAATTCTTCACAGAAATTCTATGTGCTAAGCATTTTTATAAGACCCAATTCACAAATGAAGAAATGGAGGCAGAGAGAGGTTAGGTAATTTGCTTGCGTCTATTCAGCTATTCAAAGTCGTAACTCACTATACAATATTACCTCTCTCATCTACCTAACACTTTCCCCTTTCATTGACATATATTTACTGAGTGTATACTTAATCATTTATTTTTGTTTATATCCTGATAGCCAAAAAAAAAATTAGAGGAAAATAAAAGAGAAGCTTACAGTGGAAGACCTTAGAGTATAGTCACGCATTAAACAATTATACCACAAATGGCCTGGCTTTATCAATGACAAACTATATAACAGAACGAGTGATTCTTCCAGGAACCATTGCTTGTGTGCATGAGCTTGTGCCAGCATGATTGCCAGGTATTAGTCCACCTCTAATGTTCCTCAAGTTTCTGAGAGTACCCACAGATGCTACCATATGTAGACTCAAGACCCAACTCCTGGTGTCTATGTGTTTTTGTTGTTGCCTTTTTTGATGATGACTGTCTGAAGTTTGTTTTTTGAAACAGAGTCTTGCTCTGTCACTCAGGCTGAAGTGCAGTAGCACCATCTCGACTCACCGTGACCTGTGCATCCTGGGTTCAAGCGATTTTCCTGCCTCAGCCTCCCAAGTAGCTAGAACTACCAACACGCGTATTTGTAGTGGAGACGGCGTTTCACCATGTTAGCCAGGCTGATTTCAAACTCCTGACCTCAAGTGATCCACCCTCCTCAGCCTCCCAAATTGCTGGGATAATAGGTGTGAGCCACAACACCTGGCCAACGATGACCACTTTAAAATTACTTTCTCCTGGTTACAGCCAACTTTCAGTTATCACCACTGGACTCAAACACCTTAATTTACCTCAGTGACCTACTATGACCAGACCATTCCATTAGTCCAACAACTTTTTTGGTAAAATCTTGCTAAACAAAGCAGGCTAAAATAGAGAACTATTGCTAATTGAAATGGCAGTATCTGGATTTTCCAATGATGCCCTCTACTGTAATACTGCCCTCTACATAAACTCACCTGAAATGTTCACCAGAAATGTCCAGGATCTATTATGCCTTATAATCCAGGCCCCGCTAGCATGTATAAAGAAACACAGTGTATCTCCTTCACCCTTACCTAAGTCCCATCTCCCAAGTTTTCATTTCCCTTCATAAAATTGATTCCTCCTGCTGATAATGAACAGTAGAAACTCCCACTCCCACAGGATTATTAAATTGGCCTAAAACTTTCATTAGGACAATTAAATTACATTAAAATATAATAATACATTATATTTAATACATTATAAATGTCAATTTTATAACATAGAATATCATAGGCTCAACCCAGCTACTTTTTCTGACTCTTCTCCTAAGTGAGATGAGGCCCATGACTTTCTGCCACTTGGAGGGACTGGAAATAGATAGACAGAGATGTTAACTCGTTTTCCTGCTCAAGCAAACAAGAACTCACATGTATATGTCAGACACAGGCAACAAAGAAATAGAAAATGCAAAAGAGGTAATTAAAGACGGTTTAATAATGAGACTACTTAGCCAGATTAAGGGAGGCCAATAGGAAATAGTGACATTAGTAATAGCCAGATACTCATTGCAAGTGGAGAATGCTATTATGAGCCCAGTGAGGCCTAGTAGGTGTAAGAGATGCCTACCTCTCAGAGGATAAAAATCCAGCCATTGCTGCACCACCACCCATCTGCAAAAGAGTGCCTCATTTTTATGAGGCAATAAAAATCTCAAATTATTTTATCCTTGTCCATCTGAGCTCCTGCTGGTATGTCCCCTTTGCTGAACCCAACCAGAATCCAAAGGCAAGGGGGCACAGTTATGAAGTCTATAGTGGTCAGTACTGAAAGAAGTCAGGTGAGTGGGCCTGAAACAGCCAACACAGAATGTCCACTAAAACACATAACTCAGTGTGATCAGTAGATACTTTATAAAACACAGAAATGTAGATCTATGCAGATATAACTTTCTGTTGCCAAACAGAATTAAGGTCCACAGAGGCATGGTTCTGCTAAAAGGCTTTCTGGGAATAAAAAGCAACAGTTTACCTAAAAGTAAATTCTGCTGGGCACAGTAGTGGGTGCCTGTAGTCTCAGATACTGAGATAGGAGGATCACTGGAGCCCAGGAGTTTCAGATCAGCCTAGGGAACACAGAGAGACCCATCTCAATCAATCGATCAATCAATCAATCAATCAATAAAATTTCACATTTAAATTAAATCTGCTGAAGAAGATAACGTTTCTTAGAAATTTTAATTGCAATCATTCTTCTTCTTCTTCTTGTTAATCTACCAGATTTCACAAAGATCTTAGATTTAACAACAGCACATTCTTGCACAAGTACAAAAATAGAAAGTGCCAAAATGAAAGTGGGTGTGGTGATTTAAACAGAAAATCTCAGCTGAGGACACTTCTTGAAATTGGGCATGGATTTTAGTTCAAGGCATGCTGGGAAACTAAAAATATGATGAGTTATTGTTCTGTTTTTTTTTCTTCTTTTCTTTCTTTCTTTTTTTTTTTGAGAGGGAGTCTCGCTCTGTCACCCAAGCTGGAGTGCAGTAGTGCAATCTTGGCTCACTGCAACCTCCGCCTCCCGGGTTCACACCATTCAAGTGAATCGGTTTGTCATGAGAAACACCATTTTATCATAGGATCCTTAATCTGGAGCAAGATCAGAGCAATGATTTAGAAGAACAATCTGGTAGCAATGTTTTAGACTAATTAAAGTAGACAAGATAATAGAAAGAAGACCACTGGGTTGTAGGCAGGTAGAGAGGGTGGAAGGCATGTATTAGTGATCCATTTGATCAAGAATAGTGTAGGGGCAGAAAAAAGGGAGAGGTACTGGGTAAGGTGATGCACTGCATGGGAATAGGATTTAGCGATTTAGTGGAAATTGGGGCTGATAGAGGGGGAAAAACTTACACATACATATATTTAGGAGCAGGATAAAGAAATGATATAGCAATGAGGGAAAGAAATTTTCTGCAATACAAGAGGTAGGTTCATTTGGGGAAGTCAGCAGCTTACATCTGTACTTACCCATCTCTGTTTAGTGACATTGATGCCAGGACCTGGCAAATAGTTCTATCTTGGATAAACAGATGTCTAAAATGCTTTTATCTATGGTGTCAGAGATCAGGCTTTGGATAGACATCAATAGTGGCACTCACCCACTTCCTTTTACCCCTATTCAAAACCCAGGAAGAAAGGGATCTAGACTTGGCATTGACATGCAACAGTGGCTCACGCAGTGTGAAGCCATTAGAGAGTCATATTTGCCTTTTACCTCCCTCAGGATTAGGGCTAGAATTTTTGATGGTGTGAAAACACTTGCAAATTGTAAGCAACCAGTAAATATTTGAATGAATAAATAGATTCTCAATTGAAGAGGCCTAAAAAGAGTGTCGAGTTTTTTTTTTTCTTTACATTTATAAGTGGTATCAAGATAGCAGTAACAAGTCTGCTATATTAAACAAATACTTACTGAGGATCTACTATGTTACAGGAACAGTCTCATGAGCTAGGAATGCCATATAAACAGGAAAGATCTAATTCTTGCCCTCATGGATATGGAACTGCATAGATACAACTTATTTTGCAAAGGCCTCAACTCTATAGAGCTGAAAGTTACAGATGAATGGACAAGGTAAAAAAAGGTGAAGTAGGCCTGATAATTTCTGACTCTGATTAAGGCTTGAAAGTAGGAGACTAAAGTAATACTTGCAAGACTTCTTCAAGGTCTGGCCTAGTGCACCTCAAAAGAAGCACCAATGAGACTTTGGACAGATGCCTTAGCCAGGAATATACAGAGTGCTACACTATAGGTTTAATGAGAGCAAACCACATGTCTTATTTACTGTGGCTAGCACTTTGTAAATCCTCAGTTAATATTTCTGTTTGAATAAAATAATGAACATGCTTTTGTGTGAAAGAAGGAGCAGTTAAAACATTTAAAAAAATAAAAATTAATAAAAGGTGGCATTTTTTAACCAAAGATTCAAATATTTTATATTTCCATGATAGTTAGAATAACAATGTGCAGGCTGGGTGTAGTGGCTCACTCCTGCAATCCCAGAACTTTTAGTGGCTGAGGCAGGAGGATTGCTTGAGCCCAGGAGTTTGAGACCAGCCTGGGCAACACAGTGAGGCCTCATCTCTACTAGAAGTAAAAAAAAATAGCTGGACATGGTGGTGTACATCTATAGTCCCAGCTACTTGGAAGGCTGAGGTGGAAGGATCAGTTGAACCCAGAGGTTGAGGCTGCAGTGAGCCATAATCAGTCCACTGCCCTGCACTCCAGCCTGGGTGACAGAGTGAGACCTTGTCTGAGAAATAACAAAACCCCAAAACCAAAAAAACCCAAGATGGTACTTAGGTAAGAATTGATATAAAGTTTAATGGTACAAAACAAACAATCCTCTGTGTGTGTGTATATATACACAAAAAAATTCATATATACATATAGAAAGTTATGAAATATATACATATTAAGAGAAACATCACATTACTTAATTCCTAAAATTATTAAGGGATACTTATCAAGTTATCACCTCATCTTATCACATGGACTGAAGAATTTTAAGATAAATTAAAAAGTCGGAGTGAAAAAAAAGAAAACATAAAATACAGAGAAAAAATGCAAGCGAATATATTAACATGCTTGTTCTTAATGGGTCATATTACCCCAGGCCTGTGAAACAGGCCTGACTTTCACAAATTACTTTTTACTATTTCAATTTTGCCTCTGGCTTATAACATTAGAAATAAGTGATCTGTAAGGTTATGACCACTAGAGGTGAAAAGCATAAAATACTCTAAGACGTCCAAAACATTAGATTCCTCTTGTCTAAGTTAGCCAAGAAATCTAAATCACTTGCAGTTGGGTTTTGAGAAACATATGGGCCATCAGACTTCCCCTGAAATAGAGTGAGCAAATTTAGAGCTTGACGGAGTCAAGTTCCTTTTGGCATAGGACTTTTTGTTGTTTTATTGAGAACTATTTTCACTACTTTTTCCCCTGAAAACTTCCTTAAAAATTCACTTGGAAAGAAATATGTTATTTATTGATTCAAAAAATACTTAGCTTCTACTGTGTTCAAAATTCTAAATTAGTTACTGGGGTTATGGAAATAAAATGTAGGTTAAAATATCTAAAAATTCCTACCAAAAAGAATTTTGAAATCCAGGCAGGGTTTTTAATCTTTGAGACCCTGTCTAGATAATTGCTGCCGTCTTCTCAGATAATCAGGGAAAGAAAGTAAACACAGCTTTCAAACCAGCCTTTCTTCTAGTACAGCTTTGGAAACAGCCTCATGATACCTTGAGTAGACAACTCAGACCTACTGAAACCCACAGCTATACATTTGTAAGTCCTCCCTTCTATGGAAAACCCTCTAAAGCTGTTCAGATCAACACTCTGCCCCACATTATGGTCTTTGTCCAACAGTCAAGGTCCTTTTTATGACAATGAAGAATATTTTGTTTAGTCTACAAATTTTGGGGTTATGATCTCAGCCCAACTTCTCAATTAACCTAGTTTTAATTATAAATGGAGACAACAGTAATCATAAACTATTGGGTTTCAGCAATAGGTTTTTCCACTCTGTATACATCCTCTCCGCCAACTGGCCAACTTCTCACTTACCTAATCTTTGTAGTCTTCCATTTTCCATTCTATATTCACTATCCATAAACAGCCAAATAAATGTTATAATTTATTAACTGGTATATCATCTCTGACTTTTCAAAAGAATAAAATCTATATCCCAACAGGAGAGATGGTCAAACAAGGTTACAATGACTGTGCGTCAATGGAAAATAGGAGAACTGGAGAAACTGAAGATCGGGGAATTATTTTTTAGCAATATCTATCCTTGAAACTTTCTTTCCTCTTTTTTACCAAGGATGCTTACTTTTAAAATTCCTTACATTGAAATTCTACCTATCATTTTAATGGTGAAATTGACTATAGAAATAAGCATTGCATTTATAATAAAAAAGCTTTTGCATAATTACATGACCATATTCTGAGGAGAAGAATAGTGAGGTAGACTGGCTGAAGAGTAGATACATAAAGTTAAGAACTTAAATACTAATTTAAGTGTATAATGAGCTTTAGATTTTAAAAATAAGAGTTCAAAAACTCTTATATATACACTTCTTAAGAAGAAAGAAAATTAGTAAATGACATTTATATTTCAAGGCATGTTAAAATTCTCTGAAGTGATTGCTAGTGTAACCAAACACTATTCACTGGGCAGTCGTTCTAATAACAGTATGGATTTTTCTTGTTATATCTAATCAGAAGATTAAATTCAAGGGTAGTCATTTCCTGATGACATCAAGAAGTTTTTTCATGAATATCCTAACGTACAGTAAATTAGTACAATAAATAATCATTTAATCTCCTCCTTAATATCTACTCTGGAATCTTCCCTAAACTGAACACAATGTCTTCTCCATCCATTTCTTTATAACTTTAGTTTACAAACCTGTAGAAAAAAAAAAGAAGAAAGAAGTGGAGACAACAAAGAGGAATAGAAAAGAAGAAACAAAAAAAAAAACAACAGAAACACCACCTATGCGTGGTGTCCAAATCCTCTATGTGCATTCTTGCTTTCGTGTTTTAGTTCATTTCATTTTATTCTCTCACCTGCCATTCTCATTCTTCCCCATTTAAAATCTTCCCTTCTCTTCAGAGTCCAGATCAAGACTGTCTTCTTCATGAAAATTTCTCAAACACATCAAAGTAATTTAATGTTTAATCTAATATAAAATGATATCTTTATGTAAATACTTCTTCATATTTAGTTCTATGAGTATATGATTAATATATGCCAAGTGATAGCTAACCTTGGGACAAACTGTTGCAAAGTGGCAACCCCTACTCTGGTTGAACTTAGTGGTTATCTTCATGTGTATTTGTCTTATTTTAGATTTCAAATTGCTGAGGGGTAGAATTATCTCTAAGAACTTCCTTAATCACAGAAGATTATTGCTCAATACATAGATGAAACATAACAATCAATAAAATTCCCAATAGATTGTTTTATAATGTCGATTAGCAAACTTTTATTGTCAAGAGTCAAAGAATAAAGGTTTTCGGCTTTGTAGACCGCTTATTCTTGGTAACAACTAGTCAAATCTGCCATTGCAGCATGAAAGCAATCATAAGTAATACATAAGTGAATTGGCATATGTGTGTTCTCATAAAACTTCATTTACTAAAAGAGGCAGCTGACCCGATTTGTTCCTTAAACTGTCATTTGAAGACCCCTGTGCTGGAAGATCTTGTCTGAGGTTGGATTTCCTGGAAGCAGCCTGAGATAGGGATTAAGGTGCAAGAGCAAAACCTGTAAGGGAGGGAGGAAAGCAGGTTGGAGAAGAGGAAAGAGCAGAACAGGATTGTGGTCTCAGGCAAAGGCTGGTCTTGCCTGACCCATTGTAGGGAGGCGAGTGCCTCTGGGGCAGAAGGTTGTTCCTTCATCAGGCAAAAGAATGGGATTCTGTGCCCAACTATCTCCATCAGTCAATTTTTTGCTCTAGGCTGGTGGAAGTGGAGTGTGGGGAGTCCTTAGTTTAAACGCCTCAACCAGAAGGTTCCTGTCAGCCAAGGGCAATTCTCTTTGGTAATTCTCAAGGGTAATTTACATTGTTGGTGAGTATAAATTAGTGTAATTGCATTGGAGGACAATTTGATTTTATTAGAACTATAATTTAGTAGTGGGGCATGGTGGTACACGCCTGTAGTCCCAGCTAATCAGGAGGCTGAGGTGGGGGATCACTTGATCCTGGCATGTAAAGACTGCAGTGAGCTGTGATCATGTCACTACACTCCAGCCTGGGTGACAGAGTGAGAACCTGGCCAAAAAAAAAAAAAAAAAAAAAAAATTGAAAAAGGAATTTACTAATGCTTTCATCCCTGTGAAAGAACATATGTCCTGTGTCGTCTCAATGCCTCTTTCTCTCTACATGGCCTCCCCAGCAGTGTAACTGGACACCTTATCTGGAGATGCAGGGCTCTCACAGCCCACTAACAGAAACTTTCAGGCCTACTAGAAATGTAGGCCCAGAACTAATGGGTTCAGTGTCACTTCTGCTACCTCATATCTAGTGAAATATGTACCAAGCCCAGCCCAGATTCAGTTTACAAGGTTGAGAGTCCACCTTCCTCCCAGCAGGCTGGAACCCTGGGCCCATCTTTGAAGACCGGGTAGTGAAAGTGACTTGTCAGTCTTCGTGTGATCTGATCTGATTACCTCTGCCTTTACCTCCACTTTGTCCAGTCCAGCACCACCACTGTGCTATGATGAGCCAAGGTGATTTGAGGCGCAACCCTTATACTTGCATGTTCTTCTGCTAGTGCTGATCTTCCCCAGACACCAGATGGTTCAATCCTCACTTCATTCAGGCCATTGCTCAAAGCTCACCTAAAATAATGCCCACCCTTGTCACACTGTTTCCACAACCTGCTTTATTTCTCTTCATAGTACATTTACTCACTTGATTTACGATCTATTTGTTTATTGTCTCACCTCAAAGGGAATGTAAATGCCACAAGAGCAAGGAGTTTGACTATATTATTTTATTTATTGCTGCATCCTCAGTGTAGGATGCTTGGCACATTGTAGTTGCTCAATAAACATTTTTCAAAAAGAACATACATTTGAAATTGTGCACAGTGTTTGATCCATAATAATCCCACTTCAAGTATTTATAATCAGAAAATAATAGAACAAGTTCATGTGTTAGCACAGATGCTAAGATCAGTGTTGTTTATAATGCATCTTTCATTTACAGTTAGAGTTTTTTAAATTTGTATCTTCAATGGTAATCAGGAACTAAATAAATTATTATCATCTCTGTTTATTGACATTAACAGATACATCTCCAAGATATGCTTTAGAATAGATAAGGACATCAAAAAGGAACAGATATTATACCTGTATATAATTTTACATGCATGTATGTATACACACACACACACACACACACACACACTCAAAAGAGAGAGAAATGCCTTGAAGAATGTTGAGCAAAATAGTAATTAACTCTGTTTGATGGGTTTGGGTGATTTTTATTTTCTCTTTGTTTATTTACTTTATTGATTTGATTTTATTCAGAAATAAATAATATATATGCCATAAAATAGAAATGATAAAAATTCACTTTAAAAAGTCCAATTTAACTTGTACTTTCTCTGTGACGCCTGTTGCATTTTAAATCACCTCCAAACAATTTAATAGTTGACTTTTTATTGTGTCATTTATGCTTTTTTGTTCCTTCTTTGTCAAAAATAAAGTCTTGTACTTCTAGATTATAACAGAAATACTTTGCTACAAATTAGAATTTCTCTGGGATTAAACAGTAAAGGCTTAAATATTTATCAGTGTAGTGAATAAAATTGACCACAAAAATTTATCAACCACCACATTTTTATTAAAGGAAGACCCATGATCTACGTTATTTTTTTTTACACAGATCCAGATAGAGCTATAATTATGTGATGGCTTTCCAGAAACATTTTATTGAAAATGAAAAATTGACAGATAAAAAGTTATAAAGTTAGGAGACTCTATAAAGAAAACATGTATTTACCCAAAGCCTTTCCAAGCTTCTCTTTTCCCTTACCTTATAAACATGACTCCTTCTTTTCTCTTCCTACTTCAGTTCATTCATTTATGTTTTTGAGCTACTCTAGTCCGTGGTGTCATGAATTCTCACCTTCATATGTTCTTAGATCATTATTTAATACCCACTCCCACTTTGATGGTGCTGGACACTCAGAAGCATTTTTAAAAATAATTGTTGAATTCAGAACCATCTCTATATGTTCTTTCAGATTTCTGGATTGGCCAGTAGTACTGTCTATACTTACATCAGAACAGCTTTGCAATTTAGGTGTGGAAATGCCGTGTTTGAGACATGGGTGTATTTATTACACTTCCTCCAAAAAAAACTCACCCTTGTGTCCTAGAGCTACTCATGAAATATTCACAGCAATATCACAGTGTTATTATTTAAATTAAATAATATATTTGACACAGCACTCAATACACAGGAAGCTCTCAATAAATGTTAAGCTCTGTGTTTAGCTCTCGCTCCTCCTCTAGACAGTGTATTTTATAAAGCATAACTGAAACATACTGAATTTTAATATAAATTATTGGCCCTGCTTTCACCAATTGTAACAAGAAATAGAACAAAGATCTTGGAAATTCTGTGACATAAACTGGTAAATATGAGAATTAGATGGCTTATGGATATGAACATACTTAGTTATATTTTACCTTCCAGGAACAATTCATGCTCAGATTTGATGGCTTTTCGGTCACCACAGTCAAGTTTCTGGGCATCACTCAGCAGTGACAGACAATTCATCACATATAACAATAAATATGAACTTATAACTGGAAATCAGGATGAATGCTATCCCAAGCAACAGTGGTTGAATTGGCAAATTACTCTTCACCATAAATACAGTAACCTTGGAAAGTTGTTGAGCAATAAAATGCAAGTCACAAAGACATCTGATATTTGAAAAAGATCCCTGAATTAACAAGCAAAAAGGAATCATCAGTCTTTCTGATAAATGGGTAGAGATTAACCCTATTTGCTGGTTCATAGCAAATCATATAATGCCTATCTTCTACACCAAAACGCTGCTCCCTACATGTCAGACTTTCTCTTTAAAACGCAGATTAATATTCACCCACCTTTTATAGCTACTCATAGTCTCATTCTTATTTCAGCTGTAATAACCACACCCTATTTTTGAATATGTCATATTTAAGGCCACTTTAAGAGGACTGCTGTGTATTAGAATTTAGAACATCTGTGTGAATTGCATTTACAATTTATTTATTTATTTATGTTTTTTGGCAAATTTATTTACTCTCTGGTATATTTAACAGATTATATTAAAAATGCTAGGAAGTTTAGCCCAATATGAGGCAAAACAAAGATTATTAGCAACCATTTTTCTCTGGATTAATAACATCAAAAAACTATCAAATTTCATTTTTCATTTTCTTAGGTTGTGAAAATGATTATTATTATCCAAAAGCCATATATCATAGTCAAAAATTATATCATACTGCCAGTAAATATAAATAGAATAAATATTAATTAAAAGTGTATCTATATATATATGCAAGATCATATATTTTAGACTCAATTCTCATAAGTAAACACATGTATTGGCTTGAGAAAATACTTTCACTAGTGATTTATTTAAACATCCTCAAAACAGAGAAATCATGTCTTATGGTTTTTCTTTGCTATGTGAGCTTCCAAAACCTCAACAAATGAGGTTATCTAATGTGTTTCAAAGGACTTTTAAAAAGAAACTAACAAAATTAAAAATTAAAATAGATTTTTATATTTTTTAGCGTTTTGGAAACATTTTCACTCTTCTTTGAATTGTTTGCCACAGAAATATCTGTAGCATTTATTTGATAATTAGTTTCATATGCTATTTGGCATCTGCCATGTTGTCTCTAATCAAATAAAGTATTCTTTAACTTTTCTCTTTACAAAGGCAAGTACAGTTTACTTTGTTGCAGTTGGTGGGAAAACAACCTTAAAGATTCTTAAATATCTTCATTAAACAGATGAGGTTTAAAGAGTTTAGTGACTTGTATAACATGTACATTATAACAGTTCTAGAAAGAAAATAGATATTTAGCTTATTGACTAATGTTCTTTCCTGTTATTTCTTTGTTAATACATATATGAGTTGTGTGATTAGCTCTACTTATAGAGACCTCAACTTATATTCTGAGCAAAAGGCACTCAACCCAGGCATATGTCACTTGCTCTTGACCAGAAACTTTGCCTCTTCCCTTTTTGCCTCTTTCAGCACTATTGGAATACATGAAACAGCACACACACACCAGACCATGATAATTTATTGCCATAAATTAACTTATTTATAAATTGGCCCTCCAGAAATAGACTCTGGCACAATATACTTACCAATACCCAAGGCATTTTTGTGAGCTCACAAATCTTAAGTTTACTTTGTTTCTATTGCTTTGTCATTGCTCAGTCTCTAAAGTTTTCTAAGTGGCAGAAAACAAGCATAGTCAAGGTAAAATAGTACACCAAGTTCATCATGGTCAATTCCAAGGAGAAAGAGGGTCATAGCAGATAAGATCATCTCCAAATTTGTCATTTTCCATAGTACATAATGTCCTGACCATGGTAGACATTCAAATGTATTTGTTGAGTTGATTTCATTTATATATAAAAATAGGATTGCTAGCAAACCATTGACCAAGTGGTTACATTTGTCCATTAGTTGCTCACTGACTCAGCTTGACCAAACTTTAGTTAGGCTTCTCTGCTCTCCGCAGGTCCCTAAACTTTGACTGGCCCTAAGTCTGAGCAAGCACTAAAACACAAAAGATCCCCTATTAACAGCTCTCTTTAAGAATCAGCTGACTACAGCTAAAAATACTTTCTGTGAGACCACCATGACCATGCTGTCGGTTCACCTCCACTTGCTTGCCAGTTTCTGCTTGAAGGCTCTTGCTAGCCCTGCTTGACCCTCCTTATAAAGAAAAGCCTTTTTATGTTTGATTTTGAAATGCTTGCAGATCCTAAGCTTGGAGCATTGTGATAGCCTTTTTGAATAAAGTTTCTCGTTAACCTAAGTCTAGATTTGTTTTCATTTGACACCATTATCAGACATAGATCACAGAAGGAGGAATTTCCTTTACTCAGTCGCATATCATTCTTCTACAAAAGGAGAAATCTAATAGCATTATATTTTAAGTGTTAGCATTCACTATAAATTAAACAAACCTACATTTTTATTCTTAATTTGTTTGGCATGTTCAAGCAGTAGTGTTGGTGTTTGTGGGTTTGTAATAGAGAGTGATGAGGTATTCTGAACAGCTGTCAATAATGTCACACCGTTAACCATATACACAGTGACTAGAGGGAAAAATAATCAGAATTCATATTTTATATCCACATTTTATTTTTGAACAGCAATAAGATAGGCTATCTCAGGAAATTCAGCATAACTGAAGTCAGTATAACTTCAGTCTGGTGTCTTAATACCATCTGAAATGCACTAAAGATAGCTGCTTCAGAACGATAAGGCTTGAAATATGGTTGCTGGCTTGAACTTAATGTATGAAGAATAATAAAACCATTTCACAAAGAAAATAATGTAACATAAAGTGAGATAAGAAAAGAATATCAATGTGTCTAGCACTTAGACTCCACATGTCAGGACATTATTATTAGAACAATTTACTATTATATCTTATTTAAATACCACATTATTTCCAATGTAGTTACCACCAGATATGATTTTCACTTTTATACTGACTCTATTCCAAGACTTCAAAAGACTTTAGAACTGTTTTATAGAGTTATCTTCTTCGAGAATTAGAAAACGAGGCATGGAAAGGTTAGGCTGCTCAGGAGGCAGTGTTATAGATTGGTAAAGGGCTCCACAGCCCTCCTTTCCCTTGCAAAAGAAGCCTCAGTTTCTTGGGGTTCACTCAATTGAGTCCTCATTTTAGTGAAATCTGATTCTATTATACATGGTTTGGAGAAAGTAGTATATTCTAAAGGGTGGAGGACTTCACATGTTAACTATATTTTTATTACATTTTAAGAGAAAATATCCAAGGAATACACTGAAATCACTATAGATGTATTTCAACTTCTATAACTATAATTTTGGAAATTCAATCTTGGCACAAGGAAGTATAAACCATATTGTTTTGTTTTTAATTGTATTAATTGAGGTATGATTTACAATAAATAAAATGCACGACTTTGGTATTAAAGGTTACAGACTTGTGACTCCCTCTCTTTTTCTCTCTCATCATATGTATATTATATATATATATAATACATAATAAAATGTACAGTAGCATATAGTACATATATAAAATGTACAATGATATAATGCACAAAAACATGGAGACAGGAATACACAAATTATGTTAAGGATGCAAGGGAAAGTCAACTTGGATGGATCAGACAGGATAAGCAATTACTGAGAGATAAAACTGGAGGGAAAGCACAGGTCTGAAGAATGGAGTCTCTTAAAATCAGGTTAAGAAATTTGTATATTTTCTTGTGGCTTGTTAAGAGAAACTAATGATGGATTTTTCATATGCTCAAAAACATTTACACAAATTTAATGTATTGTTGATATTCTGAAAGGCTGAGTGTGTCAAAGCTGACGTTCACTACATTATTTTGAAGGGTATTTGTACGTAATTCCTTTATGAAATAATGAGAGTGAAAGAGAAGAATGGTAGAGTTGACTGAATCTCTGCTTTTGAGAAAGTCAGAAGGTTCAAGGACTCCACCACTCATCGGTTGAGTGGCTTTAGGGTAGTCACTAGCCTTCTCCAAGTCTCTGTTAACCTATCTGTAAATTAGAGAAAACAATACCTGTTTCATTACATTGTGATGAGCATTAAATGGGATAACATAAAGTTCTAAATTCATGGGAAAACTAACAAACTCTAAACAGGGAAGGAGAGGATGTTAGGGAACATTTAAAGAAGCAGTGAAATGAGAATTGGACTATGGAGGTGAGCAGACTTTTAATAATTGGGCTGTCCTTACTGCAGTGTGGCCCAGCATATCTTTTAAAAAGCTCTGGGATGCAGGAAGATCAGACTATCTCCTCTTCCCCTTTCCATTTCTATGACAAGGAGACCAGAAGAACTAAGACTGACTATCCCCCTCCACAGGCTTCAAGTTGCCTAATGTGAAATTTCCTCTTCAAATGTGTCTCTTTGTCATAACTTAATCTCTCTAGGGTAAAAATATTTGACGTTTGAAAATACAAGAAAGTTATACACAATTTCCTCATTTTGGACATTGGTTTTATGGCAGCCCAGACTGGTGTCATTTCAAAGGCTTCCTCACTCACATGACTGGCATTAATGCTGGCTGTCATTTGGTACCTCAGCTGAAAATTTGACTGGAACATCTACATGTGGTTCATGCATGTGGCCTGGGCTCCGAGGAAACAGCTGGTTTCCATGAATAAAGCTCTGAGAGAAACAGATGGAAGCTGTATTGCCTTTAATAATCTAGCCTTGGAAGTCCCATAACATCATTTCTACCATAGTCATAGGACTTCCTAGATTCAAGAGGAAGGAAAGCTCTTCATTTTTCTTTCTTTCTTTCTTTCTTTTTTAATATCTCCAGCACACAGCTTTGAGGAAAGCACTTCTTAATAGAAATGAGTCAATGCCACATTATTAGATGAGTGTACAAGATAAGAAAGCTTGTTGCAGACATCTTGGAAAATACAATCTGCCTCAGTTTGGCATGGTAAGTAATATTAGTGTATTTTCTCTGAGTGTAAAATATAAAATTCTTGGAATATTGTAAGAACCTAATACATATCAATCACCTTATATATTTAATACGCAATAAAGTAATCATTTGTGCATTGTGTACTCATATTTGCTTATGTTTGATTCTAGTCTTGTATCATGTCTTGTATCACAGTGATTACACTCCATTTATTTTTTAAATTGCTTTTTTGTTATATCATTTACACATTGCTGTTATAATGTTGTATGTAAAACAACCACAAGACTTCAGTGACATATAATAAATGTATTGCTCAAATGTCTGGGGTTAGGAAAGAATTGGCTAGGCACAGAGGCTGATCTTGGCTGGGTCTGCTCACATATTTGGCTATTGGCTGGCTGGTTTGTGAGGCAAATGCTGTGACTTGGCTCTGCTCCAGCTGTAGTGATGTGCTGGTAAAGTGCTTTTCAATGAAAAAAAAAAAAAAAAAAAAAAAAGTGGTGAGAGTGGAAGCCCTGATTTGTAGCATTTGCTCATTTCTCTGGTTTCAAGGTACCAGTGGTTGAACAGCTGGCTCATGAAATTTGTGAATATTTAACAATGAAGTCGTGCAAGGCTATACAAATCAATTCAAGCACACTGCTATAAAATACCTCTCCCTCCAGAAGACCAGCTCTAGCCTGCTGTCATGGTGATGGCAGAGGTACAAAAGGGAAAGCTCCAATACACAAGCCCATTTCAACCTTGGGTCATGACTGCCACTTTTCCATTAGCCAAAGCAGGTCACGTAGTTGATCCACGTGTCAAGAGGTATGATGAGCTTCTCTTCTCACGAAGAGGGGGCCATGCGAAGTACAAATGGTAAAGGCTTTAGACACAGATTTCAACTCATCCTTGTAACCCATCATACTGAAGATTCTCATATTTTGTTTAAAGAATGTACTTTTGATACTTGTATATTAATTTTAAAACTGAGGCAAAACATACCAAAAGTAATTTCATTATTTGACAATGGATACTCTGAGAAATCAGTATGATTTGCTAACTCTTGGATTTGGTGAAATCAGCTTGTCTGAATTTTCATTATGATTAGCACATACTTTCTCTTACTGATATGTATTTGTACACATGCAAGAAAATCTATAAGTAACTTAGAAAATATATATGTTATTTTTTTTAGCCTGAGAGAGTACTATTTTGTTCCAGGTTTGAGAAAATCTTTCTTGGCAGCCAGTCTTCTTGTGAATGATTAGAATTCAGGAGAGATAGTGAGAATGTTGGCATACCTAATAAAAAGAGAGAGAATCTGGGACTGCTTTCAGAGGAATAAAAATAATGATGGTTCATGGAGATACTGCTTGTCCTCATTTAGGGTTGGATTATATTCTGGTGTTTGTAAACTTAACAACTCTTGATCACTGAAACTCTAATAAAATCTAGATTTTCCCCCAAACGTGCTAATGATGCCAATGTCACTTTTACCTGGCAAAGAACCAGGAATTAATTCGGAGAGTAGAATTTATTTTCTGAACTGAGACCTAAAACATATAACCTCACCATTAAGTTTGAGGGTACATGATCAATTACAAAAAACATTCTTGCTGCTGCTGTGACCCTAACAGATCCATAAGTATTTGAATGTGGCTTTTTCTTCACCTTTCTGCTCTCTTTGATCCTACTTTTCAACCCTTAAAAAACAGAGAAATTTCTTCCTGCAATGCACGAGGAAAGCAAGGCTTTACTTTATAATATGGGTTTAACTAAAGGACTTGTCAAACTGAATGGAATGTAGAGTGATTCAAATGTTCTGACAAGGGCATAGAAAGCAAAGAACAGCACTCTGTGGTTTGTCAAAAAATCATCTAAAGAACACTTCAACTGTTCCTACTGGGGAAAAAAAGTGTATTATGAATCACAAATCCCTTCTGTTTATACTATAATATAAGCCACCTCCAGATGAGAGCATAATGAATTAAATAAGATCTCTTTTCATAATAAATAATAGGTTGATACTTAAAAGATGTTTCCATCAAAGCATCTTAGGAAGCTTTATTTGCGTTAATTGACTCAGCAGTAATTACACATAGAAAGGCTGGTGCTATTAGTTTTCTTACTCTGTGTTCCTGAATTTTATTTCTTCCCCAATTGATGCATTATATTTTTGTAAGTTACATCAGAATTCTGATAATTCAATAATAGAATTCAAAAGATATAATTGATATAAAGTATTTAATTAAATTGCAATGGCAGAATAATTGCACGATTTACAATATGAATCAAAATTTTTTTCACTAGGTTTACTTTTCTTCCCAAGATTCCTTTTGTTTCTTTGTCATTTTATTTAATCATGCTGTTTATGAAATAGTTATTATTGAGTAATTGGTGCCAAATGATTCTATTGAGAATTCTACTTTTCTCTCAAGATCAACAAAGGTCCTGCATCCTTAGGAAGACTTCCTTATGTAATTCAATCTTTATTTTGTTTCATTTGTGAGACTGCATCTATGATGGGCCTTAAAATTATATTTAATTTATTTCAAAGGTTGACATCTCTTAATTGTTCTTAAACTAGAGTGCGATTTTATAAAGCTATTCAAGGTAGTTCTGATTTTTGCTTTTGGCTTTGGTAGAAGCTCATACCTGACTGATGTTCCCACAGAGAACTACGATAAATTGATAAAATATTCTGAAAAAAAAATTGTTTGAAGGCATTAGAAATTTTCCATTTCTCCAAGATCTGAAGGGCTAAACTTTCTGACAGAAGCAAAGTACAGATAGGGGAGCTTGCCACTTGCTGTATTTTTCCTGGCAGCATATTCAAATTCTACCTTAATGACTCAAGAGCTGAGTAGAACTCTAGGCAGTCTAACAGGATGTGGGAGACAACAGTTAGAGTTCAGATTCTGCCCAGGCAGGGGAGCCAAGGTAAACATCCAAAGATTTCATTGAGGGGTCTCTAAAGCCCTTCATTCATACATTAATTGTAAAAAAGCATTCCTCAAGAGTATATTCAATTTTTAATTAGTCCAATCCTTGAAAGAAACTATAGCAAACTATCCCTAGTTCAAGTTTATTTAAGAAACAAGTTCCTAAAAAACAACAATAATCAAGAAAATATGGTACTGGCATAGATAGATTTATAGGTCAATGAAATAGGGTTAAGATTCCAGAAATATTTACTTATTCCACAAAATGAAACAGCTGAGGAGGAGAGTGGCAATCTAAATAACATATAAAATAAAATATCCAATCTGAAGCAGGGGGGATAAGAGGAAACAAAACATCAAAATGTGCACAATAGAACAAGCGCATGTGGAAAATAAAGGTCTGATATAAGGCAAAAAGCAGTGTTTTTCTGCTCTCACCCTCAATACAACTCAGAATACTTCTGTTACCAGATAATGTGGGGTTTTTCCCTACATACAAGTAATTCTTCCACAGATTCTCCAGGAGACACTAGCCAAGTGTCCTCTAATTCAATTCGATTCTGACACAATCTATGTAGAGACAGCATCAGATCCTAGATTGAGGGCTTAGTCCCCCAAAACTTCCCCTTGCTGAGACAGCTAGGTGGGAAGGCCTCCATGGTAAAACTCTAACTGGCCTGGGCACTGGGGTGGAGCCACAGAAGTTCATGCCATTTGCAGCAGGGAAGAACCTGGCCCCTCCTCTTCCCATGTGGAACCTGGAATTTAAACTGCAAGGCAGGAAGTGCACCAGCAGGAGCTCTGGCTTTGTGGAAGGTCTCTGTTTCCCCTTTTCTTTCATTTTACTCAATAAACCTTACCCTGGTCACTCTTCAAATTGACTGCAAGCCTAAATCTTCATGGCCGTGTGATAAGGACCCAGTCGTTAGCTGAACTAAGGAAAAGTCCTGAAATATTTTTGGTGCCCAAAGTGGGACTTGAAAAGTGGTGAGTGAAATGGGGACTCAGAATCTCTCACTGTCACTTCTAAGCCTTTTCATTCTCAGACTTCTGTGGATAGGGGAAATAGTGCCCCCATCCCCATTGCTCCCGGGAGTCTGGAAGGTCAACCTCAGTCTCCATGGCTTTTCCCTTCCTTTTTCAAGAGTAACCTGCAAGTAGCAGCAGCTCACTATCACCCTCCCCTCCCTGCTGGGACTGGGCCGCATGGCCCAGGGAATCCTGGGTGGCTGGCTGGTAGTCCCTGCCATGAACTGCCCAATACTTCCTCTTCTCCAGCCAAGGGGTTCAACTCCATTGGACAGTAATTAAACTAATCTCCCTGGTGGAGGAACCACTTGCATGAGAATAAGAGGTTCTTCCCCAGGCATTTTAAAACTGTTCTTCTTTTCTTTTCTCTTATACACTGCATCAGCAGTTAACTTTTAAAGTTTTTTTTCCTTTAAGAAGATGGTTCACTGGGCTAGGAAATATAAGGATCCCTGTTTATATTCTCTGTAAAGTTTTGGTTGTGAAAAAGGGTGTTCTGGGGACTGGGCTTTCTCTGGCCTGTCTGTGTGCTTTGTATAATGTCTGCAAAAAAAGCTTTAATTAATTAGGCCTAAAGAAAGACAAGCCCTTGGATCAAATTTTTTTAAAGAGAAGATAAAAGCTGTAATACCTTTCAGTTCTCATGATTTTAACCTTTGAGAAATAAAAACAGCCTTAAAGATTATTGGTAAAATGCAGGTGTCATTAAAATGTAAATAGTTGGACTAAATTCTGCAGGTCAGATGCAAGGTTTGCTAATGGTCTTAAGGTTACAAACTCATTAAAATGTAAATAGTTGGACTAAATTCTGCAGGTCAGATGCAAGGTTTGCTAATGGTCTTAAGGTTACAAACTGCTTTTTTGGTTTTGATAACTATTTGACTTGCCAACTTTACAACTGGTAAGGCCTGTGGACATATGAAACTAACCATGCCCTTAATTATGCTGGAAAAGTTAAACCTTGGCTACACTTAGGACACAATTAAAACAACCTTCCAGGTTTTACATTAAAGTTAAAAATTGCTGAGTTACCATTATAACATGTAATTGACACTACTGGAAATAGATTTACATGCATGGTATCTAAGAACAGTAAAATGTGTTTTTTTTTGTAAAAGGTTATGAGAAGGCATGGAAATGTAAATTTTTGCCTAGGGTTAAAGGATTATTTTGAGTTAGATATAAAACACTGGAGGTTCAAACAAGTGGTGGAAAAATTTTGGAAATTAATCTTGCAAAAGAGGTTCTCCATGTGAACATATTGACTAAATTCTGAAAGGATATTGTATTAGTCCATTTTCACACTGCTGATAAAGACATACCCCAGACTGGGCAATTTACAAAAGAAAGAGTTTTAATGGACTTACAATTCCACATGGCTGAGGATGCCTGAAAATCATGGCAAAAGGCAAGGAGGAGCAAGTCACATCTTACGTGGATGGCAGCAAGCAAAGAGAGAGCTTGTGCAGGGAAACACTGTCTTCTAAAGCTATCAGATCTCATAAGACTTATTCACTATCGTGAGAACAGCATGGGAAAGACCTGCCCCCATGACTCAATTACCTCCCACCAGATCCCTTCCACAATATGTAGGAATTAAAGATGAAATTTGGTTGGGGACACAGGCAAACCATATCAGAATTGTTTGGTTTTTCTGTAATTGAGCATTGAAATAAAAGCACAATGAGGTTTGCTTAAGGCATGAATATGCTCTTTGGCAAAATTTGTAAGGTGTTATAAAGGTTTTTGCTTCTTTAAAATTTGTGAGCCATCATTTTGGCAAAATAAATCTGGAATTGTATTTTATAATATCAAGTGCTTTAAACATATTAAACAGGCTTCCTAAAATCAAACTTCAGTTTCAAAACTGTCTTTCCTAATGCCTGGATTTTTGGATAGTTCAGAGGGCCCCTAAAACTTCCAGAAAAGAGAGGTAAACAGGATTATTAGACATATTTAAGTGTGTGAAATTGCCAAAATGATGTACCTTCTTTTTAGGTTATATTTTTGTGAATAATGCTAATATACGTTCCAAAATTTACTGGGATTTCTAAAATTCTAATGTCTAAGTATATGCTATCAATCATAATTAAGGTTGTTATGTTAAGTTATTGTTAACTACAAAGGTAATGAGACTTCTTTGTCAATTATGTTTCTAACTGTAACTACCCTGGACATTTTGTTATTCACAGACAATTGTTGTCTTGTTTTAATCCTTTTCAAAAGATGGTTTATATTAAGCTATAGGACTCTGACAGGCACTCTCAAATACACGTTCTGATAACTTTGAAAACTGTGATATTGGAATAAAGAAAAATGTAAAGGACTCATGAATAGCTAAAATGTTCATGAATAGCAAGCAAAACAATGGTTAACTAAATAAACTGAACTCAGGAAACTGAAGCAATTCTTTTTAATCTTTGCTTAGATTATTTCTGATTCTTGTTTTGTTTTTCAGAATCAAGGAAACTTATTTTGAACTGTTTATGGCCTTTAATAATTGAGTAAGGTATACTCTTGTGAGCATGATTTGGAGTATATTTGTTTTTCTCTGCCTAGTTTCTCTAGAATTTGGAAACTATCTGTGAGTATTCTTAACTTATAGCAATATGGTTGTTTGCATCAGTGCAATAAAAATTTATTTGTCTTTTGCAACAGGACACAATTGGAGAAATTGTTTATTTTACCAAGGCTTTAACTGGAAGGGTTTACTTTCCTTTAAGGAGTCAATCTTGACTTGCAGAGATGTTAAAAGCCCCATGGGAGACTGGCCTCATATTTTTGCCTAAGCAGTCCCAGTACAGGGTTTCTGATCTGTGGTCAGTAAAGAATGTCACTTTCTAGGAGGTCCAGGATCTCCAAGGTCATTTTGAGACCATAAGAGGAGAGGTTCACCCAACTTACAGGTATTTGAGGATACAAACCCATGGCTGGGCTCAGCTTTAAAAGGTCTTATCTGAGATTCCTTGTGGAACAGAGTTCCATCAAAGCCAATTCAAAAGGCCTATGTAGAAACAATTATTCTTGTTGCACTTTATGTATATAATCAGGCCAAGTATAAGACTAAAGTCTATTTTGCAAACAACACAATCTTATCATGATTTGTTTTTTAAATGAAAATTAGGACTAGAGAGAGAGAAATTATGTTCCAAAACTTAATATACATTTCTCATTAAAATCTAAATTCACTAGTTGTTTTTAAGTTTTTGCCTACATTGTTAGACTAAACATGCTTGTTCCCGTGAACCAACCAGGAATCTCCAGCTGCAGCTCAGATAGAACAAGAGGGATGGGTAATGTAAAAAATCTGGATCAATATTCTAGTTCTGAGCAATTATCTTGCAAATCCTGCCAGGTAATTGGAATAAACAGGGTGCCCATCACCCAGAGGTTTCTTTTTCGGAAAGTAAGACCAAGGGAAGTAATCAAAGCTAAGCACAATACACCTAAATTCTAGCAAGCATAACTATAGACACCGGTTATCTGGGTATGTCACAACTTATCTTTTTCTCTCCCTTATTAGAAGAGGACTCAATTCCACAGCTTCACCTTAGCATTCAGCTATAAGGAGTCCATGCAACCTCCCTGACACACATTTTTTTGTCCCAACCTCAATTCCAAGCTTTGCCTTGAAGCCCTAGGGAGAAAACTGGATCTGAGGGATCCAGAGGAAGATGATAACAGAAGTTAAAAAGCACAGTGCAGGTGAGTGTGACTGATTCATGCAGATTAAGTCAAGCTCAAGCTTCCTGTTTCATGGATAAAGGCCACATTAGTATCCATGTCATAGGTAAGGTCAAGGGAACTCCAAGGCTACTGACAGTAGATGAGAAAGAGACATGGATGAGATTGGATAATTTCTATACTCTAAGTCTCCTGCTTCACGGGTGCAAACTACTTTGGTACTCATGGCAGCAGCTGCCAATGTCACCAGGGCTCAGGAATGTAAAGATGGAAGGAAAGAGGACACTCTTCCCTCTCTCCTTCATGTACCCCAGGTATCTGCTAGGAAGAAAAGCGAACCAGGGATTCCTGCTCCCCTTTTTCTATATAAGTAGCCATTCATCTTCAGTCTGTACCCTTTTTGAATGCATCGTGAACTCCTGGGACTCCTTTTTAAAAAAGCTGCTTTTTTCCTTTCTCCTCCTTGGATCTGTCTTCACAGATAATTAATTGTGTCTCTGTACTACAGAACACTCCCCTCAGATGCATCTTCCAAACTGGGAAAGGTTAATTTCCCAAACCTTAAAATGGTTGGCTTAGGATTGGGCTCAGGGAGAAGGAACTCAGAAGCCCAACGTGCTGGCAAAAGGGTAAAGTTTTTTGCCAGTTGGGCTTCTGGCCCCCTCTCCCTGAACAAACTGGCAAAAGTCCTTGGGATTTTTGAGCTGTCCTTACTCCTCCCCTTGTCTCATTTTGATACATGTTTTCTAACAACCAGATTTGTGCGTTCTGGCCTTCAGGCCATCAAACTCTAAACGGTCATGCAACTAGAGCTGCTGATGATGGCACCTACTGCACTTCTGCTCAAAACCCTTAAATAGGCCTCTGAGGGAGCTCTGATTGCCATTTTCCAAAACGATGCCTCTTGTCAGCAGGAAGCAGTAAAGATTCATTTTCATCCTTATCCTTACTCTAACTGCAGTTAGATGTACTTTTTTAAAATTTTATTTATTTATTTATTTATTTTTTTTTTTTTTTTGATGGAGTCTCACTCTGTCTCACCCAGGCTGGAGTGCAGTGGTGCAATCTCAGCTAACTGCAAACTCCACCTCCCAGGTTCAAGCCATTCTCCTTCTTCAGCCTCCACAGTAGCTTGGATTACAGGTGTGTACCACCATGCCCAGCTAATTTTTGGATTTTTAGTAGAGATGGAGTTTCGCCATGTTGGCCAGGCTGGTCTCGAACTCCTGACCTTAAATGATCTACCCAATAAGAAAACATAAAAATGTAAATTCTTGCCTAGGGTTAGAGGATTGTTTTAAATTAGATAAGATAAAGCCAAAGTTCAAACAAGTGGTAGAAGGATTGTAAAAATTAATCTTGCAAAAATTCCATGTGTGAACATATTGACTAAATTCAAAAGGGTATTATATGGTTTCTCTGTAAATTAAGCATTGAAATAAAAGCACTGTAAAGTTTTCTTAAGGCACCAATCTGCTGTTCTGCAAAAATTTGTAAAGGGCTGTAGAAGGTTTCTGCTTTTTTAAAGTTTCTGAGTCATCATTTTGTCAAAATAATTTATAGTTATCTAGAATTCTGTTTCATAACATCAAGTGTTTCAGACCTCCAACATATTTAACAGGCTTCCTAAAATCAAACTTCAGTTCCAAAGTCGTCTTTCCTGACACCTGACTTTTCAGATACTTCAGAAAATCCCCTGGAGTATTGAGAAAAGAGAAGTAAACAGGATTATTTGACACTTTTAGTTACATGAGATTGTCAAAATGGTGTTCAAGCTTCTTTAGGTTATATTTTAGTGAATTACAGTAATATAAGTTCCAAAACTATATAGAATTTCTAAAATTCAAATGTCTAAGTTTTTGCTATCAGTCATAATTAAGATTGTTATGTTAAGTTATTGTAAGCCACAAAGATAACCAGACTTCTTTGTCAATTGTGTTTCTAACTGTAACTACCCTGGACATTTTGTTATTCACAGACAATTGTTGTTTTGTTTTAATCCTTTTCAAAAGATGGTTTATAATAAGCTATAGGACTCTGACAGGTACTGTCAAATACAGGTTTCTGATAACTTTGGAAATTTTGACATTGAAATAAAGAAAAATGTACAGGACTCATGAAGAGTTAAAATGTTTATGAATATCATGCAAAACAAGAGTTAACTAAATGAATTGAACTCAGAAAGCTGAAGCAATCTTTTTGACTCTTACTTGGAATATTAGAGATACTTGTTTTATTTTTCAAAGTCAAGGAAACTTGAGCTATTTATGGCCTTTAATAGTTGAGTAAAGTATACTCCTGTTAACAAAATCTGGAGCATGTTTGCTTCTCTCTGCCTGGTTCCTTCTCTCTGCCTGGTTCCTCTAGAATTTGGAAACTATCTGTGAGTATTCTTAACTTATGGAAATACAATTGTTTGCATTAGTGCAAAAAGAATATATTTTATTTTGCAACAGGATGCAATTAGAGAAACTGGTTGTTTTACCAAAGCTTTGACTGGAAGGGTACACTTCCCTTTAAGGAGTCAAGCTCAACTTGAAGAACTGATAAAAGCCCCTTGGGGCAACTGGCCTTATACCCTTTTCTACACAGTCCTTGTACAGGGTTCCTGACCTGTGATCAGTAAAGAATTTCACTTTCTAACAGACCCAGGAGCTCCAAGTTTATCTTAGGGCCTTAAGACGAGAGGATCACCCAACTCACAGGTATTAGAGGACACAAACTCATGGCTGGGCTTGGCTTTAAAAGTTCTTATCTGAGATTTCTTGTGGAACTGATTTCCATTAAAGACAATCCAAAAGGCCTATGTAGAAATAGTTATTTCTTCTGTACTTTATGCAAATAATCAGTGGATGTATAAAGTCTATTTTGCAAACAAAACAGTCCTATAATAATTTTTTTTAACAAAAATGAGACTAGAGAGAAAAATTATGTTTCAAAACTTATCATACATTTTTCATTAAATTCTAAACTCATTAGATGTTTTTTTTTCCTATATTTCAGACTAACCCTGCTTGTTCCTGTGAACCAACCTGCAATCTCCAGCTGCAGCTCAGAAAGAACAAGAGGGATGGGTAATGTAGAAATCTGGATCAATATTCTAGTTCTGAGTAATTATTCTGCAAATTCTGCCAGGTGATGGAAATAAATAGCATGCCCATCACCTAGAGATTTCCTTTTTGGGAAAGTAAGACCACAGGAGCTAACCAAAGCCAAGCATCATGCAACCAAATCTTAGCAAATATAACTACAGCCAACAGTAATCTGGGCATGTCAGAAGACATCCTTTTCTCTCCTTTATTGGAGAAGGACTCAATTCCAAGCTTCGGTGAAAGCCCTAGGAAAGAAAGCTGGATTTAAGTAATCCAGAGTCAGAGATAATAGAGGTAAAAATGCAAAGCACACCTGACCATGGCTAATTCCTGCCGATTAAGCCAAGCCTCCCATTTCATGGATAAAAGTCATGCTAGTATCCATGGCATAAATTAGGTCTAGGGATCTCTAAGGCTACTGACAGTGGAGAGAATAGAAGCATAGGTAAGAGCGGATAATTCCTATTGTCTAGGCCCTCTCTGCTTCATGGGTGCAAGCCACTTCAGGGTGCCATGGGTGGCACCCTGTCGCAGTTGCTGGGAGTTGGCAAAACAAGGATGGAAGAAAGAAAGAGGAATGTCTCATTTTTCCTTTCTCACACACCTGGGTATTTTCTAGGAAATAGTGTAACCATCCATCTTCAGTCTGTACCCCTTTCGAATGCATCCTGAACCCTTAGGATTCCTTTGAAGAAAATGCCTTCTTTTTTCCTTTCTCCTCCTCTGCCCTTTCTTCACTGATAGGATTGTATCTGTGTACTACAGGATACTCTCCTTAGGTGGATCCTCCAAACTGGGAAAAGTTAATTTCCCAAACCTTAAACTGGTTGGCTTAGGATCGGGCTCAGGGGAAGGAAACCCAGAAGCCTGACATGCTGGCAAAACGGTAAATTTTTTTTTTTTTTTTTTTTTTTAACCAGTCGAGGTTTTGGCCTCCCTCTCTCCATGCAAAGTGATATAAGGCCTCTGGATTTTTTAGCTATCCTTACCTCTCCTCTTGTTTCATTTTGATACATGTTTTCTAATGACCCAGTTTGTCTCTTCTCGCCTTCAGGCCATCAAACTCCAAAAGGTCATGCAACCAGAGCCTCAAAAAATTGCCCTTTCTGCTAGGGACCCTTAGATAGGCCTCTGAGGGAGCTCTGACTGCCATTTTCCCCAAAACAGCGCCGCCTGTCAGCAGAAAGCAGTTAAGACTGGTCTTTGTTTTTATCCTTACCCTTATTCCAATTGGCAGTTACATGTACTTCTTTAAAGCGATTAATGAGACTGCCAAGTAAAAAGGGCTCCCTGGAGAATCTTCAGCCAGCCTGAGCACTGGGAGAATGGGGTGAAGACTTGGGAATTCACACCATTTGCTGGGGAGAGGAGCCTGGCCTCTCTTGTTCTTGGGTGGTAACCTGGGATTTGGCCAGTGAGGTGGAGAACGCTTTTTCCTTTCAACCCAATAAATTCCACCCTTTTCACCCTTCAAAGTATCTGTGTGCCTAATCTTTCCTGGTCATGTAATAAGTACCTGGATTTTCCTACAACAAATGCACTGCCGATAAAGCTATACAATATTAAGCACCCTCCCTAAAGGCTCAGGGACCATCACAGAAGAGAAGAGCGTGTGACATTGTAAGAGCTGTATTAGGAGGGTGGAGTGTAGTGGTCAAAGCTTCATCTTGGAAGCTACTATGCCATGTTGGCTTCTGGTTAACTCCTGTTCCAGAAAGCCTCTAAAATTTCCAGTTTTATCTATTCTTCCTTGTGTAAGAACAAGTTCCTACCATAAATCCAGCCATTAGGGTCAAGGAATCTCTATGTTATCACAGTTCAATTGTCCTACAAATCCCTTCTCAACCACTCCTTTCCCTTGGTATGTGAGCCCTGGGTCTGGTGGGTAATGGTAGAGGGATCCGCCATCTTGTGTCCACCTGAGACATAAACATGGCTTCTGTTCATAAGTCCCTATTAAATGTTTCTTTCTAAGAAATAAAAGAATAAAAAATAAGATAAATATATCAAAATGATAGATGAATAAATTTAATAAGAAGCTACAACTATTCTTCATTCTGTGACCTAATAATCATGGTATTAGAATTTGTTGTAGAAAAAATGAGATAATTAATAGAAAACATGGATTTATTATCTAATTGGGAGATTTTAGCATATCTTCTTAAATAAATGATACAGTAAGTCAACAAAAATTCAGTAGAGAAACTGAGTAGTTGAATAACAGGTAATTAAATTTAAACTAATCTAATATTTGCAAGATACATATTTATTTAAAACTTACATTAAAAACTTACCAAAATTTACTATAGCCTTAGGCAAAAAGTAAATCTCATCAAATTTCAAAAGGTCAAAGTAATTCAGAAAATATTATCTGAAACCGGAAATAAACTAGAAAGAGAAAAACCAAAAACACTTGGAAATTAAGCAAAAGATTATTTATCCATCACAAAGAAGAAACCAGAAAGGAAATAAGAAATAATTTGCAATAATAATAATAAATGACTGTAATAGAAATATGACTCCAAATCTTTGAGATGTAGCTTAGGTAATGTTTGGGGGAAATTTCATGACCTGATTCAAGGTCAATATGAAAAATTGCATATTTTTCTTACATAAGTAGAATGTAAAAATAAAACTATTATGTAGATTCCATTTAAAATGTTGAAAATAAATTTAAAATAAAAATAATTTATATGAATAAATTCAATGAAAGATATGTAAAACTACCCCTAAATTACAAAATTTTGAAATAAATTTAAATTATATATTAAATACTTCATGTTACAAAATGTCAGTCTCGTTAAATTGATCTCAATTAATTGCAGTCTTTTTTTTTTTTTTTTGAGACAGAGTCTTGCTGTGTCGCCCAGGCTGGAGGGCAGTGGCGTGGTCTTGGCTCACTGCAAGCTCTGCCTCCCGGGTTCACGCCACTTTCCTGCCTCAGCCTCCCGAGTAGCTGGGACTACAGGTGCCCACCACCACACCCAGCTAATTTTTTGTATTTTTAGTAGAGACAGGGTTTCACGTGTTAGCCAGGATGGTCTCGATCTCCTGACCTCATCATTCACCCGCCTCGGCCTCCCAAAGTGCTGGGATTACAGGCTTGAGCCACCGCGCCTGGCCATTAATTGCAGTCTTGATGAACATTCCTGCAGAAATTTCTTGCAGGTATTTACAAGCTAATGTTACAGTAGGTAGATAGACATAAGGCAGGCAGGAGAGGGTTCCCCTCACCCACACCAGTAATGTCAGGTGACCATCAGGTGATGCTCAGGAAGTTGTTAACTGTCTCACTAAAATAATGATTGGTCACAGCCAGGGAAAGGCAGTGTCCTTTGGTATCAGCAGCTTCCTGGTGATCAGCAGCTTCCTGGTGATCAGTAGCTTCCTAATATGAGCTCAGGAGTTGGGTGACTGGGCTCAAGCATGTGCATTAAGAGTTTAACTGGTATATGACCTGCTAGAAACATTTGACTGGTAAGGGAAAAATGCCTCAAGGGAACATACGGACAGCTCCAGTAAACACACTCTGCATGCTTCCCTCCCAAGCACTAGCAGGCCACTGAGCATGTGGACAGCCTACCCTGAAGGAAGAATCAGGGGAGAAGGGACACAAGACGCTGGAAGTATAAAACTTCAAGTCAACAGGTCAAACTGCACACTTGATTTCTCAAGTCGCCCGCTTGGCCCTCTTCCACATGTACTTTACTTCCTTTCATTCTTACCCTAAAACTCCTCAGTAAGCTTTCACTCCCGTTCTAAAACTTGCCTCGGTCTCTCCTCCTCGGTCAAATTTTTTCTTCTGAGGGGGCAAAAATTGAGGTTGCTGCAGACCCCTATGAATTTGCTGTCAGTAACACTAATTCTAAAATCTGTAAGAAAACAAAAAAGACCAAGAAAACATAATCGGTGTTAGTGAAGAAAAATATTAAAAGAATTTAGTATACTATCAAGAATGATCAATGAAATAATAATAAAAACATTAATTAATCAACATACAAGGGGAACAAAATAGGCCCACACACATATGAAAATAAGATTTACAAAAAAGGTGATACTGCTGAGTAGTGGAGGAAAGACGATCTTTTCAGTAAATGGCATTAGGTCAATTGAATGTCCATATAGCAAAAAATAAATCTTGAGCCACCTTCACATTGTAAACCATAATTAATCTCATGTAGACTATATATATAATCTTACAGTAAAATAATACAACTTCTAAAGAGTAATACACGAAAATAACAACGTGAGCTTCGCAAAAGATTTTTAAACAGGATATAAGTAAGTACACATGAACAAAAGATTGAAAAATGTAGACAATATTAAAATTAAGAAAAATATATTCCTGAATTTCAAGGATGAAAAGTTAATATAAATAACATGAAAAAGAATAATCATAGGCTTATCTCCATAGATTCAGAACAAACTTCTCTTAAAATTCAACACTAATTTATAATAAAAGTGCTTTGAAAACAAGAAATGCAGGGTAATTTCTCTAATATCAGAAATATCTAAAACAACAAATATTCATAATCATGAAATATTAATAATGTTGTTTCTAGCATTGGAAATAAGACAAGAATGCCTGTTTTCATAAGAGAATGTATGTCTGCAATCTCCACTTTTTTTCAGCCTTATGTTGGTGATCCTAGTCAGTACACTAGCCAAAAAATAAAAATAAAAATAAAAATAAATTTTTTAAGAATTGCAAAAAAAAGAAATAAAACTGTCACTATTAGCAGAAAACATTTGAGTGCACCAAGAATATCCAAAATGATCTACAGTCAACCTATTAGAATTCATAAGTGAGCCAGCATCTGGAAAGCAGAGTCTTTCCACATTATGACAACACTTCCATTCTTCTTTCCAGTAGCTTATTATATGAAACACAAATGCCATCTCTCTGGATACCTCGTTGACCTAAACTGTGCCTTGCCTTTTTTACATTGAGCATGCCATATTCATCATTCTTTGGGGCCATCTAATCAAACCTATCTCTAAACAAATATCTGTGTTCTCTTTATCATATTGTCCCTAAATGCATCCACATAACCATGTGACTCTGTCTTCTACCCTGTAATTCTTTATCGGATCATTCACATGACACTAGATTTGTATCAATATTTTCTAGCTTAGCAATAAACTGGAAACTCCTTGAAAGCAGGGAACACATACTGAACAAATTTGTTTTCAATTATGTCTTTTAAGCTTGATATACTCAAAAGATATTGATCAAATTAACAAACAAAACAGCTTACTAAAAAGAAGTGCCGTAAAATGACATTTTGACAATTTTTTTTTTGTACTGCAGCTTTTTCTCTGTTTGAACAGCTTGTCTGACAATCTATATAAACACCTTGCCCCAACTCCTTGTTCCTAAATCCAGATAGCTAGTCATGGACAATCCCTTTAATCAATCAGTTTGCAACTCAAACAAGTAACAATCTGGATGATCTGAAAGAAAGAACAAAATGGGCTTTCCCTGGGCACAGCTGGCATGATGTACAGGGAGTCAGAAGATGTTCTTCACTGTAATAATTATTTTGACTCTTACTGAATGGCTTAAACTCCCTGGGTATCATTCACAATCTATTTTTGTCTGTAAGAATCTTAACCTTCCCTTTGATTGAATTTCAGGTATAGTACAACACTGGATGAAAATCAGTAGGAAATTAATATTCAGACAGCTATTAAGGATGTTAAAATTAACAGTATTATTATTAAAGTTGGCATGATAATTTATATCCAGGCCATATAACTACATTTTTGCCTTTCCAGCTGCATAATGTTAGGACTCACTTTGGATTTCCAGCACAGAGTATTATGTCATAAGCCCTGAGTCATTCAAAAACACCTGATGAGTACGTTCTATGTCAAGGAAATATATGAGCACTGTTGAGACACAGCGAACAAGGCAGACAGATTATTTGACCCCATGATGTTTACAATTTAGTGCTATAAATATTTTTATAAGTTAATAATGGGTCCAAGCTATTAACCCCTACACTGGTTTATCATCTGAGACTATATTTTACAGTCTGTACTGTGTCTTAAGAATATTATATTTCATTATTTTACTTCTCTCAAAATGCTGAGGAGAGATTTCTTTTATTTAATTCATATTTTTCTCCTTGTCTTAAAATATATTCAAAATAATTTAAATATCAAGTTAAGTTCAGTGATTCTGGAATATCTATAAATGTTTTTTTTTTGAAATTTATTTATTTATTTATTTATTTTTATTATTATGCTTTAAGTTTTAGGGTACATGTGCACATTGTGCAGGTTAGTTACATACGTATACATGTGCCATGCTGGTGTGATGCACCCACTAACTCGTCATCTAGCATTAGGTATATCTCCCAATGCTATCCCTCCCCCCTCCCCCCACCCCACAACAGTCCCCAGAGTGTGATGTTCCCCTTCCTGTGTCCTTGTGATCTCATTGTTCAATTCCCACCTATGAGTGAGAATATGCGGTGTTTGGTTTTTTGTTCTTGCGATAGTTTTTTACAATAAACAGACTCTTCAATTTTGATTTGAGGAGAACTTTATGGTCATAATTATTTTACAAATAAGAAAACTGATTATATTATATTCCATATTCCAACAGAATACCAACTTTACAGGAATTAGGAATTGGGCGAATGTTTATTAAGATAAAATGGAAATTACATTTCTAATTCAAAGCCATGATTTACCTCTGAAAAGGTAAATAAGAAAAATATATAAGAAGGAAAGTGTAAAAGGGACTAAGATTCATTTGAAAAATTTTAATTATCAAATTACTTGAAGACCTTTCATACTGTATTTTTTTATTATATCAACTGTTCTTGCATTTCATGATGTATTTGACACCACACAATATGACATGTCAAAAGCAATATCACAAGTGGAAAACAAAGACAAGGCCGACTTAGGGCCTCTCAACTGCAGGACTTGTGTGTGTGTGTGTGTGTGTGTGTGTGTGTGTGTGTGTGTGTCCTACATTGTTTAACATCTTCAACTTTTTCAAATATTATCAACAATAATTTATTAACTTACCTCTAAAGTTGGTTTTTGATTTTTTTCTTCTAATTTTCCTACAGTATCTCTTGGTTTGTAATCATCCACTAGCTCATCTTGCCCTCTGCCCAAATAGAGCCAATTTGTCAAGACAGGAATTGCATAGATAAAGAGTTTAATACACACAGACCTGGCTAAATAAGCATCTTGAGTTCTATTATTACTCAAATCAGCCTCTCTAAAAATTTAGAGGCTGGAGTTTTTTAAAGATTTGGTGGGCAGCAGGACTAGGGAATGGGAATGCCTATTGGTTGGGTTGGTTGGGGACAAATTCATAGGGAGTAGAAGCTGACTTCTTGCGCTGAGTCAGTTCCTGGGTGGGTGCCACAAGACAAGATGAGCCAGTTTACTAGTTTGGGTGTTACCGCTGATCCATCAGAATGCGGGGTCTGAAAAATACCTCAACTACCAATCGCAGGAATTAAAATAGTAACGTTATCCACAGGAGCAATTGCGGAAGTTAAGGATCTTGTGGCCCCTGGCTGCATGGTTCTCAGGCAAGGAGGGGATTTGTTTTGGGAAAGGGCTGTTACCATCTTTGTTTCAAAGTTAAACTGTAAACAAAATTCCTCCTATGGTTAGCTGGGCTTATATCCAGGAATGAACAAGGGCAGTTTGGAAGTTAAATGCAAGATGGAGTCAATTAGGTAAGCTCTCTTTTACTATCATAATTTTCACACTGTTATAGTTTTTGCAAAGGCAGTTTCAGCTTGAAAAAAAATTAAGAAGTTTATAAAATTAACATTATCTTAGTATGTGACCTAAGAAAACCTTCAAATCACTTTTTTAAAATGTAACTTTAAACATTTTCAAAACTTTTTAAAATAAGTAATTTTAGTATGTGAGAGAAATATGTTGTAATTCAGTTTCCACAGGCTAAATTATTTCCCCAAATTATAACTAGAATTTCCAAATCAATTGCTTCTCAACTTGGCAATCAAGTGGATGCCCAAGCATATTCTGAAAGGCTGTTAATGTCTCTAAAGTTTTAATCAGTGCTTTATTTGTAATGATGGCATATATTATGAGTGTAATCTGCATTGTCTAGGTACATTTGTAACGCAATACAGTCACTCAGTTTTAGTGCGTTTATTTGCATCTGGACCTGGGACAACATTTTCACCCAGTGAGACCCCAATTATCTCAGTAGTAGAGTAGCTGATGGTTACAATAAATTTACAAGGATAATTGCAATGAGTATGGTGGTATGCTTACCCTGGTAAAGGCATGTGGAGATAAGGAAAAACCGCCATGTTTTAGGTAAGTAAGCTTTTGGACTTTCTTAGCAATAATTTCTGAATATTTAATAAAGTGCTTATGTTTCTAATGTTAGTAAGTAATTTTATTATATTACCATTCATTACATATTTTAATAAAGTTGCAATATTAACAACAATAACAAAAAATCACAAAGTTATCAAGTAAACTTCATTTAAAATGGCATTCAGGAATTGCTTACTGGTAGAGTTTGGTAAAATCTGACATCTGATTTTTCCCAACAATTAAACAAAGCCTTAAAGTTATTGGTAATATTTATACAAAAAAAACCCTTCTCATTCTCAGAATAGGTATTCTTGATATATTTACATTTCAAATTATACTACAAAGCTATAGTAACTGAAACAGCATACTACTGGCATAAAAAAAAAACCAGACACATAGACTGATGGAACAAAATAAAGAGCTTAGAAATAAATCTATATACTTCTAACACATTCAACAAAGACATGAAGAGCATACATTGGTGTAAGGACATCCTCTTTAATCAATGGTACTCAGAAAACTGTATATTTATTGCAGAAGAATAAATCTCGATCTCAATCTTTTACTATATACAAAAATTAACTAAAAATGAATTAAAGACTTAAATGTAAGACCTGAAACTATGAAACTACTAGAAGAAAACATTGAAAAAATGCTACAGGACATTGATCTGGGCAAAGATTTTTTGAGGTAAGCCCTCAAAAGCACAGGCAACAAGCACAAAAATAGACAAATGGGATTATATCAAGCTACAATATCTTCTACACAGAAAAGGAAACAAGTAACAAAGTGAGCGGACAACATGCAGAATGGGAGAAAATATTTGCAAACTATTTTTCCAACATGGAATTAATAATTAGAATATATAAATAACTCAATAACTCAAAAGACTAAATAGCAAAAACAAATGATCTGATTAAAAAATGAACAAAAGACCTGAATAGACATTTCTTAGAAGAAAACATACAAATGGCAACAGGTGTATGATAAAATGCTTAACATTACTAATCGTCAGGGAAATGAAAATCAATACCCCAGTGAAATATCATCTCACCCTAGTTAGAATGGATATTATTGAAAGAGAAGAAATAGCAGGTTCTGATGAAGATGGGAAGAAAAGGAAACCCTTGTACACTGTTGGTAGGAACATAAAGTAATGTAGCCAATATGGACATTATGGAGGTTCTTCAAAAAACTGAAAATGGAACTGCAATATGATCCAGCAATCCACTGCTAGGTATATATCCAAAAGAAAGAAAAACAGTATATTGAAGAGATATCTGCACTCTCATATTTATTGCGGCACTATTAATAATAACCAAGATATGGAGGCAACATAAGTGACCATCAACAGATGAATGGATAAAGACAATGTGGTATATATACATAATGGAATATTATCTAGTCATTAAAAAAGTGAAGTCTCACCATTTGCAGCAATATGGATGGAACTGGAGGTCATTATGTTAGGTGAGATAAGATAGAGAACAACAAATATCACATGTTCTCACTCCCACATGTTCTCATGTGTGGGAGCTGAAAAAGTGCATCTCACAGAGGTAGAGAATAGAATGGTGACTGTTAGAGGCTGGGAAGGGAGTGAGAGAGGAGGTAGCTGAAGAGAAGTTGTCTAATGGGTAAAAAATACAGTTGGATAGAAGGAATAAGTTGTAGTATTCAATAGCACAGTAGGGAAATTGTAGCTAATAACAATTTATTGAATATTCCAAATTACCTAGAAAAGGAAAAATTGTAATGTTCCCAATCTAAAAAAAAGATAAATGTTTGAGGTATAGATATTCCAATTACCCTAACTTGATCATTACACACTATATACAAGTATTAAAATATCACACACAACCCCAAAATATGTACAGCTATGATGTATCAATAAAAATACCAAAAATACTCCAAAACACAGATTTAATATAGAACTTGCTTCAAAGCTGTATTTTACCCCCATTAGACCCAACATCAGTGATTTAGTATCAGCAAAATACCATGATCTCTGACAAAGAAATATGTGTTATTAGAATCAATTTTGCCAACTAGCCTTTATCTTATTTGTGCATTTATTTTGTTCATAATGTTGTATAAGAATTATAAGCATTTGTTGATTTTGCTTACCTTTATTTTTGCATACCTTACCTTTTATCGTTTTTTCTCAACAATCCATAAATAGGGCATAATTTATTATGTATTTTGTATGTATTATGTATTATTGTAATTTATTATTTCACTGAGACACTTCTGAATGTGAAAGGGAACAAAAATAATAATTTTTAGGTCAGGCCAGGCATAAATCAGATCTCTCCTGGGAAAACTGGAATGTATGGTCATTCAACACAGATAACTCAAGTTTGAAAATCATTGATTTAATCCAGCATTTTGAAATAATCACAATGCATGTCTCTCACCAACTTCCAGGTGGTTATAGAGCTGGGAATGGTTAAAAGAATGTAGTACAAGCACCAGCATTGATTTCTATTTTGTAAAATAAACTTCCTTTCACCAGTATCCTTAACTAATTGAAAGTGTTACACATTAACATTGGAGCTATATGGTAAAAATATAGGTTAGTATTACAAATATATTTGACCACTCACGCATGTCACTTGAACATACAATTTCTGAGGTAACTGTTGGACTCAGAGCAATTTAATCCAATCACCAATAGTTTATCTATTTCTCCTTTAATCTTTGATAAAAATCTATGATAGATTTCCTCAAACAGTAATTCAATAATGTTTATGACACAAAACTTTTTAGTCCAAGAAAGGAATACGTGCACTTTAGAAGTTATTTCAACAAGTTTGAAAGCAGGTAGAGAATTCAAGGTAATCAATGACAGACAAGGAAATTCAGGTGGCTGAGACACTTTTCTTTCTTCAATAGCTTTACAGATGATGGAGGTTTTATTAGAATGTGCTTCACATTTGCTAATGTAGGTCTACGAAAATCACATATTCTAAGGTGATATTTTACTCCTCCTCTCTGTTCCCTATGCATGCCATCATTAGACACCATTGATACAGAGCCACCTGTGAATACAGCACTCAACCATGCATGGCATTTCTAAAGTAATTTGGAAAGCGATGACAGCAGGTAAAATTGGAACACTCCCAGAGGATGCTCATTCTGCATTCAGAGACATTCCAGATATATTTGAAGAGTTTCTCTAATTTGCATTATTTCTAAATACATTTCACATACTTTTCCAAGTTTGCTGGCTGTATTGCAATATGCACATTAATATTTAAGCTTATGTCAGGCTTAGATATATGAATTAACTAAAAGGCATAAATTAAGTGCACATTTATGTGATATTTTATGGAAGACATGTTATTGTGCCTCCCTTAGCTTTGGAATGAGACAAAGACACTCACACAGCTCTTTGCTTGTTGACCCTGACATGCCCTGGAGTACCTCTTGCACCTTCCTTAGGCTGTTCGTGACATTAAATAACTATGAGTGGAGTTCAACAAATAAAATTTCAATCAGTTAATTGTTTAAATCACAATTACATAGCAGGTGTTTATTTTCAGGACTGGGAAAAATATGGGCTTCAAACATTGTTTTTCTAAAATGTTTCTGCTTGAAAATCTGCAATTACTAGGTAATCATTACTGCTGAAAGCTACTAATTCTGTCTTTGTACAGTTCTAGAAGTCCTTTGAATATCTCTCTATTTATGGTAGGTAAAATTTTGGTCCCATAGTCTTCGCTCCTTAGTTTTATTCCTGTGCATATGTTATGTTGCATGAGAAAAGGAACTTTGCAGATATAATTAAAGGCAAAAGGGGAAATCAGAGATTTAAGGCATGGAAAAGGTTCAATGGGCCATGAAAATAAAATAGGGACGTCAGTTCTGCAATCATAAACAACTAAATTCTACCAACAATCTGAAGTAGATTATTCCCCACAGTCTCTAGATAAGATTCCAGCCCTGTCAACACCTTGATTTCAGTCTTGTGAGATCCTGAGCAGAGAACACAGTTGTGTCATGCTGTGCCCAGACTTCTGTTTGACCCATGAAACTACAAGATAACAAATGGGTGTTTTTTTTTGTGGTAATTTGGTAAACAACAATAGAAGAACAATATCTATTAGAAATATGCGGGAACTTAGAGAGCTTCTTGTTCAACACTCATTTATTCATAAGGAACATTGCTATAGTTTGGCTATAGTTTGTTTAACCTTTCCAAATGTCATGTTGAAGGGGCCTAGTAGAAGGTGCTTGTGTCATGGCAGGGGACATCCATGAAAAGATTAATGCCCTCTCTGGGCAGCCAGCAAAATGAGGAGGTGAATAAACATTTTTTTTCTTCATAAAATACTGAACAACAGGTATTCCTTTATGGCAACACAAATGGACTAAGACAAAAATGAAATCCAAGGAAAATAAAATATTTGTCCAAGACTATAGTTTATTTATTTATTTATTTAGAGACAGGGTCTCATTCTGTCACCCAGGCTGGAGTGCTGTGGCCCCATCATAGCTCACAGCAGCCTTGGACCCCTGAGCTCAAGTGATTCTCAAGCAGTGCACCACCATACCTGGCTAATTTATTTTTTTTTTAATTTTTAGTTTTTGTTGAGACAGGGTTTCACTATGTTGACCAGGCTGGTCTTGAATTCCTGGCCTGAAGCCATCCTCCCATGTCGGCCTCTGAAAAGCACTGGGATTACAGGTATGAGCCACTGTGCTTGGCTAAGGTCATAGTTTATAAGTGACTGTCATTTACTGGCTTCCTAATCTTTTATACTACCTTAATTTGTTGATTTCTTCATGAAACTTATTTTTAAAACTTTTTTTTAAGAAATAAAGAAGGCAAAGAGTTTGAGTGTCCTCCTGCACATAGTATCACTGTTTTTTTTTTGGGCTACTCCTATGTACTCAGTACTGTGTTTGATACTTTAAATATATTATTTATTTTATACAATTCTGGTATGATATGTATACAAATAAAAATATTGCAAAAATATCTTAAGTATCAAGTCATCTACAGAAATTATTTGCTAAAAGTGACTTCAGAAAAAGAAGTTATTACCTTACAATGGAAGGAATCAAGGAAAGTTCTATGGAAGTGGTGACACACGTCCTGTGGATTAAAAAGTTGGGAGAATATGTTCCATTTCAGCTGCCTTAAGTAGTCTTGAATGCTCACATTTGGACTCTGAGCAGCGGGAAAAATGTCAGCAAGAGTAACTGATGCTTGGGATCAGAGCATTTGCTTGAGCATTCCATTCTTCAGCTCTTTAAAATGTCTTTCTTTTATTGATACTCTAATTTGCCTAGCCCTTTAACTTGAAACCCATATGCTACCTACTCTTGCTTAAATTCCATAACTAAGATCATTAGGTCATCTTTTGTTCTTTCCTGATTACCTTTTGGCATCCCTTCTTCTAATGATTTAGACTAAGAATGACATTGCACAACTAGAGGCAATAGCAGTATTTTTGTCTGAGCCAAGAGTAACTAGCAGGGCACAGTGGTCCATGAGGGATATCTAAAGACAAAATTCAGATAAATTAAAACTGAGGAATGGGTCAATTTCTGGAGGGGCATGGAAAAAAAGAGGATATCATGAATGATGCTTTTACTACAATAGTTTTATTGTTCTATTCAAACTGAGCATAGGGTGCATGAACATGTAAAATATATGTTATAAAGTTAAGTTGGCATTAGATAGCAGAAGAGCTTAAATAACAAGTTATGAAATTTGAGAGGTTTTAAATTTATTTATTATAGATATTGGAAAGTGTTTGAATCAATTGCCAGAGAAGTGTGAATCATTGGGAAAGCTACTCTACTAGCTATATTTACAAAGAATTGCCTCTTAAGGGAAGTATAAAGGAGGTATATTTTCATGGCAGGAAAGGGAGCTGATATTTATTTGCAAGCCTATTGTGGCAGAAGCTATCAAGTATTTCACAAAATCAATTTTCTCTTGAATCAGTGAGATGTGACCATATGATTAAGTTCCAGCCAATGAAGTAAGTTAATACTGTGCTTCCCTTCTAGACCCTGCCCATAAAACCTTCCCATTCTCAGGTATTCATGCTCTTCCCAATTCTACATGCTTTTAAATCCTAAGTAAGCTGACTTTGGACAACATATATTGAAAAAGTTGGAGTCACAAAATCATCCCTGAAGGACAGCTGCCCGCTAATCATAAACACTTGTTATGGACTATGTGAAGAAAATAAACTATCACTTAAGGCTTTTTACTAGTCAGATTTTTCTGAGGAGAAACCTCAACATCCCAGTGTCTTACAAGAGCAAATATCTATTTTTCACTTACATTACTTGAGGACTGAGGTTTAGTGGCAGTTGTGCCCCAGGCAGGGGTTGACTCTGGATTTATTCAGTGTGTCTTTACAACATGGGGCTGAGGTTGCAGAATACTTTATCTGAGATATGCTGTTCTCTTGGCAAAGTGAAAAATTCAAGAATCCTAGACAATGTAGTTAATCACATTTATAGTTGTGTGGCATTCATCACTTCCATTCATGTTCTACAGGCTAAATAGTCAATGAACAAGCCCCATGTCTAGGCATGTGTGTGGAGTTTTGGGAGTGGTGCTGTTATAACCTTCCAGGAAGGATTTCCTAGAGTGAGTAACTGAGAACAATAATACAATCAACCATAGAATTTTACATTTTGTGGCTTATTTGTTACAACTTACTTGTTCTAACTAATACTATTAATATAAACACCCTCTGGATTAAAGACTTTTTCATATATGATCCTGACCTTCCACCCCATCCCAACCTATGCCCAAAATGTATTTTAGATATAAATAAACGGTTGAGGAATATAAAACAATATTCCCAGGAGTATTTACCATATGGAGTAAGAGGCAAAATTCAAGTACAGCCCTGCCTATTTGTTCTAACTAAAAATTTCTGATGCCGCACATCACTATACACCATAATTTTCTAACACTGGCCAGTCACCAGGCAGCCTCAGTGCTTCACGTGTAACTTGTGATTGTGCTAGATGATTTGTAAAGTATCTTCCATATGTCTGAGTCTGTGTCGCTCAATAGGATAGAGAACTGCCAGTATGAAATCCTACCTTCTAAGCTTTGTGGATAACTATAACTGATACATGATGTACAGTTCAGCTGCTTACCCCCTCAACATATTATCCAATTTATTTTATAAAAGATATGAAGCATGCAATGCAGCGCACAGCAAAACATAAGTTGCAGCAGCAAAGATGCAGCATCTTGTCCTCTCAACTGCACGTGGCATGCTAGAAATTCAGCCACTTTTAAGCAAATGTAACATAATAGCAAGGAAACAGAAGACAGAGGAAACAGTACAAATGTCTGAATGCTAACATCTATTACACTTTCTCTGTGCCAGGCACCATTCTAAATCCTCTTAATCCATTCTAGTACCCTGTGATGTAGGCATTTATATTACCTCTTATTCCACAAAAGAGGCCATTGATGGGTAAATTGTTGAAGTGACTTGTCCCCATTCATAAGGTTAGGATTGAAATTCAGGCAGTTTGGCTCCAAAATTTATCTCAAACCACCTTGCTGTGCTGCCAGATGAACATAACCCCAAAAAGAATTTACCGTGTCTTCCCAGATGCTGCCTTTAAGTAGCACAGCAAGAAACTGCAGAGTCCAGCATTGGAAACATGTTTTCCTATTTTTTTCCCCAGATTTTTCCTTCAAACTTATTTTAGTCCACTGTCAGATCATATACATTTATTTGCTTAAGTTAAAAAAATTCAGTATCTGCTTGTGAAATGCAAATACCTTTAGTCAATGCATTAAGCTTTTGTCATATAGAAGTATTTTTCAGTGTAAATGCCATGACAAGAAAAATGCTAATGTCAGGTAATTTAATATACTAGTTGGTACTCAACACTCTTCTCCCCTTACCCTCCTACCCAGAACCATCTTCCAGGTAAGTGCTACATCAAAAATGAAGCACTTGACCTGAGAAGTCAAAAGTAGGTGGAAAAGGAGAGGAAAGAGATTCTAGTTAGTGAAATGGGGAGTAAACTGACAGAGGTAAAGATGTGGAGAACACCCATGGACTTATGAGGTCAGTAGGGTGGAAATGAATCAAGGAGAGTCTTGTTTGGGGAACACTGTAGCTTAGTTTTCCAGCTGAACCTAAACTGAAGTTTTGCTGAAGCTTTGAAATGATTGGGTACTCTTCTACATCTTCCTCTCCTTTTAAGTTCTTGTGAATACTCTTCTTGTGTACTGAAGCTTATTAATAATTATATAACTAATATCTCATGAAGCCAGTAAGTTAGTGACTTGAAATTTGACCTACACTCTTACTTTTGCTCTTTAGTATTCTAGCTGTATAATCTCAAATGGCTAAGTTAAGAAAAGCATTAGTTTTCCTATCTAGATAATAAATGTAATAAAATTTACTTGAGACAATCAAATAAGATACAGTAATTGCAAATTCGAAAGATTAATTATTGCTAATAATTAATAACATTAATTAAAAATATTATTGCCTGATGTTTTTCTTCTTATATGAAGTTTTGTTTTAAGTACTCTGTTACTTTTGACCATCATAAAAATCAGGTGCAACGGGGGAGGGGAGAGCTTTTGATATAACATAGCTTGAAAAACGAGTAAATAAATAAACAAAATTACATTTTTTGGTTTTAGAACTTCAGACAATACATCATAATATAACTAAACAAACACTTAGAAGGCAAGTCTGGTGTGTGTATTTATATATTCCTAAATGGACCTACCACAATAGGCTTTTTAGAATGTTCTTACAAATTTTAAGAGAGAAAAAAAGAGAAACTTGACCAGAGAAATAGTTTTATATATACAAATATATATGTATATATGTGTGTGTATACATAAATATATGCATATATTTAAACTATATGTGTACATATATACAAACTTTGTCTAGTAAGTAGAACTAAAGTTTCTTTGCCTATTTATTGACTAGATAATATATTCACATCTTTCAAAGACTTGAAAATATAAAGTTTTCAGTGAAAATTTCCCCACTCATTTTTTTTTCCTGTCCACCTACTTCCCATTCTCCAGCATGTAAACCATCACTTCTAGTTTTCTGTTTATGCTCCCAGAGTTTTTGTACACATGCAAGTGTGTGTGTGTGTATTTTTTTTCTTCGTCTATCTTAGAAATATGGGGAAATAGTTTTCTGTGTACTTTGGAGTGCATTCCATATTAAGATGTAAAGAGATTTTCTGTTCTTTTCCATTTTGAAAAGCTACATTAAGACATTGAAAGATGCTAACTTTTTGTTCTTACAAACAATAATAAAATCAATAGTACCATAAACTTATTATTTTGAACATATACAGTATAGCTGAAGAAACATTCTGATGAATGAAACGGCTGTATCAATGGTTCCTGCCGGGGGTTGTAGTATTATAGTTAGAATAGCTGAATACTTAAATATCTATATATTATGTGAAAAACAACATCAGCACTGTATGAATCAGATATTATAGAAAAGGCTTCACCTCAAAAATTAAACATTCAGATAATAAAAGCTTACACACTACATGCCAATATACCAACATTAAAGGTAAATCAGATTGGAAAGCTTTCCAAAGTATATCATAGATTTTGTTGCTTCTGAGAGTAGACTAGAACATACATAAATCTTCTGCTTACAATCTATTGTCTCAAACTCATCACCAGCAGCCCCCGAAACACACACACACGCACATGCACACACGCACACACGCTCCTAAGTGCTGATTCTCTCACTTTTGTTTCTAAATTAAGTATATCTGAAATAAAACTGAGTGTTTGGCAGCTTGGGGTTCTGATTTTAATATCCCAAATCTTCTTTTGGCCATTTGGAACCCTTGAGTCAGTCATTCAGTGGCCAAATATCTGGATCTGAATCCTGGAGCCAGGTGAACTCTAATATCCTTCCTATTTCTGTGCTACAGTGATTCTATAATGCCCCCGAGTCACTCAGTTCAGAATACAAAATTAACTTCATCTCCTTTCTCTTCCATACACAGATATCCAAAAATTTCTAAAAATTTGTTAAATTCCGTATTTGTAGTATTTCTTAAATTGTGCTTTCTTTCAATCCCACTGCCACTGGGCTAATTTAAGCCCACATTATTTCTTACGTGTATTTTTGTAATAACTTCCTAAAAACGTACATATTTGCCTTCAGGGATTATCTGTGCATTTCAATTATTCCTTGTCACTCTTGGTCCCTTAGAACAATGAGTAATTGAGGTTTGCTCATGTAGATGATTTTATGAAATCATGGTTTTTACTCTATATGATATGGATTAATTAATAGTTAATATGAAAACAATATTATTTTAAATATTTTGGACTACTAGTAGTCTCTAAATTTGTTAAGTTGATAAATGAAAGTTAATGGCAAGAAGATATCACAGAAATACATGCTCTTCAGCAAGAATAAAGAATGTATTATTGTTGGTTCCTCAGGAGAGAAAGAACAATATGATATTATGAAAAAAATCACCTTCTAGAAGAAAGTCAGTGGGAAAGAAATGAAAGTCAGATTAGTTCATATGTGAAAACAGCTGGAAGGCTTCTAGTCAGCTGGATTCTGCAATTTCTAGGTTATTCCCAAATAGATGTGTGTGTATTTTACGTTGTTTTTAAGTTGTCTCCCACATAAGGCAATGTTAGTGTGCAATAAATGGCTTTACAATTTGAATAGTTATATCCATATCTGAAGAAATAATTGTGTTTTTCAAAATGGACAAAGTGCCTAATGTACTGACAATGTCTAGTTGTAATCTGGGTTTTCACTACCTATTTTTCAATAAAAATACATCACGAAATGTTAAAATATAGCACTCTTCTCATTTCAAATAATAAATAAACAAATAGTAACGCAGAATGAATAAAGTCACATTGGAGTTGTAGAGGTGAGCTACAATGTTAATAAAAGATTTGTTTTTGATGAACATGAACTGAGTTTAGTTCCTTATCCTACACTCCCTAATTGTGTGATATAGGAAAAGTTACTTTATATTTCCAATCTTCAGTGTCCTCATTGGATAATGATAAGTTTTATTCTGTTGTTTTGGGGATATCCAAAATAATGTAAAGCATTTTACCCAAAGTTTTTCACAATGCTTGTACCATCATTATTATCACCATCATCATTATTTCCTGTATGTTTGAATTACGGTGTTCCATGTCATATATTCTTTATGATGTGTATTATGTATCCATTCTGAAATTCAGAAAGATTTCATATATATTTGTGTGTGTGTGTGTGTGAATATATGGCCCTATAGCCCTGTGTTTGGCCTTTAGAACCATTTTAACAAAGGTAACACTTCATAATATTCCTTTGTACTTTTTTACATTCATATCTTACCCGTTGTTTTGGTCCCTTATGGGTGAAGATCATGTATTGTTCATAGTTAAATCTCAGACAGGTAAAAAATGAAAATAAACCAGTATTAACAGCATCTACTGTTTGTCATACATTGTGTTAAACATTTTGCAGATATATTAAGATGAGTGTTCGTAACTTCTCCTGAGGTATGAAAGGTTTAATTAAGTCATTTAAATGATAAAGAGCTGGTAGGCAAGGTTCTGGGTCACACGCACAGTTCTCTTCCTTCACAGCATAAAGATTTTTTATGATACCCTTTAACTTCTCCCTGGGATAGAGAGTAGAGCCAAGTACACAATAGACATTCAGTGAAAATTTATGGGATAGACAAATAACCTAAGAAATAAAGCCTGAGCTTTATTTGTGTTTTGAATAGTTATAGCCATATCTGAATAAGAAATTATATTTTTTAAAATGTACAAAGTGACTATCGTATTGACAATGTCTAGTTATAATCTGGTTTTCACTGTCTATTTTTAAATAAAAATACATTGCTAAAGTTAAAATACAGTCCTATTCTTATTTTAGATAATAAATAAATCAAAATGAGGAATGGATGAAGGGTAAATCCTATACGAAAACAAATCTTTCACTTGTACTGTTTCTTCCACCTGCTACATGCTCCTATAATTTCTCCATGTCTATGTCTAAGTTTTTCACACTTTTTTTTTTTTTTTTTTTTTTGAGACGGAGTCTCACTCTGTCTGTCGCCCACGCTGTAGTGCAGTGGCACGATCTTGGCTCAGTGCAAGCTCTGCCTCCCGGGTTCACGCCATTCTCCTGCCTCAGCTTCCCGAGTAGCTGGGATTACAGGCGCCCGCCACCACGTCCTGCTAATTTTCTTGTATTTTTAGTAGAGACGGGGTTTCACTGTGTTAGGCAGGATGGTCTCGATCTCCTGACCTCGTGATGCACCTGCCTTGGCCTCCCATGGTGCTGGGATTACAGGCGTGAGCCACCGTGCCCAGCCCCTCACCCTTTTAAAGTTGATTAATCTTTATGAATTAAAGTTAGGTTCATTTTAGGCAAATATTTTCATCTCTATTTTTTGACTTTTGTCAGGGAAAATGGTTCTTTTGTCTGAATTGGAATTTTGGTTCATTTCAATTTTTATAGAAATTTTATAGAATTATACTTACACATCATTAGTAAAATCAATTGAACTGGGAAACTAATTTGACTGATAACATCACAATATGTCCCTAATTCACTGTGACAAGATGGTGTGTATGAGGAAGTTGACTGTACCCATACTTTTTATTATAGCTTTTATTACAGAGTTTTAGTGTCTGTAGATTTTACTAACAGAACCAATAAATAATCCCAGTGGTAATTTATGAGTGTCTTTTCCACTGTAGGTGAGGTCTGGATTAAATTTGCCACCTAAACTCAGTAACTATTGCGCCAAAGATGAGCCCTGAGAAAATGCCTATCTACAAAGCTGGAAGCTATATTAAATAAGAAACTTTCTATTGCTAGTTCGTTCTGATCATTTATTCCGTTAATTAGTCATACTGGTTTCCAAACAGGCAAATTGGATTATTGTAGTAAAGTGAGCAAAATATCAGCAGATATTGCTGCTTGGAGAATTTTACTTCTACATTATAACCTGGAACTGCTTAAAATGATGTTCCTCACTTGAACCAACTGCCCCAGCTGTCAGTAGGGACTCAAGTTACATTCAACAATTGGAGATCACTAGGAGAGAGGGCCAATTTAAATTAGAGACAATTTAAACTGTAAAACAATCTTACTGAAAAAGAGCTACTTTTCAAAACGCATACTAAGATACAAATGTAGATATATAAGCTAATTATTGGCATAGAATGGCTATTGATTCATCTAATAAAATTTGGGGATTTATCTGGTTTCCTGAAGTGGCTAAGCTTAGGGTCTTTCAAATGACTTCAAACTACCTTAGGCTGGTTTTTCCTTTTTGTATTAATTTGTTTAGTGTCTTTTATTTATATACCTGAAATTAAAATATATATAATTCAGGTATACAAACACACAGAATTATCATTAATATAAGTGAATGAAATTAGAATTTAGACTGTGGCAGACCCCTGGAGACACAATCACTAAATCAACATTCTTAGAGCACCTGTTTTTACTGAAAGTGGGTTTCCTCACATTGAAGTTTTGTCTCATGCCCAAAGAATTGAAGCAGGTCTCTTCACTGGCGTATTACACAGTTAGAAAGAATAAAATATCTGTAAGAATATATGTCTTCCCCCCAAGTAAGCATTGCTCTTTTATGAATCTATAGGTGTCAAAGTTAAGCTGCTACATAAATAAGTAAGATAACATTCCAAATTAACTCTTCATTAAGATTTATTGTATGAAATTCTCTAAAATGACCAGTTCATATGGTATCTGAATATTTACCTCATGGAAAAGATCATTTTTGAATCTAAGAACTAAAGCTCTGAGCATTGAAGAGGGGCAAAATAACAACTCGTAATGAGGAGAGGACCATTACATGAGAAGGTGCCTATGCAGGCCTTTGGACATTATTACAACCACTATTATTTTTATCTTTATCATTGCTGTTATTATTTTTTTTTTTTCAAAAAACGTTTTGACAATCTGGAAAATAGCACCCTCAGTTAAGAGAACAAAACCCAGAATCGTGATGCCTGATTGCACATTTAAATCTCACACTAGCCCTGGTCAAAAAGGCAAATATCAAGCGTAAAAATGTAGTGCTACTAGATCTAGTTAGATCTAGTTCAAAGGAACACAAATAACTACAACTTTGCTCAAAGTAGTACATTTAACCACTCCGTGCTTACTTACACAAAACAGCACGTTAAAGAAAAATTTTGTTTCAGCTTGTCCATAGTGTTTCATGCCTGGGACATTCTTTCAAATGATACTTGGTTCCTCTTCTCATTCTGACCTTTTATAATCTGCTTCTGCCTTAATCTTGTCCTGCTGTATTCATTCCAATGACAATCTCAGACAATTATCAGGTATCAGACATCAACTTTGTGTGGGAAACCTCCCACATCTATTTTAGTGGCTTTAGTCACTTTCCTCTGGACTAAATTCTACCATTTCTAAGGTTTGACTCCTATGCATTCCAATGCAGATGTTCTAAGAGCACCTGAGGAAGAAATCTTCAATCAGAGTTTCTAATTTTGGACAACCATGGTAACAGCTACTTTAAAAGAAGAAAATAGAGGCTAATGAAGGAGGCTCACTGAATGCTCAAAATGATGAACCGAAACCAGTGAAACCTGCTGTTTTCATGAAGTTCTCTGCTTTAGTAATGCTCTCAGGCCTTTCTGAGTCACCCACACTCAAACTTTTGAATATCTTTGTATTAGTCAGGAATCTCTAGAGGACATAACTAATAGGATAGATGTGTGTGTGTGTGTGTGTGTATAAATAAACTCCCATATATATATATATACACACACACACACACATATATAAATAAACTCCCATATATATACACACACACACACATACACACACACACACATATATATAGGAGTTTATATACATATATATACACACATATATATGGGAGTTATTAAGGAGTATTAACTTGCACAATCACAAGGTGAAGTCCTAAAGGCCATCCGCAAACTGAGGAGCAAGGAAGCCTGTCCGAGTCCCCAAACCTCAAAAGCGGGAAAGCCAACAGTGTAAACTTCAGTCTGTGATCGAAAATCCAAGAATCCAAAAGCTGAAGAACTTGGAGTCCGGTGTTTGAGGGCAGGAAACATTCAGCATGGGAGAAAGATGTAGGTCGGAAGACTCAGCCAGTCTAGTCCTTCCACGTTCTTCTGCCTGCTTTTAATTCTAGCTGAGCTGGCAGCTGATTAGATTGTGCCCACCTAGACTGAGGATGGGTCTGCCTTTCCCAGTCCACTGACTCAAATGTTAATTTCCTTTGGCGAAAACCTCACAGACATGCCCAGGAACATTACTTTGCATCCTTCAATTCAACCAAGTTGACACTCAATGTTAATCATCACATCTTTTACTCTTCCTCACCCTTTTCACAGTTTTCACCTTAAAAATGTAATTTTGAAAAAAAAGAAAAACCCACAATCATTTGGAGGCAAATGGTTTCCTTTTACACCTCTCATGCCTAACCCTCATTTTCATTACCGATGCCACTGTTCACGTAAAGAACTCTCCTCTTTCTCCTGGACCATCACAGCAACCTCCTCCCTGGCCTTGTGTCTTTGGTTCTCTTCCCACCTCCCTACAAGTCTCAATCTGTCTAGTACAATCATGCCAGAGTTATTTTCTAAAATTACCACTTCCAATATTCCACTACTATGCTTAAAAAATACCTCCTCCAAATAAGCCTTCATTCCATTCCATTCTCTCTATACATCTCTCCATGACATGGCCTCCCATGAACTTATTTCTATGTGATTTTCAAACTTTACTTCTCAGTCTTATACTCTATAGTTTAGTAAAAATGAATGGCTTATCAAGACAGATGCATATCATGTAATTTACAAGAACAATGCTTTCATCTGTACCTTTTCTTTCACCAGCTATGTGTTCCTATAATCTCTCCATGTCTAGATTTTTCACACTTTTTGTTGGTTCAAATTACACCTTTTACAGGAAGCCATTTCTGTTGCACCCAGTCAGAACTAAGTTGTAACTTATTTTGTCTGTATCTTTCGTGAATAGAAAAATCAATCTCCATAAAATATTTTAAAGAGGCTTATTATGAGCCAGTATGAGTGACCTCAGCCTAGGGAATCAAAGTCTGAAGGAGTCCTAATGAAGTTCATCTGAGGTGGCCAGGTGACAGTTTGGTTTTATATGTTTTAGGGAGGCAAGAGTCACAGGCAACGATGTCAGTCAGTTTGTGGAAGGTTGGTTCAGACTGAAAAGTTAGGATATCTAGAAGCAAGGGCTTGCAAGTCATAGGAGGATTCAGAGAATTCTTTAACCTGCAATTTATTAAAGAAATAAGACTTTGTCTGAAAACTTGGAGTTAACAGAAACGAATGTTTAAATTAAGATAAGGATGATTCAGTCACAATATGACCTGTTTAGCGAGATTGATGGCCAGCAGGCGTGACTTAACCCTTGCTTGGAATGGCCTTAGCTCTTGTTTATAATTTGTTATTTTATTGCCACAAAGAGTCTGCAATTTCAGTCTTATGAGCTCTATTTTAACATTAATGCTGGCCAGTTGTGCCTGAACTCTAAAGTGGCAGGGGGTATAATGAAGGATGTCTGACCTTCCTTCCTGTCATGGCTGGGGACTCAGTTTTAAAGGTTTCTCTGGGATCTCCTTGGCCAAGAGGGAGTTTGTTCAGTCAGTGAGAGCTTAGAATTTTATTTTTAATTTATGCTCTATTATGACACATACTTTTAAAAGTAATCCTCATACAATGCAATTCATCTTTTATAGAGAACAAGCTGATCTATGTTAAAGTAAATAGATATCCATAACATGTTGTTGTTAGAATAGCAAGTTACAATGTAATGAGCAAAGTACAATCTCAGTCTTCTCTAAACAGTTAACAATAAGGCATGTCTGACCTTCCTTCCTGTCAAAAATATTATGACACATACTTTTAAAAGTATGTCACAGTATTTTATTAACATAAAATTTTAATGTTAATTTATTTTATCATATTTTATTAATATATGCTTTGTGTTTAGTGGTGATGGAGGAGGAGATAGAGGAAGAACAAAAACAAGAAGAAAAAGCAGAGACAAAAATTGAGAGAAGAAAATTAGGCACCTGCAATGCCAGCACACAGAAACAAATGCTGTTAGAATTTTGATGTATCCCTTTGGGTATTTTTAAGTGTATATATATATATATATATATATATATATATATATATATATATATCAGTGTATATATAACAGTATATATATATAGAAACACACTGTATATGCATTTTTAAATGTTTTATTTTTTAAGTTACTTTTAAAACCAATTTTTTAAATTTTTTGGAATGTTACTCTCCAGTTACAAAATTGACATGTGCTCACTGCAACCAATAAAACAACACCCCCTAAAGTTCAACTTATATAAAATATGTATTTGAAGATATATAGAATTACATATGCATATGAATAAGCACACAAATATAGGAACTATTGTTGATTGTTTAGAGAAGAATGAATTTGTACCTCATCAATTACATTGTAACTTGCTATTCTAACAACAGTATGTTATGGGTATCTATTTACTTTTACTAACATAGATCTAACTTGTTCCCTATAAAAGGTTAATTACATTGTATGGGCCAATATCCTTCTTATGTAATTCTTGTTACTTTTAGTTTCAAATTATGCTGCAATTAACATCCTTGTATACTGAATCAATCAGATCTCAAAGATAATTTCAAAAGTGAAATTGTAAGGGAGCCAAAAAGGACATACCCGTGACTTGGAACTACTAGTTTAAAGCTATTATCATCCCTAGAACAGAAGGGACATAGAAAGGTAAATGTTACCACAAATTGAAGAAGAGATTCACATAAAAAAGACTGCTTTAAGTGACAAAAGACCTGTGGTTGATAAGTGTAGCCAGCCTCAAGTTACCTCTCAAAGGAGTCAAGAAATTAAATATCAGGATCTCACTCTTCTACCCAGCTCTTCCCCAGCCTCCTCCTGAGGTTCGCCAATCAGAAGTGAAATGGCACAAAAGACCATTCACATAATCTCTACAGATTAGTCTGGTGGGGAGGGGGAAAGGAACAGAATGAAGAAGGGGCAGTATGGATTTGATGGAGAAAGTAAAAGACATCCTGCACACATAAAGACTTATATACTGGCACTTTCAGTTCTATGAGCTGGATTTGTAAGAGATACATTGTCAGGTATATATGTCAAACCTAAACGTATAATACTAAATTGCTTTTTAAGAAAACTACAGCAATTTATATTTCTGTCAGATTGCATCCTGCTTTTACCCATAAATTGTGTCATTTTTCCTTTGAATTGTATTCTTCTTCAATGTCAAATTTAGTGATTGCATGGTGTCTAATTCTTTTGATGTGTCATAAGTCATTTAATAAATCCTTTTAGTGTATCAGATCTTTGATTGCTTTCACCTTTTTCATTAAACACAAGGCAATAAGATCTTTAATCTATTTATTATTGTTATTTTTTGGATAAATTTCTAGAAGTAAAATGTCAGAACTTTCTGGTCAAAGAATCTGCCCAATTTCCCACATTTGTATGTGGAAAATTATGTTAATGAAAGGTTTGCCAACAAGTACTTGCCTATCAAGCTATCCATTGATAACAGGACAGAAAAACTAACTGACCAAATTAAGTTACTGAAATTACACATATATATTAAATTGATATAAAACATACAGCAATAAGGAAAGGGAAAGAGGTATTGTAAGTAAATATTCATAGGATCATGTATATGTTGGTTAAAATACTACTCAGACTATAATAGACTGTGTTCATTCAAAGTTCAAGTGTTGAAAACCTAACCCCAGTGTGCAGTGGGGCTGTAATGGACATGGGACTGCTAAGGAAGTAATAAAAGTTGAATGAAGTCAAAAGGATGGATAGGGCTCTGTTCTAATAGAACTCATGTCTTTTTTTTTTTTTTTTTTTTTTAAAGACAGGGTCTCATTCTTTTGCCCAGGCTGGAGTGCAGTGGTGTTATATTCACTCACTGCAGCCTCAGCCTCCTTTTGGTAGAAATGGTGTTTCACTATGTTGCCCAGGATGGTCTCAAACTCCAGGGCTCAAGTGATCCTCCTGCCTTGGCTTCCCAAAATATTGGGATTACAGGCATGAGCCACCACACCTGGCAGATTAGTGTCCTTATAAGAGGAGACACCAGAGAGCTCTCCCCCTACCCCTACCTCTCTGATTTCACATGGAAGAAATGTCATGTGCCCTCACAATGAACTTAATCAGCCAGCACCTGGATCTTTGATGTCACAGCCTTCAAAACTGTGAGAAATTAATTTATGTTATTTAAACATCCCAATTTGTGTTATTTTGTCATAGCAGCCCAAGTGTACTAATGCATTGCCCAAATCCTCTGTCATGAAATTGTCGTATGTCCTGTCACTCTGCAGCATCAGGCTACCCTACGGATGGTGTGGTTACAAGGACCAGAGATGAGGCTTAGGACAGGGGTTTAGTAGATGGAAGGTGCCTAGAGTCAACATGACACACTTGCTCTATTGCAGAAATAGACTTACAACGACACTTGCTACACATGTAGCTCCCTAACTAATGTGCCTAGCAGCTCTAGGATTTATCTGTATGGGGCCAGAATAGATCATAATGTGTATCATAAGTTTATATTTTCCAGATGAAATGTACACACTAAGTTAAATCTGAATTTCATGTAAACAACAACAAATATATATATATATATACACACACATATATATGCATATATATAACAATAAATATATATACATATATGTGTATATATATAACAACAACAAAATATATACATAAGTTGTCAATCTGGAGCTGTCATAATCTGCTCTCTATATTTAAATTTTACTTGGCATTTCTATTCTTTTCTACGTATAAGATATTCTTGATTGTTCCATTATTTTTGTCTGTATTCGAAACACATGTGCTCCATTTATTCTATCTATGAGTAATGTGTCTCACCAGTTAGTAACCTACTTATTATCTATTCTTATCATGTCTCCTGAGTTTCCTCCATCCTACTGTGTTTTTTTTTCTCTGCTAGGGTTGAAAAAAATACTCCTAAATAATACAGCAAGCACATAGTGAACTAATTTTTACCAAATATTATTATGCATGTATATGTCATTTCCTTCCCAAATCATAATTAATTTAGTAAAAGTATACATTTGATTCCCTTTTTAGGGGAAACCCTTCCCTACTTCAGCCTCACTCAGATATTGAAACTAAAGCTTCCTCCCAGGATTCAGCCTACCTGGATTTTGAGCCAATACTTGCAGAAGCAGGTGAAATCTTTTTCTTGTTTGAGGAAAGAATAAGGAAGCATGGGATTAAAAGCTCTGTTGAGTGACCCTGGAGGCTAACAACTCACCAAGCTTTTGTCTTCTCATGGCCCTTAATGAGGGACATATTTCAGTTCCTTGAATATACAATGCTTTCCAAACGTAGAAAATTTGTTTATGATTTATTTCCTGGTAGATTTTGTATTTGTTTTATCTCAAGCCTTCTCCTACATTGCAAAGTTATCTTCTATATTGTAAATAGAATGGCACTTTCCTCATTCTAAATTAAGTCTATCTATTACATGCTTTCATACCACTTTGTAATCTTCTTTACAGGATTTATCATGAAGGAAATATAGGGCTTATTTTTTATTAGTTAATTAATGTATTTTTCTGCCAATAGAATGTCAGCTTTATTGTAGCATTATTTATGATCATAAAAAAGCATTCAGAATGTTTATTAATGTACTATTTGGTTTGCTTTTATATCCTCCATAGATAAGACCCATGATGGCATATGCATAATGATTTTTGTTAATTAACTATTGAACAATCAAAGCTGGGTATATTTGTATTGGGCCTGACACAAAGTAGAAGTCTAAGTAAATTAGGTTGACTTTTTTATACAACTCATAGTCTTATTTTAAAGATATTCTTCAAGAATGCCACCAAAATGGGCTTTGGAAAGCAGCACCAATTGAATAAGTATACCCTCTCAGAGGAGGTACTTCGAAGGCTTACTTTTGTTTTAATTTAACTTTGGCATACCTATTTAAAAATTTCAATGATCTTTGGTAATAATGTACATAAAATTATGATTTTCTTTTAACATTTAGTCTAATTTTAATTTTTATTACACTAGAGACCCAAACTTCAGTGGAGTTTATTTTTGCATTTTGGAGTACTCTAATTCACTGAGGATGATCTTCTATAGAAAAATCTAATTTAGGCAAGACTGTATGAAACTAGAAACCTTAACTACTGTGAGGCAATAACAAAAAGATATGCCACGTGCAGGTAAAACTGGCAAATGCTTCAAAATTACGTGAGAAGACAGGTGTAGTCAAGCTATGTCATCAGTTCCAAAGATATTTTACATTTTTCTAGACTTTTCTGCCTGAGACGTAAGTTAGGAACCAAATGATATCATTAAAATTCAGCCAGCATCTCAGGATACAATTTTACTTTGTTTAACTCAAATGCTTGGTAAAATTTTGGATGCAATTTTTGCATAATTTCCAAATGTTCCTTCTTGCTCTGAGCTGTATTTTTGTATATTCTACTTCCAAATCACTGCTAACAACGAAACAGAAAATGAAAAAATAAGAAAAATGCACGTTTGAATGAAAACTAAGTTATTATAATTCCCATACCATATTCAACAAAATTTCCACACCTTCCATTAGATTCCATAATTGGGATAATCAATATAAATAGACAGAGAGGGGGGAGAAAGTAAACGTGGGCTGCATAATATGCAGATAAGCCGATGGGGGTGGGGAGAGAAAGTGAGACAGGCAGAGAGAAAGAGATAAACTGTCTAAACTTCATGAAAATCTATTATAATAATCTGTACTCATTTCGGAGACACCTAGATGATTACAAGGAGATCAGATTAGTTGAAGGCTTCTCAGCTACCAAACCTTGTCAATGACTCATTGATGCTTTCCACAGATGGTCCTGTTATTACTCCATTGAGAACTATATAAATCATTTATCCTCCTGCAAACAACCTATCAGTCGGATTGAGGAACAGACTGATAAACTAATATGTTCTATGACAGGAAGCCATGTCTTTACTAAGCAGCATCCAAACCAAACTGCCTCTCTACTTGAGTACAACTATTATAAAGAACAACTATTAAAAAGAACTTCAGCAAAGACTAATAAAGGGGTACAGTGTTGTATGCAATAGTGTGTGTGTGTATGTGTGTGTGTGTACATGCATGTGTTTGTGCAGGTATTTGGGTATGTCTGTATAAGAAACAGACAGACATAGAGTGACGGGAGGAAACAGAGACTAGAATAACAGACAAGGGAGTTCTTCAATGGCAAAGACCTAATCTACTTATGTTTTATGCCTAGCATTGTTTTGGTACATATGAGGTTTTTGAAATAAAATATGGCTGGAGTGATAGGCCAAAATATAATTTATAGGACATCAGAAACATTATTGAGTCAGTAATTTACCACAGAAAATCACATCCTAAGATAACATGGTTTTGTAGTTCATAAAACGTACTTTAAAAGCCACAAGATTAATGCTTTGAGTCTACAAATTGGGACTTTAATATGATGTTTAAGTTTCTTTGAAATGAGGCTCCAATAAAAGCTGTGTAAAGTGAACATAACATTTCAAGAATAGTTACAAAGAGTTATTTTAACTGTAAGCTGTCTGCAATTCAGTGAGAATTCCCTTGTTAAACAATCAGTAGTAGTTTAAGTGACGCTATTATCACTAGGAGCCTCACAAATGAGTATAAACAGGGTATTGCCCCTCAAGACTGCTTTTTAAAAACTGTCAAGTGTTCTTTCTTTCCATTCTCTTCACCAAGTGAGTTATTCTAGCACTGAGCAATTTGTGCATCATGCATCTTCATCTCTTGTGCTCAAAAAAGGTAATAATTTTCTGAATTCAGCTCTGTTGAAGAAGTATACTTAATGTGTCAGGTGTTAAGTAAATTGAACATTACCAAATCTGTTTTATAATTATTAGAAAATGATCATAGAATCATCAAATCTTAGAGTTGGAAAATGATCTATAGTGATCAGTTTCATTAGGAAAACAATTCATGCAAACAAAACTTTAGGCAGGAGAACAACACATAAGAAGATGACTATTTGAGTGGAATAAATGTATTTATGTTTAATTAATAATTACTTATTTGTTATAAAGTGAACCATAAGAAGAGTGTTTTGTGAGGAATGTTGTGCTATGGTAATAGACAATTTCTCAGTCTCAATAGTTTAACAAGCAATTTATTTCTCATCCACAAAGCTTGTTGCATTTCCAAAGAATCTCATAAGCAACTTGTTCTAAGTAGTGACATAGTGGCTCTGCTGCTTTGCACTTTTGGTTCTGTTATATGAACCATAGGTCGAGTCCATGATCACCACAGCAAATCAAGAGAAACTCCAGAATAATATCAACAACTAAATGGCTTAGTGTGTGACTCTTGTCACTTCTGCTTCAAATACATTGTCCTTGTCATTAGTCTGCCTAACTACTAAAGGATGCAGAATTATAATTCTCGCATTTGTCCAGAGGAAAAAGAGAGCTAGATATATGTTGCTAACAGAATATACCACAGAAAATTTCTAGAATTGATATTACTAGTTAGCCAAAGTTCATGTTTAGGTAACTCTGATAGATACTAATGAATTATCCTGCAAAATGATGTTAAGTATCAAGACATTAAAATATATTTTAATATATGGGCTAATATTCTTCTTTAAAAATTCTGGACACTTTTACATATATATTATTTCTCATGAAATTTGGTTTCATTTTATTAATTTAAAAATGTTTTTGTTGACATTTAATGACATTGCCTTAATTTAGTAATTTAATTTAACAAGGGTTTTCTTAATATTTTTACTACCTTAGAAACAACTATTTTTCAAATATTATTTATGTTCTTCAATATAGTGTAATTGCCTTCATGGAGGTAGAATAATTTTAATAAAAATATACCAAGAATGGTATATATTACTTATATAGTGTGTAATTGTATGCTATTCAAATGTAATTATACATCATTTAGTGAGAAGGATACATTCAGAGAAATAAGTCATCAGACGACTTTGTTGTGTGGACATCATAGAGCGTACTTACATAAACCAGCTGGCATAGCCCTCTACACGCATGGGTCATATGGTATAGCCTATTGCTCTGAGGCTATAAACCTGTACATAGTGTTACTGTACTAAATGCTGTAAGCAATTGTAGCACTATGGAAAGTGTTTGTGTATCTAAATATATTTAAAAATAGAATAGGTACAGTAAAAATACAGTATGAAATATTTTTAAAAAGGCACATCTGTATCTGTGTAGGACACTTGCCGTAAATGAATCTTGCAGAACTGGAAGTTGCTCTGAGTGAGTCAGTGAATCAGTGCTGAGCAAATATGAAGCCCTGGGACATTACTATACATTACTATAGACTTTGTGAACACTGTACACTTACACTGCACTAATTTTATTACAAATATTTTTACTTAATAATAAATTAATCTTAGCTAACTGTAACTTTTTTACTTTATCAACTTTTTAATTTTTTAACTTTTTGACTTTCTGCAATAACACTCAGCTTAAAAAAGCAAACACATACATCTGCATAAAAATTGTTCTTTATGTATTTCTGTAAGCTTTTTATTTAAAAAAATTTTTTTTGTTTACTTTTTAAACTTTTTTTTTTTTTTTTTTTTTTTTTTTTTTTTTTTTTTTGCTGAAAACTAAAAACAAACACACACATTATCTGAGGCCTATAGGCTTAGGATCATGAGTATCATTGTCCCACTGGAGGGTCTTCAGGGGTAATCATGCACATGGAATTGACATGTCCTCTGGTAACAACGCTTTCTTCTGGAATGCCTCCTGAAGGACCTGCCTGAGGTTGTTTCACAGGCAGCTCTCCTTTATTTAATATGTCTAGTATGGCAAATACATAAATCAGTAACATATTATCATTAGCAAGTAGTATGTATTGTACATAATCATATGTATTATACTTTTATATGACTGGAAGCTCAGAAGGTTTGCTTACACTGGCATCACCACAAACACACAAGTGATGTGCTGGACTACAACATTACAGTGGCTATGACATAACTAGGTGGCGGGAAGTTTAAAGCTCCATTCTAATCTTATGGGACCATCGTATGTGTGGTCTATCAGTGACTGAAATGTCACTATGAGGCACATGACAGTAAATATTTATCATACTGGATAATAAAGGATCTGGTTTTGCATTAATTTTTCTCATAGATTATTGTTAATACCCTGGGTGAAGCTAATGATTTCTGTGTCATATATTTGTTATTTGATTACATTACTAAACATATTATTATTTCAATAGCTCTTCAGTGAGATTTTTCAAGTTTTCCAGGTGAACAATTATATCACTTGAGAATAATGGTTATTTAATCATTTTATTTTTCTCTGTGTGCTTTTTCATGTCTGGTCACATTGACCTGCCCACTAGAATGACAAGTAATATTAAACATACTTTTATGTTTTCTCTGATTTTGGTTATTTGTCTGCTCAGATGAGTGTAACTATTGGTTTAGGTTAGACACTTTATTCATAATAGGAGGACATTCTCTTATGATTAGATTTGTAAGTGGTATGAATGCTGAAGTTGTCAAGTATTTTTCTAGCATCTATTATCATGATCACTTGTTTGTTCTTCTCTGAAGTTTTGATATAATGAATTATAACCATATGTTTTCTAATATTCAGTCTTTATTTTATTTTTGTAATAAACCTTAATCGATCTTGTTATATTATTCTGATAGATTTAATTTACTAATATTTTCTTTATGAAATTTGCCTAAGTATATGCAATGTTGGAATCAGGTGTATTCAGCTTACTAGAATAATTTGTGCAGTATATATTTTTTCATTTTGCAGCTTCCAAAGCAACATAAAGGGCAGATAAATTATTAGATCTTTAAAGAAGGTAGAAAAATAAAACTTACCTTTATATCATCTAGTTCATTTTTTTTTGTTTCCTTCTGTTTATTTTGGTTGAAAATTAAGAAGCACTTTATAGAATAATCATGTCCCTCTTTTTATTTTATTATTATTATACTTTAAGTTTTAGGGTACATGTGCACAATGTGCAGGTTAGTTACATATGTATACATGTGCCATGCTGGTGTGCTGCACCCATTAATTCGTCATTTAGCATTAGATATATCTCCTAAAGCTATCCCTCCTCCCTCCCCCCACCCCACAACAGTCCCCAGAGTGTGATGCTCCCCTTTCTGTTCATTTTTTTAAAACTATGTTTTCAACTACTTGTTCTTGTCATTTTGCTTTTTGGAAACTCCTTTAATCAATACTGGTCATTTGTATATTTTTATGAAATTCATAGCTCTATAAGTATTTTCAAATTTATAGCTATATCTATCTGTATTACACAGATTTGAATATGATTATCCCTTAAAACTTATCTGCCTTTGCTGCATTGGCATTGTCTTGGTGTTCTAAACTGTCCCTCTTTGCATTTGTGTCTGTCTTTTCAAGCACTGGCTCTTGGATTGATTTATAAAGTCTGCTTAAAGTTCTGTTGTCCAGTTAGTTAATTAACTAGGTATAATAATGTGTCCAGTTATAACTGACTTATAATAATTAATAAGCTAAGAGGTAAAGCTGATTTTACAGTTTGTATTCTTGTACTGGAGCTCTTATATAAACTAACATCACTCTATTCTACATTTTATGATCTTTCTTTCTTATTCACTTTGCTCCAAACAGAAAATAAAAAATGATTTTGGATATTTTACCTACCATTTACAAACTTTTGTTCAAAGTTTTATCCTTTCTACATCAATTTTAAACAACAGATTTATATTTCCTGTGACTGTTTCTTTTTTGTTTTTATATTTATTTTTATTGTCTTCTTAGATTAGAGGTTTTCATAGAGCTTCTTTAACAATAAAATTCATAATAAAAACTATGTCCATTGCTTTTTTGCTTTATTGATTAATTCATTCAAATTTAGTGTTTTTTTAAAATCAAGTTTATTTAGATAAAATGTGCATAACGTTAAACACACACACTTAGATGAGTTTTAACAAAATGTATACCATCTTGTAACCACCTCCCATTCATGATATAGAACCTTTCCACATTTCATTAATCATCAAAAATGTTTCACATACAGCTTTCAATCTCACCTCTATCCCCTCATTCACTCAAACTCAGTACTGGTTCTGGGAGATCACAGATTAATTTCTATGACTATCTATTAATTTAACATATCCTATAATGTAATATAATTAGAATTATACTCTTTTGTGACTTATTTTTACTCACACTTTGAGTCTTATCCATGTTGTTGTATTTGTCTATAATGTGTGGAATAATATTCTATTGTATGGCTATACCATAATTTGTTTATCCATTTATCTACTATGAACATTTAGTTTGTTTCCAGGTTTGGATATTATAAATAAATTTACTATTAAAATTCACAAACACATCTTTTTGGTGGACAGATATTTTCATTTGGGGGTAAATGTCTAGGAGAAAAATTGCTAACTCATATGGTAAATATATGTTTAACTCTTTAAGGAACTGCTAAACTGTGTTCCAAATTAGTTGTTTAATATTATAATGTTACTACAGCAATGTATAAAACCTGTAGTTGCTTCAAATTCCCACAAACATTTGCTACTGTCAATTATTTTTTTAAATATTAGCCACTCTAACGGTGTATAGTGATATTTCATTGCATTTTAGTTTTCAATTCCCAGGTGAATAATGATATTTTGCACCTTGTCATGTCATTCATATGCCTCTTTTCATAAAGTGCCTCTGCAATATTTCAGCCCATTTAAGAAAGTAGTTAGTCATTTTCTTTTTATTGAAGTCTAAATGTTCTTGACATATTCTGGATGAAAATCTTTTGTTAGATATATGTATTTGAATAGTTTCTTCCACTCCATGAATTGCTTTGATGTTTACAATAGTGTTTTAAAGAGATTTTTATTTTGATGAATTTTAACTTATCACTTTTTTTTTGCTTGTTTCTTTTTGGTAGTTTTATGTATCTATTTTTATATCTAGGTTTATTATTTATTTGTAGTTCATATTTTGTTTATGGTATGTGGGTAAAATTCAAAATTCATATTTTTTAATATATACAGTTATGTCAGCACCATTTCTTCTTAAAAAAACTATAATTTTTCTCATTAAATTACCATAGTGTTATGGTTGAAAAATAGTTGATCATATAGATGTGAATCAATTTCTGTACTATTATTTTGTTTCATTAACTTGTATGTCTATTTCTAAGTAAACACAAACATTTTTTAAAGAATTTCTGAAACTTTATAGGAAGTCTTAAAAGTTCTTTTTTTTTCTACACACATATTTTGTATTGTTTTTGTTAGAGCAATTTATATTTCTAACACATCCATTTTGTTCTTTCTTATAATTTTATTTCTTCTGTGAGTTTCCTGTTTTCTCATTTAAATCATATTTTCCTTTAATGATTTAAGCACATTTTATAATATCTATTTTAAAGTGCTTGCCAAATGCAGTGTCTGGGTTATTTCAAGGTAGGTTTTTATTGATTATCTTTTTTCTGAACTATGGGTCAATGTTTTTTATTTTTGTGGCATATCTAATTTTTATTGCATACAAGACAATGAAAATAGTATGTCATAGAGATTTTAGATTCTGTTACTTCCTCTGAATAATGTTGATTTTGTAGTAGGAAGTATAAATACTAAGTGATTACCTTGAACTATTGTGGACTTTTTTTTTCTTTTTTTTAATTATTATTATACTTTAAGTTTTAGGGTACATGTGCACAATGTGCAGGTTAGTTACATATGTATACATGTGCCATGCTCGTGTGCTGCACCCATTAACTCGTCATTTAGCATTAGGTATATCTCCTAATGCTATCCCTCCCCCTCCCCCCACCCCAAACAGTCCCCAGAGTGTGATGTTCCCCTTCCTGTGTCCATGTGTTCTCATTGTTCAATTCCCACCTATGAGTGAGAACATGCGGTGTTTGGTTTTTTGTCCTTGCGATAGTTTACTGAGAATGATGATTTCCAGTTTCATCCATGTCCCTACAAAGGACATGAACTCATCATTTGTTATGGCTGCATAGCATTCCATGGTGTATATGTGCCACATTTTCTTAATCCAGTCTATCATTGTTGGACATTTGGGTTGGTTCCAAGTCTTTGCTATTGTGAATAGTGCCGCAAGAAACATGCGTGTGAATGTGTCTTTATAGCAGCAAGATTTATAGGTGGACTTAATATAATGAATTGTTAGGGTGGAAAACGTAAAATATTTCTCAAATCTCTCTAACTAGATGATATCCAAACTCCAAACTCTGTCTTTGGTGTTCTTTTTTTTTTTTTTTTTTTTTTATGGAGTTTTGCTCTTGCTGCCCGGGCTGGAGTGCAATGGCATGATCTTGGCTCACCACAACCTCCGCCTACCGGGTTCAAGTGATTCTCCTGCCTCAGCCTCCAGAGTAGCTGGGATTACAGGCGTGCGCTACCATGCTCGGTTAGTTTTGTATTTTTAGTAGAGATGGGGTTTCTCCATATTGCTCAGGCTAGTTTCGAACTCCTGGCCTCAGGTGATCCGCCTGCCTCGGCCTCCAAAGTGCTGGGATTACATGTGTGAGCCACTGCGCCGGCCTATTGTATGTCTTATAAGGGGATGGTTTCGATTTGGTTTCAGTGAATCTAAAGTAGGTCCTGTTTGGGAGTATGATTTGCTCCTTAAAGAATTTTCAAGAGCCTCAGCTGAATCCCTAAAATGCTAATAGAGTACTATTACGTGTCTCCACTCTGTTTGAAAAAACAATTACTTCCAACATCACTAGACCACTGTTATCTCTGTTCTGCTCACAACTTTATAAGCTATTCTTTGGTAACTCTCAAGGCTGCACAGGTGCTGCCCAGCTCTCAGCTGAAGACTCACACAGGACCCAAACAAGTTTCTGGAGACTACCTTGCTGAATCCCTTCGTTCCCATTGCACTGTGGATCCCAACAGCTTTAGCCTCCCCTCATAACAAACCTTTGCTTCCTCAACCCAGTGTGACAGCTGTGTTAGTCCTGGATTCCAGCTCACTATGCTGTAGTCAATTAGCTTTTCTTCAAGAAAAGAACTGAAACAATTTGGGCGTCTATCCCCTCAGTTTTACTTCTCTCAGGATTTGTCATCTTATTGTACCTGTTTTCTGTGACTTTGGCTTTTTTTCTCTGGTCCCTAGGTTTCTAATCTAGAAAATGAAAGCTTTAATACTGATTAAAATTTAAGTTCTTTACCAGTTCTAATCTTTGATGAGTCTGGGATATATGCATTACCTTGTTTCCATATGTAACATTTGTTTTCCAGACTTTTCATTCCCTAAAGAGTTTGCAATAAAAGAATAAAATATATTTATCATGATAAACTATTCACAAACTGTATAATCAACTTACATAAAATATAAGGTAAAATAATAGACCACAACTCCTTGAAAGCTGTGTTTAAAATCAACAATTGAAGAGGAAGTTACTTTAAAAAATTATAAATTATTTCTGCTGACAATATCAGTATTCAATATTTCAGGCAATTATTCAGAAGGCAACACAGCTAAGAGGTTGAAGAAGCTTCTTCCCCAGTTACTTGAGTGCCCTTAGAATGGAATAGCAGAAAATGTCATAACCATAGTAATTCAGCCTCATTTATCCAAGAGTATAATCATCAGAGATGTTTTGCACCTGGATTCATACCTGGTATTGGACTCACAATGAAGAAAATACCACCTAAATTATTCAAATATAATGACTTAAGCAATACATCAAAATGCACTACCTAGAAAGAATTTTTTTTTATAGCTGTTTCTCGGCAAAAAACAAACAAACAAAATAAAAAACAAGAACAAAACAAAACAACAACCCAAAGTGAATTTCTTTTTTAACAGTATTTCTATTTTAAAAATGTAATCAATTTTATATATGTATAAAACTTTTTTACCACCATATGATGAAGTGAATATTTTTATGAAATAAAAACAATTAAATACTGCCACTACCTTGCTGAATATTGGAGAAATTCTTAGCAATTTCTGAGCACATTCAGTGATTAAATTATAAATAGATAAAGGAAGGTTAAAATGGTTGCATTTCAGTTTGGATGATAAGAACTATGTTAACTTTCAAGAAAATTGGCAAATTGGCATTTTAACCAAGCTCCTTTTTCTATTTAATGTGCAGTTAACCACAGCATGTAGATAACAAGATCAGCCTCCTCTCTGAGTCATTTTTGGATTTGGGGGCTTATTTTTTTTTTTTCCAAGAGAGTTGACTATTTATTTACTCTCTAGAAGACTGAGTAAAATAGGTTGCATTACCTTTCGTTCTAAATGTTAGTGTGTACATTCCATTATAGAATGAAGATTTCAGGGCTGGAAAAGTGGTAAGGCTTTCAAAAGATAAGAAGTCTCTGGAAGATTTGGAAATCATCCTAATCTCTCTTTGCAAAAGAGTAAAGTCCTTTTTCCTCTGTAATAGAAATTAGTTGTAATAAAGTTGTCCCTCAGTATCCACGGGGGATTGTTTCCAGGACCCCCTCAGCCTCCTCCCTGTGGTTACCAAAATTCATGGATGTTCAAGGCTCTCATATAAAAGGGCATTGTATTTGCATATAGCCTAAGCACATTGTCTCATATACATTAAATCACCTTTAGATTACTTGTAATGCCTAGTACTATGTAAATGTTATATAAAGAGTTGTTATACTTTATTGCTTTTTTATTTGTATTATTTTTATTGTATTGTTATTTTTAAAATTTTTAAAACATATTTTTGACCTGTGGTTGGTTGAATTCAGTGATGCAAAACCCAAAGTTATGGAGGATATGTATTCAAAATGTGGACTAAGCAAAGGTATAGACAAATAAATTAATGTGACAAAATAGAGCCCATAAGTAGGCCCATATAGATATAGTCAATTGTTTTTGACAAGAAAACAAAGACAGCATACAATGACAACAAGGTAGTCTTTTCAAGAAATGGTTAGAACAACTGGACATACACTTGCAATAAAAAAATGAATTTAGACATGGGTCTTGAAGTCTTCACAAATATTATTTCAAGATGAACCATAAACCTGAATGTAAATCAAAGCTATAAAATTCCTTGAAGACAGAATAGGGAAAAATCTAGATGACTTTGGATTTGTTGGTCACCTTTTAGATACAATACCAAAGGCATGATCCATGAAAGAATTAAGTTGACAAGTTGGACTTCATTGAAGTTAAAAATGTCTGCTCAGTGAAGGAAACTGTCAAGAGAATAAGACAAGCAATGAACTGGGAAAAAGTATATGCAAAAGACATATTTGATTAAAAAACTGTTACTTTATATGTACATAAAACAATTTAAACCCAACAATAATAAAATAAACAAACTTTTTAAAAAATGGGCAAGGGATCTGAATAGGCCTCTCATCAGAGAAGATATACAAAGGCAAATGAGCACATAAAAAGATGCTCAACATCATATATCATTATAGACTTATTAGCTGAAACAACAATGATATATCACCATGTACCTATAGAATGATGAAAATTGAAAATGTTGACACCACCAAATGCTCATGAGGACATAGAGCAACAGGAACTCCCATTCATTGTTGGTGTGAATGCAAAATCATACAGCAACTTTAGAGACAGTTTGACAGTTTCTTACAAAACTAAACATGTTCTTATCATATAATCCAATAATCACACTTCTTAATATTTACCTAAATAAATTAAAAACTTATGTCCACTCAAAAACCTTCACACAGATGTCTAGAGCAGTTTTATTCATAATTGATGAAACTAAGAAATAACCAAGATGCCCTTCAGTTGCTGAATGGCTAAATAAACTATGATATATTCAGACAGCAGAATATTATTCAGCATTAAAAGAAATGAACAATCTAGCATGAAGAAATATAGAGGAAACTTATATGTATATTTCTGAGCAGAATGAGTCAATCTGAAAAGGGTATATTTTGTGTGATTCCAAATATATAATATTCTGGAAAAGGTGAAACTACGGAGACAATAAAAAGACCAGTGGTTGCCAGGATCTGGTATGGAGGGAGGGATGAATAGGTAAAAGGTTTTCAGGGTAGTGAAACTCTTTTTTGCATACATTTGTAATAATCCATAAAATGACCCTAATGTAAATCTTGGATTTGAGTGACAGTGATATGTTAATGTTGTAACAATGTACCATTCTGGTGTGGAATGTTGACAGAAGGTGAGGATATGTGTGTTAAGGGGTTAGGAAATACATAAAAACTCTCGTACTTTGTGCTCAGACTTGCTGTGAAATGGAAACCATCCAAAGAAGTAAAACCTATTTTTAAAAACCTGTATTAACTCTTCAGAAGAAATGGGTAAAAATACACACTGTGAGATAATTGTGAAAAATTTATTTTTACCACAATTAATATTAATAATATGATAGGCAACTATGAATCTAACATGAGCTGAATAGATAAAAAGTAATTGCAGGTACTAAAAATGTTCCATTTATTCTTAGATTTCATTACTTGAAAAATGTTTGTCGAGTATTAAAGTAGATAATAGTTACAATATAATATGTGCTAGTCAAATCGTATTAGACATATGTCACTTTGAACATGTTCCTGCATTTTCACATGAGAGTGAGAGAAGAAGACAAAAAGTTCATTATAAAACTCCTGGGCAGAGCTGACACTGTGGACTTTGTGTCATCAATATAATTTCATTTTTCAATATTAGTCTGACAAAAACCTTCACAAGTGTATCCTGAGATAAAAGACAATTCTAAAATATTCTTGAAAAATATATGTAATTAGCAATATATTAGTTCAAATTTGTTAAGCTATGCTATAATAACAAATAAACCCCCAATAGAAGTGGACCGCCATAACGAAGTTTTATATCGTTAACATACAATGTTTAACATGGATGACGCTGATAAGGTTCTCTAGGACCACTCTCTTCCATGTAGTGTTTCAGAAATTTTGACTCTGGCTTTCACAGTTCTTTGCTTCCAGGTGCACGAAGGAAGAGGTGAAAGCCAACCTTTGAGAAACACCATTTTCTTACTAAACTATTTATTTATTTTTATTATAATAATTTGGCTTTGTACAGTAATTGGTTCTTACTTTCATATCCCAGTCATCTTTTATACTAATATTTATACTCAAAATAACTTATAAAAATCTTTAAAGTGTTTCATTTATATTATCTCAATTACCCTCACAACTGTACTCTATTACATTGGCATTTCAAAGATGTCTTCAGCCATTTATAAATACACAGACAATACAGGTCCCCGAAATGGTGACATGTGCTAATGTTTTTCAACTGTTTAGGACCTTGCTTACTGTACAGAACTTTTGGGTTTTGTTATTTTTTTTATTTTGATTATTCAGTGCTGTCTAGGAGATTGCTCTACAAGACCTTTTGTTAATGTGGCATTCACTGAGATTTCTTCAGGAAACTTAGGTAACAGTTATTTCTTCAATTGACTGGTGTTTGACTGGTTCTTTCTGAAACCTCTATTTTCCCATCAGGCACATATGAATTGAAATAGTTCAGCATTCTATTATGGCCATTTTCTCTCACAACAAATGTAGATGCATCTTAGCAGGATTGCTTTGCGTTCATTTGAATTTCGGGGATTATTCACAGTTCATTTGGCCCACAGGAACTCATCCCTTAGTTGTATGACACACATTTTTCAGGCCTTTTATTGTTTCTCCTCCCTTCAGCCTACACATTCCCTTGCTTTTCCTCAGCCTATTGTCAGATTCTGACTTGACCTTTCTGAGCTGGTGGTCTAAAAGTTTTAATGTCACATGACACATATGTATATTGGGATTTCTCTCTTATCCCCTTAAATCTTCATGCATTATACTTATTGTGTTAATCTTTCTAATTCCTTCAATTCCAATTTTCTGTCTATGAAGACTTTTCAATTTTCTGGGGCTGCTCTAGGGCAAATTGTAACGTAAATGAAGATTTTATTCAGTATTCAACTATTTCCTCCTATAGTTCCTTAATCTTAGTCTGTATTTTTTTTTTTTTAATTTTCTCTTGTTGCTCCTTGACTCCTTGGGATACCATGAACAAATCTATTCACCGGCCAAGCCTGAACTTACCTTTACCAGAGATTTGAATCTAAATAATCTAAATAATCACTAGCATCTATCTTGTGTGATTCTGCAAGAATCTTCTTTGTAAACTATATTACAAGTCCTCTGTTTTCAAAAATAAATTACAGTTAAGTAGGGTAGAGACCACTTAATTTTACTCTGCTTCAACAGATGTTCTTTCATAAAACCACTCAGTGAATTTAGTACAATCAGGCATTAGCACAGTTCAATCAATGGGGGAAAAAATTATTGGTCTTAAACATGGAGATGAGGACTGGGCGCAGTGGCTCATTCCGGTAATCCCAGTACTTTTGGGAGGCTGAGGCGGTTGGATCACCTGAGGTCAGGAGTTTGAGACCAGCCTGGCCAACATGGTAAAACCCTGTCTCTACTAAAAATACAAAAATTAGCTGGGCTTGGTGGTGGGCGCCATATTCCCAGCTACTCTGGAGGCTGAGACAGGAGAATGGCGTGAACCCGGGAGGCGGAGCTTGCAGTGAGCCAAGATCGCACCACTGTACTCCAGCCTGGGTGACAGAGCGAGACTCGGTGAAAAAAAAAAAAAAAAGAAGATTCCCATCGTTGTCCCAGCCTTTGAGACATGTATCTGGAGCTCTGTTTCAGGGAGCAGCATTAAAAAAGAGCAGAGCAGCTTCAGAGAAAATGCCAGGTTTCCATATGAGAAACCCATCACTGAATAGACAGAGCAAGCAGTGACAAACATTTTTCCGATAACATCATTGCAAAAATTAGACAACTTTTATCATTTTTCACTATCTCACAGAAGCTTAAAGATATTCTATATACACATATATTCAGATAAAATCAAGCAGATTTGCTGTCTCAGCTAATCTCTTCCTCTTATATAATTACTAAAAAGATAATCTTTGGTCCCAGTAATTGCCAATGAGATGTAACAAAGACAGGGTGGATTGCGGTAATGAGATGGGCTCTGCAGTAGGATTGAAAAGGCTTGAATTCCGATTAGCGGATCTCTGATTTTTGAAGAATCATTTAGTCTTTGGGGACCACAGCCTTCCCAACTTTAAATACAGTTACTTTCTAAGGAATGAATACATGTACTATGTAAGGTTGTTGTGAATTGAGGATGTATATGAAATGCCTGGTTTAGAGCTATCTCACCAAGTGTTTGTTTCCTAAGCTTTTCTTCTTAAGACTTTAAGACATTGTCTTTTCCCTGCATTAAAATATTTCTTTCGGATATGGGCAATGATTCTTCCATCAATTTTCAAAGTCTGTTCTGGATTCTATGATTTCTTTAAAAAATTTTTTTCTACTGTACTCATTCTTTCTTATTTTCTAAGGAGAGATAATGAAGTCATTATAAGCTGACTGCATACATAAGTTTTATTTTTCCAATATAAAATTCGATTGTTCTATGAATTCCTGAGAAGAAAACACAATAGCAGTAATAGCAAGATTTATTTACAAAATTATATTTTATTTTAATTAAAGAAAATGAAAGTAGCCTCAGAATAGTATGGAGAGGAAATTCCTGATAGCAGGAAGGGGTGGGAATGTATTGAAACACAGACTGAGAGAAGAACAGGTAGTGTTTCTTCATGTGATCCCTGAGTAAAGTAAGTTTGTTTGAATAAAATTATCAACAAGTATGTTTTAAATTGTCATTCTTGTTCAATAAAATTAGACCCTCTTTGATGCACACTTTATTCGAGTAAGTCACCTACTCTGATCATCAATGACATAAGTCAAAAACAGTTATGTAGAAAAGTGGCAGTGATTAATGACCTTTCTTTTCTGATGTAAAACTCTAGAAATAAATAAAATCCTCAATTTACACAGAAGTCAATGGACATCTTTTTTCTCAGGAAAGCCTAGTCCCTGTTGCAACATTAATAGCTTGGTGAAGTTTTTTGTTATTGTTTTTTGTTTTTAAATAAAAACAGAAACTATCATCAGAATTTTGCCTCTTATATCCAATAAATAATTCATCATTCAATATTATATCTATAAAAATAAGATAATTTGATTAGAAATAATTGTTTCTATAAGCCTTGGGTGGAGATTTCCCAAAGATTATTCTTTATCTATGTCATGACTTTCTCACTGTGAAGCACTAACCAGACAGGCTACAGTGTTCCTGACAGTCTATTTATTGCTTAATTTTTTCTTCTTTCCCAACAAGATTTTTATTTCAAACAGTCACTATTGAATAATATATCCTCTAAGTAAAATCTTCCTTCCTGATTGAAGGATGGTTATTTTAATATCATGGCTGCCAACAACTACCACTTACTCTTCAGCCATGGTGGGTTTTGCTTTGCTGTATTGTGTTTTTTAGTCTGTGTCCCTCAAACCTGTACATTGGCAATTATCTTTCTTATCAGAAAACTGGCTGCTGAATTTGAAATGTGGTGATGGTTCAGAATATGAAACTTTAGCACTATGAGCAGTCACAGTTGCCCAGAGCTTTACCATAAGCTCGTTCTCTGGTCTCCTAATGGGTTAGAAGCTCCAGGGAAGAATTGTCTGTGTCTCATTTCTAGTCTCTAATTATGTCACAGGTGAAATTTAATTAATGTGTTTCTTTTTATCAATTTTTTGAAGGATTAGACTGAATAATATAGGTTTTGGGATCATCCCTGGATTTCACTATAACCTACTTAAACTTTGTTAGCATGGATAGTTTTATTGAGAGGCCAACCAATCAACCAATGAACAACAACAACAACAAAATTGCTAAGAATTTATATGCTCAACATTGTAAAAACTGTCGCAGAAGGAACAATCATTCTTCCACTTTGAAAAGACCTTTGTGAATAGGAATCAAATTAGGAGTAAGGCCAACTTCATTGCTAAAATAATTAGAAAAAATACCCATGTGAAGTAGTGCTGAGGAAGGAAGCAGTGTAAATTGCAGTAGACAAGTGGGTAATCTCATGAGAGGTGGTTCTCAGGAGCAGTGTGAGAGAAGGGGCAAGAAGGTTAGGGAGAGACGTGGAATAAGTACAGACAATGAAGTTGGGAGTTAGTTGGCTTTAGTTGTGAGTGAGCAGTAGAGACAGTTAGGGCTTTCTGCCTAATTCAGAGATACTTATAGTAGAATAGGAAGTGATATTAAGATGCCATAGAGGCCCTTTAATTGGCTCAGATGGTTTTCATTAAGTACTCAATTAGCTGGACTCCATACATGGTATCTAAATCTACATCTCACAGAATAAGATGTACATCTCTTCAAAGTGGAAGAATTATTTTTCCTATTGTGACAGTTTTTACATCCAATCTTAACATAAATACTGAAGACATTAATTATGATATGACTGAAATAAAATTAAATATGGGATGAAGTGATCATTAGTCTAACAGAAAAAACACTGAGTTTTTATCATGGTTCAATTACTAACTAGTGCTGTGATCTTGGAAAAGCTTACTAATTTTTTATTATTTGAATTTCCTTAACTATAAAATTAAGAAATTAAAAACAATAATCTTTAATATATATCCTAACTGTTAAAAAAAAAAAAAAGGAACTAGTGTCAAGTTATCTGACTGACTATCCTATGTGGAATAGTATGTTTTCAAACTAAATTATCTCTTTTCTTTCCAAAAAAAGGTCAGGTGTGAAGTTTTGTTTTTTTTTTTTTTTTTTTTTTTTTTGAGGCGGAGTCTCACAATGTCGCCCAGGCTGGAGTGCAGTGGCGTGATCTCGGCTCACTGCAACCTCCATCTCCCAGGTTCACGCCATTCTCCTGCCTTAGCCTCCCGAGTAGCTGGGACAACAGGCGCCTGCTACCATGCCCGGCTAATTTTTTGCATTTTTAATGGAGATGGGGTTTCACCGTGTTAGCCAGGATGCTCTCGATCTCCTGACCTGGTGATCTGCTCGCCTTGGCCTCCCAAAGTGCTGGGATTACAGACGTGAGCCACCGCACCCGGCAGAAGATTTTTTTTTTAATTAAAATCATGTGATTGCTACCTGATTTTCTCACAGGAAAACTTTCCACATTTTCTGTCTTAGTCCATATTTCTTTCTCTTTAGAAATGTAATTTCCTTTAGATGGGTTCAGTCTATGTTTTGGAGGACAATGATTGTATTTATTTCTTCAAAAATGAATGACTACTACGCAACAGAATCTGTGTAGCATTTTGACAAAGTGGTGCAAAATTTACATACGGTTCTAACTAGACGATACAGATTTTCATATATGGGAAAGCAAAACAAAATTAGATGCACAAATAATATAGTGAAATTAAAATTAGGAAAGTACTCTGAAGCAACTAGCACAAAACTATAATTGACAATATGTTGAAGCCGTATATTTGGAGAGAGTGGTCAGGAAATGTCTGTCTGGGCAGACAATATTTGAGGGGAGATCTACATGTTGACAGGGGCCAACCATGTAAAGTATCATGGAGGAGGAAATTCAGGCAGATGGACACATGTGTAAAGCTGGGAAACAACTTATAAATATTGACAGGGGCCAACCATGTTGCAGAAAATGAAAAATTATTTGAGAAACAAAAGAGGGTGGATCACTTGAGCTCAGGAGTTTGAGACCATCCTGGGCAACATGGTGAAACCCATATCTATTAAAAAATACAAAAATTAGCCAGGCATGGTGGCATGGGCCTGTGGTCCCAGCTACTCGAAAGGCTGAGATGGGAGGATAGCTTGACCCTGGGAGGTGAAGGTTGCAGTGAACCGAGATTGCACCACTGCACTCCAGTCTGGGTAACAGAGCAAGACATTGTCTCAAATAAATAAGTAAATAAATAGTAATGAAAAGAAAAAAGGGCACAAAAAAGAAAATAAAAAGTTAGTGTGGTAAGAGCAGAGTAACCAAGTAGAAGTGTTTCAACCTCACAAAAGGTTGAAACATAGGCAGCATAATGATCCAGCAAAGACTGATCCATGTTGGTTAAATGAAACTCTTCTTGGTGTAAGTGTTAGAAATGTATCTCAAACTAGGCAAAGTGCTAAAAGGTAATATTAATTCACTGAACATTCCAGAGTGGAACTGGCTTGAAAGAGCAGCAAGATATAGGAATGCAAGAAAGTTGTGAGGACTTTGTTTCTCTCTGCCTTTATTTCTCAGGCCAGCTTTCCTTTCCTTTCTTTCTTCTTAACCATGCCATCCACATATAGTAGGAAAGATGGCCATTAGAAACTCATTTTACATCTTCTTTGCACTCTCAAGCCAATTTCATTATCAGATGAGAAAGTAATCTTTCCTTTCTCTCCAATAAAGATGTTCATTGTTTAACCTTTGTTCACATGTATATTGATAAAACATTTATTTTGGCCATGAAGCTGATATGCACTGACTCAAGTGGTAATGGGGATAAGCCAGCCCTACTCCAATCACATGAGCTGACATGGACGAAGTCATAGATTTCCAATAAGAGAGAGAAAAAATAATCATGGAAACTGCAGTAGATGGTCACTTCATGAAAAGGAGATCAGATCTCTTTGTATTGAAATGGAGAGGTAGAGATGAGTATTAAGCAAGAAATGCAATTTTTGCAATCATGTTTTCAAGTTCACTTCATTGGTTTCAGTCTGGGAAATAGATCTCCAAGGAAGTATATCTTCTAAGGTGTGGACCACTGTAAAGCATATTTCCATCACTGCCAAACATGTAGAAGGTAGCAAAACCCCCTGCTTCCCTAAATATTTCATTCCTAATACCAAAAATATTTTCAAGTAAGATTCAAGATTGTTGTCTGGCTACTTAGTCCACAGGAGAAAATTTTACTTGGGACCTAAAGGCTGTAGAAATGCACACTGGGATGACAGATGAGTTAGATTTCTTTTTTCATTTTAAATTATGAGAATTTACCTGAGGAAAAGTTTCATTATTACAAATAGTGTGGAAACAGCCTCCAGGAAAGAACATAAACAAGAACTAAGGGCCTTAAATCCAAAAGATAGGGGAAATACTCACACTTACACTGCCTCTAACTAGTTAGGAATCTTAGGTATCTTAATCAATTTTCTGTTGCTTACAAAACAATACCTAAAACTGAGTAATTTATAAAGAAAGACATTTATTTATTACGATTATGGAAGCTTAGAAGTCCAAGGTTAGAGGGCTGCATCTGGTGAGAGCTTTCTTGCTGGTGAGGACTCTCTGTAGAGTCTCGAGGCAGTGCAGGTTATCACACGATGAGGCGGCCAAGTGCTAATGTGCTAGCTCAGGTCTCTCTTCCTCTTCTTATAAAGAAACCAGCCCCACTTCCCTGGTAACCAATTAATCAATTAATGAATTAATCCATTCATGAGAGCTCTGCCAATCACCTCTTAAAAGCCCTACCCTTGAATAATGCCTCGTGAGGGATTAAATTTCAAAATGTGTTTTGGGGAACACAAATATTTAAACCATAGTATCTGCCTCTGGCCCTCCCCACAAAAACTCTTGTTTTTCTTACCTACAAATCCCATCACATAGCTTCAGAATCTTAACTTTTTCCAGCACCAACTCAAAAGTTCAAAGTTAAGAGTGTCACCTATGAAAATGTGAAATCAAAACAAGTTATCTGCTTCCAAAGGTACAACGGTTAGAAAAGCATAGGGTACACATTCCCATTTGAAAAGGGAGAAATAGTAGTCAAGAAGAAAGGAGTAACAAACTCCAAGCAAGTATGAAGCCCAACTTATCAGGCATTGAGTCTTAAAGCTCCAGAATATTCTCCCTTGACTCCACATCCAATAATTCTTTTGTACACTGGTGTAGGGGTTGGGCCCTGAGACCTCAGGCAACCCTGCAACTATGGCTTTGTTGGGCTTGGTTCACCCAGCTCTCCCAGGCTGTCATTGCACTCTGATAGTTCTGAAGTTCTGGGGGCTCAGCGGCAGTCCTGCTTCCACAGCTCCCCCAGGCATTACCCAATGGGGACCGGGTGGTGATCTTGCTCTCATGGTTTCAGTAAACATTGCCCTGGTGGGGACTCTTTTTAGCAGTTGCAACCCCACATTTCCACTGGGCATTGCTCTAGTGAGGGCTGTCTGCAGTGGCTCCGCCCCATGACGAGTTTCTGTCTGAGCTCTCAGGCTTTTGACAACATCATTTGAAATCTGGTTGGAGGCTTCCAAGCTTTTATAGCTCTTACTTTCTGTAAGCTTGAAGAATCAGCACCACATGGACAAATTAAGGTTTCTGACTTGTACTGTCTGGAGCTGCTGCATGAACCACACTTGGGGCCACTAGGGTCTTGGCTAGTGTGGCCCCAAAGTGCTGTGCCCAGATGTAGGGAAGAGAGTCCCGAAGGAGTCCTTGGTAGCAAGCTCATAAAGAGCACTCTGGGCCTGTCGCCTGAAATCATTCTGCACTCCTAGGCTTCTGTGCCTGTAATGGAAGGAAAAGCCTCAAAGATCTCTGAAATGCTTTCAGGGCCTTTTTTTCCCCACTGTCTTGAAAGTTAGCACCTGGCTCCCTTCTATTAGTGCTAATATCTTTAGCAAAACTACACCTTTGATTTATACTTCTGAGCACATTTTTTGACTCTCTGTGTGGCCAGGCTGAGAATTTTCCAAATGTTTCTACTCTGCTTCCTTTTTAATTATAAATTCTGTATTTACATTATTTCTTTGCTCCCCAAATCTTAGTTTAAATAGCTGAAAGTAATCATGCACCTCTTTCTATATTTTGCTTAGAAATTTCTTCTGCCAGATACCCTAGACCATCACTCTCAAATTAAGCCTTCTACAAAGCCCTCAAGCATGGACACAGTTCAGTCAAGTTATTTGCCAATTTGTAACAAAGATGGGCTTTATTCCAGTTCCCAATACCTTTTTCCTCAGCTCTATCTAAAACTTGATCAGAATGGACTTTACTCCCTGTATTTCTATCAGCTTTCTGGTTCTGAAACTTTAACCAATTTGTAAGGATTCTGAAATTTCCCTAGTCTTCTTGTATTCTAACATCTAACCAGAATCTAAGCTTTTTCTAGTCTGCTCCTCCAATTTTTTTCAGCAGCTGCCCAATGCCCCATTCGCAAACCAATTCCACATTTTTACATAACTGTTAACAGCAACACCTCACTTCTCAGTACCAATTTTCTGTCTTAGTCTGTTTTCTGTTGCTTATAATAGAATACCTAAAATGGCAATTTACAAAGAAAATGAACTTATTTCTTACAGTTACAGAGGCTGGGAAGTTCAGGGTTTAAGAACTCCATCTGGTGAGAGCATTGTTGTTTTTTTTTTTTTCTTTTTCTTAAAGACAAAGCCTGGCTCTGTTGCCCAGGCTGGAGTGCAGTACTACGAACACAGCTCTCTGCAGACTTGACCTCCTGGACTCAAGTGATTCTCCTGACTCAGCTTCCCAAGTAGCTGGGACTACAGGCATGAGCCACCATGCCTGGCTAGTTTTTATTTATTTATTTATTTTTGTAGAGACAGGGTCTCACTATGTTCCCCAGGCTGGTCTCAAATTCCTTGGTTCAAACGATCCTCCCACCTTGGCACCCCAAAGTGCTGGAATTATAGGCGCCAGGCAACGCACCTGGTCTCTATTTATTTATTTATTCATTTTGAGACGGAATCTCACTCTATCACCCAGGCTGGAGTACAGTAGCGCAGTGATGCGATCTCGGCTCACTGCAACCTCCGCCTACCTGGTTCAAATGATTCCCCTGCCTCGGCCTCCTGAGTACCTGGGATTAGAGGCGCCTGCCACCACGCCCGGCTAATTTTTTGTATTTTTAGTAGAGATGGGGTTTCACCGTATTAGCCAGGATGGTCTCAATCTCCTGACCCCATGATCCGCCTGCTTCAGCCTCCCAAAGTGCTGGGATTACAGGCGTGAGCCACCGCACCTGGCCTTTTCTTTATTTTTATTTTTTTATTTTTATTTTTCTTGAGACAGAGTCTCGATCTTTCACCCGGGCCGGAGTGCAGTGGTGCTATCTCGGCTCACTGCAAGCTCTGCCTCCCAGGTTCACGCCATTCTCCTGCCTCAGCCTCCCGAGTAGCTGGGACTACAGGCACCCACCACCGCGCCCGGCTAATTTTTTGTATTTTTAGTAGAGACGGGGTTTCACTGTGTTAGCCAGGATGGTCTCGATCTCCTGACCTCGTGATCCGCCCACCTGGGCCTCCCAAAGTGCTGGGATTACAGGAGTGAGCCACCGCGCCTGGCCTTTTTCTATTTTTTAAAAAGAATCAGGATCTTGCTGTGTTAAGTGGCATAATCATTCGTGTCATCATAGGTCAGTGCAGCTTTGACCACATAGGTTCAAGTGATCCTTCCACCTCAGCCTCCTGAGTAATTGGGGCTATAAGAATACACAACCAGCATGTCCAACTTTTTTATTTATTTTTTTATTTTTATTTTTTTGTAGAGACCGTAGTCTCAGTATGTTGACCAAACTTGTTTTGAACTCATGGCCTCAAGTGATCTTCTCACCTCAGCCTCCCAAACTACTAGAATTACAGTTGTGAGCCACTGCTGCCAGCGAGAGCCTTCTTGCTAATGGAGACCCTCTGAAGACTGCTGATGTGTCATAGGATATCACATGCGGAGGGAGCTGAGCATGTTAATGTGCTGGCTCAAGTCTCCCTTTCTCTTCTTAATTCATGAGCCATTAATTCATTAATACATAAATGGAGTAATCCATTCATGAACTCTCTCCCTCACAATTCAATCACCTATTAAAAGCCCCATCTCTCAACACTGGCACATGGGGATTAAGTTTTAATAGGAGTTTTGGAGACACATTCAAACCATAGCATCAGGTAAGATACTTAAATCCCCTAAACCCTTGTTTCCCTAATGATGAGAGATGAGGTGAGAATTAAATGTGATAAAGCTTTTTTCATGGTTAACGTAGTAATGAGCACAACATAAACAATTAACAGATGTTCCCCATCATTACTAATTGTTAAATAATATATTTGTATTTAATAACCCTGAACATCTCTTTTTTAGAACTGAAGTAATGGATATTATGTTACTTATTCATTTTTCGTGACTCATCACCCTTTTGTATAACAATTAGATAATAACTTGTATTAACATAAAGTACCACAAAAGAAATTACTACAAATAACTGTATATTCAAAGAATGGTTTGGAAAATATCAAATTATTATTGCAAATTTTGTGTAATTGACTATGCCTTCTATTTCCTTTTAGAGTCCTTTCATCACCTGTAAGCTTTAATGTTAATATACACTGTGTACCACAGAAATCTAAAATTGTGTTACATAAAATGAGATTCTATGAATGTGATGTAATGGAAAAGGTGTAGGATTTAAACTCTTATAGACTTAGTTTTCAGTCTGTTCTACCACATATTACCCGTGAGATTTTGAATAAATTACTTAATTGCACTTTCTATAAATTTTGTTTTAAAAAAAGCAGGAATAGGGATATAGAAGGTGAATCATATCTTCTTTGTAGCAATGGCATAGGGATTAGAGATTTTTTAAGTCCGTAACACACAGATTCAATGAATGATAGCCATTAATACTAGGCATTAAAGAATTTTACGTATGTAAGGAATGGTTCATTCCTGCAAGGATATTTATTTATTTTTTTGTGAGTGACTTTTTAAAAATTTTTTCCATAAGTTATTGAGGCACAGGTCATATTTGGTTACATGAATAAGTTCCTTAGTGTTGATTTGTGAGATGTTGGTGCACATATCACCTGAGCAGTATACACTGTACCACATTTGTAGCCTTTTAATCCCTCACCCTCCTCTCACTCCTCCCCTTGAGTCCCCAAAGTCCACTGTATTATACATATACCTTTGTGTTCTCATAGCTTAGCTCCCACATATCAGTGAGAACATACAATGTTTGGTTTTCCATTCCTGAGTTACTTCACTTAGAATAACAGTCTCCAATCTCATCCAGGTCACTGCAAATGCTGTTAATTCGTTCGTTTTTATGGCTCCATAGTATTCCATCATATATATGTACCAAAGTTTCTTCATTCACTGATTGATTGATGGGCATTTGGGTTGGTTCCATGATTTTGCAATTGTGAATTGTGCTGCTATGAACATGCATGTGAAAGTATCTTTTTCGAATAATGACTCATTTTTGCTGGGTAGATACCCAGTAGAGCAATTGCTGGATCAAATGGTAGTTCTTTTAGTCCTTTAATAAATCACCACACTGTTTTCCATAGAGGATGTACTAGTTTACATTCCCACCAGCAGTGTAGAAGTGTTCCCTGTTCACCACATCTATGCCAACATCTACTGTTTTTTTTTTTTTATTTTTTTTATTATGGCCATTCTTGCAGGAGTAAGGTAATGTCCCATTGTGGATTTGATTTGCATTTCCCTGATCATTAGTAATGTTGAGCATTTTTTAATATGTTTATTGGCCATTTGCATATCGTCTTTTGAGAATTGTCTGTTCATGCCCTTAGCCCACTTTTTGATAGAAATTTTTCTTACTGATTTGTTTGAGTTAATTGTAGATTCTGGATATTAATCCTTTTTCAGATGTATAGATTGTGAAGGTTTTCTCCCACTCTGTGCGTTGTCTGTTAATTCTGCTCACTGTTCCTTTTGTCATGCAAAAGCTCTTTAGTTTAATTAGATCCCAGTTATTTATCTTTGTTTTTATTGCATTTGATTTTGGGTTCTTGGTCATGAAATCCTTGCCTAAGCTAATGTCTAGAAGGGTTTTTCCAATGTTATCTTCCAGAATTTTTGTAGTTTCAGGTCTTAAGTTTAAGTCCTTAATCCATCTTGCATTGATTTTTGTATAAGGTAAGAGATGAGGATCCAGTTTCATTCTCCCACATGTGACTAGCCAATTATCCCGGCACCATTTGTTGAAAAGGGTATCTTTTCCCGACTTTATGTTTTTGTTTGTTTTGTCAAAGATCAGTTGGTTGTAAGTATTTGGGTTTATTTCTGGGTTTTCTATTCTGTTCCATTGGTCTTTGTGCCTATTTTTATACCAATATCATGTTGTTTTGGTGACTATGACCTTATAGTATAGTTTGAAATCAGGTTGTGCGATGCCTCCAGATTTGTTCTTTTTGCTTAGCCTTGCTTTGACTATGTGGGATCTTTTTTGGTTCCATATGAATTTTAGAATTGTGTTTTCTAATTCTGTGAAGAATGATGATGGTATTTTGATGGATATTGCATCGAATTTGTAGATTGCTTTTGGCCATATGGTCATTTTTTACAATATTGATTCTATCCATCCATGAGCATGGGATGTGTTTCCATTTGTTGGCGTCATCTATGATTTCTTTCAGCAGTGTTTTGTAGTTTTCCTTGTAGAGGTCTTTCAACTCCTTTGTTAGGTATATTCCCAAGTATTTTATTTTATTTTTTGCAGCTATTGTAAAAGGGGTTGATTCTCTGCTTGGTAGGTGTTGGTGAATAGAAGAGCTACTGATTTGTGTACATAGATTTTGTATCTGGAAACTTTGCTGAATTCTTTTTTTTTTTTTTTTTTTTTTTTTGAGACGGAGTTTTGCTCTTGTTGCCCAGGCTGGAGTATAATGGCAGGATCTCGGCTCACTGCAACCTCCACCTCCTGGGTCCAAGCCATTCTCCTGCCTCAGCCTTACGAGTAGCTGGGATTACAGGCATGAGCCACCACGCCCAGCTAACTTTGTATTTTTAGTGGAGACAGAGTTTCTCCTTGTTGGTCAGGCTGGTCTTAAACTCCCAACCTAAGATGATCTGCCTGCCTTGTCCTCCCAAATTGCTGGATTACAGTCATGAGCCACCGCACCCAGCCTGAATTATTTTATCAGTTCTAGGAGCTTTCTGGAGGAGTACTTTCTGGAGGAGTACTGAAAACTCTGGAGGAGTTTTCAAGGTAACCAATCACATTGCTAGCAAACAGTTTGACTTCCTTCTTACCGATTTGGATGCCCTTTATTTCTTTCTCTTGTCTGGTTGCTCTGGTTGGAACTTCAAGAGGAATGGTGAGAGTGGGCATCATTGTCTACAAAAAAAAAGTCCAGGATCAGATGGATTCACAGCAGAATTCTACCATATATTCAAAGAAGAATTGGTACCAATCCTTTTGACACTATACTACAAAATAGGGAAGGAAGGAACCCTCCCTAATTCATTCTATGAAACAAGCTTCACCCTAACACCAAAACCAGGAAAGAACATAACCAGAAAAGAAAACTACAGACTGATATCCTTGATAAACATTGATGCCAAAATCGTTAACAAAATACTAGCTAACCGAATCCAACATTTCAAAAAGATAATCCACCATGATCAAGTGAATTTCATACCAGGGATGCAGGGATGGTTTAACATATGCAAGTCAATAAATGTGATACACCACATAAACAAATTTTTTAAAAAATTGTATGATCATCTGAATAGACTCAGAAAAAACATTTGAAAATATCTAGCATGTATTTATGATTGAAACTCTCAGCAAAATCAGCATACAAGGGACATATCTTAATGCAATAAAAGCCATCTATGACAAACCCACGGCCAACATAATACTGAATGGGGAAAAGTTGAAAGCATTCCCTCTGAGAACTGGAACAGACAAGGATGCCCACTCTCACCACTCCTCTTCAACACAGTACTGGAAGTCCTAGCCAGAGCAATCAGACAAGAGAAAGAAATAAAGGACATCCAAATTGGTAAAAAGGAAGTCAAACTGTCACTGTTTGCTGATGATATGATCGTTTACCACAAGGATATTTAAATCTAGAGAGAAAATAAGAGCATATGTTCCTCTCTTTCCTACATCACTGATTTGAATTTCTGACATTAGTCAGACCATTGGAGAACTGCTAGAATCAAGCATCATGTAGAAAATAAATAGTATCATGCTTGAAGTTCTTCATTAGCGCCTGTAGCTATCAAGTAATAGGAACACTGTAATGGTGTTCTGAGCTTAGTTACTATGATCTCTGGGGAGTTCAAAGTAATTTGCAGGTGGAAAATTAAATGATGCAGTTCAGGATAAAATTGAATCCCAAATAATTGTTAGAGAATTAAAATGCAATCGAACCAGAAATCCTAATCAGGTTTGAATCAAAGCATGTTCATACTGAACTGTGATGAAAACAATCAATGTATACTTTGGATGTCATTTTTGTCCTATAAGAGCCTCATGACATGTATTTATAGCTTGTCTCATTGCAATAATTTTGGAATGCGGCAATAGAATGAAAAGCAGAAAAGGCTTTTCGACTGATTAGTTCTGTAAATCTTCAGACTGCCTTTTCCTCATTGGGGCCGAATCCTTACACATTACCACCCATCCTTTACTCTGTGATATAATTTTTTTTTTTTTGAGATGGAGTTTCAGTCTTGTCACACAGGCTGAAGTGCAATGGTGTGATCTAGGCTCACTGTAATCTCCAACTCCCAGGTTCAAGTGATTCTCTTGTCTCAGCTTCCCAAGTAGCTGGTATTACAGGTGCCCACCACCATGCTGGATTGATTTATGTATTTTTAATAGAGATGGAGTTCCACCATGTTGGCCAGGCTGGTCTCAATCTCCTGACCTCTGGTGATCCACCCTCCTCAGCCTCCCAAAGTGCTGGGATTACAGGCGTGAGCCACCACGTCCAGGCTTCAGTGATACAATTATAATCCTAATCAGATCTCTAATATTCCATTTTACTCTCACATTTAACAGACTGTGCTACTATGGTGCAAATAGAAACTTTAAGTGAACAGATACGATAGACATCAGAAGCATTGTTCTCTTTTATTTGGAAAAATAAAATGGAAAAATGGCTGAATACGTACAACCCCTGCCTCACTACCCTTTATGAGACAGAGCATTGTAGAAATGATGCTCCTTCAAATTCCATGAGGCAGAATTCACTGGAAAGAGATGTCTCACCTCACCCTGTGTCCCATTGTCTCATTTGTTTTGCGTATCAGAATGCAGGCTATCAATGCACCTCTGCAGCTGTGGCTGGACATGTTCAAGAGCAAGAATCCTTACATTATCTCTCTTCTTGGCACCACTAATTTCAGTAGCACTTGCTTTCAACATGACCCTTCATCCCCAAGGTACATGATTCACTGCTAAGCAAAAACACTTTGTGACTTATTATAGTTCTTATAACTTAAAATTATTATACATTCCAGGAACTCCTTAAATATGAGGACAGAACAATACAGAGGCTGCCCTTTTTTCTTCTTCTTCTTCTCAGAGGTTACCATAGATACCAAGATTACAATGGCAACTGCTGGCAAATTCACCTAATTGGATTTAGATAAGGGTAAAAAAAGTGCAATTATCAACCTATGGGCATGGTGTTTTACTGTGAAATATTTGATTGCCCTCAATTATTAGCAAGCTTTTCTATAGTACCACACGTTGTTTGAAAACAGCTTTCCCATTTATTTTTTCTCATTATACTTATAATGACTCACAGTGTTATCACAGAAAGATAAATGTGTATAGAGGAGATGAGAAGGGTGTGTGTGTGTGTGTGTATGTGTGTAGACAAAGAACAAGACCATGAGGGTCGAGTTTACAGTAAATACTCCAAAAAAATGAAATATGGAGAAGAAATGCAAACCACAAAATACCTTTGCCATCTTTGACAATATACACTCTGCTTTATTCAGTTCAATTTTCTCATCATTTGTTGGACCCTCTAGAGTAATGACATATGTAACCTTAAACACTTACCTCTTTTTGAAAAGGAATAAATAAAAATTTGGTGATTCCAAGAATCATGGTATGTTTGGACTTTAACTTTTTTTGTCCTTTCTTTAGTCGGGGAGCATCTTTCTCTGACAGATATTTCAAACTCTCTCCAGTAAGAATAAAGCAGTTAAAATGCCAGAGTTTCCACTATGCTCTGGGAAGTTTCTCTATAAGAACCTTAATAGTTTTCACTCTTCAATATACCTTTTTTCAATTTCTTCACATTATGCAGTTACTTAATTATACCATTTTTAATCACAAATAATTCAGCTTTTTTTCTCCGGTATTTACACCTGTAGAGACTTTTAGATTATTATCTTAACTTTAAAATCAATAGTCTGTCTTCCATGGACAAGCAAGAACGTGTTTACCATTAGACTAAGTCCAAAATGCAAGTAATTTGATTCAGACTGACACAGACACAGAAAAGTGAAATTACAAAGGAAAAATTAAAGAAATAATGTAATATCTTTCATAACAGAGTTCTTTTTTATTTTGTTTTGTTTAGATTTGTTTCCACATTGACAACCATTTTTAAACCATGCTATAGGGATATGTGGAAGAATGTTATTTTAAATATAATGGTTTATGACCAATTTGCATAGAAAAAATAGGCACAAGAAGCAAAGAAATATTGCATATAATTTAGTGACAAAGGATTCTTATTATGGCCATATTTCCTTGCTTTCATGTTTGCTTTAATAAATTGATTTTTCTGGGCTTGTTTTTGAGAATCTAATCCTAAATTGAATCTAAAGCTCAGCATTAGACTCAGAACTAACCTCTTTTGGTAAGCAGTACCTTCTCTCAAGTGTCTGCCATTGAATTCTCCTTATTCTCACTAGTTTCTAGCTCCTCTAGCTAATCCAATTGCCTCAGCATTTGGTTCAGTTGTCACCATGAGGTGTAGTATACACCAGGAAGCTCTGGATTCTACCTTTGTTAGTGGGTGTTACTGACAAGTTATGTTAATTTTATTTTACTGTTTTCTGAATTACATTCCCCATCTTTACTCACATAATATTGTAGACTGTTATTTAGACTGGTGCAAAAGTAATTGAGGGTTTTGCCATTACTTTCAATGGCAAAAACTGCAGTTACTTTTTGCACCAACCTACTGCAATTAACCCTTACCTTGTCTTCTCACTTCCACATTCTGCTTGGTTCCTCACATGGTTATCATCACACGTAGATAATCATCATACTAGCGTGGGCGTGTATGTCAATAATGAAAGAGCTTTCCAATGATTCCCTGGTGCCTTCTGGACTAATTTCAAGTCCACCTACAACAGCATGACATAATAAAACTTCCCTATCAAAATGCTCTTGGTTAACACCATTTCTTATGGTTATACTAAGTTTAATTTCCAAAATTCCACTTTAAATTCAAATTCATATCAAAGGTCTGGTTTTGCAAATTCTCCTTTAACTTCAACTGGAAGCTGGTCACTTTATTCTGTGGCTTTTCCCTAAATTTTGTACCTGTCTCAGAATAGTATCTATCTGACTAAATGAATCAATGAATTGGTGAATTAAAGAAAAAATAGGTTTGAGGTACAGAATATTCAGTCACTTGTACCTCTAACATTCTACAATTCTTGACATCCAGATACTGGGGGGAAGCTTAGATAATAATGGATACAAAATGTTGATACGGTTTGGCTGTGTCCCCCTCCAAATCTCAACTTAAATTGTATCTCCCATAATTCTCAGGTGTTGTGAGAGGGACCCAGTGGGAGATAAGTGAATCATAGGTGTGGTTTTCCCCATACTGTTCTCATGGTAGTGAATAAGTCTCATGAGATCTGGTGGTTTTACAAGGGGTTTTCGCTTTTGCTTGGTGCTCATTCTTTCTTGCCTGCCACCATGTAAGATGTGACTTTTGCCTTCCCTCATGATTTTGAGGCCTCCTCAGCCACGTAGAATGATAAGTTCATTAAACCTCTTTTTAAAAATAAGTTATCCAGTCTTGGGTATGTCTTTATCAGCAGTGTGAAAATGGACTAACACAAATGTGTAGAACAAAACACACAAAAACATTTCTAATAATAATAATAAACAGTTTTGTCCTCAACACAAATGTTATCTTATTTTGTGCTTCACTTAAAAACCTTTGACATAGGCAGAATTGATGTTTTTATTATATTACAAAATTTAATAAAAAGGCAACTGGTATGAATCATCTGCCTCAGAATACTTGTTATTAATAAAGCAACTAGTGTGGATCACCTGAAATACTTGTTAAAATGCAAATTTCTATGCCCACTTTGTATCTACCGAATCCACTTTTAAGAGTATAGATTCTTAAAATCTGCATTTGAACATTGTTTCTCCATCCGTGTAATATTTGCACATACTAATGTCTGAAAACCATTGGAATAGAATATTTTGGTTTAATAAAGTAATTAGATTTCATATACAGATCTGAATTCTCCTCACTCATAGGATGAGAATTCCTGTAGTTGACAGGATCTTAATGAGAAATAGATGGGGTTAAGGGATTAACCAGGGAAATCAGAGATTAAATGTAAGTAGAGGACACTGAGGGAAAAATGGCTAATGCTCAAAAAAATCAGGAGGTCAGGGTCAGAATCTAAAGTTAGCTTATCAGACCTGATACCAATAGGCAGAGTGAGAAATTTGAATGTCACTTTGAAGTTAATATTTTGCATATTTAAATTACTTGGACCAATCTGTACTGGAGATCATTGTCTTGATCTTTATATGTTGACAATAATATTATTCCTAAGGAGTTTTTCTAAAGTGGAGTCTTCAAGAAAATAATGGGCATTTCTGATAATACAGAAATAATAGTTAAATCAAATTATGTGAAAATGTAATCCTCCATGTCTATATTTTAATTCATACCAAAGAAAAACAGAAAATAGATGGTCTATGTTACATTTCTTTGCATGTTTTTTAGAAGCAACTTCCTCAATGAAAGCCATTTCCTGCTGAAAAGAACCTTCTAACCTTTGGCCAGAGAGAAATCTTCTTTACTGGTTACTATTCGATCCTCTGAGAAGTCAGGGCAATAAGTCATTCTACCATAGATCTCCTGAGACAAATCAAATTTAACAGAGTCATGGATGTAATATACGTATGAAATTCTTTTGGAAGAGAAAACTATTTTCTTATGTTGAAAAATTTTCATTAGATCCCAGCCATTTATCTTTGTTTTTATTGCATATGTTTTTGGGTTCGAGGTCATGAAATCCTTGCCTAAACCAGTGTCTAGAAGGGTTCTATGGAAAACAGTGTGGAGATTCCATAAAGACCTAAAAGTAGAAACTACAATTTGATCCAGCAATCCCACTACTGGGTATCTACCCAGAGGAAAAGAAATCATTTTTCAAAAAAAGACATTTGTGCACACATTTATAGCAGCATAATTCACAATTTCAAAATCGTGGAACCAACCCAAATGTCCATCAGTCAACGAGTGGATAAAGAAACTGTGGTGTATATATATATATATATATATATATATATATATATATATATATATGATGGAATACTATGTAGCCATTAAAATGAATGAATTAACAGCATTTGCAGTGACCTGGATGAGATTGGAGACTATTATTCTAAGCGAGTAACTCAGGAATGGAAAACCAAACATTGTATGTTCTCACTGTTATGTGGGAGCTAAGCTATGAGGATGCAAAGGCATAAGAATGATACAATGGACTTTGGGGATTTGAGGAGAAGAGTTGGGGGGTGTAAAGGATAAAAGACTACAAATATGGTGCAGTGTATACTGCTTGGGTGATGGGTGCATCAAAATCTCATGAATTGCCACTAAAGAACTTACTCGTGTAACCAAATATAACCTGTACTCCAATTAACTTACGGAAAAACAAAAAAAATTAAAAAGGAATACTTTTATAACTACTTTCCTTTGTTTCATTTTCACTTCACAGTATACAATAAATCTACCTTAAAAACTTCAGCCTTACACATATCTGGAAATAATTAAAAACCTAAACCACCTCCTACCTAGTTGAACATATCTAGTTTCTTTCGACTTTCATGATATGGTTTTTCTATGACTTCAGTAGCTATATTCATTTTTCTGGACAAACTTCATCTCCAATAGTTAATTTAATGCTCTGGATGTGATCCAACAAGGGAAAAAAACAATGCAACTTGCAGGACCTCAGTTCAAGTAGTCAAGTTCCACCTTTAAAAACTAAAACTGTGTTCTCTTTTCTTGAAAGAAGTTTTGATATTTTTTGAGACAGAGTTTCTTGGAACAATTGTTTAAAACTCCCTTTAAACAGGAGAATGCATTTCCTAGACAGAAAAGCAAAGAGAAACTTAAGTGAAAATCTGAATGGAAGATAAAACTCTTAACAGAGGATTTGGAACCGTCCACTCTAAAAGTGGTGAAATCAGAAGGGCTGACAGGTCGTGGCTCAGGACAGCACAAGAAAATGAATTAATATATACAGAAATCTTTTATAATTTATAAAGTTTAATAGTATAGCAACAGTAATTAATCCTTTTTTAAAAAAATTTCAAATTTTAATTTGAATTACGTGTTAAATCAGTAACTTCATTTTATAAAGCTAAAGACTTCATAGAACATCTATATCCTATTTCTCTCATCAGAGGTCACAACTTTGGTTAATTTCCAATGAATTTTGAGTGAATGTTTGCTTGAGAAAAGTTTATAACTTAAAATTTAGCACATTATTTATATAGGTCAACAAAAACTGTTATTTTCCCTTAACGATATATAGGAAATCTCCCATTTCAATTTGTTACAGTGTGCTGGTTTTTTATTGTCATTTTATTTTATTTTATTTTTTAATTTTTAATTTTTGTGAGTACAAGTAGTTGTATATATTTATGGGGTACATGAGATATTTTAGTGCAGGCAACCAATATGCAATAATCGTGTCATGGGAAATGGGGTATCCATTCCTATAAGCATTTATCCTTTGTGCTACAAACAATCCAAGTATACTCTTTTAGTTATTCCAAAATGTACAATTAAATTATTTTGATTATAGTCCCCCTTTTGTACTATAAAATACTAAGTCTTACTTATTCTTTCAAACTATTTTTCTTGTACCCATTCATTATACTCACCTCCCATTTTACCCCTTCTAATTATCCTTTCCAGCCTCTGGTAACCTTCCTTCTGCCATCTCTGTGTGTTCAACTGTTTTGATTTTTAGACCCCACAAATAATTGAGAACATGCAATGTTTGTCTTTCTTTGCCTGGCTTATTTCACTTAGTTCCATTCATGTTGTTGCAACTGACTGAATCTTATTTATTTATGGCTGAATAAAACTCCATTGTGTATAAGTACCATGTTTTTTCTTTTATATATTTATGGGTTGATGGACATTTAGTTTGCTTCAAAGTCTTGGCTGTTGTGAACAGTGTTGCAACAACATGGGAGTACAGATCTTTCTTCAATATACTGTATTCCTTTTTCTTAGATACATACCCAGCAGTGGGATTGCTGGATCATATGCTAGCTCTGTTTTTAGTTTTTTGAGGTATTTCCAAACTGTTCTCTGTAGTGGTTGTACTAATTTACATTCCAACCAACAGTGAATGAAGGTTCTCTTTTCTTCATAGCCTTTCCAACATTTGTTATTGCCTGTCTTTTGGATAAAAGCCATTTTAACTGGGATGAGATGATATCTTATTGTAGTTTTGATTTGCATTTCTTTGATGATCAATGATGTTGAGCACCTTTTCATATATCTGTTTGCCTTTTGTATGTCTTCTTTTGAGAAATGTTTATTGAAATATTTTGCCCATTTTTTTAAATAGACGTTAGATATTTTTTTCTAGAGAGTTGAGTTCCTTATATATTCTGGTTATTAATCCCTTCACAGATGGATAGTTCACAAATATGTTCTCCCATTCTGTGGATTGTTTTTTCACATTGTTAATTGTTTCCTTTGCGGTGTAGAAGTTTGTTGTTTGTTTGTTTGTTTGTTTGTTTATTATTTGTTTGTCAGGGTCTTGCTCTATCTCCCAGGCTGGAGTGCAGTGTCAGTGGCATGATCATAACTCACCTCAGCCTTGAACTCCTGAGCTCAAGCAATCCTCTCACTTCAGCCACCTGAGTAGCTCACTCTTCAGGCACATGCCACCATGCCCAGCTAAGTTTTGTATTATTCGTAGAGGCAGATTTTTGCCATGTTGCCCAGGCTGGTTTCAAACTCCTGGGCTTAAGCAATCTGCCCACCTTGGCTTCCTAAAGTGCTGGGATTACAGGTGTGAGCCACCATGCCCAGTCTGCAAAAGCTTTTTATCTTGATGTGATCTGATTTGTGTACTTTTGCTTTGGTTGCCTGTGCTTGTGGGTTATTACTCAGGAAATTTTTGCCCAGACCAAAGTCCTGGAGAGTTTCTCAATGTTTTCTGGTAGTAGTTTCACAGTTTTGAGGTCTTAGATTTAAGCCTTTAGTCCATTTTTATTTGATTTTTATATGTGGCAAGAGATATCAATCTAGTTTCATTCTTCTGCATACGGGTGTCCAGATTTCCAGCATCATTTATTGAAAAGATAGTCTTTCCCCCAGTGTATATTCTTGACACCTTGAGTTCACTATAAGTATTTAGATTTTTTTCAGGTTCTCTATTCTGTTCCATTGGTCTATGTATCTGTTTTTTGTGATCTTTTGAATTTTTTTCAAATACATTTATTATTGATATCATACTTATTATTTCTTTTTTCTACTAATTTTGGATTTGCTTTGCTCCTGCTTTTCTAGTTACATCCAATGCTATTATTGATAAGGAGGGACTTATTCCTGCCATTGTATTATCTGTTTTCTGGTTTTGTCTTCCTTTCTTCTTTCCTTCCTGTCTTTCTTTTAGTGAAGCTAATTGTCTCTGGCGGTATGATTAAATTCGTTGCTTTTTATTTTTGTGTATCTTTAGAGTGTTTATCAACTTGAAGTTACCACAAGGTTTGCAAATACTATCTTATAATCCATTATTTTAAATTGATGACAACTTAACACTAATTGCATAAACAAACACACAAAAACTAATATAAAATCTACACTTTCACTTCATCCTCTCACTTTTTAATTTTTGTTGTTTCTATTTCGTTTTATTGTACTACGTCTTGAAAATTATAAATATTATTTTTGGTTCATTGTTTAGTATTTCTACTGAAAGTATTAATAAGAGTAGTTTACACACCACAATTACTGTGTTACAATATTCTGTGTTTTTTTGTATACTTACTATTACCAGTGAGATTTGTACCTTTGCATGATGTCTTCTTGCTCATTAAAATCTTTTTCTTTCAGTTTGAAGAACTTCCTTTAACCCTTCTTGTAGGACAGGTCTAATGTCAATGAAATCCTTCAGCTTCTGTTTGTCTGGGAAGGTCTTTATTTCTTCTTCATGTTTGAAGGATGTTTTCACTGGATATACTATTCTATGGTAAAAGTTTTTTTATTTAGCATTTTAAATACCTCACGCCACTCTCTCCTGGCCTGTAAGGTTTCCACTGAAAAGTTTGCTAACAGATATATTGGAGCTCCATTGTGTGTTACTCGTTTCTTTTCTCTTGCTTCTTTTAGGATCCTTTATTATTGACCTTTGAGATTTTGCTTATTAGATACTCTGAAGTATGCTTCTTTGGGTTAAATCTACTTTGTGTTCTATAACCTCTTGTCCTAGACTGTTAATATCTTTCTTTACATTTGGGAAGCTTGCTGTTGTTATCCCTTTGAATAAACTTTCTACCCCATCTCTTTCTCTAAATCCTCTTTATGGCCAAAATCTCTTAGAGTTGCCCTGTCGAGGCTATTTTCTAAATCTTGTAGATGTGTTTCATTGTTTTTATTTTTTCAAATTATTTTGTCTCCTTTTACTGTGTATTTTTAAATAGCTTGTCTTCAAGTTCATTGTTTCTTCTGCTTGATAAATTCTGCTATTAAGAGACTCTGGTGCATTTTTCGGTATGTCCATTGCATTTATAAACTATAGAATATCTACTTAATTCTTTTTTATTATTTCAATTTCTTTTTAAAGTTTATTTGATAGGATTTTAAATTTCTTCTCTGTTATCTTGAATTTCATGGAGTTTCCTCAACATAGCTATTTTGAACTCTCTGTTTGAAAGGTCACATATCCTTGTTTCTCCAGGATTGGTCTATACTGCCTTATTCAGGTCATTTGTCATGGTCATGTTTTTCTTGACTTGATGCTTGCTTATAGATGTTTATCTACTTCTGGACATTGGAGAGTATTTATTGTAGTCTTTGCAGTCTGAGCTTGTATGTGTCAGTTCTTCTTGAGGAGGCATTCTAGGCATTCAACGGCTATTCAACCCAATAGCATTGTTGTTTTTGCAGACTCATAGAGGCACTCCCTTGGTGATCTTAGATAAGATCTAGAGGAATTCCCTGGATTACCCAACAGAGACTCTTGTTCTTTCCTCTTTCTCCCAAGCAAATATAATCTCGCTCTCTGTGCTGAGCAACCTGGAACTAGGGGTGTGGTGATGCAAACATCCCTGTGGCTACCACAGCTGGGACTGTGCTGGATGAGACCTGGAGCCAGCACAAGGGTCTCACTTAAGGCTCACTGCAACCAATACTTGGCTACTGCCTATGTTCACTCAAGGCCATAGGGCACTGCAATCAGCAGGTGATGAAGCCAGCCAGGTTTGTATCCTCTTCAGGGCAGCAAGTTGCCCCAGGCCATGGGTAGGTCCAGAGATACTCCTGGGATCCAGGGATTACAGTCAAAAACCTTAGAAATTTGCCTTATGTTCTATTCTACTGTGGGTAACCTGGCACTCAAACCACAATACAAAGTTATTCCCACTCTTCTCTCCTTTTCCACAGGCAGAGGAGCCTCTCCCTATGGGTATCATCACCACTGGCTCATAGGCATTCTGCCAGACCACCCCTGATGTTCACTTAAAGCCCAAGGGCTCTTTAGTCAGCTTGTGATGAATACTGCCAGGCCTGGGACTCAACCTTCAGGGAAATGACATCCCCTCTGGCCCAGAGCAGCCTAGAAATGTTGTTAAAGATCCAAGTCCTACACTCAGGGTCCCCAAGAGCTGGCTTGTTGCTCTACTCCACTGTGGTCAAGCTGGTAGCTAAGGTGAAGGACAAAGTTCCCTTTACTTTTAATTTTTCCTCTGCTTTTCTAAAACAGAAGGAGTCTTTCACTGTAACCACCACAGCAACAGTGTTGGAGTCACACCTGATGTCAGCATGTCTCAGAGCCCAAAGCCCATGGCATACCCATGGGTTCTACCTGGGTGTTGTTGCTGGTTATTCTGGGTCCAAGCGCTCTTTAGTCAGTGAGAGATGAGTCCTTCTAGACTTTCTTTCAAGGCAGCAGGTTCTCTTTTGGCCCAGGGTATCTAGAAATGTCATCCATGAGCTGGGGCTTAGAATGGGGACCTCACAACTCTACCCAGTGCCGTATCCTACTGTGGCTGAGCTGGTATAGTTCTCTTTACTCTTTGATCTCCTCTCCTTAAGCAGAAGAAAGGGGTTACTTTCATTGCTGCAAACTGTGCAGCCTGGGGTTTGGGTAGGGGTGGCACAAGCCCTTCCTTAGCTGCTCTGGCTCGTGTCTCCTTAGGTCATGTGCCACACTAGTCCCCTGTCTCTGAGCCCAGTTCTGCCCTAGGACTTGCTTAAAAATTGCTATGCTTGTGTTTTAAAGTTTACCTAGGATCCCAGAGCACTTTGGTCTGTGGTAGCAAGGCTTGCTGAGAAACCCAATTTTCAACTACTAGGAGGGGTGATTCCCCTCTGGCTAGGGCTTATTCAAATACTCCTTTCACACATGGGTATTGGCTGAGCCCTACACGACTTTGCTCTCTGCTACGACAAGGCAGTGCCAAATTCAGTACAAAGTCCTCCAGTCACTGTGTTGCCCCTCTCCAAAGTGCAGAGAATTTCCACACCACAAGGCTACTGCCAGGGAATAAGGGAGGCATGACATTGGTGATTCAAGTCTGTCTCTCTGACCCTATTCAATTCCTCTGTTAACAATATGAAGATAAAACCAGATACTGTGATTACTCACCTAATTTTTGGTTCTTGTGGTATTTTTTGAGTGCAGATAGTTGTTAAAATTTGATATTCCTGTGGGGGTGGCGGGGAACAAATGGCGTAGTCTTCTATTCTGCATTTTGCCCCACCCTTCTCATTTTTATTTTAATTTATGATATTGCTTTAGAAACCTTGGTGTTTCATAAATATCTTATTAAGACTTTCACTGTTCTACTCTTCTCATTTGCAAGATATTGAGGTAAACTTTATTTCCAATGCTAATGACTGACATGTAAATTGGGTTGACATTTTGGATAGAAGGAACCTAGATTTATCTCAAATATACTCGTTGTGATTAGCAATTTTCCATAACAGGGACAGCCTCAAAACAACAGCAACAAAAAGCTTATTGCATACTGTCAAAGCTCTAAGGGGAAAAGAACCTTGAGAAAGTCTCATTAAATTCATTCCACTGGTTTTAAGATAATAAATAAAAAATAATGAGAAGGAGCCTTTTCAAATAACTTGTAGTTATTATAGGATTATTCAGCAAAATAACATGGTACCCAATCTAAATGTACCTCATCTATCTAGGCTAAACTTTCCTATTGACATATATACACACATACATACAGACACACAGACACACATGCACACACACACACACACACACACACACACACATTCCCTTGGGAAAGGGGTAAAAAACTACACATGCTATCTTAAAATGTAGGTGATCCATGTTTTTCTATTTGTCCATTTGCAGAGAAGGGTGCTCTCTTTCTATCTGGTGGCTACCTAGACTGTTCATTGTGGTTATTTTGGTTGAATTAGCTCTCATCAGACCAATATGGTATCAATTCTTTTTAGTATGAGAGATTTTCACTTTTTGTGATTCAGGACAGCTTGCTCCATTGACTAATTATTTTTCTCTCTGTTCTTCAGTTAGGATAGGTTTTATTGATCTATCTTCAAAATTTGATGAAACTTACCTTTTGCATCTCCATTCTTATGTAACACTCATCCAATTCATTAATTTGTCAATGATTGACTATATTCAAAGTGTACAGTGTGATAATTTTATATTTGTATATATTGTGTAAGGATTACCACAATCAAATTAATTAATATATCCATTACCACTCATGCTAAACTTTAGATCCCAAGAATGTTATTTTCAGTTATTGTACTTTTCAGTTCTAAAATAATTCCTATTCTGCTGCTAGAATTTCTTCTTTTTCTTCATCAACATATTTTTCTTTCATCCTTGAGCATAGTTTTAATAGCTAACTTAAAACCCTTATCTGCTAATTCTAACATGTTGGTCATCTTAACTCAGGCCTTGGTTGTCTTTCTCTTGAAAATGGGTCATGTTTTCATGTTTTTTCATATGGTAAATGATGTTGGATTATATTCTCTAGTAAAGTGTAGTTGGAAGGGAGGAAATAGGAATGGAAGCAAGACTTCTCTGCCTATGCCTTTTAAATTTAGTTTTGAATTTTAATTATGTAAGTATTTTACATATTCAAAAATAGAAAAGGAATGAAACAAAGCTTAATATTAAATAAGAGAAATAAATTAACCTATATAGACTTATATGTATGTATATGTATGTGTGTATGTCCGTGTGTGTGTGTATATATGTCTGTGTGTGTATATATATATATAAAATATTAATGATAAAATCACTTGAAGTGACTTTTCAGCAGTCCTTGGAAGAATACCTTCAGAAATTCAAAGTAATTTTCATCAAATGTGGCAAAGTAATTTTAAACTTTCCTGAGCTTTATGGTTAATAATATTAATGAAATTTGAATTGTGAAACTATTTTGTGTATATTGCAGAATGAACCACATAAATAAATATATTCATGTTATTATGAAACCAAAGGGAAAGTACATTTTGTTATAATTTGATAAAAAGTATCTCTCTATATAATGTGTGTTTCAATAAAAAGTGTCTAGAAGCTGCAATATCACAGCAGCAGTGAGTATGTCCAGCATCCAGATGCTAGTTTCTTAAAAAATTTAACAACTCCTTGTAAAAGTGGTTTATTCTAAGTCCCAGGTAGGAAAAATATAAAATGAGCCTGGTAATACTGTGCTAAAAAGCAAGGAAGCATTCAAAGACTAATGGGGGTGTTTTAAAAGGAACACTGGAGCCATGTTGAAGGGGGTCTAGATTGCCAAATTTCTAAAAACTGGAGCATAATGAAGAATTATAACATTAATCAACTGTACCAATATGAATACATAAAAATTCATGAGACTATAGCATTACTCAAAAAAAGAGGATCAAGGGAAAACTCATTTACTGTCATTGGAGTAGTTCATTTTATCAAGTCCTCACTGTAACAATTGCGTTTTAAAAAAGAAACATGCACACACACACACACACAAACACACACACACACACACACACACACACCCCATAGGGTTTTTAAATTCTTACTTGCTGAAAAAAAGCCATTCTAATATAGAAATATGCCAGCAAATAAACATACAAATAGGGGTAAATTTTTTAAATTACATTTTACAGTTTCCAATAACATCATTAATTCAAATAAAGATCATCAATTTTTGCATTAACTATTAGGACTATTTTATATTATTCTATTTGGAGTCAAAGCATTATCTTGTAAATTAGTAGCTAATTTGAAAGAAAAAATATGTATCTTTATGGAAAGTTCTGACAATCATCACTTTAACCAAGTAAGCAATCTTAGAATACCTGATACGTACAGCAGGACAAGCTGACTTTACCTGTCTCATGATGCGATGCAATAGAAAGTATTTTGCATCAGTATGATTCATTCTTGCTAAAAATATTGATCTAATCGAATCAAAAATTTAGGCCCATTTTTTATACTAAATACAGAGGAAAAAAAAAGTTGAAGGATAGCTAAAGGAAACAGATAAATTGACAATAGTAGGACACCCTGCAATACAATTGTTCTCCTTAGAAAGTCAATTTCGTAAAATACAAAAAATGTAAAGAATCTGTTTCCAATTAAAAAGACTAAAAAGGTCTAACAATAAAATATATGAGTAAAACTTGATGACATTCTCGTTCACAAAAACAAAACCAAAAATAAAATATATGGCAAAGTAAATATGGATGGATTATTGGATATTAGCAAATTATTAAAGTTCTCTGATATGATGGTAGTGTTACTGTTATGCTTGTTCTTATTTTTATGAGATGCATGCTGGAGTATTTAGAGGTGATGTATCACAATACCTGCATCTGACTTCCAGATACATCCATGCGTCAGTAAATAAACAAATAGAAATAGGATACATTTAGCCAAACTTTGATTGTTATTAGCTCTTGGTAGTGGGCATATGGGCATTCATTGTATTATTTTTTTAACTTTTTTATATTTGAAAGTTTTCTTACTATATTGGAAAGTGAGAAAGTTATAAATATCTGTGGGATTTTGAAATTTCTTAATACTGTATAAATGTGGTTTCCTCATACCACATTACTTTATAACAGATAACTTCACTGTTACATGTTTTTCTCATTCACTGTACCCTGTAGTTTCTCCTGTCAGCTTATCTCCTCTTATGTCTCTAAACACACTTATAAATCAATGAAATTAATCACTATTGTTAATACACATTATATGCACATCTTTGCTGTTATCTGTCTGCTTTTCATAGACATTTTCTCTTCCAGATTATTAAAATTCTGTCTATTTCAAGCAAAGCGTTTCATAAAGTCTTTTCAAATTCCTTAGCCAGATGTTCATTTCTCCTCCTTGAATTCCATTACAATTTTTGCTTTTAATTCTCATTGTAGCTTAAATAGCATTATTGTCGTATGTTTGTGCATTTTCCCGGCCTTTTCACATCTTCTACTTTGTTGTATGCTCCTAGCTCCTAGAGTGCTGTACACTAACTAATTATAATCAATTCATTATTTCAATTATAGTATTTATTGTCTGACACTGTGCTAGAATGTGAACGTGCAAAGATGAATAAAAAGTTTTATAGAGTAGATATTGTTGAGAGCTCCATGAGCTTATATATATTTAATTAAGACAAACTTGAAAAAGGGGTTTCTTTTCTTTTTTTCTTTCTCATTTTCTTTTATTTTTCTTTTGTTGTTGTTGTTGTTGTTTCTGAATTTACTAAGTTTAAAGCGACTAGTACGCTGTCATTATCTGCCCTAAAAGGCAGGATTAGATAACATTTTAGATAACATTTTTTCTCTTACTCTCATATTGTCTTATGTAAACAGGTTTGTACTCAGAAATTACTGTTTTTAGTATTCATCTTGTCAGCTTCTTACTTGTTTCTTAGCTACTTGGAGCCCAAAGTATGGAAAAGAAAAACCTACTAGAATATCTACTTTATCTGTTCAAGGGTTCTTACCAGAAAATATTTTCGAGTGCTTTGACCTACTCTACTGTAAATGACCTTAGTGATAACAGTTTTAGATTGCCTATTTACTACCACAGTCTGGCCTCTATATCACAGGCAGTTTTTTTTTTTTTTTTTTTTTTTTTTTTTTGAGATGGAGTCTTACTCTTGTCGCCCATGCTGGAGTGCAATGGTTCAGTCTCAGTTCACTGCAACCTCCGACTCCTGGGTTCACCTGATTCTCATGCCTCAGCCTCCCAAGTAGCTGGGATTACAGGTGACCACCACCACACTGGCTAATTTTTTTATATTTTTAGTAGGGACAGGGTTTCACTATGTTGCCCAGGCTTGTCTCAAACTCCTGACTTCAGGTGGTCTGCCCACCTCAGCCTCCCAAAGTGCTGGGATTAAAGGTGTGAGCCATGGCACCTGGTCCCCAGCCAATTTTTACCCCATTCACTATTTCATCAAGGCTGTGTACATGTGAGACTTAATTTCACTTTTTTATATAGTACTGTATCAAACGTTTTATTAAATTCCAACTCAACTCTCCTACTCTTCTGTATCTGACATTTATTGTCACTTTTTCTGGAAAATCTGTCTACTTATTTGGAATAAATAACTGATCCAAAAACCCATAGTCAAATTTTATGACTTGGGTACTTCTGGAGCTTGAATATTATCACTAAATTCAGACATTGGATTTGCTGTACATCCCCAGAAATTTCTCAAAAAATAATAATTTCTAAATTAATTTAGAGTTTAAATTAATTTGGAAGAACTTAGAAAATATTCTGCCACCTTTACTTTTGCAATTCTATTAGTGCAATGGTTGACTTGTATATCCATCCATCACTATCAATGCAAGAGCTGAGTGAATTTCTAGTCATCATCTCAAATTTTGTGAGGTAGGTACCATGTTTTTCTTTGCTTTTATAAAGAAAATGCATTGCCTCTTGGATTCATATACAGGCTCAGAATGCTTCAAAATGTGTGAAACCTTGAAGTAATGATGCCATATCAAATGAACAGAAAATGAAGTGGAAAGAAGCTATCGCCTTGTGAATTTAAACACATTTTTCCTTTTTAATTTTATTTTTATAATATTTTAAATAGTGACTGTGAATCAGTCACTTAATCTCCCTGTCTCAATGTTATTCAGTGATAACTTTCTATAGTCTGTTTTTATATATTAGTTATCAAGATAATTTAAACTTAATTGGCTTCAGTATGAAGTTATCTTTTTTTTTCTTTTATAAAATTTAAAACATCCTTTAAAAAGAGTTTAATTCTCCAAGCTATGGAGCTGGGAGGAGCAATCATAAACTCGTAGATGAATTTCTGTTTAGGCCTTTCATATTATGGGTGTAAGTGTAGTAACTAATTAATTTTACCTTTCATAAGATCTTCTTCCAAAATTTGAAAAGGAATAACTTTTCTCTTCTTTACCTCTGAGGGGAAAATGTTCTGTTTGTACATCCAAACATTTAGGAAGCAGAATGATTAAACAAATATCGACAGACCCAGGATTTTCCAGCATGTGAAGATTTATGAGTACTACTAACACTGCTAGCAACAAGCAGGGAAACCATACTGAAGTGGTTTCCCGGATATGTCCTTGTTTTCTGGTTCTTTTTTGTTTTTTTTTCTATAACATTGGAGACTTGTAGCTGGTTGGATATATCTGTGTCTGTTCAATCTGAAAATTCTACCTTGGCAGATTGACTGATTTCCTAATGCTAAAGAATGAGAATAGATGTTATTATAGCACAAGAAAGGGATTATCATAAATTAATCAAGTAGCTCCTCTGCACAATTTCCTTAAGTATCTGCCACATGCTCAAAACAAAATTAGAGTAAATTACAGATCAGCACATAAAGAGGCTTGAGATATAACCAGACATTCAAGATACACCCATAATAGATAGGTTAACTATGCAATATATAAACATAACTACATATTTATTTATGTGCTTTATGTTATAAATAAAGAATGGATCCAAAGAAGTGGAAGAATAACAAGAGCTTCAAGAGCTTTAAGAGCTAGTAGTGGGTGGCTTCATAGAAATGTTGCCTCTTGATCTGACATTAAAGGGCCATGTATAATATGAAAAGAGAGAAGGCCAACTGTAGAGAGTACTGGGCAGGATACAAAAACAAACAAAACAAACAAACATCTTGTGTAAAAAGTAAGATATAAGTGTCATCAAGTAATAACAGTGTGAGAATTATATGTGATTACAGACATAAAACCAAGCTGTCTACACGCAGTCTCTTTCTCACATTGTATAGCCTTGCATTGTTCTTACTTCTGGTCATAACAATGCGAAGAAGCAAACAAACAAACAAACAAACAAATAAACAAACAAAAAATCTCCCCCACTGCCCATCTCCATCCTAGTTACTCATTTTTATTTTTTACCCAATCTGTTTTATCCTATAAACTACTGCTAATTAGTTTGTCTAAGCACTGCTTAGATTCTGTCAGCGCCCCTTCTCAAACTCTTAAATACTTTCATTGCCTATGGTATGATGTCCACAAATCTTATTCTAGTATTCAAAATCCTCAGTGATTTATCTCTAACTTGGCTCTCCCGGAATATTTCCTACTTCTCCCTAACTGTTTCCTAACCTCCAACTCAATCTGTTGACTTTGCTTAGAGTGCCTCTCCTATCTTCCAGTCATCAAAATTCCTCCAGAGATTCAAGGTGCACTCTGGTTTTTATCTATTCTGCTCTTTGGATGTTCCCCAAAGGAAATGATGGCTCACTTTTTAATATGCCTATGTTTATTTATTGCATTCCACTAGTCTTTAAACATGTATTTTAAACTCTAGTTAATTTTGATATCTTAACTTACTCTTTAGTTCAGGTAGAAACTATACATTACCAGTAGTCCGGGACTAAAGATTTAGTTTGTGCTTAACAAATGGAAGTGAACTGAACTAAATCAAATTGAATATACCATGCATGAGGAAATGTCTTGGCCTGTAGGATCCACATACGTGCAAAGGGAAATTGCAAAGACAATTGCTCATTTAATAGAAGTATTGTTCTTAATCTCAACAATGGTTTGAAAACTTACTTTAGCATATCATCTGGTGTGTTTCCAACAGAATAGCATGAAAGGACATTATTGTCTTATTTTACTGTTGAGAAAACTGAAACTCAGAGTGGTTATGTGCTTTGTTGAAACTGTCACAATTAGGGAATTCCCAATCTAAGCTTCCAAATCAATGTCTTCTCGTTTTAAGACTTGGGTTCATTCTAATAGACAACTGTGAAATATTCTTATCAAGTCATGTTAACTAGGGAATTCATGTACGTATCAATGACTGTAATTTTTTTTAATCTCTCCACATCTCACATGATCCAGTAAATTAGGCCATGTATTTAACAAATATTTATTAGTACTCCTCCCCAGCACACATACACACATACAAGCAAGCTTAGATAGACACTGGTATGCTCAAGAAGGCCTGAGCTCCACACTCCACATGGAGTTCTCTATGATTCTGGCGTATGGGGAGGGTAGTGGCAAATGCACTAGTTATCCAGTTGCTTCTCAAAACATCCAGGAATTAGATTTTTGTTGTTGGTTTTAAGTTTCTCTACAAATATTTGAGGTCACATTAAACATAATCTTTTTTTACATGAAAATGTACCTAATGGGTTTAAATTACACAAATTCAATGGCAGGGTTTGACTGAAAAATAAGTAATCAATGAATGAAAATTTAACACAAAGCCAGAGAGCCTTCATTGAGGTCAAAATAGAAACCAGACCTGAAGTCTGTATGTTAGGCATACCACAATTATAGTGTCTCTTTTGACATTATGGATATTGATGAACCCTCACAGGTCAGGAACTCAACCTTGGAAAATTGCTTATTCAAATGATGTACAATCTTGAAGTTGCTGAGTGAGCCATAGCTCAGCCTCTCTGTGAATATTCCCAGGGCTTCTCAGGCTGTTCTCAGATGGAAAAGTTGGCAGAAATGCTCAGCTTGCAGTACCCTACATTCCATTTGGATCAATTCCTAGATGGAAACAGGACCTAAATTATGTTGAATCATCTAAACATTTGGGGAGTGGGAGCAGTTGTGGCAATCGCCTCTAAATATATAAGGTGAAGGGAAATGATTTCATAATTTAATTTACTTGCTCCATTTCTTATGTTTACATGCTTAATGTGTTTTTATCCACAGTTGAGGATCCATGACTTTTAGTCCAAGGTTTTTTTTTTTTTTTTTTTTTTTTATTTACCAGTATCAGTACTAAGCTGTTGGTAGCAGTAAGCAAGTAAATACAGGATGGACTAGACATGGATTTATGGCTGTGAGACAGTGTACTCAAGGATTTCCAAGGAGAATTAATAAAGCAAGAATGTGTGTGCAGATAACATAACTGCTGCATGAGGTAAAAATTAGGTGAAAGCTTAAAAGTTTCTATTCAGAATAGAATAAAGGAAAATGGCAGATCCCACGTTGGTACTTAAGAAGGGCCAAAACACTATGATACAGAGTGTGAATAGATAGAAATGCTGAGGTTGAGTCAAAAGAAACAAAATGTAATGAAGACATGAGACAAAATTCATTGTCTATGAATTTTAAAAGACTTTTGCTTCCCACATATGATGAGGAAAAAATATTAAACACAGGAAAAGAAAATCAGATAGGAAGACTTGTTTAAATACTACTGAACCCAGGTTGTTTTTTATGGATAGGCCCATATAAAAGCATAGCAATGGCAGGAAAAGATGACCCCAACCATATTTTATCTATTCTTAACCTTGATGTTAAACACCTTTGCAGTGTGAGAAAAAAGTGACAGGAGAGTTTATGACTATGCCGTGTTCTCCAAAGAAACCCAGCCTTGCAGAGCCAGGCCTGTGAGTGCAGTATAGTAGAGGGAAGATTCAAATCCTGAACATCTGTGTTTTACCAAGCACTTTACATATACTGTTTCATGAAAGCCTGCAAGGTAGTTATGCATTGCACAAGATGAGGAAACCAAGTTGCAGAATAACTTGCTCAATGTCACCTAACCAATAATGGAGAATGATGAAGTTAAAATCATGATGTGTCTGTTGGCAAAGTTTGTACATTTTCTAGCCATGCTAAGCTGCCTCTTGGTTGGTAAGATTCCTAGTTAAATGAATAGAGGTCATTTTCTGAAGTTAATGAGAACTTGGAGTAAAGAAAAAGAATAAAATATTATGACAGAAAGGATGCTTACATAAAATAAGGGAGCTGTCTACACAGCAAGATTAACTCATCAAAGTATAATAATAACGAACAAGAAAAAGGTTTGAGAGAGCTGTGAGGCTGCTAATGATGAAAAGTGTGACTGCAGTTATTAATAAAATAAAAAATTTACTCTGAAATTCCTAGATATAACATCTTCTCAACAAATATAACCAGAAAAACATGCCCAAACACTTGAAGAACTGTAACATCAATTTCTTCCCTTATCACAATTAAATGTTTACTAGTTCATTCTTTTCCATATTCTTTAGTATTCTCAGAGAATTATGCATACTTTTTTACTCTCTGGAATACATTTCAGTGAAACATGTAAAATTTGAATAGCCTGTTATCTGATCTGGAAATAAATGTGCTTGCTAAATACTTCCTGAGCTTTGTTGCCAGTTGGACTTTCAACTCATGATTCCAACATTTCCAGGTTTTCCTTTCTACACTATCTTGTACAAATGAATTGTGCTGAATTTGTGGTTTATAAATGGTATTTGATTTCTTCACTCATGTTTCACCCTTTACAAAAATTCATAGCATCCTAAAGTTAGTTTGAAGGGAACACATTTAGTAGAGTTAAAGGAAGGCAACTCTGCAAAAGGGAACACAGGTAGAAAACTTGAAAAGACTAAAGGTGTGAGTATAATGGTTCCAAAAAGGAGACCTTAGATGAACAGAGTTGCTAAACACAATGTTAGAATTTAATGCTGGGAGAAGAGCAGAGTGAAAAAAATCACAGAACTGGTCATCACCTCTAATGTACTAGGCTTCCAACCAATTATATGACATTGAGAAAGTCTTCCTACCTCTTAAATGGCTGTTTTAAGGCTTAGGGAATAATATTCGCAAACAAGCAAGTCACAGATTTTAGTAGCTTCAACAACAGTGGATTAGCTGGGAGCTCATCTTCGTATCATGGGAGTGAGGGTGACAGAGCAACAATTCTATCTGAAACATTTCCAAACACCAACATAATACAGGAAAAAAAGAATCTGGAAACACATTCTTGGCTCTCAAAACTTCCACATAAAATGACAACATTACTTTTCTATACTCAAACAAATCATCTGCCTCATCCACCTTCCTTCAGGTGAGGTGAAGTGTGATCTTTTATGTTGCTAGAGTAGAAAAAGCTTGGGATTTTGGATAGTCCTGCTAATATAAAGTTTATTTTGTAACATCCTGTGAAACATACTGCTGGGAATGTACACATAAGAGTGAAGAGGCGATGCTGTGCATGAGTACTTTCTTGTTCAAAAAGAGTCCCTGCAACAGCTACTGTCACTGCCAGAAGTAGTGTTATCTCTTGGAGGCCTCCAAAATATATTGGTTTTAACTTAATCAATCCCTCCTGATGCTAGGAAGGTAGCACAGACCAGCCAATAAAATTGAATAATTCAGATTACAGAATTAACTCGTTAATGTCCATTTGTATCACTCCATGAAACAAAGCTCGGTCATAAAAAGACATAGGAAAAATATTTTTTTTTCATAAGAGAGAGGGAAAGTTTTCCAGCACGAGCAGCCAATGTCCGGGGATGCAATGCCTTTCCAAGTGACGGAAGGCAGTGAAAGGGTAACCCTAAAGCACTGAGTTTGACGAAAGAAGGATAAGGTGGAATGGTTTCTTGAATGAATTATCTTTTTCTTCTTTTTTAACAATATCTTAAGGCATAATTGATATGCAAAGAACTGCACATATTTAAGGTTACAATTTCATGAGTTTGAACACATGCAAACAATTGTGTGATACCATTACCACAATCAAGGTTATAGACATGTCCAACGTCTTCCAAAGTTTCCTTTTGTTCCTTTGTTTTTATTTCACTTTTTTATCTTGTTTAGTGATAAGAACACTTAACATGAAATCTACCTTCTTAACAAATTTTGAAGTGCACATTACCATACTGTTCACTAGAGGCACTATGTTGTACAGCAGATCTCTAGAACTTCTTCATCCAGCATAGCTGAAATTCTATTCATTGAACAACAACTCCACACTTCCTCCTCCCACCAGCCTCTGGCAACCACCATTGTACCTCTGTATCCATGAGTTTGACTATTATAGGTACTTCATATAAGTGGAATCATGCAGTATTTGTCGTTTAGCGACTACCTTATTTCAAATAGCATAATGTCCTCCAGGTTCACCCATGTTGCTGAAAATAGTAGGATTTTCTTCTTTAGAAAAATACTCAATATTATTAGTAGCATTAGTAATCACGATAATAATTATAATCCTATATGTGGAAATGTTATGCATTTATATTCATTATCCCATCAGGTCTTGTTAAAAAAAAAAAAAAACTGTGTAAAACAGAACAAGTTACTTTCTTGAAAATTCTTAGAAATTTTACGTTACATGCTCATATGATTAACATATGTTATAGCCCCAAGAAGCAATACACTTCATTTAGACAGAAAATAAAGAACTAAAACATGTACTTTAGCAAAGAGAGAATGGAAGGAGGGAAATTCTATGATTTAATAGCAACCATTCATCAAGATGTACTGTCACTGCACCATTCCAAATTTATAACTAAGCCTGAAAAAGTATATGATATGAAATTTAATTTTCAGTTTTAATTTTTCTCTCTATATGCTTAGAATTAGAGATGCAAATTTCAAGGGAAAAATCATTTTTCAGCAACCTTTTGAGCTTATGTCTTGTTGGGGGAAGACATACATACATACATACATACATGCATATCTGCATATATAAAATAAAACCACCTGGTATTTGAAACTCGACATCTGCCACTATGATTTTTTGGTTAAAGATCAGAACCCAAAGGAATAGAAAAATAACAACAAACAACTTTTAATTTAGTTAGTGTGTACAGAAATATTCACATGCCTCAGTAGATAACTCATTCATAACCTTCCAAAATCTAGCTAAAACATATATTTGTAATTCTCTTTTCTCCAACATGTTTACCTCAGTAACAATGAATTGGTTGATATTGACAAGCTATGAACTTTATCAGCATTTTTTCTTTTACAAATGCCTATAAATGTTCAAATGTTTAAGTTTGTCTTAAGGTCACATTTGCAATGAATAGCAGCAAATTTATTGTTATAATTACTCTTTCCATTCTCTATAATCCCATTGTACTTCATATCACTATTATGGAATGTAATACATTTTACCATGTGCTTTAAGTCTTGTACATACATATGTCTATTTCTGTGTTTGAGAAGACCTTGAGGGCAGGTATTGTGTTTTATTGATCTCTTAATCCCATCAGTTACAAATTCTACAAGCATTTGTGTGTCTAATACTTTCCCTGATTTGAAATAAATTCCCATTGCTCTTCTAGTACACCACATGCCTTCAAAGTACCTAGCCATTACATGAATTATCATTGCTACCTTCAAAACATCCCTAAATCTTTTTAAGACGAAACTGTTTGTTTAGATCTAGGTAACTGAGCAATTTCAAAACATCAGAGCATTAGTTTAGATTCTCAGTAATGTGTCAGGGATGGAGGAGAGAAGTGGGGTGCAGAAAAAGTGTTATTACCACAAAGGATAACTCATTCATGTTACTTTCTGCCACAGCATCTATGGGCTTATTCCTGAGCACTGGCACATATAACTCATGGCTATAGCTAACTGGCAACATGCAAACTAAAAGGACTCTGAAAAGAACTATCTTTGTTTGGAAACAGGGGAAAGATAATCTCTAGGACTCATCTAATTCGACACAAAGTTAGCAGAGAGGAAATTTTTCCCAGTTCCATGCAAAAAAGAGTTGCAGTGTGACATCGGGGCTTTAAAAACACCACACTTTCTGATCACTGACAATGCTGGTGGTTTGGGCCTATGAAACACCTGCAAGCAGGAAGGCACTCATTAGCTGCAATGTGGGTACTTTCTGCAGTGTTGATACATAGCAGGAGGAATCTCACTGTCACATTATGGCAGCATTACTTGAGGCCTTGAAGCTTCCAGAGCATCACCACAGGGAGGGATGCTGACCATTGAGTGGAAGAAAATGGCTAGTACATTGAAAACTGTACTTGTGTGCATATAGGTGATGTTCCCTTAAAGCTATCGGAAATAGAAAATTGTATGGGTTTGGGAATCGATGATAGAGGATCAACTGAGAATTCTGGAACCAGAAGCATTTGAGGAAGAATTCCAACTACTGATTGTGACTGTAAGCGTGGTAGTTGTCATCTCTAGCCGGTATGGCCAGCCAAGTAACAGCTTTTTAGGGATGCAGAAACACAAGTGAACAGAAATGAATTTTATACAACCAGTAAATGAGAGCTGTTGCTTCCTTCTTTAGTCTTTCTGCATTATTTTCTAGAGCTCTTATTTTATACCCTCACTTTCACAAGGCATCAACCATTATGCTGCCCTTCAGCTGGCCAAGAACGTGACTTCTGATTCTCAATAATGCATCTATTTCTGAACCTCTAACTCTATGTCAAAACAAACCATACACTAAACCAGGATCTTTATTTGTAATAATGCAGAGGGCAAAGGATAAGTTATTCAGATGTCTTAATTGTGAAGTACCAGAAGACTACTTCAGCTTTGCCTGTATGCCAGCCCTCCTGTATAAAATAGTATATAATGTTCTGATCTATATGCCAGCTGGTCCTATTGTGATGCTGTTAGGTACCAAACACCAAAGTCCTGTTGTCTATACAGGGAGGTCGTATGGTTAATTAGATCTCTATTGTCTTTTAAGTGTTAAAGTTCTATCATTCATAGTCTGATTAAAGTTAGAGTTTTTTTAAGAAAGCCCTACATATCTGTTACCACTTTTGGGAATTTCCTGACTGCAGGATTTCACAGTGGGAAGTGGCCATTCTTTACAGTAGAGAGGAGCTCTCTGTATTTAGCCATCTTTAAGCTCACAGACTGGAACCCTCGTCTGTTGACTTGTAAGCCTGTATGGAACATATCATGTTATTGGTAACATTTTCACCTCTCAGAGGTTATTTCAAATCACAACACAACAAAAGGAGCAGTCTTGTGTACCTTGAGTGAAATTTTATTGCATCCCACTTTGCTTCTAGTGCACTGATGACAAATTTAGCCTTTTCGTTTTCATTGTAAGGGGAGAGCTGTCAATTTAAAAGAGATGGCAGTCATGTTCCAAAGGTCAGGCACAATTTCTGAGAGTATTGTATGCCTAAGATTTAAGACAGAAGATCCTGAATGTAGTTTTCTTTAAGCTATTTTTCTCCAGTTGGGCTTTTCTAAATTAAGAAATTTAATAAAAGCTAAAATTAGAGTCCAAATTTGGTTTTTCAGCTGTTTATTCATATTTTTTGATGTGATTATGACTAATTAGGGACACAGGCCTTAAAAATGCCCAACCATTAAATTTTTAAGTACATTTATGAAAGGCATTCCAGATTGAAAGCAGGATGACATGAGGAAATAGTATGTTGACTGGTTCTTCCAATTTACTATTGGACAGTAAAAAATCCAAATAATTTCTTAGAGAATTGTAGGAAATCCTGTATTCTAGGTCTATTTTCTTTTATTCTAAGATGCAAAAGTAAAAGAATCTTGACTAAAGGTGCATAAGTCATCAATACCTAGCACAGTTTCAGAAAGTTAGCTTCTGACATTTGTTTTCCTGATGTCTTTCATTCATACGTCAATTTAACACATATTGACTAGGTACTCAGAATATATAATACATTGTTCTAGGACTGGAAAATAGATACCCTAGGTCACTGCTAGTATGAGGTCTACATATCAGTGGTTGGGAACAGAAAATAAACAAACAAATCTATGCTTCCTCAGAAAGAAATAAGAGCTATGGGGATAAATAGATTGAAGGTGGCAGAAGCTGGGGTTCAACAAAGTTGCCTTGTAGAAAAGGACACTGAGAAGACAACCAGAGGAAATGAAACAGCAAAGCCTGCTGGAATTCTAGTGGGGAGAGCATCCAAGACAGAAGGGGAGTACCTGCAAGAGAGCAGTATGTTTGATGTTTCTGATAAGCTGCAAAGCCTATAGTGGCTAAAACAAAGTAAAGGAGAAAGCAAAGAGCAGAAGTGGTCAGTGAGGCTCCTAGAGGAGACCATGGAGGTTTTGCTGGTCATGTTCAGGTGGGAAGTATTTGGAAGATTTTTAGCACAAGAATGGCATAATATGGCTTGTGATTTAAAAGAGTAATTTATTAGGACTGATGTGTAGAGAAGAGTTTTTTGGAGAGTGCTTCAAGGATGGAATTTGGGAGACTATTAAGAGACTACAGAAATAGTCCAATAAAGAGTTGATGATAACTTGAAGTGGAATAGTAGTAGTGGAGACAGTGAGTTGTTTTCAGTTAAGAGGGTGGAGCTGAAGAACCGATGGAGCGGGTTTATTGTGAGTTCTGCTTTGAGTGTGTTGAATTTGAGATACCAATTAAGTATCTCACTGGAAATCCAGAATGGATCAATAGAAGATAATGCTGATTGAAAAAAAAACTATATTCTTATGTGAATGAGAAGGCAATTCTTCAAACCTCAAATATAATTAAAAAAGAAACCCTCTGTAGCATGGTATTAAAGGATAAATATAAAATTTAAAAACAGAAAATTTAGGCTCAAACCACAATTCTTCCATTTCGAATAAGTTATATAATGTCTTTAAACCTCAGTGTCCTATCTGTAAAATAGATTCAAAAATAACTTTTCTAAATAGTTCACATAGTAATTTTTTGAAGATTCAATGAGTTATTGCATAAATGTGCTTTATAAATTCTAAATGAATATTACTTAAAAGTTTCTGCTGATCAGAATTGCCTGCTGATGTTTTGTTTGTTTGTTTGTTTTGATTTTGGCTTATTATTTGTATGTTTGCTTTTAAGCCTCATTATATGATTTGACCTGAGGTTTACTGGGACAGAAACTTCAAGAATGAAGCTCGTTAATCTAGTGTTCTAAAAAAATCAAAACCCTCAACTTTCAATTTGCTTCTAGTTTTGAGACTCTGTGATCCAAATCTGTAACATTTAGTGTGTTTTAAAAATTGTATTTCATTATATAAACTGCTCTGTGAAGTCAAGCCAGTGTTATATCAGATTTGATATACAAAACTTGGCTTTGTTTAAAATTTTCTAGTGGGGACACTGTATGGGATAACAATTCTGTGACAATTCTGAAGTCAGATCTCCAGGATAATTTTGAGGAATATCAAGTTTATCTTCAGAGCCTATCACTCTTCTTCACACTATTTTTATTTGTTCACCTTACATTCTCACTTAAGAGCTCAGGTCCTCTTGGCTAAAGCAACCTGATTGAATTACACACATTCACTTCAGTTCCTATCAACTTAATGCATTATTACACTATGCTCTGAAATATCTTAAGTAATCTTAAGCAATACATCAGCATATTCTAAAGTAGACTTTTGGAAGAGGGACTATTGAACACAAAAGAATAAACAGTAAAATCTGAAATATTTCCAGACTGACATTTATTTAATAAAAAGAACTTGTAAAGGTTTTTTTTTTTTTTTTTTTTTTTTTTTTACCATTTTTGGAAAGCGGTTTCTTTCATCTTCAGAAAAGATGAGTCTCAATCAGTCTGAAGGAAGTTACTGAGGGAACATGGCAGCAGCCCAGGTCCCAAGTTAGTTATTTAAGAAGTCAACTGACTCAGTTACTTTTCATCTGACACAGATGCATGATTATGTGAAGGCGATGATACTGAAACTAAGAAAGAACAAGCAATGGAATAAAAAATAAGATCTATATTAACCAAATATAGATCTTGGTTTCAACATTGTTGTTTGAAAAATCTCTTTTTTTCACACTGTTCTTCATGGAAAATGTGGAAGGACTCAATTAACCAGATGTCAAAATAGAACTAAGTTATCTTGGGTTATATAGAATATGAAACCTTAAAATATTAGAACAAAATTGACTTTCTGTTCTAATAGCAGAGTTTAGACTGGGACCTTGATATCGTAACTGCCAGTCCTTTCTCAATATAGCATTTCTGTCCCTTCATGATTTTTTGCAATGTACTTATTTCTATGATAGCAAGATGAAGCTATGGAAATACTTTTTTTTTTTATTTCATGGCAAATTAATTATCACTTTTTAAGTCAAAAATCAGGTCTATAATTAATAAAAATAGTTTTTCTATCTATTATTGTAGTGAAAAAGCCAACTAGCATGGTATTTGTTTTTCTTCTTCTATTTTAGTAAAACTATATGTAGTTGTATATATATAACATAAAATTTAAAAATTTAGTGAAGGGCTTCCTCCTACTTTCTTCCAGTGAAATATGTTTTCAGAATATGGTTACAATGTTTACACTATCTCTCTTTGGAAATGAATTACTCTTTCTGTGGCTAGCTTTTGGGCGTAAGTATACAGATTCTGTGGTCCACGTACATCAAAGAGAGGAACAAATAGAACAAGAAAAGCCTTGATATCCTGGTGTCCAAAAGTTATGTAATGAATATAAAACAACATGTCTGTCTGCATCTGGAGAAGTAAATTTCTCTGTCATTCTCTTTTTCTCCATGTGTTATAAGCTACATTTTGTCCCCCACAAAATGCATCTATTGAAGTCCAAACCCCTAGTACTTCAGAATGTGACTGTATTTAGAGATAAGATCTTTAAAAAAGATAATTAAGGTAAAATGAGGTCATATGACTGGACCCAATCCAACGATTGGTGTCCTTAGAAAGAGAGGAAATTAGGACTCAGTCACACACAAAGAAGATCATATAAAGACAGTGGAAAGAGACAGCCATCTACAAACCAAGGAGCGAGGTCATAGAAGAAAGTGGCCCTGAAGACACTTTAATCTCAGACTTCTAGCGTCCAGAATTGTGAGAAAATACATTTCTGTTGTTTAAGCCACCCAGTCTGTGGTATTAGTTATGGCAACCTTAGCAAACTACACCAACACCTATGTTTTTATTTTTTTTAACATTCCTCAGAGTGCAAGCCTGTATTTGTTTTTTATATTGTCACTCTGTAATTCTTCATATTGTTTTCTGTGTGCTTTCCTTATAATTATTTGAATAAAATTATCATGCTATAATACTGGTTTGTAGTCATGTACATCTTTGCAAATATTCCAGCAACATTTGCCTTAGCGTGATTCCTTTTATAGCTTTTGAAAACTCAAGTTGAAAATTTTGCTTTTGCAGCTAATAACATGTTTGATATTTAGTTATATAAAAAGCATCCAGAATTTGGCAGACATGCATTAATATGCATGAATAAAGGCAGAGCTGAATCAAAATAGCAAAATAGTTTGTTATCCAACTAAACAATTGGTTACTACTTCAAAATAAAGCATTTTTCATACAGGTGGAATTATCTACTTGGCCCCCCTACCTCATCAGATCTCCCCATCATTCATGCCATGTCATCATGAATTTCTTGCTGTTCTCAACTTGATTTCAACATGGATTTTCTCTTTTTCATGAATTTTGGCTCTGTCTGACCTTAAACCTAAGCTTTCTCTGTATTTCTTACTCCCTCCAACCATGCCCTTTTTTGCATCCCCAATTGCCTTCACTGATAAAATGCAAATGTTAACCTCTGATAAATTGCCAAATTTCCAAATGATAAAATACCAGTATCTTTCCTACTTTCTTCATGGATGGATATTTTTGTGAGGATTCTTTTTACTGTGATGTAAAATATAGTTGTGAACTTCTAGAAGCAGTTGACTACTAACAGATATCAATACCTATTTTAAAAGTCCCACAGTTTAATTTACTAGATTTTCTTTTTTGCTTCTTTAGATTCAGAGAAATTCAATACACAGTTTCTGAAAACCCATTTCCACTCAGAACTAATCACTCTTCTACCATCCTCTCATGCAATCTCCACATTTTGCTGCAGTGGAATTATTATCAGCTCCTTTATAGAGAGGAAGAAACTGAGACACTTAAATATTTAATAACAAGGCAGTTCTCATTCAGCTAGTAAGAGATGAAGCCAGGATTCACACCAAGAGAGTCTAAATATGGAGCTCATGTTTTTATCCATTAAGATATAGGGAGAATAAAAAATGTTTTAGATTAAAAAAAGAGAAGTTGATCTAATAAAGCAATTTAATCAATTCACATTTCATTAACAAAAAGTCAAGAACTATGGAATTTTACTTACCAGAAAATGAATAGAAATATTTCCTTTAAAACAGGTAAACCTTTCCCAGCTCATAAATAATCAAGCCTATCCCTTTTCTATGAAGCTGTGATTTGGTCTCATAATCCATCTCAACATGATGTTCCACATAGTTATGATCACTAGATTGTCATCAGTATTCAAGATGACATCAAATTGTTACCTCTGCACCAAACACTCAAATATGCATGTTCAGAGAAGTAGATAGTAGTTCTTAAAAATGTTCAGTGGAAACACAACTCACATGGTTTCATGCAGGTTCTTATGTTCTTTTTTTTTTTTCTTTTCGAGATGGAGTCTTGCTCTGTCGCCCAGGCTGGAGTGCAGTGGTGCCACTATGGCTCACTGCAACCTCTGCCTCCCGGGTTCAAGTGATTCTCCAGCCTCAACCTCCCAAGTAGCTGGGATTACAGGGGTGCGCCACCACACCCAGCTAATTTTTGCATTTTTAGTAGAGACAGTTTCACCATGTTGGCCAGGCTTATCCCAAGCTCCCGACCTCAGGTGATCTGGCCGCTTTGGCCTCCCAAAGTGCTGGGATTACAAGCATGAGTCACTGCGCCCAGCCACGTTGTTTTATTTTCTACTACCTATGTATTATTGATCTGTGTTAAAAAACAAACAAACAAACAAACAACCACCACAGCAACAAAAAACTCTGGGGAATCAATTCAATTAGTACTCCTCATTATTTTCAGTATATGCTATATATTAATATCTAGCATTATCATAGAAACTGGGGGTCATAGAAGCAAAACACACAGTACTGTGTTATCTTAGAAGCAGCTCAGTATGATGCTGTATGCAAAGCAGAGATTTTAGATTCAAACAGCCCTGGGTTGCATCTCTTTTTGTCACTGTGGGGTTTTAAATTAGATAGCATTCTGATATTTATCTTTATCACCAGCAGAACTAGAAGAATATTGCCAACATCTTGTGTAGTTCCATGAATTCAGTGAGATAATATAAGTTAGAAAATGCATTATATAGGTTAGTTTTAAATGTAATCCAGTATATGTTTCAGGTACCTACTACTATGAACAGATCTGGATAGAACATGGAAACAAATGTCACAGAAAGATTCCCCCTTAAGTGAGAGTATAGATTTTAAACAAGTCATCCCAACTATAACGTGATGGTATTTGTACAAGAAGTAATAAGTCAGCAGTGGCACTAGCAACGCAGTGCTCTCTGCGACCTGGATCGGGAAACGATTTGGGGATGAGAACTAGGCTTATCTCTCATCCAAGGATTATGTATCATTATGGATTCTCCACTGGATAAATGACATATGAATATAACAGAAGCTAAGGCAATACTTTCAGTAAGTTCCTCCCTTTTCTCTCTAAGTCATGTGGGGTAAATATTTTTTCTAATACTATTTCTAAATTTGATTCAAATCTGGCATTTATAGTGTCTCAAACTTTCATTAACTAAATAAATAGTCACTGAGCTTACTATATACAAAACCCTGACTGAGCTATTATGAAATATAAAGATTAATAAAACACATTTTTTTTTAAATGATAGCCTTTAAAATTAAACCATGATGCATTTGAAATTGATGCTTTAAGAGAGTACTATACGGCTTTGTAAAGGAAGACTATCCCTATATGCAATCAGGGAATTCTTTCTGGAATACATTGTTATGTAAAAATATAAAGTAGAAAAAAACATGTATTCCATGCTTTCATTCATCTAATAAAGAGATATGTGTAAATATAAACACACTCATATTTATTTATGTTAAAAATTAGAAGAATCAACCCAAAACGTTTAAAATTATGGGAGAGGAGGGAAGACCTTGAGTGTATAAATAGAAGATAAGCTTTAATTAATATATTTTTTTTACAAATTTGAAATAAGAAAAATGGAAAAATTTCATCACCATAAAATAGAACTGTATTTTTAGAAAGAAAAATTTCTAAGTAGAAATGAAAAGCAAACAAGAGATGTACTTAAATAAATGATTGGATGTCATAAACACACAGAAAGTATCTCAAATTACTTTAAAATGTAATACATTTAACATTATATAAAATATAATATTTTACATATATTTAAACATTCTTTTTAAAAAAATATACTTTAAGTTCTGGGGTACATGTGCAGAGCTTGCAGATTTGTTACATAGGTATACACATGCCATGGTGGTTTGCCGCACCCCTCAACCCGTCATCTACTTTAGGTATTTCTCCTAATGCTAACCCCTCCTTAGCCCTCCACTCAGAGACAGGCCCCAGTGTATGATGTTCCACTCCCTGTGTCCATGTGTCCTCATTGTTTCACTCCCATTCATAAGTGAGAATATGCAGTGTTTGGTTTTCTTTTCTTGTGTTACTTTGCTGAGAATGATGGTTTCTAGCTTCATCCGTGTCCCTGCAAAGGACAGGACAGGAACTCAACCTTTTTTATGGCTGCATAGTATTCCATGGTGTATATGTGCCACATTAGCTTTATCCAGTATATCATTGATGGCCATTTGGGTTGGTTCCAAGTCTTTGCTATTGTGAATAGTGTCACAATAAACATACGTGTGCATGTATCTTTACAGTAGAATGATTTATAATCCTTTGGGTATATAGCCAATAATGGAATTGCTGGGTCAAATGATATTTCTGGTTCTAGATCCTTGAGGAATTTCCACACTGTCTCCCACAATGGTTGAACTAATTTAAACTCGCACGAACGATGTAAAAGCGTTCCTATTTCTCCACGTCCTCTCACCCAGTATCTTTTGTTTCCTGACTTTTTAATGATTGCCATTCTAACTGGCGTAAGATGGTATCTCATTGTGGTTTTGATTTGCATTTCTTTAATGACCAGTGATGATGAGTTTTTTTTCATATGTTTGTTGGCTGCATAAATTATTCCTTTGAGAAGTGCCTGTTCATCTCCTTCACCCACTTTTTGATGGGGGTTGTTTTATTCTTGTAAATTTTGTTAAGATCTTTGTAGATGCCGGATATTAGCCCTTTGTCAGATGGATAGATTGCAAAATTTTCTCCCATTTTGTAGGTTGCCTGTTCACTCTGATGATAGTTTCTTTTGCTGTAAGGAAGCTCTTCAGTTTAATTAGATCCCATTTGTCAATTTTTGGTTTTTGTTGCCATTGCTTTTGGTGTTTTAGTCATGAGGCCTTTGCCATGCCTTTGCTATGTCCTGAATGGTATTGCCTCAGTTTTCCTCCAGGGTTTTTATGGTTTTAGGTCTTACATTTAAGTCTTTAATCATGTTGAGTTAATTTTTGTATCAGGTTTAAGAAAGGGGTCCAGTTTCAGTTTTCTGCATATGGCTAGCCAGTTTTCCCAATACCGTTTATTAAATAGGGAATCCTTATTGCTTGTTTTTGTAAGGTTTGTCAAAGATCAGATGGTTGTAGATGTGTGGCATTATTTCTGAGGCCTCTGTTCTGTTCCATTGGTCTATATATCTGTTTTGGTTCCAGTACCATGCTGTTTTGGTTACTGTAGCCTTGTAATATAGTTTGAAGTCAGGTAGCATGATGTCTCCAGCTTTGTTCTTTTTGATTAGGATTGTCTTGGCTATACAGGCTCTTTTTTGGTTCCATATAAAATTTAAAGTAGTTTTTTTCTAATTATGTGACGAAAGTCAATGGTAGCTTGATGGGGATAGCACTGACTCTATAAATTACTTTGGGCAGTGTGGCCATTTTCATGATCTTGATTCTTCCTATCCATGAAATATGTTTCCATTTATTTGTGTCCTCTCTTATTTCCTTGAGCACTGGTTTGTAGTTCTCCTTGAAGAGGTCCTTCACATCCCTTGTAAGTAGTATTCCTAGGTATTTTTATTCTCCTTGTAGCAATTGTGAATGGGAGTTTACTCATGATTTGGCTCTCTATTATTGGGGTATAGGAATGCTTGTGATTTTTGCACATTGATTTTGTATCCTGAGAATTTGCTGAAATTGCTTATCAGCTGAAGGAGATTTTGGGTTGAGACGATGGGGTTTTCCAAATATACAATCATGTCATCTGCAAACAGAGACAATTTGACTTCCTCTTTTCCTATTTGAATACCCTTTATTTCTTTCTCTTGCCTGATTGCCCTGGTCAGAACTTCCAATACTACGTCAAATAGGAGTGGTGAGAGAGGTCATCCTTGTCTTGTGCCGGTTTTCAGAGGGAATGCTTCCAGCTTTTGCCCATTTAGTATGATATTGGCTGTGTGTTTGTCATAAATAGCTCTTATTATTTTGAGATACGTTCCATCAATACTTAGTTTATTGAGAATTTTTAGCATGAAGGGTGTTGAATTTTGTCAAAGGCCTTTTCTGCATCTATTGAGATAATCATGTGTTTTTTGTCATTGGTTCTCTTTATGTGATGGATTATGTTTATCGATTTGCATATGTTGAACCAACCTTGCATCCCAGGGATGAAGCCAACTTGATCATGGTGGATAAGCTTTTTGATGTGCTGCTGGATTTGGTTCCCTAGTATTTTATCGAGGATTTTTGCATCAATGTTCATCAGGGATATTGTCCTGAAATTTTCTTTTTTTGTTGTGTCTCTGCCAGGTTTTGGTATCAGGATGATGCTGCCCTCATAAAATGTTTCTTTTTTTTTCTATTGTTTGGAATAGTTTCAGAAGGAATGGTACCAGCTCCTCTTTGTACCTCTGGTAGAATTTGGCTGTGAATCCTTCTGGTCCTGGACATTTTCTGCCTGGTAGGCTGTTAATTACTGCCTCAAAGGAATTTACCATTTCTTCTGGATTTTCTGGTTTATTTGCAAAGAGGTGTTTATAGCATTCTCTGATGGTGGTTTGTATTTCTGTGGGATCAGTGGTGGTATCCCCTTTATCATTTTTATTGTGTCTATTTGATTCTTCTATCTTTTCTTGTTTATTAGTCTGGCTAGTTGTCTATCTATTTTGTTGATATTTTCAAAAAACCAGCTCCTGGATTCATTGATTTTTTGAAGGGTTTTTCATGTCTCTATCTCCTTCAGTTCTGCTCTGATCTTAGTTATTTCTTGTCTCCTGCTAGCTTTTGAATTTGTTTGTTCTTGCCTCTCTAGTTCTTTTAATTGTGATGTTACAGTGTCAATTTTAGATCTTTCCTGCTTTCTCTTGTGGGCATTTAGAGCAATAAATTTCCCTCTAAACACTGCTTTGGCTGTGTCCCACAGATTCTGGTACGTTGTGTCTTTGTTCTCATTAGTTTCAAAGAACATCTTTATTTATGCCTTAATTTCGTTATTTACCCAGTAGTCATTCAGGAGCAGGTTGTTCAGTTTCCATGTGGTTGTGCGGTTTTGAGTGAGTTTCTTAATCCTGAGTTCTAATTTGATCGTACTGTGGTCTGAGAGACTGTTTGTATGATTTCCTTTCTTTTGCCTTTGCTGAGGAGTGTTTTAGTTCCAATTATGTGGTCAATTTTAGAATAAGTGTGATAAGGTGCTGAGAAGAATGTATATTTTGTTGATTTGGGGTGAAGAGTTCTGTAGATGCCTATTAGGTCCGATTGGTTCAGAGCTGAGTTCAAGTCCTGAATATCCTTGTTAATTTTCTGTCTCATTGATCTGTCTAATATTGACAGGGGGTGTTCAAGTCTCCCACTATTATTGTGTGGGAGTCTAAGTCTCTTTTTAGGTCTCTAAGAACTTGCTTTATAAATCTGGGTGCTCCTGTATTAGGTTCATAGATATTTAGGATAGTTAACTCTTCTTGTTGCATCGATCCCTTTACCATTATGTAATGCCCTTCTTTGTCTTTTTTGATTCTTGTTGGTTTATAGTCTGTTTTATCAGAGACTAGGACACTGCTCTTCTCGAGCAGTATCTTCGTGGTGTTCTCTGTATATCCTGAATTTGAATGTTGACCTGTCTTGCTAGGTTGGTGAAGTTCCTCTAGATAATATCCTGAAGAGTGTTTTCCAACTTGGTTCCATTATCCCCATCACTTTGACGTACACCAATCAAATGTAAATTTGGTCTTTTCACATAGTCCCATATTTCATGGAGGCTTTGTTCATTCCTTTTCATTTTATTTCTCTCATCTTTTCTTTCTGCTTTATTTCATTATCTTCAATCTCTGATATCCTTTCTTCCTCTTGATAGATTTGGCTATTGATATTTGTGTATGCTTCACAAAGTTCTCGTACTGTGTTTTTCAGCTCCATCAGGTCATTTATGTTCTTCTCTAAACTGGTTATTCTAGTTAGCAATTCGTCTAACCTTTTTGCAAGGTTCTGAGCTTCCTTGCATTGGATTAGAGCATGCTCCTTTAGCTCGGAGGAGTTTGTTATTGCCCACCTTCGGAAGCCTATTTCTGTCAATTTGTCAAACTCATTCTCCATCCTGTTTTGTTCCCTTGCTGGCGAGGAATTGTGATCCTTTGGAGGAGAAGAGGCATTCTAGTTTTTGGAATTTTCAGCCTTGTTGCACTGGTTTCTCCCCATCTTCGTGGATTTATCTACCTTTGGCTTTTGATGATGATGACCTTTAGATGGGGTCTCTGAGAGGATGTCCTTTTTGTTGATGTTGATACTATTCCTTTCTGTTTGTTAGTATTCCTTCTAACAGTCAGGTTCCTCTGCTGCGGTCTGTTGGAGTTTCCTGGAGGTCCACTCCAGACCCTTTTCGCCTGGATATCACCAGTGGAGGCTGCAGAACAGCAAAGACTGCTGCCTGTTCCTTCCTCTGGAAGCTTCATCCCAGAGAGGCACCCGCCAGATGCCAGCCAGAGCTCTCCTGCATGAGGTGTCTCTCGGCCCCTACTCAGAGTTGTCTCCCAGTCAGGATAAATGGGTGTCAGGGACCCACTTGAGGAGGCAGTCTGACCCTTAACAGAGCTTGAACGCTGTGCTGGGAGATCCGCTGTTCTCTTTAGAGCTGTCAGGCAAGGACGTTTAAGTCTGCTGAAGCTGTGCCCACAACAGCCCTTTCCCCCAGGTGCTCTGTCCCAGGGAGATGGGGGTTTTATCTATAAGCTCCTGACGGGGGCTGCTGCCTTTTTTTCCTCAGAGATGCCTTGCCCAGAGAGGAGGAATCTAGAGAGGCAGCAGGGCCACAGTGGCCTTGCTGAGCTGCAGTGGGCTCCAGCCACTTTGAACTTCCCTGAGGCTTTGTTTACACTGCGAGGGTAAAACTACCTACACAAGCTTCAGCAATGGCAGACTCCCCCTCCCCCCCGCCACCTAAACTTGAGCATCCCAGGTCAACCACAGACAGCTGTGCTGGCAGTGAGAATTTCAAGCCAGTGGATCTTAGCTTGCTGGGCTCTGAGGGGGTGGGACTCACTGAGCCAGACTACTTGTCCCCTTGGCTTCAGCCCCCTTTCCAGGGGAGTAAACAATTCTGTCTCGCTGGAATTCCAGGCACTACTGGGGTATGAAATAAAAATTCCTGAAGCCCCCATTTTTGTGCTTGAAACCCAGGGCCCTGGTGGTGTAGGCACTGGAGGGAATCTCCTGGTCTGTGGGTTTCAAAGACTGTGGGAACAGCATGGTATCTGGGCCCAGTGCACCGTTCCTCACTGCTTCCCTTGGGTAGGGGAGGGAATTTCCTGATTCCTTGCACTTCCTGGGTGAGGTGATGCCCCACCCTGCTTTGGCTCACCCTGCGTGGGCTGCACCCACTGTCCAACCAGTCCCAATGCAATGAACTGGGTACCTCAGTTGGAAATGCAGAAATCACCCACCTTCTGTGTTGATCTCACTGGGAGCTGGAGACTGGAGCTGTTCCTATTCGGCCATCTTGCCAGCAATCCTCTATTTAATCATTCTTAGGATAATGTACCTTAAGAACAAAAAGAACTGCTCTTAAAATATGTTATATAATATTATTAATTTTGGGGAATCATATTTTTGACAGTGATACTAGTATTGTTTTCTTTTTTTGGTTTGGTTATAGTTGACTTCTATTTCCCATTAAAAAGCTTTATTGAGGTTTAATTCATATATAATACACTGCACACAGTTAAAGCATACAGTTTGGTATACTTTGGTACTCGTATGGATATTTTGGTACTTGTATGTATCGAGGGGTCATTAACTTTTATTGCTGAGAAGTATTCCATTGTGTAAATAAACCACAATTTTCTTGTTCATTCACCTGTTGATGAACATTTGACTTGATTCCAGTTTTTTTACTATTAAAAATAAAGCTGCTATGAAAATGCAAGTCTTTGTATAAATGTATGCATTCATTTGTCTTAAGTAAATACTTAGGAGCAAAATGACTAAGTCATGTAATAGGCAAATTTTTAACTTCTTATGAAAATTACAACTTACTTCCCAAAGCAGTTGGACATGCTATATTCCTTTTAGCAGTGTACAAGGGGTCCATTTCCTCCATAACCTTGTCAACCCTCGACATTTTCAAAACTTTAATTTGTGTTACTATAATTGGCGTTCAGGGTATCTTATTGTGGTTTTAGTTAGCATTTCCCTAATGGCCAGTTTCCTTAGAAAATCTCCTCCACATCTCTAGTTGCTTTTGGCAGGTACATTTTCTTAAAATATACTTGAATTCTAAAATGTAATGTCTCTTTTAACATAACTATGTACACTCTTACTACAATTAATACAATTTGAAACAAAATAAATTAACAGTAAATTCCAGTTTTATTCCATTTGCAAGACTGTTTTTTTCAACATGTGATTACCATAGAATATTTCTGTAGAGACTAGAGCTGTGAAAAATGTCTGATTCTCCAGGTGGTGGGTCCTGTTGTTCCCATTTACCTTAGCAGGTGTGTAATGGTAATATAATATATTATAGATGTTCTGGTCTGTTTTTTCCTCCTTCTTTAAGAAAAAATAAGACATCCAGGTCCTCATCATTTTATTAATCAAATATTTCTCAGGATGTGAAAAAAAAGAAAAAGGAATATAAAAGCAGTGATATGAAATAGGTAATGAAAGATGTTAAAATAAGAAATGAGATAATGGAAAAAAATAGAAGAGTAAATAAAGAATGGTGGCTGAAAATACTGGGGAGAAAAGTAAATGAAACATAGAAAAGTGAATAAAATTTAGAAAAAAGTCAAAGAATGTGAGAATAAGCCTAAACATCTAGCAAAGCCAGTTGATGAGGTCCCCTTGAGGAGAGTGGAATGGTATGGAGGGAAGGGCAGGGCAGGCCATGAAATCCTCTTGAGTACTATTCCTTCCTACTTGATTCCATTGCCTATGCTCCTTGATCCTCAAGTTTTGCTTCTGTATAATAAGGTTAATGATATCTGCTCCAGGTGATTGTTATGAAGATTTTTTTAAAAGGTGTATTAAAGATTCTGATGCTCAGTAATTAATGGTCCCTAACCTATACAAGGAGATCCACTAGGGAAACTTGAAAATTCAGTCAGCAATAAGAGAAGCCTTATTACAGAGTCCATTGGCAGAAAGTCTGCATTGAAACGGGTTGGGCAAAAGCAGCAATTTATTCATGTCTTACAAACATGGTCTTACAAACATCATACAGAGCTGGCACAAAAGAACAGACACTGTCTCACACACCATGCTTCCTTCCAAAACACTTCTATTGAGTTACAACATCAGAACAAATCAATTACTGAGTTACACAGTTCTTCAAACATGTATACCTCCCCATTTGGGTGGTGAGATTGGCTAATCAGACAAACAATTAATTTACATGTTTAATACAGTGCAGGATTTGTAACAGGATTCAAGATATTCACATTGATATTGTAATACATTCTAAAACAGTACATTTTCAGAAATGATGAAATTAGGTATTAAGATCTCCCTGCCTGTTTCAATTCCTTTGTTGTTTCTTTTCTCTTTTCTGAAAACCAGTTGCAAATAGTTTTACTCAACTTTTCACACTCAAAAACACTTTAAATTTTAAAAGCTAAAAACTATTTACAAATTATCCATTTTAATTTTAAAAATGTTTGTTGTTGGTTTCATTGTTCCATGTTAAAAAAAAAAAAATCGGCCTCGTCCAACAACCATACCTCAGCTGCTACCACCATTAACTTCTGGCTGCCGTGAAGAATACTTAGAATTGGCCCCTTACAACTTTTCAGAGGTCCAACATATATTCTGTTCCACGGCCCATGATACCAAATGCACATACATAAAATGGCCATTTGACTTCCCCAAACTACACACCTACTACAGTTCATTTCATGTTGCTTTCACAGAGATGCCGAGTGGAGCAAGATGCTGTGAGGTGACTTTGTAGTGGAATGAAGACAATGATTGGGAAATATGCTTTTTTAATCCCAAAGTCATTTTAAAGCACAAAAAAGAGGTTGATTTTTAATCTTTGTACATACAGAATGTAATACATTTTCTTTACATTAGGCATAGTCATAAAAAGCATGTATAAGTTGTTTGGAAAATGCATTTTTCATAGAATTTACAAACACTGTGATATCAAACACATTCTCAAAAACTGCTAAAGTACTGACACAAAACCTGACTCAAAATGTAAATTTTTCAGTAGACTTAATTTCTAACTTGCATATTTAATAATTCAACTGTACTCAAGTTCCACTCATACTTCTCTAAGAACTCAAATATAGTGACATTACTCTCAAGCTAATTCTTTTCAAATAATCACAGGGTGCAGCTTTAATCTAACAGGTTCTGAATGAATTTCAGAACCCTGGCACTGGAAAATGATACAAGACACAAGTCTGTAAACTGCTCTATAGACAACAGCTCAAGACAAATTAGCCTAGAAAAGATAGTGAAACACATTCTTTGTTGTGCTAATTTGACAGCCTAAGCATATTTTGCGTGAACATATGTAAATTATATTAGAATTGCTCTTGAACGATTTTGTAGTCTTACATTTGTTTGTTGGTTAAGTAACACTTTTTATCTGGCAATGTAAAAAATCTTCACAGTCTTTTCAAGTAGCATCTTAATCTTTTCTGGGGGACAATAAATTAAATGAAGACTTAGGTGGCCATGCCGACTCTGGGTACAAACGATGGCCTTAAAAGTACACTTGCACACTATACCTATTTCCTATAAGAAAATTGCACTTCTAACTGGATTTCTAGTTGAAGTTTATTTCTTTATTCACTAACTAATTCAACAATTTCACAAAGGTACATAGGGATTTCTCAGGCCACACTGAGGCTTGTGACAGGCAGTGAATAATCCAAGGCCATGGTTCTTATGTGAGGTTATATTTTACAAAATTTTGACTCACATGTAACCTTAGGGGGGAGAAAAATTATATTTCAGCCACAGTGTTCTCAACTCAGCCCTTTGATAAAATAATTTCTCAGCTTGTTCACTGTCCTTTTGAAATGAATCTGAGTTACTCTTATGATAAAATTGCATCAAATAATTACAAACCAAACTGAAATGACCAGATACTTTTATATGCAGGACAACCATTTGCACATGACAGAATTAATAAATACAAACTGGAGGACATTTTTTTAGTATCTTTGGATTTAAAGAAAAATTGATTTCCCCAACCTGAAGATAAATGGATAAATTTTCACAAGGCAAGGCATACTTTTCGTTTTTAAATCTTAATCACATTAACTTTTTGTGACATGTTCCAATGAGATTGTCACATTTATAATTTGGGATTCTGGCACAGTATTCATAAAATGTCTGACTATTCCTAGTTATATCACTGGTAATCTGAAGGAGATATTGAATATCTTATGAAAATTTATCCAACTCTTCTAATAAATAGGGAAATTATCATAATACACATTTGAAGTTACTTTCTGGTCTACTAATTCAATCCATTTCTAGCAACAACAACAACAACAAAAAGGTAGCTTGATTTCCCAAGCTTGCAATCCAATATAGAAAGAAAGAAAATTTCTCCTTGCCTAGTAAAAACCTTTAAGTTCCAACTCACGGCTAGGATGCTAACCATCACAGAGCACGTGCCACTTGGCAATTTGTCTCCTGGGGTAGTCACAGATCTCTTTCCAGTGCTCTCCACCAGTTCCTTCTGCTGCTGCACCCAAGACTAACTGCCCGATTACCTCATTTCGGGACCCCCTTTCAGAATCCAAAACCAAAAATTCAACACTTATATCTTCAAGGCCCTCACAAGGAATATCAAAGACAAACAGCTCATTGAACACTGCATTGGGGGTGCATTTCTTCACATGAGTCTTCTTCTTGGAGATTCTCTTTTTGGCATGGTACAGGTTCACTTTGACATAGGGATCTGCAGTGGAACATAACAGGCATTACAATGGCATAACTGGGCTGGAGAGCTGATATCAAGATAACAGTGCCCTTAGAGATCATGGCATGCCAATGACATGTGGTTACCAGGAAAATAAGTCAAAACAACAGAAAAATATGGATAAAACTTGGCATTTCTCTTGTCAACAGAATTGAAAATAAGGAAGAATATGGAAAATAAGAGAAAAAAGTTCTAAATTAGAGAATAAGGGAAAAAATTAATGATAGGAAAAGAAGTAACACAAAAGGAAAGAAAATAGAATGTTCTATGGACCCATTCTGATTACTATTAACTTACTCCAGAGAATAGGATAGAAGGAAAAAAATATATTAGACAACATGTAGCTTTACTGACTTGTATGACTTTGGGTGAGTCTATTTCCCTGACTTTTGGCTGTGTTTTCCATCGAATGAGGATTTAGAGTCCACAATGGCAATATTCTTTTTAGTTTTAACTTTTATGAATTTCTTTAGTCACAGGCTGGATTTGCTTTCTGTTTCCTAGTGTTGAGCTTCTCTGTGTCATTGTTAGTATGTAGATTTTAAGTTCATGCTACTTTATCACAATTACTTTTGCCTTTTTCTGGTGGCACCATATGAGTTAATTTTAGCTTCACAATCTAATCTTTTAAGACCATGTTTTCAACTCCCATCATTAAATAATAATAATATTATTAGATGATATCTGAAGAAGTATGTATTTCTAGTTCTCACAAGGCCCCTCAGGATGAGTAGCATTATGTCCAGTTTGTACAGTTTAAGAAACATACCCAATCATATTTTGCTAGTGAATGGAAGGGTTAGGATTTGAACTCAGGTAATTTTAAACTGTAGCTTATTTTGTTTCTCATTGTGCTATACAACATAAAATTGGCGTTTTGTTTCATTTTTTGTAAAGCTAGTCATAAAACTAAAAGCTAACTTTTATAGCAGATACATAAGGTATTAGAGAAAAGATAGAAGAGTAAGAGTAGGTGGGCTCATTTGCAGTCAAATACATTCCAATCATACAGTGAATCTGAATATTTCAGAAGCATTCTTACCTGAAAGTCCGGACACATCAGATTTAGGCAGATGTCGAGCTTTTAAGACAACCACAGTTAGAGTGTTTGTGGTGGACTGATAGCAGAGAGAGATCAGTAACTCACCCCGTCCTGAAGACTTCTGCAGAAAGAGAAATGTGATATAAGTATTTCTATCTTTTTAACTTTGAAGTGTGTACTTTCATTAAAGTTTAAATAACATCGTCATTTAAATATAATCTTACTTATTTTTATTTTAATATTCTAAGGAATTGAAGAGTAACTAAAAGCTTTTGAGCAGTACCATCGCTGCTTGAAAAACCACTGCCTGCCATCTTGTGGTCTTGTTTGGTACTACAGGAAGTTAAAATTGGCAATAAATTGGCCACACCCATTACTTAGAAATGTTTAAAGGATATTTAAATTATATCCTACACAGGATTATTTTTGGCTTTTGGTTTTTAATAACATCTCTACTTTTCAAAGTTATTAATAGTAATAAAGCTTATCTAATTCTTTGCATGAGTATGTGTTGGGTCAAATGACTACACATACTCATGCAAAAAATTAGATAAGTTTGATTTGATTTCAAATTCTTTAGCACCGACATATTGAAATTTGAACTCAGACCCAGTGAGAATTATTCTGATCCCAACTACATTCCTGGCCCAGAGGGATAATGGAGTTAAAATTCTCTGCCTCTTTCACAACAGCAAGTTTCCATTTAAGCCAAGGAATGAATTGATCTTAAGCATTGGAGAGCATTGTTTTTGGACAGTGTCATAGCGTCCTTCTTTGCGTGCTACTTAGATTTCATTTGTACTTTAAAGACAATAGATAAGATATACAATAATTCAAAGTAAAAGTTTTGACTGAAAGTAACAATATATTAACTTGGTGTTTGTTTGCAACTGAGAGTGATGGCTGACACAAAACTAAAACTGCAATATATTTATACAAAAACTAATATGGGACAGCTGTATAAGTAGGCACTCTAAGGAGAATAAGAGTAGAAGAAAGATCCTTATTCCCACTGTATCACTTAACCAGCCGGGTGTCTCAAACAAGCTGTGGAATGTATCTGAACCTTGACCGTCATTAATTTCAATAGGAGAGGAGACAGTCAAAATGAGCTCTCAGGTTTTCAGCTCTGAAACACTATGTTGTTTAAAAAACACAAATTAGTATGTCTATTGATTTTTATAAATCATTGTATTATAGAGAGAAGTTATTCTGATATACCACTGTTGAAATCGAGTTTCAAATTTAAAGTGAAAATGGGGTTAAATTTGTTTCATTGATGTCTTACTATTTTCTAATAAACCCAGAACTACCAGAGTAGTGTAACTACAAAAATAGCGGGACTCATTTCCTACTATACAATTTAGAGATGAGCATTTATAATTGAAAATGACGTGATGCCTCTTCCTTGAAAGGCAATTCCATGGAAAGTCAATACAATTTCCAAATCTTCAGGAAGAATTGATTTAATTTTAAATTTCAATTTTAAATTCAATTATGTTGACCTTGAAATCTCTTTGTTAACTTGCTTATGAATAAGAAATATTCACCTGTATTTTAAAGTAGCAGTGTCTGTCAAAATATTTATGATAGAGATTAACAAAAGTATTTATATAGGTGATATCTAAATATCCATAAAGAATGCCTATTTATTTTACATCATTAAAACACTTTGAGTATTTCAGTTATGGATTAAATTTTATTTCATCTGTTCTATTCCCTTGATCTCCATTAGATTATAATTAATAATAATTAAACATGGTAAGGATGATATGTACAAGCTTATCATATTAATAAAAATTCCTTAGACACCAAAATGCTACATAAAAGATTGTTTATAAATACTTTAAGCACTGAAAATAAATTACCCTAACATTTCTCTTGATGATCTCTCTATTCATTAACATTTTTCCTTCAGATAATTCAATTCCCGAGAGAGGAATTAGAACTTCCCCAATGATATCATCTCTTGAAAACCTGTCAAAACTCAAAATTGTGAAGTGCAAGGCCAATTCTTGGATTTGGGTGTAGGGTATCCCATAGAATGTAAAGGTCTCATCAAAAGCTGGATCCAAGGTTTTTCTCAGCACTCTAGTTTTCACTTTATGCTTCTTCTCTGGGAGGATCGTCATTTTGATATATGGGTCAGAGGTCATCGACTGCTCATCCATGGCTGGCAAGCCACGGGCTTCCTTGATATTGACCACAAATGCTTTTCTCTCGAAGTTGTATTCTAAGGAGAAGAAGAGAGTTCCCAGCTTCTCTTGTTTCTCTTCTGAAGTAAGGGAAGTGCTGGACTTTAAACTCTCAGGGGAAACTGACTCTTTTTCCCCTTCTAAAAAGAGCTTCGGGGTTGCATTCTCCAGATCAGAAGGACTGCCAGGTTTGAGGTTGGTTTTGGGAAAATTGCCATTGAGATCTCTCTTTTCAAGATCCAGATGCAATGAATTCTTTGGCACAGCTGGCTTATTCTTTACTTCATTTTTATCATCTGCTCCAAACTTCTTTTTGCTATTTAGGTTTTCAGGGTAAATATCAACTCCCTTAAGCACATGCACAAACTTGTATGGAGGAGTCTTGTTAGACTTGGATGATTTTCTCTGACAGCAGATCCATGCAAAGAGAGAGACTGTGAAGACCAGGCCAAATGCACTGAAGATCCCCACCACTGTGGGGATTTCATCTGAAAAATCAAATGACCAATAATATACATTAAAGAAGCAGAGCTGGAGATATGAGCCTTTTGAAAAGCCTAATAGAGCTAGCAATTGCTATAGGTTGGATAGATTGAATTACTTTCCAACTGTTCTGGGTATGAGTTAAGTGTATATTTCACACTAACTTCGGGTACAAATACATCCCCACAGGAAAAACATAAAGTGTGCTAGAAATTCCTTCATTTCAGTGGTTTTTCATTAATGAAATAAAAAGATGAAAATGGTCCTGAATCAGATATGGGGGAATGCTTAATGACTCTGACCTATCTTTGTTTTCTCAGATAACATGAGACAGCTACAATATGATGGATCAGTACTAACTTCATTATTTTTTATTGTCATTTTGAGGCTTTCCAGAGCATCACTTTTTACTGGAATTCTAAGTAGTTCTTTACTCAGAATTCAAGCAGCAAACATTTAGGGACTCAGTGGTTCACTCAATTGTAGGAAATTGATTGTGAAATGATATTTGCCATTGCCACAAACTCATTAATAATTTTCATCCCAATTATGGAACAGTGGTAAAAGAAATATACATATATTAGAGAAAGTAAAACAAAAACAGAAGAGCAACAAGGTACCGATATTTTGTAACTTATAACACTATCATCCCTTTGTATGACAATCCCAAATTTCTCAGTCAAACACTGAATTATACAAAGTATAAATTAATTAAACTTAAATAAGATAAAAACAGAACAATGGTTATAAGTGAATCAGCATTCTTTAACATGTAATGAGAACAGTGAGATTTAGAGTTCAATTTTATCTATAACTGTCTCTTCCTCTAGCACATGGCATGGCAAATGATAATCAAACTGAAATTGTCATTATTTTCTTGAATGATGGCACATTAAATTACTGACATTAGGTAATATCAATTATGCATAAGGCTTATCCTATTTTATATGTAAGCATCTTTCTTGAACAAATGGTTAGTAACACTATGGAAGTAAAAGCAGTATTACTACATCTATACATAGTGAATCCATAGAGTCAATGCTTAATATCATCAAAGTGAAAATAACTAATGTAATATTATATACATTTAGTTCCATTGCAATATGCTTTTATCCTGAATAGTAAATAATAAAGTTATAAGTTCCAGCCCAGAAAGGGTTAAAACTTTTCTAAATAACCACAAGAAATCCAGTCTTTTGTTACTTCCCTTCCCCATCCCCCCAAATCTTCTGCCAATCTACTTCACAATTATAAAACTGAACTCAGAGAATGTAAGGTTAAGAAAAGACAAATGAAATAGAAGATAAAAAGGCCAATAAAATCGCAATAAAAATCCTGTATTTTAATGTACAGAAACTGAATCATGTAAAGATGAAATAAACCTTTGACTTCTCCAGGTGGAAAAAAGAAACAGTGACTACTACAGTATAAAGCAAGAGCTAAAGATAATCAGCTAAACTTGGTATCAGCTTTTCAGTTTTTCCTTCTATTCAAGTCTTTGTGAAAAAAAAATGCACCCACATTCCTGGACCATAATAACCCAAGGCCAGGGAGCAAAAGCAAAGTCATGAACTGAGAGAGTTCTTTAGCCAATGTAAAAACAATAAAAACAGTAGAAAATCATTTTTTAAAAGTAGACTGATAGTCCATGCTAGAACATATTTTCACTGGCACAGTCTCTAAAAATTCCTCCATATTAGAAAATCATTCAGGTTTCAAATGAAGAATTGGGAATAAATGTCATACCAAAATAAACCCAATAACCCAAATGGAAGGCTGGGAAAGAAATTCATTTATGAACATAATATCACAAATTGTCCCTATTGAATAGTTATGTCAAATGGCAAACATTTTCTATAACGTGGAAACACTTATCTACTCCCTATGTATTCTCTACTGATAAGGTCTTACAATCTTGAAAGTCAAGATCATAGTTATTTTACTCAGCTTAATAACAATTATCACACATCTGTAGATATCACTCCTCTTCACAACCTTCTATGAAATTTCATGATTTAAAAAATACGTGTAAGTAAAATTCTGACCTTTTTCCTTTGGAATATACTGAGATCTAAAAATAGTACTTTTTTACTCTATGAAGTACGTCTAATTTTATGTACTGAAACCAAAAACTTGGTGTGAGAAAAGGAAAACTGAACGGGAAAATTGGAGCCCTAATTCAAGTTTCCAGCAGCTTTTAGCTAATTGTGCAACCTATAATACTTCCCTCATCTCTCTGGGCTTTGGTTAGCTCAGCAGTGAAATGAAATGGGCTGAGCCAGTTCATTTTGAAACTCTCTTTAACCCTGCTACCATATGATTCTGTCTTTCACTAGCAACATATTTCAAGGATACAAGAAAAACATAGCAGAGAAAAACACCCATATGGTACGCCCTGTAATAAAATATACATTGCCAAACCCCAATAGACAAGTTGCTTTTTTTAACCAAGATCAAACCCCAATGTAACCAGAGATATATTTATCTTCTCCTAATAAAATATAGATTTACCTACAAATAAGAATCACCTACAAAATAGATGAAACCAACATGGGAAAAACAGACCCCTTTTTCTTTACTCAGTACATGCTGCAATTTACAGAAGTACCTGAAAATTTAAGAACTTCCTGAAGGTAAATTCTCCCTAACAGAAGACAGTTTCAGGGAGAGAGATACCAAGGAAGGGAGAGAAGCTGCAGAAATAAGCCACAATTGCCTGACTGCCATTCTCATTTTCCTTTTAAATTAACTACCTAGGAAATCTGTATTCAACAACCGGGCAAAAAATAAATGAATAAACAGTCCACCCCAGAGTATTCAAGGAATAACCGCAGTCATAAGTTCAGTAACTTGCTTACCAAATTCTTCCCGGCTGGTGGTGATCGGAGCCATTTTTTACTGCGTGTTCTGTCCGAGGTGCTGAAGGGAAAACTGCCTGGCTGGATTCACTTGCCTGGATCTCAAGCGCCGGCTTTCGGAGCGCTGAAAACAACAGCGCAGAGCCCAGGGCACCAGCTCCTGGAACAGGGAGGAGGCAAAGAGGGAGGTCCACTCGCCCTCGCACAGTGATTTGCCACCTCGGTTCCTGTTTTGGCTCTTCTGAGAAGCTCGTCTCCGAGACTCCAGACGTGGCTGGAACCCGAATTGACGCAATCCTGACGCTACAGGGCTGAAATCAGCACCTGCCCCCCTCCCCTCCTCCCTTCAAGCTTTCCTTCTTGCTTCCTCCCTCCTCTCTTGAGGATTCAACACATGCTCATCAATTATTTTAACTGTTGGACCACTAGAGATTAGCTTTGCTGTTTTGTGGGGGCTCAGAGGCTCACCGAGATAAGCCCCGAAACTGATCCCTGTCAGTTCCTAATATAAAATCTCCTGATCACCTAGATGAATAAAAATATGTTTCTGAGTTTTCAGAATAACGTAACTTACAGAGGAGAAGTTTCTGCTTCAAATTACTCTTTTTAACATGCAAAAACATGTTTTCTTGCTTTTTAATTTTTTTCTTTGACATGTTATACCTATGATACTTATTACATTTAGAAAAGATTCACTACAAATTGATGCATTTGATATAAGATAGTTTTCCCAGTATAATCCTTTATGTTCTAATAAATTATTAGTCTAAATATTTTGCTGGAACAGTTGATCTTTCCTGGTCTCTCAGCTCTCTTCCCTTTAATATCTGACATTTGACCAGTTAAAGCACTTAGGAACAGATGGGGATAATTCCTTGGATATTCAGAGTCACTCTCAGTTATGACTTTTGCAAATAATAAGGCGCTTCTGAAATGACATTTATGGTTAAAAGGCCTGACTTCTAGTACGTTTGTACAAAATAGTTTCCAAAATCAGGCCAACATCTAAAGTAACATTGGTAACATTGGTTATTTCAAAGGAAAGCATTCCTTTTTCTAAACTGATGATATTCTCGGAGGTGAAAAACTGTGAAAAATATGGTGTCGGATTCTGATTCATTGGAATCTGAAGAGTGTGCCTTTCTAAAACAAATGCTTAGCAATTTTTCAAAGGAAAGAAGTCAAGCTGTAACTCCAACTGTCAATTATTGCTCTGCAAAGAATTTCTTTGCTCTGGAGTTAATAAGGAAATGGCATTCAGTGTGTGCTGGGATGTGGGAGAAGGGATACAGGGTGAGTCTCAGAAAGCTACTGTGCAAGTGACAGGTCCCTGCACATTGGCTAGCAGCAGCCCAGAGCATCAGGGCTCTGTCTGGGGAGAAATTGGCTTCAGTTCTTTGCATCATGGAAAATTTTATAAACCAGTCTTTTTTCTTTGCTATTCTATTTGCTCCCACATACTTGGCATTGGAGTGTTCCTCTAACAGATTTTTTTAAACTTTATATCTTCATGCTTTGAAAACACACAAACTAATTTGCTGTATTTAATTTTTCTGCTGGCAGAGTCTGTGGTTGTGTCTTTATCATTTCACTTTATTCAGATTACCTATTTCCTTAATTATGCATGCATGCACCCTGTAGGGTTGTCCCTAGAAACAAATATCCATTAGGTTAAAGAATAAGTGGCATTTATTTGTGATGCATATCATAGGTGGACCAAATACATGGTGTGATGTTTACTAAAGTATATATTTTCTAGCTAAGTTATTGCTAACATATGTTTAAGCTCATTTGTTGTAAACATAAATACCTTATGTGTTTGTTCTATAAATTAGTATCTCATTAATTTTACCTTCAGATGGTATAATGTTGTTATCTGTAAACTGTACAGATTGTTTAAACTCTATTTCTACGGAACCCACCCCATCCTTTGCTGTCTGACATCTGAGGAAACATCGTGATAAGATTACCTCTTGCCCAGAGCTAATGCTATTGTGGACTAAGTAACTATTTCATTGCTTGCTTTATAAGCAAACTGAAAAGAACTGTTATTAATTAAAATGCCTGAAGTTTCCCTCATTTTCATTTGATGAATAACATTTTAGGTATTATTCAATCTCTTTAGACAAGCTTCTAGCAACACCAGATGAGGAGTGGGCAGTAGACAGACCCCACACAGAGAAAAACCTGTACGTTTTTATGATTGAGATTCACACCCTACCACATTACTGAATTATTCTTTTTAGATCCATCAAACAAGTAACCAATTTACTGACGTGCAAAATACCGCTCTAGCAGGGGAGACTTGGGAGGAGGAGTTGTTGCTAGGTAACCACTTTTTCACCACCCAAAACACACAGCCTCAAACAAGTTCTTGCTTTGGCAAACACAGACCATTCTGTGCAGGCGGCAGTATTTACTTCAGAATGATTTTTTCACTGTTAAAATGGTTCAACTTTCACATTACTTTCTTTTCCAATTGCAAATGTCTATACATAATTTGAGAAACAATTAATAGAACACTTGAATTTAGTTTTAAGAAATTCAGTTTAATCTGAAAGCTATTGATGACTAATTATATGTTTTTATTCTATTTTATAACGTAATTAAATTTAGTATATATTTTGATTTTTAAATTATTGTTTATGTTATTTATTAATTGTATAGTTCAGTCTATATTTTCTCTTTTCTTTGAAAAATATTATTGGTGAAAGTATTTAGAACCTCATGCTAAGAAAAATATAATTTCAAAAAGTTTTGAAAATGTTGCCATGATCTTCAGTAATCTTTAGTAATACCTACATTAGTAATAAAATATCACTTTACTAAAATATCATTTTACCTACTGGTATGTGGGTGGAGTAGACTGAAGTATCTGATGATGGGAAATGGATAATTGTTTCAATGTTCCATATTATTATATTATGAATGCTGACAATAATGCTAATGGAATAGATTTATATTACAAACACACCCAAGTAAAAATCTTGCAAGACAAATCCCTCTTCATTTGGTATCACAGAAATCCCTTTACTACATTTGTTTTTCTTCAACATATTCAGCATTTACTATGTGCATTTAATAGTTCATATATGACAGTGAAACCAAACCACCAAATAAATAAGTAAAGCTTATATTCTTCTTTTCTTTATTTTCTTTCAACACATATTAAACATGTATCACTAGATTTTTACTAAGTGAGTGATTTATATTTGTCAAAATGAGAAAAAATGATCTTTTTCTTCATGGAGCTTACAGACTATACAAGAAGTTGACAGCTTTTTTCTCTAGAACTAGACAAAGAAACTTATGAGATCATCGTTACATACATATTTATTTTGCCTTGTTCTTTCTACAAACTCCGGTCAGCACTATTCTACAGCCATCACACCTATCTTATTCAGTCTCTTCTTATTGACCTTTTCCCCCTCACTATGGATCCATTATGATTCTTACACAGATTGCATTTTTTCTTTCCCTGTATCTCTCTATAAATTCTTTATCCTTTAAGAATCAGTTGAAGTTTCATTTGTACTATGAAGTTTCTGACTTATCAGCACTCATGGATTTCTTCTGATTTAAATTCTTACAACACTATCTCTAGTGAAGTCTTTTAAGCCAGCTTGACATATCCTTGATCTACATACCAACAATCCCAAAAAGATAAACCAAAGGCCTTCACTAATGCTAACCCCAAATATTCCACAAGATTCTTAATTTTTTATCTTCTCTGCACTAATTTATTTTTAGGACTTCTATCTCCATTTTATTTTTACTTTTTAGGCCTGCCTTCACACTGCGGCCTTTGAATACACTTCTCAAATTCCTAAGTCTTGATATCTCAACAATAATTTGATCTAGAGCCATCCTAGAAGATTTTTCTCTTTCAGTTCATCTTGAATGTATTTCTTGCTAGCTCCTCTACCTCCTTTTCCAATCTATTCCTAAGTGAGACCTCTCTTAGCCTTCCATTATCACTAAAAAACTGGGATTGGGCAGAGCAGAAGTATACTAAATTATTCATTTCAGGTAATGGAGATGTAAAAAATGTTTTATTATTAGACAATATTTATTTTGAAAATATAAAGATAAACACTGGTAAAACTGGCATGGATTAAAGCTCAAAAATTACTGGATTATATATACTCTTACATAAAATAGACAGATATTAAAAAAACAGGAAGCAAGAGTAAGGTTAAAATGAATCATAAAAATGATACAAAAGAAAAACAAGCAGATAAATTGAGCAAAATCTAATCATCTAAGTAAGCATGGAAGATTGACAAATTCCAAGGTAAAAGATCTTACACTGAGTTAAAAAATAAAGTTTAACCATATGCTGCTCATAGTAAAAATACTTAAATAACAGAATGCACAATGATTTATTAAACATAGAGAAATGTAAAGGATTAAGTTAAAAAGTCAAGAATAAAACTTGCTAGGCTTTGTGGCACGCCTGTGATCCCAGTACTTTTGGAGGGCTGGGCATGCTGGCATGCCTGTGATCCCAGCATTTCGAGAGTCCGAGATAGGCAGATCGCTTGAGCCCAGGAGTTCTAGATTGGCCTGGGCAACGTGGCAAAACTCCATCTCTTCAAAAATTACAAAAAATATTTGGGTATGGTGGCATGCGCCTGTGGTCCCAGCTATTTGGGAGGTGAAGATGGGAGGAACATCTGAGCCCAAGTGGCCAAGGTCGCAGTGAGCCACGATCGCTTTCCTGCACTTCAGCCTTGGTGACAGAGTGAGACCCTGTCTCAGGGAAAAAAAACAGTCAACAATAAAACATCAAAAGAAATAAGATATACAGTTTTACTATGTGAAAGTATATACTGACAATAAAAAGGCAACCGTTTTTAAGGCTTATGCTCCAAATAGCTTACCATCAAATGCGTAAAGCAAAATTGTGAAAAATATTGATGAGAAATATACAGCAACATAACTGTTAATTGTAGACATTATTACTTCTTCCAACCACTTACAGACTATTTTAATTCCAGGCTTGGGCCTTTTATCTGGGATGACAAAGTCTTACTGTCATTCTGTAAAAATTCAAACTGTAAAATTCAAATTGTTTTCAAGGCATGAAAACTCTTAGAGAACAGAGATATTTCCTCAAATATTTATTAAACGATTACTAGGAATTCTAAGAAAAGTGAGAAGATATTAAAATATATGATATTTTATTAAAAGAAATGGACTTAAAAATCAAGAAACTATAATCTTCAATGATTATGTAGTAGAACACCATTGAAAGAAGTATAGATATATATGTGTGTGTGTGCGTGTGTGTGTATGTATCCAACAAACCAACAAACCAACAATCTCCTCACTAGCACATATAAATAACAGAGAAACTTTTACACAGGGCCAGGAGGGTCCATGGTCTGTAATATACATGGCAGCATTCTGATAGCTGGAAGTGGAAGGCAACCTATAAATGCCCGTTGCAACACGAATGATTAAATTGAGTTAGGATTCTGTAATTCTGAAGTTAAAAGCAACCGACTATATCTATATCTACATCTGTTTCTGTATCTATATCTATCTATATCTAAAATACATACATATTCCAACACACTTATATCTTATAAAATATTATGTTAGAGAATTAGAGTTATAGGAAAACACCACTTACGTTATAGTGGATTTTATTTATGTCAGACCTTCCAAAAATAATTAGAAAGCCATATGAAATGTGTTTGAAAAAGTTTGTATTACAGCATTTATGAATTGATGAGACAACTAAAGATTCTAGGGCCAAGATACAAGGGAAACTATAGAGAGGTGAACTGACAGTTTGCAAGTCACTTTTCCTCTCAGGAAATTATCTGATTCTTAAAAGAAAATTTAAAAAAACTGAGAAATCAGGAAAAGAAACAGAGCTAAAAAATAGAAATGCAAGCAGATATTTTACCGATCTCACAGGACTGAAGAAGCAATAATTAGAGTTAGGGAATGCCTAGAAAGCTAGGAAAGAAGGAGCTGGAATCCTCAAAAGGAAGAAGATACAGAAATTGTCACTGCCCTGAGTGATTTTTAGACTCCAGACATTTGCTCAATATTTCAACTTTCAGGTGAGAGGTTTAGAAGCTAAGCAGAAAGCCACTGAGAAACAAAATGATGGCTTCAGCTGCCTCATGGTGCTGAGGATATAAAATGTATGCCGTATTATCCATCAATGAAAAGAACTCTTGGCCGGGCGCGGTGGCTCACGCCTGTAATCCCAACACTTTCGGACGTCGAGGCGGACAGATCACGAAGTTGAGAGACCGAGACCATCCTGGCCAACATGGTGAAACCCCGTATCTATTAAAAATACAAAATTAGCTGGACATGGTGGCACGCTCCTGTAGTGCCAGTTACTCAGGTGGCTAAGGCAGCAGAATCGCTTGAACCCAGGAGGCGGAGGTTGGCAGTGAGCCGAGATCACACCACTGCACTCCACCCTGGTGACAGAGTGAGACTACATCAAAAAAAAAAAAAAAAAAAAAAAAAAAAAAAGAATTCTTAGTAATCTCCACAGGCTGTAGTTGGGACTACTGTAGAACTACACCAAGGAGAACAGATAAATCATCTGTAGAATGAACCCTATAGAAACATAATCCTGGCTCCATGTAGTTTAGTTCCTGAGTGGATAAATGTAATGCCATTCTACCAGGGGATATTCAAACTCAATCTGAAAAAGATAATATCACCCAGAGCTGCTACAAGTTTTTATACACAATGTCCAGCATACAGTTAAAAAAAAATAAGGAGAAAGTATGCAATAAAAATCGGTCAATAGAGTAATGACATGGACAACTGTCATTAATATTGATAAGAGATAATAAGATGAAGTTATTTACCAGATAATTAGAATTTAGAAAACTCAGACTAACATTCTAGACCTAGAAAATACAGTTTTGACTGAAATAAGAAGTAAATGGGCATAATGAACAGAGAGTTGAATAAAGTAATAGGATTGGTGAACCAGAAGAAAAGTCTATAGATAACATCCAGACTAAAATAGAGCACTAAAAGTGTGGAAAATTCAGAAGAGTTTAAGAGACATAATGAAACATGGTAAACAGTAGTAGCAGAAGTACAATTTGGCAACCCAGAAGTGAGGGAAAGAAAAAATGAAGTAGAAGCAATATTTGAAGAAAAAATAATGACAATGAAATTTCTCAACACAATGAAAAAGATCAACCTGTACATTCAAAAGACACTAAATACTCCAAGCAGGATTAAAAGAAAACCACATAAAGCCTCATAGTTAAATGACTAAGACCAAAAGGCAAAGAAAAACATCTTGAAAACAATTAGAGAATAAGATAATAACATTTAAAATGCAGCAAAAAGACTCATCCAACATCCCAATAGAGATGACAGATGTCTGAAGACAGTAGAATAGCAACTTTAAAATGCTAAAAGAATAACTGCCAATCTAAAATTTAATGACAGCAAAATCAAGGTGAAAGAAAGAACTTTCTAGAAAAGTGGAAACTTAGAAAATCCATTGATGGCAAATGTTGACTTATAAAGGGAAAGTGATCACAGACAAAACCCAAATGCAGAGCAAAACAAAGAACATGGAAAAGGGTAAAATACATCTAGGTATAAATGAATATTAATAATAAATATTCAGGGTGTGAGCTAACATATAGAGGAATTTCAAATGTATGGCCAACAATAATTTAAAGGGTAAAATGGAATGATTTCAGTTCCAATGTTTTAAAATCTGGGAAATGTTAAAAGTAATAACTTATAGTTGACTTGTAATCTCCAAGGTAGTTATAAACAACAGCAGGAAAAAATATAATTAAGAAGTGCCAAAAAGCTAATAAAAGTTAAAAGAAAAAAAGAATAGAAAAGAGAGAGAAATAAGTGGTTTAATAGAATATAAGTAACAATTTGGTGTGTATTAACCTAAAAATAACATTATATTAAGCAATTATTAAACATTCCTTTTAAAAAGAAAAAAAAGTTTGTCAGACTAGGCAAAAGATAAAAACCCAACTCACTAATTCTATACTGCTTATGAGAGACAAAATTTAAAAATGAGAAAACAACAAAGTGAAAAGAAAAATATCCTATCTATTGTACACCAACCGAAGGGTGGAATATGTATTATATATATTCATATATACATATACCATATATATAATATATATTCTGTTAACTTGGTACAAAAGTAATTGAAGTTTTTGACATTACATTTAACCACAAAAACCGCAATTACTTTTGCACCAATCTATATAATTATATATTCTGATATATGTGTGTGTAAGAAAAGTAGATTTTTAATTCAGACAAACTGGAATTAGAAAAAAATAACATTTTATCATAGCTATACAGGGTAGAGTGATAAATTTTTCACTATGTAAGGAAGATATAAAGCTTTTAAATTTGTATGTGCCCATTAATATAGCTTTAGAAGATATAAAGCCAAACATGGAAGAACTATATGAGAAATAAAAAAATCCACATCATAAAGAAAACTCACCCAAACTTTGTTATAACTGATACAAAAAGCAAGGAAAATCAGTACAGATATAGAATATTTAAATGAATTAATAAATTTGACCTAATTATCAACTACCATACAAGTTGATAATTATACAATAATAATCTTTACAAGAAAACATTGAACATGGATCACAGAAGAATCTCAATAGAAATTAGAGGAAAATAGAGGGGAGGAGCCAAGATGGCCGAATAGGAACAGCTCCGGTCTACAGCTCCCAGCCTGAGCAATGCAGAAGATGGGTGATTTCTGCATTTCCAACTGAGGTACCGGATTCATCTCACTGGGAAGTGCCAGACAGTAGGTACAGGACAGTGGGTGCAGCACAATGTGCGCGAGCCAAAGCAGGGTGAGGCATCGCCTCACCTGGGAAGCCCAAGGGGCCAGGGAATCCCCTTTCCTAGTCAAAGAAAGTGGTGACAGATGGCACCTGGAAAATCGGGTCACTCCCACCCTAATACTGCGCGGTTCCAATGCACTTAAAAAACGGCACACCACGGGATTATATCCTGCACATGGCTTGGAGGGTCCTATGCCCACGGAGTCTCGCTCACTGCTAGCACAGCAGTCCCAGATCAAACTGCAAGGTTGCAGCCAGGCTGGGGGAGGGGTGCCCGCCATTGCCGAGTTAGTTGTTTGATTAGGTAAACAAAGCAGCCAGGAAGCTCGAACTGGGTGGAGCCCACCACAGCTCAAGGAGGCCTGCCTGCCTCTGTAGCTCCACCTCTGGGGGCAGGGCACAGACAAACAAAAAGACAGCAGTAACTTCTGCAGACTTAAATGTCCCTCTCTGACAGCTTTGAAGAGAGTAGTGGTTCTCCCAGCACGCAGCTTGAGATCTGAGAACAGGCAGACTGCCTCCTCAAGTGGGTCCCTGACCCCTGAGTAGCCTAACTGGGAGGCACCTCCCAGTAGGGGAGGACTGACACCTCACATGGCTGGGTACTCCTCTGAGACAAAACTTCCAGAGGAACGATCAGACGGCAGCATTTGCGGTTCACCAAGATCCGCTGTTCTGCAGACACTGCTGCTGATACCCAGGCAAACAGGGTCTGGAGTGGACCTCTAGCAAACTCCAACAGACTTGCAGCTGAGGGTCCTGGCTGTTAGAAGGAAAACTAACAAACAGAAAGGACATCCACACCAAAAACCCATCTGTATGTCACCATCATCAAAGACCAAAGGTAGATACAACCACAAAATGGGAAAAAGACAGAGCAGAAAAACTGGAAACTCTAAAAATCAGAGTGCCTCTCCTCCTCCAAAGGAATGCAGCTCCTCACCAGCAATGGAACAAAGCTGGATGGAGAATGACTTTGATGAGTTCAGAGAAGAAGGCTTCAGACGATCAAACTACTCTGAGCTACAGGAGGAAATTCGAACCAACGGCAAAGAAGTTAAAAGCTTTGAAAAAAAATTAGACGAATGGATAACTAGAATAACCAATGCAGAGAAGTCCTTAAAGGACCTGATGGAGCTGAAAACCAAGGCTCGAGAGCTACATGATGAATGCACAAGCCTCAGTAGCTGATGTGATCAACTGGAAGAAAGGGTATCAGCGATGGAAGACGAAATGAATGAAATGAAGCGAGAAGACAAGTTTAGAGAAAAAAGAATAAAAAGAATGAACAAAGCCTCCAAGAAATATGGGACCATGTGAAAAGACCTAATCTACGTCTGATTGGTGTAACTGAAAGTGATGGGGAGAATGGAACCAAGTTGGAAAACACTCTGCAGGATATTATCCAGGAGAACTTCCCCAATCTAGCAAAGCAGGCCAACATTCAAATTCAGGAAATACAGTGAATGCCACGAAGATACTCCTCGAGAAGAGCAACTCCAAGACACATAATTGTCAGATTCACCAAAGTTGAAATGAAGGAAAAAATGTTAAGGGCAGCCAGAGAGAAAGGTCGGGTTACCCACAAAGGGAGGCCCATCAGACTAACAGCGGATCTCTCGGCAGAAACTCTACAAGCCAGAAAAGAGTGGGGACCAATATTCAACATTCTTAAAGAAAAGAATTTTCAACCCAGAATTTCATATCCAGCCAAACTAAGCTTCATAAGTGAAGGAGAAATAAAATACTTTACAGACAAGCAAATGCTGAGAGATTTTGTCACCACCAGGCCTGCCCTAAAAGAGCTCCTGAAGGAAGCACTAAACATGGAAAGGAACAACCGGTACCAGCCACTGCAAAAACATGCCAAATTGTAAAGACCATCAAGGCTAGGAAGAAACTGCATCAACTAACGAGCAAAATAAGCAGCTAACATCAAAATGGCAGGATTAAATTCACACATAACAATATTAACTTTAAATGTAAATGGGCTAAATGCTCCAAATAAAAGACACAGACTGGCAAATTGGATAAAGAGTCAAGACCCATCAGTGTGCTGTATTCAGGAAACCCATCTCACGTGCAGAGACACACATAGGCTCAAAATAAAGGGATGGAGGAAGATCTACCAAGCAAATGGAAAACAAAAAAAGGCAGGGGTTGCAATCCTAGTCTCTGATAAAACAGACTTTAAACCAACAAAGATCAAAAGAGACAAAGAAGGCCATTGTATAATGGTAAAGGGATCAATTCAACAAGAAGAGCTAACTCTCCTAAATATATATGCACCCAATACAGGAACACCCAGATTCATAAAGCAAGTCCTTAGTGACCTACAAAGAGACTTAGACTCCCACACAATAATAATGGGAGATTTTAACAACCCACTGTCAACATTAGACAGATGAATGAGACAGAAAGTTAACAAGGATACCCAGGAATTGAACTCAGCTCTGCACCAAGCAGACCTAATAGACATTTACAGAACTCTCCACCCTAAATCAACAGAATATACATTCTTTTCAGCACCACACCACACCTACTCCAAAACTGACCACATAGTTGGAAGTAAAGCACTCCTCAGCAAATGTAAAAGAACAGAAATTATAACAAACTGTCTCTCAGACCACAGTGCAATCAAACTAGAACTCAGGATTAAGAAACTCACTCAAAACTGCTCAACTACATGGAAACTGAACAACCTGCTCCTGAATGACTACTGGGTAAATAATGAAATGAAGGCAGAAATAAAGATGTTCTTTGAAAACAATGAGAACAAAGACACAACATACCAGAATCTCTGGGACACATTCAAAGCAGTGTGTAGAGGGAAATTTATATCACTAAATGCCCACAAGAGAAAGCAGGAAAGATCTAAAATTGACACCCTAACATCACAATTAAAAGAACTAGAAAAGCAAGAACAAACACATTCAAAAGCTAGCAGAAGGTCAGAAATAACTTAGATCAGAGCAGAACTGAAGGAAATAGAGACACAAAAAACCCTTCAAAAATTAATGAATCCAGGAGCTGGTTTTTTGAAAAGATCAACAAAATTGATAGACTGCTAGCAAGACTAATAAAGAAGAAAAGAGAGAAGAATCAAATAGATGTAATGAAAAATGATAAAGGGGATATCACCACCGATCCCACAGAAATACAAACTACCATCAGAGAATACTATAAACACCTCTATGCAAATAAACTAGAAAATCTAGAAGAAATGCATAAATTCCTCGACACATACATCCTCCCAAGACTAAACCAGGAAGAAGTTGAATCTCTGAATAGACCAATAACAGGCTCTGAAATTGAGGCAATAATCAATAGCTTACCAACCAAAAAAAGTCCAGGACCAGATGGATTCACAGCCGAATTCTACAAGAGGTACAAAGAGGAGATGGTACCATTTCTTCTGAAACTATTCCAGTCAATAGAAAAAGAGGGAATCCTCCCTAACTCACTTTATGAGGCCAGCATCATCTTGATACCAAAGCCGGGCAGAGACACAACCAAAAGAGATAATTTTAGACCAATATCCTTAATGAATATCGATGCAAAAATCCTCAATAAAATACTGGCAAACAGAATCCAGCAGCACATCAAAAAGCTTATCCACCATGATCAAGTGGGCTTCATCCCTGGGATGCAATGCTGGTTCAACATATGCAAATCAATAAATATAATCCAGCATATAAACAGAATCAAAGACAAAAACCACATGATTATCTCAATAGATGCCGAAAAGGCCTTTGACAAAATTCAACAACTCTTCATGCTAAAAACTCGCAATAAATTAGGTATTGGTGGGACGTATCTCAAAATAATAACAGCTATCTATGACAAACCCACAGCCAATATCATACTGAATGGGCAAAAACTGGAAGCATTCCCTTTGAAAATGGGCACAAGAGAGGGATGCCTTCTCTCACCACTCCTATTCAACATAGTGTTGGAAGTTCTGGCCAGGGCAATCAGGCAGGAGAAGGAAATAAAGGGTATTCAATTAGGAAAAGAAGAAGTCAAATTGTCCCTGTTTGCAGATGACATGATTGTATATCTAGAAAACCCCATTGTCTCAGCCCAAAATCTCCTCAAGCTGATAAGCAACTTCAGCAAAGTCTCAGGATACAAAATCAATGTACAAAAATCACAAGCATTCTTATGCACCAATAACAGACAAACAGAGAGCCAAATCATGAGTGAACTCCCATTCACAATTGCTTCAAAGAGGATAAAATACCTAGGAATCCAACTTACAAGGGACGTGAAGGACCTCTTCAAGGAGAACTACAAACCACTGCTCAATGAAATAAAAGAGGATACAAACAAATGGAAGAACATTCCATGCTCATGGGTAGGAAGAATCAATATTGTGACAATGGCCATACTGCCCAAGGTAATTTATAGATTCAATGCCATCCCCATCAAGCTACCAATGACTTTCTTCACAGAATTGGAAAAAACCACTTTAAAGTTCATATGGAACCAAAAAAGAGCCCACATTGCCAAGTCAATCGTAAGCCAAAAGAACAAAGCTGGAGGCATCACGCTACCTGACTTCAAACTATACTACAAGGCTGCAGTAACCAAAACAGCATGGTACTGGTACCAAAACAGAGATATAGACCAATGGAACAGAACAGAGCCCTCAGAAATAATGCTGCATATCTACAAGTATCTGATCTTTGACAAACCTGAGAAAAACAAGCAATGGGGAAAGGATTCCCTATTTAATAAATAGTGCTGGGAAAACTGGCTAGCCATATGTAGAAAGCTGAAACTAGATCCCTTCCTTACACCTTATACAAAAATTAACTCAAGATGGATTAAAGACTTACATGTTAGACCTAAAACCATAAAAACTCTAGAAGAAAACCTAGGCAATACCATTCAGGACATAGGCATGGGCAAGGACTTCATGTCTAAAACACCAAAAGCAATGGCAACAAAAGCCAAAATTGACAAATGTGATCTCATTAAACTAAAGAGCTTCTGCACAGCAAAAGAAACTACCCTCAGAGTGAACAGGCAACCTACAGAATGGGAGAAAAGTTTTGCAACCTACTCATCTGACAAAGGGCTAATATCCAGAATCTACAATGAAGTCAAACAAATTTACAAGAAAAAAACAAGCAACCCCATCAAAAAGTGGGCAAAGGATATGAACAGACACTTCTCAAAGGAAAACATTTATGCAGCCAAAAAACACATGAAAAAATGCTCATCATCACTGGCCATCAGAGAAATGCAAATCAAAACCACAATGAGATACCATCTCACACTAGTTAGAATGGCGATCATTAAAAAGTCAGGAAACAACAGGTGCTGGAGAGGATGTGGAGAAATAGGAACACTTTTACACTGTTGGTGGGACTGTAAACTAGTTCAACCATTGTGGAAGTCAGTGTGGCGATTCCTCAGGGATCTAGAACTAGAAATACCATTTGACCCAGCCATCCCATTACTGGGTATATACCCAAAGGACTATAAATCATGCTGCTATAAAGACACATGCACACGTATGTTTATTGCAGCATTATTCACAATCGCAAAGACTTGGAACCAACCCAAATGTCCAACAATGATAGACTGGATTAAGAAAATGTGGCACATATACACCATGGAATACTATGCAGCCATAAAAAATGATGAGTTCACGTCCTTTGTAGGGACATGGATGAAACTGGAAATCATCATTCTCAGTAAACTATCGCAAGGACAAAAAACCAAACACCGCATATTCTCACTCATAGGTGGGAATTGAACAATGAGAACACATAGACACAGGAGGGGGAACATCACAGACCGGGGACTGTTGCGGGGTTGGGGGAGTGGGGAGGGATAGCATTAGGAGATATACCTAATGCTAAATGACGAATTAATGGGTGCAGCACATCAACATGGCACATGTATACATATGTAACAAACCTGCACGTTGTGCACATGTACCCTAAAACTTAAAGTATAATAATAATAAAATTTAAAAAAAGAAATTAGAGGAAAATATTGTGAACTGAATGATAATGATAACATGTCATATCAAGATCTACAGAAAGTAGCTCTAAATGTGCTTAGAGAGTATATGGTTTATACTCTCCAGGTATACAATTCCTGATAACATTGACGGGAAAAAAGACGGAAGAATGCAAATTACAGATGACTTGAGAATAAAAAAGGCAAGGCACAGGGTAGAAGTTAGAGAGTATATTTGCAATGTATAATCCTGACATAGGAATTGTATCCAAAATATTTAAAGAAAAATCAATGTTTAAAAGACAGACATTTCAATAAAAAATGGACAAAAGTCTTGTAGCGACACTTTACTAAGAAAGACATAATATCCCAAAGGTAGATGATGATAGGAAAGTAGCTTGGCATCGGCAGTCACTAAAACCATGCAAATTAAAATCACACATAATGTAGGTACTAAACACCTACTAAAAGGATCGATGGAGTAGATACTAAGGGTTGACAAAAATATAAGGCAACAAGGGAAGCTGTCTTAGGGTGTTTATATTAGTACAAACATTTATAAAAAATATTTTACAGCATTTAGTAAGCAGAACATAGCCACACATTAAGGCCCTCCAATTCCACCTATTGCTAAATTCTAAGTTGAAATGACTGGAGTGTTCATAGTAGTATTATTTGCAGTTGCCAAAAATTAGAAAGAGCTGGCTTTTCCTATCAGTATTAAATTGGATAAATAAGTGTATTCAGTAGACTATTATACAGAAATGAAAAAGAAAATGCTGCTACATATAACAAAAATACATTTAGTAAATATAATATTAAATGTTAAGCAGAAAAAGAGTGCATAATAAGTGATTCCACTTATTTAAATTTTATGAAACAAGAAACACTAGTCAATAGTGGTAAAATTCATTTAGTGATTATATTTGTAGGGGTCAGTAACTGGTATGGAGCACATAGGCGGTTTCTGGGTTGTTGATATTCTCTATATTGATCAGGGAAGAGGATATAAGGTTTTTTATTTGTTTTTAATTCATTAAGTTGACATGTTATAATTTGTGTACTCTTCTTTATATATGTCAAAAAGTTTAACAGAAGTTATGTGTGTACATAAACTTAACATTGCTACATGTTTTACAAAGGTAAATATATTTTTAAGCACATGTTTATAAATGCCTACACATGCTTATAGATGCCTATAAGGGAGAAGAATGTGACTGGTAATTGGACTTAAAGAAAAAAATAAGTAAAATTAGAGATGAACTATGTGTAGATTTAAGATGTATCTATGGGTTTTTTAAAAATAAAACCTAGTATTCTTCTGAGCAATCTTTAACTGTTTAGCTATCTACTCACTTTAAATTCTATCTCAGAGTCAAAGATTGGCACTTACCTTTTGTATTTACAGTAACATATTAACTCTGAGCCGTTTCTTTTATCCCAGTATACATATTGTAAAAATAGATGGTTAGTAGGAGGAAAGAAGTAAGAAAAAACTCTGCATAAAGATTGTATGAAGACAATGTATATGAAATGTGAACTTCTTGAACTTTTACATAAAATGAATATTCATTTCCAAATGTTCTTCACCGTGGTCTCAGCCTTAGCAAATGAAACGTAGAAGATGAAAGTCCCAGATTTCACCCAAGAATCGTAGGAGCTGCATAGCATGTGAGGAGTCCGATTATATATATAACTCAGCTAGGGATAAAGTTCAAGGAGCTGGAATAATTATGTAGCATCAGAATAGTGGAGTAAGGATTTGAAAGTATAGAACTCCATGACCTGCAAGCTTCCTTTCAATTATTAGGTGCTATAACCTTTTCTCTACCCCAGATAAAATACCTCTGATTTCCACATCATTGAACACTATCGGGTGTTACTTCCAAAGCCAAAAATCCACATGTAGCAATCAACATGCCCGGTCTCCCCGCAAAAAGATGAAATATATCTTTGCTTCCTCATCCTTGCTTTATATATACTTCCCTTACTTCACGGTAGTCACTTCTTCACACGAATTTAACATTCACCTGCTTATCGTTTTTCTCCTCTTCCCTTCACAAACTTATATCTACTCTCAAGTGAAAAACTAGTAACAGTTACTTATAGCACATCTTGAAATAAAATATTTTTGTGACTGCTCTTGAGTATATATGTATTTTAAAGACTTATGTCTGTGAATGGAACCAAATACTGTTCTATACTCCAGGAAGTTATGAAAAGGGCAAAATCATCTGTGTCCTTCCTTGAGCATCTAAAATCATGTAATAGTCATGCTATTTTGTCTATTTTTACAGTATATTTCCTTAGAAAGCAGGACACACACTCATAAGCAATAGTGGAGAAATTAAGATCAAAATTTAACAATATGATTTAATAGTGGCAAGGAAGAAAAAAGAAAAAATATTGAAAGGTTAACTTGGGAAATCTTCAATATCTGAGAAGATATCCTCCAATAAAGAAAGGAAAAGTCAATGATAGCTTAATGAGTCAAACCACAACTATTAAAATGTTATTTTTTTAGGTGACAGTGGCTAATCCCAGTTAGGAATTACTGAAATTAATTTAGTCTGGTTTGCACATTTTTCTAACCCCTTCCTTCCTTTACTGAAATTAATTATTTTTAATTGAACTATAATCTACTTATCCACTTTGGGCATACAGCCACATTTAGTGGATTTGATGCGCTGTCATGACTTTCAAAATTGCTGATTATTTCTACTGAAATTGTAGAAAATTATTAAATGTCATCTAAACATCTAAGGTTAAATTTTTGCCAATATCCAGGATATAGCATAGGCCAACAAATAAAAGACAAAAAGGAAGAAAAGGCAAAAACAGATACAATGGTAAAGGAGTAGGGAGATGGGAGAGAAGATAGCAAGACCATAGTGGAAAGGAAGAAGCTAGACAGAAAGATGAGTGAGAAAGCAAGCAAGAAAGGAAAGGAGGAGGGAAGAAGGGAAAAAAAGAGAGAGTATAACTGGCAACAAACCAAATGTCCTTCATTGGATGAAAAATAAACCATGAAGTCTTGTAATAAGTTTGTGTATTATTTGATAAGAAATTGCCAGGCCAAGCGCTGTGGCTCACACCTGAAACGCCAGCACTTTGGGAGGCCAAGGCAGGCAGATCACTTGAGGTCAGGAATTTGAGACCATCCTGGCAAATATGGTGAAACCCTGTCTCTACTAAAAATACAAAAACATTAGCCGGGCATGGTGGTGTACACCTGTAGTCCCAGCTACTCAGGAGGCTAAGGAAGGAAAATCGCTTGAACCGGGAAAGCAGAGGTTGCAGTGAGTTGAGATCAAGCCATTGCACTCCAGCCTGGGTGAGAGAACAAGACTCCATCTCAAAAAAAGAAAAAAAAAAAAAAAAAAAGAAAAGAAATTGCCAAACCATTTTCCAAAGTGACTATGATTTTTGCATTCCCATCAATAATGCATGAGTGTTCCATTTGCTCTATATGCTCATCAGTATTTGGTAGTGTCTGTATTTTTAATTTTGGTCATTCGACTAGGTATGCAAGCTACGTAGTGATGCCTTATTGCGGTTTTCATTTGCATTTCTTTTATGGCTAATGATATTGAACATCTTTTCATGTGCTTACATGCCATCTATGCTCTTTGGTGAGGTATCTCTTTTAATTCTACATCCACTTTTTAAAATAGAATGTTTCATTTTATTACTGCTAAGTTTTGCGATTCCTTAACATATTCTAGTGGACTATAGATATGTAGATACCTTCTGTTGCAGGTGTGATTTACAGATATTTCCTACCAATCTGTACCTTGTCTTTGCATTGTCAAAAGTATAATTTACCATGTTTCTTCTTTATGGATCATGGTGTTGGTATCATTTCTAAAAACTCAGCCTAACCTCAGTCAGAAAGACTTTATTTTAAAAGTTTATATTTATTTGCGTTTACATTTAGATCTATAATTCATTTGGAGTTAATTTTAGTTAAGGTCTGATGTTTAGGTCTGAGTTCAGTTTTGTTTAGATATGGATTACCAACTGTTCCAACATAATTTGTTGAAAAGACTTTCCTTTCTCCATTTAATTGCTTTTGTATCTTTGTCAAGATGAAATGACCATATTTGCATGGGTGTATTTCTGGACTCTATTCTATTTATCTATGTATGTATAACTTTTCCAATACCACACTGTATATCTGTAGCTTTATATTAAGTTTTAACTCCTATTAATGTGATTCCTCCAACATTTCATTCCCAAAATTTTTAGCTGTTCTAGTTCCTTTGCCCATTCATATAAATTTTAGAATGAACTTGTCTAAATCTACAAAACTTCATCTGGGGTTTGGATTGATATTATATTAAATCCAAAGATCATTTTGAGAAGAATTGACATCTTTACTGTGCTGAATCTTCCAAACCATGAACCTGGTAAGTCTATTTATTTAAGTTTTCTTTGTTTTCTTTTTTTCAATCCACATTTTGTAGTGTTTCAGATACAAACCCTGTACATATTTTGTTAGATTCATGCCTAAGTATTTTATTATTTGTAAATATATTATCATGATAATGTGTTTTAAATTTTGGGTTTTAAATGTTCATTGTTTGTGAGGAGAAACAAACAATTGAGTTTTCTGCATTGCCTTTATATCCTATGACCTTATTAAGTTCAATTGTTAGTGCTGGAAGATTTATTTTTTATTATTCACTGTGATTTTCTGCATCAAAAACATCTCATCTGTATGGTTGTAGAGTAGAACAAAATTCCATTTTGGAATATTAGTTTCCAAAATAAATTGTTATTAGTGGGCTGATTTACTCAGGAGCAAGCACAGGAAAATGTACAAATGTCTCTGCATCATGTAACTGCAACAAAAGTTTATCTGAAAAGGAAAGATTTAAACAGATTCAGTGAGTATAGAAGGTAAATCTTAGTAGTGTTTGTACAAGACAGTAGTGGCTAAAATATTGGAAATAGCTTAGCAAGAGTTTGTGGTACAGCCTGAACACCAACATAATGGGCTTGTACTTGTTTGAGTTGTTCATCCAGTAAGCATCTATTAAGCATCTGTCAACCCATAGACATTCAAGGACTGAAAATAGAGAGATGAATTAAAATATCTGAGTCTACATTTAAGGAGAATATGTTCCAGTGAGAAAGATAAGTTTATTAACAACCAAAAAGTACAATAACATGTCATCAGTGCTATAAATGGATATGGACGTTGACTCATTCTAGCCTATTGATGATTTGAAAGCATTTTATGCTTTACAGGGATAAAGAGTGATATGTTTAATGTAGCTTTAAATTAATCTAATCCCATCTTGAGAGTAAATAAGTTTTATTTCAGTCTATTATCAATATCCTTCCAAATCCAATCATTTATGAATTATGCTTTATCCGTCCAGAAAGTATTGATCCACATCAACCAGGCTTGATGCTATTATTAGCAGTATTTGGAACTATCTCAAGTTTGAGTCAGGTCCTCATCGAACTTTTCATCCCATTTCAATCTAGAAACCAAGCTCATTTCTGGCATTGTAAACCTTTGTTAGTCTCCTCTCTTCTCTTGTTGATGGAATTAACAAAGACAATCAATATTCATCTATGGAGCATATATAGCAACATAGGTATGTTTTAGAAAATGGGACTAAGTGATCTCATCTCCCCTATGAAGTGAGATTGACAGTTCTTTTGTTTTGTTTTGTTTTGTTTTGTTTTCAGAAACTCATTCTATTGGATAAACAGATTTTGTTACCACATTCTAGATTAAAATTACTGAAGAAATTTAGAGAACGGAGAAATCCAATTCTGCAGGCTTCTCCTCCTGATATTGCATTTTCATCTTTTAAACTTTATATTAGTTTCTTCCAAACTCCTTCTAAAGTTTCTCATTTACTTATGTCTTCCAAAGTGAATGATGAAGAATTAAAGGAGATAGAAGATGTGAAGGGCGGATTCAAACTCTGTTCCCTGCTTTTGCAGCAACATTCTCCTTCCATATGGCCAGGATAAGAGCATTACTCTGTTTGTCTGTTGTTGGTGTATAAGAATGCTTGTGATTTTTGTACATTGATTTTGTATCCTGAGACTTTGCTGAAGTTGCTTATCAGCTTAAGGAGATTTTGGGCTGAGACGATGGGGTTTTCTAGATAAACAATCATGTCATCTGCAAACAGGGACAATTTGACTTCCTCTTTTCCTAATTGAATACCCTTTATTTCCTTCTCCTGCCTGATTGCCCTGGCCAGAACTTCCAACACTATATTGAATAGGAGCGGTGAGAGAGGGCATCCCTGTCTTGTGCCAGTTTTCAAAGGGAATGCTTCCAGTTTTTGCCCATTCAGTATGATATTGGCTGTGGGTTTGTCATAGATAGCTCTTATTATTTTGAAATACGTCCCATCAATACCTAATTTATTGAGAGTTTTTAGCATGAAGGGTTGTTGAATTTTGTCAAAGGCTTTTTCTGCATCTATTGAGATAATCATGTGGTTTTTGTCTTTGGCTCTGTTTATATGCTGGATTACATTCTTATACACCAACAACAGACAAACAGAGAGCCAAATCATGACTGAACTCCCATTCACAATTGCTTCAAAGAGAATAAAATACCTAGGAATCCAACTTACAAGGGATGTGAAGGACCTCTTCAAGGAGAACTACAAACCACTGCTCAAGGAAATAAAAGAGGATACAAACAAATGGAAGAACTTTCCATGCTCATGGATAGGAAGAATCAATATCGTGAAAATGGCCATACTGCCCAAGGTAATTTACAGATTCAATGCCATCCCCATCAAGCTACCAATGACTTTCTTCACAGAATTGGAAAAAACTACTTTAAAGTTCATATGGAACCAAAAAAGAGCCCACGTCGCCAAGTCAATCCTAAGCCAAAAGAACAAAGCTGGAGGCATCACACTACCTGACTTCAAACTATACTACAAGGCTACAGTAACCAAAACAGCATGGTACTGGTACCAAAACAGAGATATAGATCAATGGAACAGAACAGAGCCCTCAGAAATAACGCCGCATACCTACAACTATCTGATCTTTGACAAACCTGAGAAAAACAAGCAATGGGGAAAGGATTCCCTATTTAATAAATGGTGCTGGGAAAACTGGCTAGCCATATGTAGAAAGCTGAAACTGGATCCCTTCCTTACACCTTATACAAAAATCAATTCAAGATGGATTAAACGTTAGACCTAAAACCATAAAAACCCTAGAAGAAAACCTAGGCATTACCATTCAGGACATAGGCGTGGGCAAGGACTTCATGTCCAAAACACCAAAAGCAATGGCAACAAAAGCCAAAATTGACAAATGGGACCTAATTAAACTAAAGAGCTTCTGCACAGCAAAAGAAAGTACCATCAGAGTGAACAGGCAACCTACAGAATGGGAGAAAATTTTCGCAACCTACTCATCTGACAAAGGGCTAATATCCAGAATCTACAATGAACTCAAACAAATTTACAAGAAAAAAACAAACAACCCCATCAAAAAGTGGGCGAAGGACATGAACAGACACTTCTCAAAAGAAGACATTTATGCAGCCAAAAAACACATGAAAAAATGCTCATCATCACTGGCCATCAGAGAAATGCAAATCAAAACCACAATGAGATACCATCTCACACCAGTTAGAATGGCAATCATTAAAAAGTCAGGAAACAACAGGTGCTGGAAAGGATGTGGAGAAATAGGAACACTTTTACACTGTTGGTGGGACTGTAAACTAGTTCAACCATTGTGGAAGTCAGTGTGGCGATTCCTCAGGGATCTAGAACTAGAAATACCATTTGACCCAGCCATCCCATTACTGGGTATATACCCAAATGACTATAAATCATGCTGCTATAAAGACACATGCACACGTATGTTTATTGCGGCATTATTCACAATAGCAAAGACTTGGAACCAACCCAAATGTCCAACAATGATAGACTGGATTAAGAAAATGTGGCACATATACACCATGGAATACTATGCAGCCATAAAAAATGATGAGTTCATGTCCTTTGTAGGGACATGGATGAAATTGGAAACCATCATTCTCAGTAAACTATCGCAAGAACAAAAAACCAAACACCGCATGTTCTCACTCATAGGTGGGAATTGAACAATGAGATCACATGGTCACAGGAAGGGGAATATCACACTCTGGGGACTGTGGTGGGGTGGGGGGAGGGGGGAGGGGTAGCATTGGGAGATATGCCTAATGCTAGATGACGAGTTAGTGGGTGCAGCGCACCAGCATGGCACATGTATACATATGTAACTAACCTGCACAATGTGCACATGTACCCTAAAACTTAAAGTATAATAAAAAAAAAAAGAATAAAAAAAAAAAAAAGAGCATTACTCGAGGGTGGTTGTTGGTATAAAAAATGAAGAAAGAAAAATTTTGTCTTCAGCATTTCTTTGTTCATTGTCTACATTTTCTCCTTTTTTTTTACTTTCTCATCTTTCAGGCATACAGGACTCCTAGAATTTACCACACGGTGCCTCACACGGAGTAAGGAATTTAGTTGCACCCAAACTTCATTTCCCCTTCACTTTTTTCATTTCTATTTTCACCTTCCTGGGCTTTTCCTTCTCCTTGCCCAGACTTATCTGATTAATTAGATTCAATTTAGTATTAGGTCATAATGGCTTTTCTGCAGTTTCTCCCCTCAGGTACTATTTATAACTTTTTTTTTTTCTCTGAGACAGGATCTCACTTTGTCACCCAGGCTGGAGTGCCGTGGTGTGATCTCAGCTCACTGCAGCCTTGATCTCCTGGGCTCAAGAGAGCTTCCTGCCTCAATCCCCCAAGTAGATGGGACTATAGGTGTGCACCACCACACCAGGCTAATTTTTTGTATTTTTGTGTTTTTATTTTTGTAGAGTCAAGGATTTGCCATGTTTCCCAGTCTGTGCTCTAACTCCTGAGGTCAAGTGATCTGCCCGCCTCAGCTTCCCAAAGTGGTAGAATTACAGGCCTAAGCCACCATACCTGGCCTGGCCCTATTTATAAATTAATTGTCACTGTATTTGCGAAACCATCTAAAGAAGTAAGCAGCATGAACCTTGTAAGAAAAGGTGGGAAAACAACTCAGTGCCATGGTGGGGGCACTATGTAAAACATCACCTTGACAATTTTTTTTTGTAAAACACTTCCCTGCCTTGAAGTTTCCTTGAATCTATCCTTTAACTCACTTTTCTTCATGATCAGGCATATGTTTGTTTGCCTGTTTTTCTTTATGTCAGAACATTTTGAATTCATGGAGCAGCTAGAAAAAATTCAGATGAATCTTGAAAACAAGTTCTCATCTAAGAAGGCAAGGATATAGGTAAATTTCTTTTGTTGCTTTTGCACCACCTTCAATAACTCTGGAATCCAAACTAAAATCTGAAGACAGATACCTGGAAATAAATTCTCAGACACAAATTAGGAATTTGCACTCAGGATAAGAATTTTAAAAAATCTTGTGTCCTGCTTGAAATGTGCATCATAGTTCTGTGAATTTCTACATGCAATGGAAAGTAAGTACATTGGCCTAACTAAATAAAAGTCATCGGATTGGAAGCACGACACACAGTAAATGAAGTACCTGCTGAAGTGACTTCCTTTTCTCTAGGGATGCTAAGTTATTGAGTTTTCTTCAGAACTGATTACTAAATGATTACAGGGTATATGCCCAAATTCTTTGAACTGCAGAGTTTCTTGTAACTCTTCCTAAACATGTTTCAGGATCAATATCCAAAGTGTTTCCTTGTCATGGACTCCTTATCTGTCATTCTTGGCACTAATTCTCCATACAGATAAAGGTACCTTTATGTAGATACCCACAAGCTAATAACATTCTCATCCACTCAGAAATTCATTCTGAAATGGGAAAGGCTGTTGAGAATTCTATCTCTTTCCAAAGCCCATCTGTACATGAGTATGTGTATCACAGTGTACTTGCTCTATGCAGTCTTGCATTTTGGCTATTTCTACATTTCAAATGGCTTTTGTGAGCTTATGAATAATGTTTCCTTGCCTGCCTGGGCAGCAGCACATGTGTAATGTGGTTCTTTGTTTGTATCTTTCCACGTGCCATGAATGTACATGCATTTTCTTCTCTCAGTTCTCTGTATATTTAATTACAATCATCCAATCTTTGCATCTTTCCAATGGCCCCTGGTGATGTGATGATGTTTGCTTTCATTGACTTCTTGTCAATGAAAATTCATGGGAATTTCACTCTAAAGCAAAGCGTTAGAAAAATAAAAATATTCTTTCTATTTAAATATATTCTTTTTATTTTACTGCATCACTAAATTTGGTATAGATGGCACTTACATTCCATTCATGACCACTTTTGTATATGTAGAACCTATTGTGCTTTTAATTTACTCCTGTTATTTTCATTTAATTTTTATTTTATATGCAGTATCTTTTTTTAACCAATACATTATAGACCAATATATTAAAAGTGTTACACTGTTGTCTTGATTACTTCAAGACCCTAAATGAGTAATCTAAAATAATCTTTCATTGAAGTTGAAGCCTAACATATTTATTTGTGATAATTCCATCAAACTAAAATGAATAAACATTTCATGTACATAAGCAAAACTTTCCAAAACATAAAACCTAAGCATTGTTATTACAACTAGATAGTAAAAGGAGTTTGAAACGTCTACTGAGGACAGTGGGCACAATAATTTATCTCTAAATGAAACAGAAAAGGATAAAATGCAATGCTGAAAGTAACATGAAATGAAATTAACCTAATTCCATTAATTGGCAAAACTTACTCTTAATTATAGTGTTAATAATTTTATTTTATAGACAAATATATTAAGGCCTAACATGAAAAGTAGTAGAGTTTTCTCTTTTGTTGCTTACTTACCCCTAGAAAATAAGTTACCCCTAGAAAATGAATCCTATAGTGGTTGAAGGAATTGATAAGTCCCCTGAGGCCATACTGTAGAAACCTGATAAAACTGAGTAAATTGAGTTGATATTACAACTGCATTCATTTTTGTTAATCCTTTGACCTTGTTGAAATCATGTGCTGTGTTACTCTGCTGTTGAACTTGTCTTTAATCTGGCACAGGCATTCTGGTAGCAAACCAAAGTGAGAAATAAACGAAGAGAAATGAATCAAACATTCATTCTCTAATTGAAAAATCTACTGCAAAATGTTTGGAACTCCTTGAAGATAAAAGCTCTAAGAAGGGATTTTCTGTTCTTGATGCATCTCACACACTGTAATTTCCCAATATTTTTAATCAATGTGCTAACATCAAGGCATGATATGTTTCAAAGCAGTTAGCAAATTTGCAATAAGAATAACAATCCATTTATGTATTTTTAAAAGAAGAGTACCCTTTTTCTTTTAATATAAATGTCTCATTATTTATTGTCTCCTCACGCACCTTTAAATTCATGACTCATAATTGAGAGATAGTCCTTTATACACGTTGCATCATCTGATGGCTGGGACTGAGGATGATGATGCAGAATGTGAAAGTGTCTGTAACAGTCAATGCATCTGCAGATGAAATGACTGGAAATGAGTCAATCATCAAGTGTAACCTGTAGATTCTATGAGCAATATGTTTCCCTTTGTACTAATGCAGCTTCCTCTTAAATAGCTGTAGACTTTAATAGTATAAGAGAACCATATAATTTTATAGCTGTTAGAGACCTCAGAGATCTTTAAACCCTCCTTTTAAAAATCTAGGTGAAGGCACAAATACTCAGTTTAGTTAAGAATTTTGATACAAGGTCACATAGCATGGTAGTGGCCAGTCTGAACCACAATTTAAAAAAATCAATGTTATGTCCTTTTCAAAATAACTTTCAGTTTCTGTATTTGATGAATGCAAAGCAGTTTATCTGCCTCTTTTATTGATAAGCATTCAAGAAAGTAAAAACAATTTTAAGTTGTTACCATGTTTAAAGTTCTAAGAAAATACTGAGAAACCCAAATTATTTATTCTTTTCATTTTTCAAGATATTTGAATCTACTATTGATAATTATGTACTTTGGAAAATTAGGTACAATTTATAATTAATGTTTAGTATTATGAATGGAAAAATAAAACATTTCCTATGTGAAGAAAGTCAACTGGGAGAACCCAAACCTCTGCCTGATGTTTCATTAACAACTGCCTCTATTATCATCTAAAATTTAAATGCTTCTAGTTATAAGCATTCTTCTCATTGCTTCTCTGCATGTCTTGATATTTATGGGATCAATATGTAATTTAGCATCAGTATGTTTAATCATAATCAGCCAGAGTGCTGTGTTTAGCTGAACCTATAAAATGTACCATAATGATTCAAAAATGTTTAATTTAAGAATCACTGCCTCTCTGCATATGAATCAGAGACCTGTGTTTAATTATTGATAACAATTAGTACACAGAAGCAGGCAAACACCATGTGGTGGTAGAAATGCTTCTATGGCTGTCCTCCTTTCACTCTTGGTTCTAAAGTCATGCATCATTGATTGGGTTCCCCTCAATGGAAAAATTTGGTTTCTTTTCATACCCCAACTACTGGAATTTCTGTTGCTTTAATTGCCATAATATCAACAGCTACTCTTCTCAGAGCTAAGACAAAGCCATCAGAACTAGAGGGTAGTCAACTGGGTTTTTGCATCATAATCAGACCCCAAAACAATTTTTCAGTAAAAACTCACCTTGAATGCATCTCATGAATAATAATAAGAGTGCTGTTAAAGTGATTGAACCTCAAGGTCAGATGTTCAGAACAAAAAGCAGTGTTCAACATATTAACTATAGCAAATGCCAAATGTTAACTAATTAGGTAAATATATTATTCAGAGACAAACAGGTGCACCTGTATATATGTGTATGTGTATGTGTGTGTGTATAGACAGCCTTCTTCTGTATTATAAAGTTTAAGAGAGTTTCTGAAATGAGGGTAGAGGTAACTACCAGGAATACTCTCAAGTGACCCACCATTGTTATCTCACCAGGACATAAATTGCCTTCATATACCTACTGTATCCTCAACACAACTGCTTAAGCCCAATGTGGGACTATGTCACCAGGGCCCCAGAGCTGACACCTTTTTATTCCTTGTTTTTTTTTTTTTTTTTTTTGCTGTTTATCCATGTCATATACTCTAACGTATCATTAGAGTATCATTGGGCAAAGCTGAATTATATGTGTACCAAGATCTAATTCTTCTCAGTCCTCTGGTTATGGGGCAGAGCCAGAGGCAGCTCAATCTCCTGGGAGGTCACCTGCAGCATCAAGTAGCCTTGTCCAGGTTGTATGGTTTGTCACAACATCTCCACATGAACAGACATACTGTGTAAAATTAGTGCCCGTTATGCCATTTCATGAAGCAGAATGCAGCCCAAAAGGGGTTCTGCCACCTAGACACATACTTTAGTAGCCAGTGACAAAATGCTTAATAGTACTTCATGAGCAAGGGGCCTAAGGAATTGCTAAAACAACTTCTGGGTCAGGTACAAAGAGTATCATAACCTAATCAAAGTGAAACTAGGGTGGAGAATGAAGGTTTAACGGTAGTCTCAGGCAGTGTTCTCAAGGCTTAGACTATATCTGATTTAGATATCTTTGTCTTCACATGTATTGGTTATTTCTATCCATTTGAAGCTAATGTGTCCTTTGGTGGAGTTCAAGCTGGAAGGATCAAAGTAAAAGCAAAACAACATGAGTAACCTGCAAGGTCTAATGAGGTAGAGAGGGGGCTGGTGGCAGGACATTTAAGGTTGCATTATAGTTCTGTGTGATTTTAAATTCACAATGTGAGGCCCTGGTCCACAACCCAAAGGACTGAAGAAGGACTGAAGGGAATCAGATCTTGTTACACACATAACTCAGCTCAGCCCAATGTATGTCATATAGAACATGAGCTGGGTTACACAATAAGAAGAACATGAAGGAGGAGTCAGCTCTAAGGCCCTGGTGGCATACTCCCATATTGGGAGGGGCCATGCAAGAAGCCTGGGCGCTCTATCCAAGTTATTAGGGATCCACATTAGATCTTGGCCTGAAGAGAAGTCTGGGACATCAGGAAGAGTGCCTGAGAATTTAAAGATAAAAAGAGGAAAAAATGCTCAACCCCAAGTCTCTGGAGTAGGCCAACGCATCTAAGCCACATGCCGTAAAGTCCTGCGAGCCTATGGAAATGTTTCAGGTACCACGTGCAAGGTTGCAGCTGTACAAGGGAAATCTGGGTGTTCCACACTGGGTTCTATCTACTTTATGTTGCTTAACAAGTACCTCCTATCTGTTTTACATAATAGATTTCCATGAAAAATTCCATTTGAAGAAAGTATTCAATCAAAAAGCCTCTAAAAGTTTACTTGACTAGACAATAAGGGCGATAAGAATGCAGCATCTCAGAAACCAGACTGTAGTCTGTTCTGGTGAGCATCATGTTTTGCCCCCAAGGATGGTTGATGGCACTTAGGCTTCTGTGCTGTTATGGCAGGTTAAAAAACTGAGATAGCCCTTAAAGAGGTGGCTGTCTGGAAAAGTGATGGGCAAAAAGACAGGCAAGGGCACCTGAGATCTGTACAACACTCTACAGTGTAGAATGATGAGTGGGTTGAGTACATGCACTGATGTCTGCTATACTCTCAGAAACCAAGGTTGGCGAACAGATTCCTGTGCATGACCTCTGCCAGTGGCAGGAGATTTGATCAGACCTTTGATTTTACAAGAAAAGATACATGGGTTCTTCATCCAATCCACTGATTTAATCAAATTTGTGAAGAGGTTAAAAGCATCACAGATTGCTGTATTATTTTCTTTATACATTGCCCCTGAACTATAGATAATTGTGGCTACAGCTGTTCATGAAATATTCATTCATTCAAGCATGGCTTAAGAAAAGTCAAGAACAATGAAATAATTTAACTGGGGCAAACTTGTTCTAAAGGTCACCCATATATTTCTTCCAAAAAATATTCTGGCAGAGAATCAGAAAAGATAATGATTTTATCATATAAAAATATCAAATTGAGCCAGGTTATTGCACTGGAAAAATTCTAATTATATTGTTTCAAAAATGTGCCAAAGAGGACACATTTATACCTTGTACAAGCAAGTCCTTTTTGGTTTCCCCTACATTGCATGGTAGAACTCAGTCTATTAAAAAATTTTCCCCAAATATCTACTGCTATAACCATGGAGAAGCAGGAATTTGGAAAGTTTGTGTATAAAATGTATAGTAAATATGTATTTGAGATGTGTCATTTTTCTATTCGATTCCTGTCCCTTCCTTCCCTGACTCAAGAAGTTCCCTTCAAAGTTATAATTTCCTCAGTAAGAAAGTTTGTAGACAGGTTCGTGGAAAGAGGGTTTATCTGATTAGAAATACGGTAGTTCATATGAGTACTTAAAGTTTGAAAATATGTTTCAAGAAGTCATATCTAATGAAGAATTTCAAAACCTGTATTTGAGGGCTGAGGTCAAATTGAGTTCCAAAAAAAGAGATCAACCTAGTATTTGTGATTGCTAACCATGCGATTGTGCATGACTCCCAGAGGGTCACTAGAGATATGTACTATGAATGAAAAGCAAACCATAGGGTCTGTGGTTCTCAGTAAATGACAGCAACAAAATCCAGAGAAATTCCTGGTATAGATTTTGTAAAAGAGGCTTAGTAAAATAGTTCAAACTTAATGTTTGTACGTTATAGTGAAAAGTAAATAAATATTACAAAAGAAATAAGTCATAATGAAGTCTAGTTAAAATATTGAGAGCTTATAGAAAAATATGCTATCATGTTAGGAAAATTGTTAAAATTTTAGCCACAAATGTACTATAATTTACACAAATAAGAGAAGCACTCTTGAAACAACTGAATTTTAAGATTTCAAGGGATTTTAAAAGTCAATTGGCTTAGTGGCTCCATTTTCAAACATCCCAAGTGGGATCCCATATAGAAGGCCATTGGTTCCTGAACCTACCTATGGGACCATGAGGAAATGGCATTCTGATTAAACTCACAGCCTCAAGAGCTAAGCAGACCCCTTACCAATAATACAACTTTAGCAAGTGACTTGACCTCTCTAAGCCTCAATTTCTGCATTTGTAAAATGGGTATAAAAATAGAACAGTTGATCCTCCTTATTCACCAGTTCTATATTTTGAATCTGCTTACTCACTAAAACTTATCTGCAACCACAAAATTGATACTCCTGGTACTTCCATGTTCATTTGTGATCATGCACAGAGCAACAAAAACTTTGACTTGCTTAATGTGTACATCCCCAGCTGAGGGTCAAACAAGGCAACTCTCTGCCTTCTTGTTTCAGCTCTCCTACTACAAACGACTGTAGTTTTCATCATATATTTAGTGCCATGATGTACCTATTTTTGTGTTATTTGTTGCTGTCTTCACCAATTAAAAATGGTCCCCAATCATAGTGCTGAAGTGCTATCTAGTATTCCTAAGCACAAGACGGCTGTGATATTCCTTATGCAGAAAAATGTGTTAGATAAGCTTTATTCCAATGTGAGTTATACTGCTATTTGCTGTGAATTCAATGTTAATTAATCCATATTCTATATTAAATAAGATGTCTTTAAACAGAAATGTTTATAAGACAAGGTTATGTATTTATTGGTTAGTAAAAGTGTTATAACCAGAGACTCATAGGAACCTAACCCTGGATTTTCCCTAGGAGCATTGGTTCAGTGTTTGATAACTCATGACAACATTATAGAACATAACTACCATAAATAACAGTAATATACTCTACTTACCTCTCTCAGGAGATAATATATTTTCATCTGCTTAGTACTGGACTCAATACTTGGTACATAAAATGCATTTAATAAAAATAAACACTGTTATTAAATACAATATCATAAGGAAGTCTTTTCCATTTCCAGATATTTCACATTAACTAACTTTTACTAATTTGTTGCACCTGAAAAATTGGTGTGTGTGCTATGTCTATCTTTGTTCAGGTGGCCATTGCAATGCAAACCATGGCTAGTGCCTTAGTTTGTTCAGGCTGCTATAACAAATTATCATAGATGGGGTGGCTTACAAACAACAGAAATTTTTTTCACACAGTTATGGAGGCTGAAAAGTCCAAGTTCAAGGCACAGGCAGATGTGGTGTCTGATGCAGGTCCCACTTCTTCATAGCTGGCTGTCTTCTCACTGTAACCTGGCATGGCAGAAAGGGTGAGGCATCTCTCTGGAGTCTTTTTTTTATCAGGACACTAATCACATTTATAAGGGCTTTGCCCTTCTAACCTAATTGCCTCTCAAGTTCCCTACCTCCTAATAACATTATACTGGGGGCTAGTATTTTAGCATGTAAAATTTGGGAGAGCATATACATTCAGTCCACTGCAGTAAGGTTGACATGAATTTTCTTTGTTTCCTTATTCAAAACCTCCCCTTTGATCTGTGTCAACAAACACATTCGTAACACTCATTGAACATGGTCGTTTGACCTGTTACAGAGAAAATATTTCTCAATCATCAGTGTTTCCTGACTTTGGAGGGGGATTTAGATATAAATATATCTATAGATATGGATGTACCTACTTGGCAACATGTTATAGTGGGAATAATGCTTTGCTAGTGTGGTGGGAACAGCCTTGTTCACTGAACTTGTGAACTGTTTCTTCCCCGGGAGACACAACTAGATGACATTTCCCAGCCTTTCTTGACATTAGACTGAGTTTTACTAATGAAATGTGAGAAGAAATTATGCCACTTCTGAGCCTGGCCTATAAAAACATCCCACGTTCTTTCCTTTTACACGGCTTGATGCAGGCAAAGACTGTGACTATGGAAGCTGCTGGTAAAACCTATGTGTTTGAATTACACTTGGAGGAAATTGCACATCAGTTATGAGCACATACTTTAGACTTTATATGAATGATAAATAAACTTCTGTTATATTGAACTATTATATATTTTGGCATTTATAGCAACAACCTTACTTATATAGCTGGGATTCAGAAGACTTAAATTTTGGTATGGGTTCTACCATTAGATGATGATGAGGTTTAAACTCAAATGAGGTATTTAATTTTGTCATATCTCAGCATTCATCTGTATAATGGAACTAATAATGCTTTCTCAACCCATCATACAGGATCAGAAGAAACTCCTAATAAGATAATGGATCTGAGAGTACACTGCAAGGCATGATATATGATATGAATGCAAAGCACTATAAAATAATTTGGGGTGCCCATGTCTCTCAAGTGACCAGTAAATTGAATTAATACATCCACTCTGTGAAAAACAGATCCTGCTTCTTCTACATATGAATGATTTCCTGCTCAGCTTTTGTAATTCTAATTAGTATAGATGGAACATCATGATATTCTGACGAGATGGTTAGCACATAGCTTCATGTAGCCCTGCCTCTTACACCACAATGTGGAAATACTCCCCTGTGTATCATTGTCCAAAGTGAAAGCACTAAATTACAAATAAAGGTCAATTATAATCTAGTCTACAACTTCACTCAGGTCTAAATCACATTAATCTCTGCAGTAGATGTTTAAGTGAAAAATACACCAAAGTGTGATGTAAGCACTCAGGAAGATGATGCTAATGGTTCATTTCTGAAAACCTAAAGAAGCGTTTCAAATTCATCAATCCATTTTTTCATTTTTTCTATTAATTATTTAACATATTGACTTTCATATATAAAGTAAAAATATGTATTTTAACTTAAAAACATGCTGATTTAAATTTTTTGAGGGATGTAGAAAATTTTTCATATCACTAATCATCAGCGGATTTAAAATCCACACTGCTAAAAATTATCAGATGGAGCAAGACACCTGTTTCCTTACAAGCTAAGATACACCTGGGGCACCACTGTAGGTGTTCCAAAATTTCACCTGCCTCATCCCAGTCTCCACTCCCCACTCACCACTTTCTACAACACATCTATAGGTCCTATCATTTCTAGAATTCTTCATTTGTAAAGTATATAAACTTTTAAACTTTTACTTTATAAGAAGGAGATCATGATATGTATAATCTTTTGAGGATGACTATTTCCACTTACTTGCTAGGGTTCATCTGGATGATGCCACATCACTGCTGTTTATTTGTTTTGACGGTTGCATACTGTGGGAGGTAGGATTATGGAAAAGAAAGATGTTCTGGTCCTAATACTCAGAATGTAGGAATGGGTTAAATTACATGGCAAAGGAGAATTAAGGTTGTATATGGAATTGGTGGGGGTAGATATGGACATTATCCTGGATTATCAGGATGAGCCCTGTGTAATCATAAGCATTCTTTCAAGTGGAAGAGGGAGGCTAGAGGAAGCATTTCAGAGTAATTCTATGTGAGAAAGACTCTACTAGGCATTGCTGGCTTTTAATATGGAAGGGAACAATGAATCAAAAAATATAGAAAACTTCTAGAAGCTGAAAAAGCAAAAAAATTAAAAAAGGATTTATCTCTGAAAACACAGCCCTGCTGACACCTTGATTTTAACACAGTGATACTATCTCAGACTTCTGAACCCCCAGAACAGTAAATTAATAAATCTGTATTGTTTCAACTCACAAAGTCTGTAGTAATTTGTAGCAGCAGCAATAGAAAACTACCACATCACTCTTTGACTCTCCCATTTAGGAATGCTTGTGTTGTTTCTAAGCTGTTAGTATTGTGAACAGTGATTCTGAGAACATTCCTGTACACACCTCTTTTTGCACATGTGCAAGTTTTTCTCTTTGGTATTTACTTCAACATGAAATTGCTGTGTCTATGGATGTGCAAATGGTCAAACATAAGAGATCAATTAAAATTATCATCCAAAGTGGTTGCACAAATTTATATCCCTAGAAACTATGTATAATAAACTATGTAATTTTACATCCTCTTGACATTGTTAAATTTTTAAATTTTATCTATTTTTTTCTAATTGCATAATATTGATTTGCAATTCCCTGATTACAAGTGATATTGGGCATATCTTGTTTGTTTTCTGGTCAACGTGCTCTTTCCTATAAAATATTTATTTTTTTCACTTATTTTAAAGTTAGGTTATTGGGTTTTTTATTTGTTAGAGATTTTATGCATTTTTATACTAATCCTTTGTCAGTGATGTAGACAAAAATTTCTGAGGACTTGCATGACTGAGACATTTAATTTGAGAGTAGTTTTAAGTAACCATTTAGGGTCCTTCAATACTTTGAAGACTATGTTGCATGTTACATGTAGCATAATCTTAAAAAATATCTTTGCCTTTGAATATGATCTATAATGTCTCTAAACTTCAGAAATTTTCTTGGTGTCTACAGTATTAGCATATCTCATTATTATGTCTACGTGTCTCTCCTTGTTGGCACTTTCTACGCACTTTCAAATTGTGGCATATCATCTTTTTTTAAATTATAGAAAATGTGTCTCCATTATTTACTCAAGTGTTTGTTCCTTTTATTTTTCTCTCTTTCTAGATTAGCTGCATGCCAGAATTATTATTTATAACTTCTTTATATCTTAGCTGTGTTTTGCTATTTCTTTATTTTTTCCTTTTTTATTGAGGGTAAATTTATTTTTTAAATCTGATCTTATAGCTTGCTAATTCATTCCTCAGATGTACTTCATCTTTTTGTTTTTAAAATGAATTTTAGGTATTATACTCTTCATACATTTCTGTTTAGTTCTTTTACGCTTTCTTGAGTTTATTTTATGTGGCTAATCTTCACACTGGCATTGTGAAATCACTAGTATTTCCAAGTGACCAGCTGAGATATAATTGCTTGACTGAATCAAAACACTCTAGGTTGTGATTCAATTTTAATCTTAATTCTTTCAAAGGTATATTTGTAATTTAAAAGTAAGAAACAAATAGACTTTTAATTTATAGAATACGTGGGCTAGTAGATTTTAGCAAAAGGTATTTTTAAATTTCTCAACTAATTTCTGAGCCATCTGAGCTCTCCACAAGAGGCACAGCATAGTAGGAGATATTTAATACTAACTTCTTAAAGGCTGCTAGATTTAGGGACTGATTCATTCAGAATCAGTCCAGAACAGTGCCTGACTCACACACAGCAGCCACCCAGTAAATATTTGCTTAATGAATCAACAAATAAGTACCTTGTGAGGATAGCATAATTTAGTGCTCTGCACTTCTTTAATTAATCAGAGTAGAAAACTCCCAAATGAAAATAGATAAGTATGTTTCTGATTTGCCTGATATTTCTAAAGCTGTGTGGGTGGGCCACAACAGAATAATGTGCACCTTAGTCAGATTCTATAGACTGTGATGCTTTTAAGAAGGTAATGTGGTGCACAATGTCTCTGTTACATCATTTCACTGAAAATTCTCCACTATGGAGCTCAACAGAGTAAGTGTATACCTTTAATAAATACCAATTAAAGCATTTTTTTCCTTGGACTTGGATTTTTGTCTTGAATTTTTTAATGGACTTTATGAAGTTGAGGAGTAGCACCCTATAAAAACAACATTTCCTGCCTTCTCGAATCCTGTTATGGATCAAGTGTCTCTAGTATTTATAGCATTGATTTAGACAAGAGGTAGGGATGCAATTTCAGTACAGGGCCAGAAAGTAATTATCATAGGATTTGGGGGCCAAATGGTGTCTATCACAATTTTTCAATTTGCCATAGAGTGTGAAAGCAGTCACAGATAATATGTAAATGAAGAGGCTGTGGCTGTATTACAAAAAAAAAAAATTCTCATTTACGGAAGCCAGTGGCAGCCTGGATTTGGCCTGCAGGCTAAAATTTGCAGTTCACTGACCACTGATTTAGACATTTCAAGTAATCAAAGACACATACATGGTTGGTTATGTCAGATCGATCTGAAATCCAAGCCAGCATAGTATAAATTAGGGATTTCATATTTAGATGAAGCTCAATAGGCAGCCAAGGCCCAAATCTTAAAACATTATTATGATCAATTCCAAAGAATTTGAATTGTATCAATGAGAATTTGTTACTGAGTTTCAAGCAGGGCAATAATACAAACAAATCTTTATTTACAGATCAATCACAGGAGCAACGAGAGGGAGGTGAAGCTGGAGAACAATCAACTAAGAAGTCATTCAGCAACCAGGTTAACAAAATATGAAAGCCTAACTCAAGAGAAAGTGATTGTGGTAATTATGAGGAAGGTTGGATTTGCATCTTCTAATAGGTTTAAAATTTCCAGGATGCAGTGAACCTAATTAGAGTTGGAAAATGAGCAAGTGAAAATCTCCTAGAAAGATCCAGAGCTTTGTTTAGACTTGAGCCTCTGGGTGAATGCTGGTGCCCTTTACTAAAAGAGAAGACACAAAAGGCATATCTGATTTAATAGGGTAAAGTGATGAGCTCCTTTTAAGATACTGGAAGTTTATATTGCCTGTGAAGTATTAAAGTGGAAATGTCTAGTAGGCTGTTGGTCATTTTGCCTCTGAGCTTAAGAGGTAGGTGTACATGTCAAAGAACAGTGAATTGAGCATGGAACTCTGTGAGCAACAGTATATAAGGGAAGGATGAAGGAAGATGGAATTAGTGGAAGATCTGCATTACTGTTTTTCTCATTACCTTTTTCATCTTCCCTTCGAACCTTGAAGTTTTCCAGGTTGCTGTCGTTCTTCCCCTCTTTCTTTTGTCATTCTGTGAGTTTTTTCTCTGGACAGTTTTATCCATTTATACATTTGGCACCAAGTTTATGAAACTTCCATACACTATTTATTTTCTGAAACTCTAATGTATTTCCAGTTAAATATAAATAGGTCCAGCTGCAGACAACATAAACTTAAAATGTCAAATACTCATCTAATATTCTTAACCCAAGTAACACCCCCAACCTCTGAACTCTCAAGAAAAAATAACATTGTCAACATCTATGCAGTATACTTCCCTTATCTTTCACATGTAGTCAACAACCCAGCACATGGACTCTCCTCAGGTGTTTCTTCCTCTCCACTTATATGATCCATAACTTTACCACCTCCTGCCTTAGATAACTGGACATCTTATCTGGATTACTCTGTCTCAATGTCTACTAATTCCTGTCCATGTTCCACAGTGCTGTGGAATGATCTTACAGAAAAGGAATCTGGTTGTTTTGCATACTTAGAACGATTTAGCCCATGATGCTCTCACCACCAACAATGATGTATGATGTAAGATTTGACAGCAACTCTTTTTGGACTCTTTGAAGGAATGTGTTGCCTGTCATCGCAAAGGAGTTGAATACTAATTAAGACCAAAGCCACCTGAGAAACAGAGAGAGAGCCTTTCACAAATATTTTACCGTGTTAATTTTCCAAATAAACTTCCTTCAATAATATTCTCCTCTTATAATATAATTCTCACATCTCTTTGATAAGAGGAAATAAAAGAACTTCTCAGGAGAAGTTGCTACTATAATGTCATATTTTTTGTGTATTCCAAATATTAATAACCCAAATTCCAGACTTCCTATTCCAGTCACATTTTTTCCAACATCTTTCTTTAACAAGAGTTATGTCTGGAACCAATTTGATGAGCTGGGAAAAGAAGACAAGGAGTTAATATAATGAACATCTCTGCTTAGTATTCCAAGCAATTTTTTCTTAAGATAAAATTTTGCTTCTCCATTTACTCCTCCACAACTCTGCAGCTTACTGTTAATTCAATTTAAATATTATGCCTTCAGTAGTAACAACAAAAATGGTAAAATAGTAATGATAAAGCTAACAATCATACATTGCTTCAAAATGTCCGGCATTGTAAATCCTATACATATGTTAACTCATCCAGTCTCCAAAACCAACAAAGGAAGTAGTTGTCCTTGTTTGGAGATGAGGAAACTGAGATGTGAAACTTGCTCAGGGTGATGGAGTGTATATGTACTTGAATTGAGTATGTATCATGAAATCTGATTAAAGGGTTCACGTTCTTATCCATTGCCCAATACTGCCTCTCTTAACTATATGCTCTACCAAAATCATATAATTAACAATATAAATTCATATTATTCTTGCCACTTCTATCACTTCTTGAATAAAATATAAACTCCTCAGCTTAGAATACAAAGAAGTTCAAATATTACTGCATCATATTTTGTCTCCAGCTTCCCAAGGGTTCTTCTGACACTGAGTCTGGACACATAATGCTCCCACTTCCCTAGAAAATCTCTACATGATTTGACTAATAACTTGGTGATAACTGGAAGGATCACAACCTGATACAGGAAATTTGTTGGCATTAGTGTCTTCTGTAAAGTGCGAATTAAAAAATTTTGGAGTGCCATCTCAATTACATTCGAATCCTTAAAACATAATAGGAATTCTGAAAATGCATTGATAGATAAATTTCAAAAAGCATATTATAATCTCTAATTACTTAAAGGCTTAACTTTAAAATATAATATGTTTGGTTGTGTTCTTAATTTATTAATGCTAAATTAAAGACAAAAATAAACTTTTGTTTTTTGCATGTCTCATGGTCCCTAACTATGGAACCACATGTCACTTTTGATTATATTTTGAAAATCCTTTAAATTATTTATCCATCCATACACACGCACACACAATAAGGTGACTCTTTTGATTATGTGAGAAATACATAGAAGCTACATTGTCCTGCATTTTATTGTGAACATTCTGTGTTGCAATCCCTAAGGCAGTGCTTTAAAACAGACTATTTTCAGAGAAAAGTCTCCTTAGGAATTTTTTAAATTAATGTCTTCTGCATAATTGGTTTCATTTCAGAAAAACATTACAAATTGTTTAATATATCTATTTTTACAAATTTACGTTGTCTACAAAGTAGCAAAATAGAGCAGAAAAAAATCACTGGGTTGGTTTTAAACTGGCTTATTCCATGCATTTCTAAATTTAATATTCATTTGTTGAGTACCTTTTTGTGTGTTAAATCTGTCTTCAGGAAGTACACAATCTAATGGAAGATACTCATTCAACAGTGGATCTAATCCACAACTATTTATTCTGTGTGTAGAACATGCCTTGTATATTCTACACACATAAACAATGAACTGTAATAAATATTATATGTTTTCTGAGGTGGTCATGTATTGTGAGTGGGGATGAGTTTAATTTAGTGTGTTGTAACAGTGCCTGGGTGGGATGCCTTCTTGCCCTCGGAGACTGGATAGAGGAACCAGAAATAATTTCTAAAACGACAGAATTTACAGGATGAATTCTTGTTCATATGACCTTAGAGAACTAACTCAACCATTTTGAGCCTAAAATAATTTATAGGGAAAAGGATAAGATTTAACACAGACCATACAAGTTCTCTTATGAATTCAAAATATAAATTTTATAAATTTATGAAAAAAGAAGAAATATAGCTAATAAAAATCGAGAGCAGCATTTTTTCTTAGGCTCAAGATTTGCAACAAGGGCCTAAGTTTGAACTCTACAGAGCCTCAATTAGAAACTAAAGAATCTATACCATATATATAGATTCTATAAATTCCATATATAGATCACATTTATATCATGTGTCGATCATATATTACATCTATAGATCTTATATAACACATATAGATCATGTGTATAACATATACAGATCATCTATATACACACCATACATATTATTATCTATATACACACTATATATAGGTGATATATATACACATCAGATATTGTATATACACACACCATATATAGATCATATACATACACACCATATTTATAGATCACATACATACACATCATACATATAGATCGTATATATACACCATATTTATAGATCATATACATACACACCATATTTATAGATCATATACATACACATCATATTTATAGATTATATATACAAACACCATATTTATAGATCATAGGCATACACACCATATTATAGATCTATATATATACATACACATTTATAGATCATATACATACACACCACATTTATAGATCATATACATACACACCACATTATAGATTATATGCACACACACCATATAGATGATATATATACACACACCATATATATAGATCATATATCTATATAATCCCCAAACTGTTTTGACATCTATTCATCATTAAAAAATTAAGTATACTCCCCAATATGTAAATATTTATTCATTTATAAATTACATAAACATGGAACACACAGCTCAATCAATATACTTCTGCAGAATTAGACAAAGAGGGAATACTTTCTAACTCATTTTCAAATCTTGATACCTGAACCTTTCAAGAAAAAGAGAGGAAAAAACATTATAGTCCAATCTTGATCAAAAACCTAAATGTCAAAATTATAAAGAAAATGTTAATGAACGGAAACTGGCAGTACATTTTAAAAGATGCTAAAGTTGAGTTAAGCTGATAAATGTAAATTTGATTTAATATTAAAAAATAAAATAATATAATTTACCACATTAAAGGATTAATCGAGAAAAATTATGTCTTCAAGTCAGTAGATATAGAAAAGGCATTTGATAGAATTCAACAACGCACTGATGATTTTTTAAAAATCCTAAACTCCTTTTTAGCAAATTTGAAGTGAAAGAGGAAAAGTTCTCATCTGATAAGAGGTGTCTACAAAATTGCCCAAGGCAAACCTCATACTAAAACGTAAAGTGTTTTCTTTATAATTAGAAGTATGACAAACACACTTCTTATACCCTCACTTCGTTACTAACATATTAGAGGTCTTGGCTGTTGCTTTATGGCAAGAAAAATCAATAGAAATATGACTATAGAAAAGGAAGACATTAAATTGATATTTCCCTTTAGTCACAATTGTGTATGGAAAATTTCAGCTGAATGGTATTAGTTTAAATGGGTTACATTATCCTGTGATAATGAAGACACATTAAATTCCAGAAATTTAAAATAGTAAAAACCTATCTTCTGTTCACACTACATTCTAACAAAAGTGAATAGGGAATTCCTCACTGAATTCTCTCAAGGACTGCAGATGATGGTGGCCCAATTGAGACACATGATTTCATCATTATCTTGAGAGTGAGAATGAAAATTAAAATTGATCACCAGCAATTACATTTTTCCACCCAGAAGTGACAAGTGTAATTTCCACTCACATTTTATTTCACTGACCAAAGCAAGTCAGGAATATGCCTAACATCAAATGGATGAGAAAATGCAGCCCTCCAGATGGTCCCAGTGACTGGAATATTTGTGAATAATCATAATGGCAAACATTGGAATCTGCAGATCAAATATGATAACTAGTAAAAGTTCAACAAAGTTACATGATATGAAATATATGTATATATACACACAAAAAGCAATTGCACATTCACTAGAATAAATAGCTAGAAAATATAATTTTAAGACTCTTAATAATGTGAATTTGAATAAAATATACAAAGTTCCAGAAATAAATCTAAGATGCAAGACTGAAATGGACAAAAGTATAATACTTTATTAATAAAAATGAAAGAAAATTTAAATAAAGATATAATATGCTCCCAGAAGAATCTATACATTTTAATGTTATAACAGTCAATCTAAATTGATCCTTATGTTTGCTTGTTTTCATAAAATCAACAAATTCACTCTATAATTTATAGCAGAGAGCAAGGAACAAAGAATTGTTAAGAAAATTAACCAGGTAGAAAGACTTGTCTTATCAAAGAGCACAAAGTATTAATAGAGCATGAGATTAACACTTAAGCCAAAGCTATAGAATAAGAGCCCTTGAAGGAGCCATAACTATATGGAAAATTCATTTATAAAGTTGCCAAACTAGTGTTAAAGATTATTGAGAAAAGCATGGATTCATTAATAAATGATGCTTAAATAATTGGTATCCACTTGGCAAATAAATTAAAATGTGATGCCTACCTCAGAGCATACATTCCTGGCCTTTCATCCAGGCCCCACACTAACCTGTATCATTCATCCCCCTTTCTTCAACATGCCCTTCTCCCAGGCCATAGAATATTAATTATTTTGAGGGAAAAGGTAGGCTTTCTTCTGAAATTGATAAATCAAAATTTTAAAAATTATATTGTTTCTGCCATTAATTTCTACAGTCTGTTTTGGAAAAATAAAACAAAACAATTACTTTCATTCTCCTCTTTTCTAGCTGTGACATATATCTGTAGAGTAGGAGAAGGAAAATCATCCATTAACCTATGCATACTAGGGTATGGGAAGGCCACAAGTTAAAAAAAAAAATCTTAGAAATGAAAACACATTGGCTGTTATATGCCCAGAAGAAACTGGAGATATAAACACATTTTGGAAAACTATTATAATATTATAATTTCTATTTTCATGAGGGATGCGGTTCATGCATTGGGCTGAGGGCAGTGGAAATAGGCAAGAATGTATATACTCAAGTAGTACTATAAAGCAAGGATTGCAGCAATGTCATGTAGGTGGCAGTGGGAGATAGGAACATCGCCAACATTTTAAATTCTGATTGCTGGTAGACTCACCTCATTAGTGATGCAAATGGGACCTATAGTAGTCATAGGGCAAGTGGTTTTAGTGGTAAAGGTGATGGTAAGTGTTAGAGAACAATATTAAATGCAAACAAAAGTACCTAATAAATCTTCTGAAAGGTAAGGTTATTATACAGGTTTGAAGTTGCAGTTCAAGAAAAAAAAATCTGTGAAAAAATAGTGATTTAGTTGATTACTAAGTTCAGTATATACTGCTCAATTCTAGGCACATATATGAGCCAAGGCTACTGATTCAAATTTTTGGACTCCAAATCCTATGTTTTAATGAAATCTTTCCTTGTCAACATTGTGGATTATTTACACAAAGTAAATCTGACAGCAATTCTCCATTTTTTCCTCCCTTCTGATGTCCCTCCCTCCTGATGTCCCTCCCTCCTGATGTCCCTCCCTTCTGATGTCCCTCCCTCCTGATGTTCCTCCCTCTCTCCCTCCCTCCCAACCTAACTTCCTTCCTTCTTTCCTTCTTTCCTTCCTTCCTTCCTTCCTTCCTTCCTTCCTTCCTTCCTTCCCTCCTTCCTTCCTTCCTTCTTTCCTCCCTCCCTCCCTCCCACCTTTACTTCCTTCCTTCTTTCTTTTCTTTCTCTCTCTCTGTTTTATTTTAGAATGGAAGGAAAATTCACCTTGGCTGCCTCAGAGGTAATATAAGACTAGGCATAGAGATTTTTTCAATTTTACTCACCGTGGAAGCCTGAAAAAGGGGTTGTGATTAAGAGTATTTGTATTATTAAAACATTGTGATTAATAAGAAATAAGTATTACACTTCAATTTATTTATTAGATATTTATCCAAACTCTCCTTTGAATAGCTCTTATTACTGTTGAAAGAAAACTTAAACAACAGACGTTTCATCCATAAGACAACCACCAAAATCCCAGACAAGCAGGAAGACTAAGAAGTGCAGGGAGAGAATATTCTGAAGGTAGATCACAGAGCAGAGTGGAGAGCTGGCAAATTCATTAAGAAACAAAATTATGAAATACCTTCTAAGATACTTGGATATAGATGCGAGTTTGTATTATGCCATTCTATCCATGGATTTGTACTTACATGAACTTAAATCATAAGTGGATAAAATTATTTTAATTGAACTACTTAGAAAAACATCTATAGCAAAATCAAAAGTAAACTATGTGGTGCATTCCACTTTCCAGGGCACTGTATTATCGTGAAAGCATTTTACCTTAAATTATCAAACACATGTTTTATGAATAAGACCCTATAGCACAATGATTGGTCTACTTTGTATAAACATAATGATTTGCTCCCATTCTTTTTTTTTATTATTACACTTTAAGTTTTAGGGTACATGTGCACAACGTGCAGGTTAGTTACATATGTATACATGTGCCATGCTGGTGTGCTGCACCCATTAACTCGTCATTTAACATTAGGTATATCTCCTAATGCTATCCCTTCCCCCTCCCCCCACCCCACAACAGGCCCCAGTGTGTGATGTTCCCCTTCCTGTGTCCATGTGTTCTCATTGTTCAATTCCCACCTATGAGTGAGAACATGTGGATTCTTAATACAGAACGAATGTTTTTTTCCTTATGCAATTGATCTTGTTCTTATAGTGGCTGATTCAAAATATTGGGCCTGTATCTAGGGTATCATTGCACAACAGGAGTCATCCAGTAATAATTTTAAAATGTGCATTTTCTTTGATTTTGTTTTTCCTAATGTCTAGTTTCAATAACTGAACATTCCTTTAGCTAGCTTTCACTTAATTAAAAATCCTGTAGCAGAGTACTGAATGTGCCCACAAGTAAACCTCAAGCAGTGCAGATGGCCCCCTCTGCACTCAGAAGCAGAAAAGTAGTCCTCTGAAACAGCTGTGGGCTGGGAGGCTCTGAGTGGGCTCTGCCTTCTGGGATGCAAATAAGCAGAGTGTATCTGACTTGAATCTCCAGTGCTCTAACAGTGTATCGCTGTGATAAATATCTTTTCAGCTGCAGGAGTGTTCAAAATTTATTCTCTGCAGCTATATTTCTTTGCTGAGGTTGTCTGCTATCTGGAATGATGTGTATGCTACACATTGCCCAGAAAGCTGTGACTGCATATATGTAGGTATAGAGAATGCAGGCGTTGGAGAAAGCAAAGTCAATGATACCACAGATGTTTTCTTAGTTCCCATTTGATCTCCACCAAGAAACTCTAAGATGTGGGGTTAATTATACCTTTACTCATTTTTCCTCCAGTCGCTCATATATCAGAATTTGGGAAGATTCTAGCATCCTACAGCTTAATTGTGACCAACCCTTACCTTATCATGTTGAATAAGCAGTAGATATTGATTGAAACTAAGTACATTCCCATGTATTCCCCTGCCCTCAAATCCAAACGCAAAAAAAATCAAATTACCAAAGGGCGCAGAACTCAATTCCCTCTTTGTGAGCATGAGGAATCTTGCTGTAAAAGCAAACTGAAAATCAATGACCCCATGATATTCCCAAAGGCCTGTTATAGGAAAAGGGGTCTCAATCAGAATCAAGACATGCAAAGCACTTTGTGGTACAGTGTCTACATACCAGTGATTGCACTACGTTTTTGGATATCACTTTTAAATTAGTGAGAAATTACACTAAAGCCAGAGGAGATTGTTCCTATGGTTATTTCATCTTTATATGGGCAAGCTACCACTTTACATATTAGAAAAAAACAAAATCAGCACATTAACAAAGAATAAGCCAGCCTGGCCAACATGGTGAAAACCCGTTCTACTAAAAATACAAAAATTAGCTGGATGTGGTGACACGTGCCTGTAATCCCAGCTACTTGGGAGGCTGAGGCAGGAGAACCTCTTGAACCCACAAGGTGGAGGTTGTGCTGAGCCAAGATTGCACCACTGCACTCCAGCCTGGGCAACAGAGTGATACCCTGTCAAAAAAAAACCCCACAAAGAATAATTCTAGATGCTACATGCTGCTCACTACCCAAGTACAGGGACTAAATAACAGCCATTCTCAATCAATTAACTCCTAGGCTTCTCCTTAATACTCTAATTAACTGACTTTCTGTTATCTGAGTTATTATGCATTGGTAGAAAAGGAGAATTCTTTGGGGCCAAAGAATGCAAGCAATGTTAACTCTTATCTCATAGAGCATGGCTTTAATATGCTCTGTATAATAAATAATTAAGAAAGTGATAGAAGCAAAATTAATTTTTGGTTTTATGGGGCAGAATGTATTCATATCTATAAGAGAAGCTCTTCTGCTGACAGTGATTATTATACTTCATTTAAGAGCCAACAATTTAGTTACAGTATTTATCTATCACTTTAATAAGAAAACCAAATCAGCTGTTGTCCCTAATTACAATTACGGTGCTTTTTATTCAAGAACCAAAAACAGATTTTTGTTTTTAAATTGCCTTTTTTTTAAATGCTTAAGAATGCATTGAAATACAAGTCACTGTGTCAAGATTCAGAGTGGAAATGCAATCAAGATTTATATAGCAAATGAGCAAAGACATATAATCATTACAGTTGTAAGAAGAAGACACCCCTAGGAAGAGGTTGAATCTCTGAATAGACCAATAACAGGATCTGAAATTGTGGCAATAATCAATAGTTTACCAACAAAAAGAGTCCAGGACCAGATGGATTCACAGCCGAATTCTATCAGAGGTACAAGAAGGAACTGGTACCATTCCTTCTGAAACTATTCCAATCAATAGAAAAAGAGGGAATCCTCCCTAACTCATTTTATGAGGCCAGAATCATTCTGATACCAAAGCCGGGCAGAGACACAACAAAAAAAGAGAATTTTAGACCAATATCCTTGATGAACATTGATGCAAAAATCCTCAATAAAATACTGGCAAAACGGATCCAGCAGCACATCAAAAAGCTTATCCACCATGATCAAGTGGGCTTCATCCCTGGGATGCAAGGCTGGTTCAACATACACAAATCAATAAATGTAATCCAGCATATAAACAGAACCAAAGACAAAAACCACATGATTATCTCAATAGATGCAGAAAAAGCCTTTGACAAAATTCAACAACCCTTCATGCTAAAAACTCTCAATAAATTAGGTATTGATGGGACGTATTTCAAAATAATAAGAGCTATCTATGACAAACCCACAGCCAATATCATACTGAATGGGCAAAAACTGGAAGCATTCCCTTTGAAAACTGGCACAAGACAGGGATGCCCTCTCTCATCACTCCTATTCAACATAGTGTTGGAAGTTCTGGCCAGGGCAATTAGGCAGGAGAAGGAAATAAAGGGTATTCAATTAGGAAAAGAAGAAGTCAAATTGTCCCTGTGTGCAGACGACATGATTGTATATCTAGAAAACCCCATTGTCTCAGCCCAAAATCTCCTTAAGCTGATAAGCAACTTCAGCAAAGTCTCAGGATACAAAATCAATGTACTAAAATCACAAGCATTCTTATACACCAATAACAGACAAACAGAGAGCCAAATCATGAGTGAACTCCCATTCACAATTGCTTCAAAGAGAATAAAATACCTAGGAATCCAACTTACAAGGGATGTGAAGGACCTCTTCAAGGAGAACTACAAACCACTGCTCAATGAAATAAAAGAGGATACAAACAAATGGAAGAACTTTCCATGCTCATAGGTAGGAAGAATCAATATCGTGAAAATGGCCATACTGCCCAAGGTAATTTATAGATTCAATGCCATCCCCATAAAGCTACCAGTGACTTTCTTCACAGAATTGGAAAAAACTACTTTAAAGTTCATATGGAACCAAAAAAGAGCCCACGTCGCCAAGGCAATCCTAAGCCAAAAGAACAAAGCTGGAGGCATCACACTACCTGACTTCAAACTATACTACAAGGCTACAGTAACCAAAACAGCATGGTACTGGTACCAAAACAGAGATATAGATCAATGGAACAGAACAGAGCCCTCAGAAATAACGCCGCATATCTACAACTATCTGATCTTTGACAAACCTGAGAAAAACAAGCAATGGGGAAAGGATTCCCTATTTAATAAATGGTGCTGGGAAAACTGGCTAGCCATATGTAGAAAGCTGAAACTGGATCCCTTCCTTACACCTTATACAAAAATCAATTCAAGATGGATTAAAGACTTAAACATTAGACCTAAAACCATAAAAACCCTAGAGGAAAACCTAGGCATTACCATTCAGGACATAGGCATGGGCAAGGACTTCATGTCTAAAACACCAAAAGCAATGGCAACAAAGGACAAAATTGACAAATGGGATCTAATTAAACTAAAGAGCTTCTGCACAGCAAAAGAAAGTACCATCAGAGTGAACAGGCAACCTACAGAATGGGAGAAAATTTTCGCAACCTACTCATCTGACAAAGGGCTAATATCCAGAATCTACAATGAACTCAAACAAATTTACAAGAAAAAAACAAACAACCCCATCAAAAAGTGGGCGAAGGACATGAACAGACACTTCTCAAAAGAAGACATTTATGCAGCCAAAAAACACATGAAAAAATGCTCATCATCACTGGCCATCAGAGAAATGCAAATCAAAACCACAATGAGATACCATCTCACACTAGTTAGAATGGCGATCATTAAAAAGTCAGGAAACAACAGGTGCTGGAGAGGATGTGGAGAAATAGGAACACTTTTACACTGTTGGTGGGACTGTAAACTAGTTCAACCATTGTGGAAGTCAGTGTGGCGATTCCTCAGGGATCTAGAACTAGAAATACCATTTGACCCAGCCATCCCATTACTGGGTATATACCCAAAGGACTATAAATCATGCTGCTATAAAGACACATGCACACGTATGTTTATTGCAGCATTATTCACAATCGCAAAGACTTGGAACCAACCCAAATGTCCAACAATGATAGACTGGATTAAGAAAATGTGGCACATATACACCATGGAATACTATGCAGCCATAAAAAATGATGAGTTCACGTCCTTTGTAGGGACATGGATGAAATTGGAAATCATCATTCTCAGTAAACTATCGCAAGAACAAAAAACCAAACACCGCATATTCTCACTCATAGGTGGGAATTGAACAATGAGATCACATGGACACAGGAAGGGGAATATCACACTCTGGGGACTGTTGTGGGGTGGGGGGAGGGGGAAGGGGTAGCATTGGGAGATATACCTAATGCTAGATGACCAGTTAGTGGGTGCAGCACACCAGCATGGCACATGTATACATATGTAACTAACCTGCACAATGTGCACATGTACCCTAAAACTGAAAGTATAATAAAAAAAAAAATTAAAAAAAAAAGAAAAAAAAAAAAAGAAGAACACACCTTGCTAAATATCATATTCTCATTTCATTTATGTATCACATTACAGCTTTGCTTTTCGGAAATTTAAAAACGAGGTGAAAAATCCATGAGCCATTCAAGATGTAAGCAAATTAAGTAACTATTGTCCAGGACACGGTCTTCACATCTGGGTATAATGAAGCTATCCAGGAAATGCCACTGTGAAAGTAATACTTTATCTTGAATCTAACACAAATTTATTATGCAAGAAAATCTTGCTCTACTTCTCTTTTTACATTAAAAAAAAAAAGTTTCACAAAGACATTACATAAAATTCAACTGGTAGATCTCCACTGAATTATTAAGTTATGTTAAATAAAAATTGTGGAAGACCACTGTTTTGGACTGAGCTCCTGCAATAGACCTTAACAGACCAGACTAAACCAAATTGAAGTCACTCAGGCCATATGCCACAAAATAAAACTGAAACTTGAAGGAAGCAGATAGATCTGAAAACAGAACTTTTTCTTTTCCTAAAAATAGAGGATTCCAGAGGGTTTTCTTTTCCTAAAAATAGAGGATTCCACTGAGTCAGTGTAATAGGATGTCCACTCCACTCTAACCCTTACAAAGAAAGTAACCTGAGCAAACCTGATGTTAAGCAATCAGTTAATCAGTTTTTTTCTATTGTTCTGTTTTCTTGTTTCCACCTTAACAAAATCCACAGTTCTGCCATTGTCAAGTGGGTGCTCTCATTCAATTTTGTGGAACAGAGACTGCCCAAATTCATGAACTGTGAATAAAAGCCAATTGCATAGATAAGTAAACCTGTAATTTTGTCCTTTGGCAGTAAAGATTTTCTTAGTGACATCCTTACCACTTAAAGCATATTTCTCAATGGTAGTAGAACTATGAGGTTCTATAGAAAACATCCTTAATTTTCTTCTAGGTCAAAAATAAGCTCCTTGGTTAGAGGTACTCCTGACCAATTATTAGATTAGTACATCAGCTCTTAGGATCTCAAGCCCTGCTTATAAATGTTTTCTAATTTTTAAAAGTTTGTTACAATTGTATTAATTTAGATTTTTAGGTATAAAAATATAAAGTTCAGTTCTAAGAGATGATACAACTCATGAATATATTTTATTTACAAATACTAAAAAACTCTACTGAGATTTAAAGCTAAGAACCCCATACATAATCTCCATTTAATAATTAATCAACTACACTGTTTATCTATATTTGGGACCAACTGTCAGAATGCTGACATCATGGATATCCATGCCTTCTTAGTCAAAAGGAGGGACTCCTAAAAACTGGCAATGTGCAGATGAATATAATTGACCAGAGCACTTGGTGCTCAGCTTGGGAGGGAAGGAGTATTGGAACCTCATCAGTGGACAAGGGAGTGCTAGAACTCTAGAACACTGACTTGTGACACTTCTGCAGCTGGTGAGAAAAATAAGCTTGTTTGCAGATTCTACATTACATATAAAGCATACCTATGTATCAGAAAAAGGAGCTACTCTAATGTAATCTCCATACTGGTCCCAAACCGGCAACAGCAATGGTTATACAAAGGCAAGAATTCTTAATCTTTGCTTTAGGTTCTGTTGTGAATGCTTAAAAATTGTATACATAATTATGTATGTGTTTGTGTGTTTGTGTGTGTGTATGTATGGAGAATTAATAGCTTTGATTTGTTTCTCAAAGAAAACTGCCATAATTTTCACAACTATACACCTCTGAATTGAGTACAAGTCATTGACACAAAAGCAAACACTTAGCTTTTAATATAATGGAAGGGCCATCACTGGAGGCAGACAGAACTTGTTTTGCTCCATTGGCCCAATGTTTGTAGGGCTAGAAAACTGCTAATCACTTCAGCTCAGAGAGTGTCCAGCATAGGGGCTGCTAGGAAGTAGGATATCTTTGTGACTATCACAAAAAGGAATACTTTTCTCTTCCAGGTTGATGCAACCCACATCAGGCACAGAATGCAGTTCAGCCTCTGTGGTTGTGTGACTTCATGAAGGTGTAGTGTAGCCTACATGCTTCTTATTAATGTGAACTCTGAAAATTTGAGACAGATCTCAGTTAATTTAGAAAGTTTATTTTGCCAAGGTTGAGGATGCGCATCCATGACACAGCCCCAGCAAGTCCTGATGACATGTGCCAAAGGTGGTTGGGACACAGCTTGGTTTTATGCATTTTAGGGCGATGTGAGACATCAATCAAGGTATGTAACACATAAATTGGTTCCGTCCAGAAAGGCAGGGACAACTTGAAACAGAGAGGGGGCATCCAGGTCACAGGTAGGTGAGAAAAAAGTGGTTGCATTCTTTTGAGTTTTTGATAAGCCTTTCCAAAGGAGGCAATAAGAATATGCATCTATCTCAGGGAGTAAAGGGATGACTTTGAATAGAATGGGAGGCAATTTGCCTTGACCAGTCCCCAGCTTGAATTTTCCCTTTAGCTTAGTAATTTTGGAGGCCCAAGGTATTTGCCTTTCACACTATAACACAGGAATAATTTGTGCAATATACTTTCACTTATTATAAGAAATAAGGATTGGGTCCAGTCCTATGCACTGAGGAGGCAGTTGTCTGTCAACAAATCAGACAAAATCTCTGCTCTCTTGGAACTTATATTCTGGGTGGTGGTAGTTTTTTGGGGGAAAGGAGTGGTAAAGAGGTGATAGTTAATTAAAGATGATATTTAAAGGTATTTAAAAGATATCCTGGAAATGAGACAGAGAGATAAAGAAAGTGGGAGAGTAGAAAATAAACTATATGATTTATTAGCATTCTCCTTGACATATAATAGGGAATTAAATAGGCTTTTATATATGGAAATTGTAATACGGAACATTATTGGGAAAAGGGCATGTTTCAATTCTAGTAAGTTCAAAGTATTCTCATATGCCACTACATTGTAAATGGTTTTCAAATCATTAAAAGGACACACTGTTTCAAATTACAGCCTACAAACAATTCAAACTGACAGTTTTTACCCTTCATGCTTGCTTCGAAGTCCCCAAGAAAAGATCTGAGGGTCTAAAGTTAGCTAGCCCCACCATATGAAATGGGACTACAGAAAGGAGGAAGGGACTTGGATTCTAACAAGCCGGCTACCTTCCTCATTCAAACTGACAGCAGAACCTAGTAGACAAAGGTTTAATGTCTTCTTGTATAAGCAATCTCTGTTGATAAAACATTTGTCTTTGTGGTTAGTCAAGGGGATATTTAATAGAGCTGTCAATCATTTTTGGAAGAGAAAAGATAAAAAATAAAAAAGGAAGTGCATGGAAGAACTTGTTCATTTTACCCCAAAACCATAATTTCCTTTTTAAGACTATGAAATTCCAGCCCCATTGTAGCGAACAGATTTGCCTGTTAGCAACTTGACAGGCTGAGGTGGCTACTCGTTATTTAATTTTCATAACAAAAAAGTGGGTGAGACTGTCATTACTTTTATTTTCATTTCTTCTAGAAGCTCTAAGAAAAGAAATTCTCCCTGGAGACTCATACAGGGTTAATAAAGCCACAACTTTTCTATACTGCTGAGCCACAGCTGCAGAAAAAGAGAGAAAGAAGAAGAAGAAAACAGGTCTGTCCTTGTTAGCTTTCTGTCTTGAAGCCTTAGATGTAACCTGGCCTCTTCCTGAGAAGGAAGGGAGCATTACTGCACTTACCCTAGCTCATTGAAGATGGAGGTACTGTGCTCACAAAATGAGGCTTTATTACTCTCTCCATTTGATGTCCAAATCCCAGAGCAACAATAAAATTATGCTTGTAGATGTGCGTGGGTCATTCTGCTGACCTTCTGACTTCCCAGCACAACTGACTGCATTTTTTCCTGTATAGTAATAAAAATCCTCACCCCATCTACTACTGCAAATATATCCCTTTCAATCCAGAAATTTTAATTTTTATCATAATTATTATCATTTTATAATATCTTTAAAACTTCCTAAAATCTGGACTGTCTCAAGCTCTTCCCTGGGGGTTTATTCAATTAGACAATATTTATTGATTGCCTATTATGTGCAAGATACTATGAGAGACAGAGAGATAAATATATGTGGTCTGGGGCCTAGAAAAGCTTACAACCTTCTCTTTTGTTCCAAAGTTTCAGAATTCGACCAAAATTGTAACAGCCTATTCCCCACAATGGGTGAGGTAGAATACAGTATTAGCCTTATAAAAAATGTAAAGCATATGGTTACATTTTTCTTGTTTATCAAAAAGTATGTCATTACAGCTACACTTTTATAAATCAAAAGAATAATTCAGTATTTAAACAAAACCCCATTATTTTGCTATCCCATGCCCACTAATTGGATGCAATGGACCATATCGACTTCTCTTGGGAGTTTTAATTTTTCAAACAAATGTATGAAGTCAAATACAAAGTTAAAAGTTTCTGTTTACTGTTAGTTTATTTGGAAGCTAAACACAAAAGATTTGCTTCTTCAGTCAACAATGTATACCGAGCCTCTCTAGAGTGCTAGGAACTGTGCAGGCACTGCAGATAGAAAGATGGCAAGCCTTTGAGGAACTTTCAAGGTGTGTCCATTGAGAGCATTTTTTTTTTCCTGAGATTAAGTTGAAAACACAGAAAACTAACTTAGAATATTCAGGTGTTAGACTTTCTTTCAAAGCTCTCTCTGGCATAGCCCAAACTTCTCTTTAAATTCTATTTTCAACCATAAGAATTTGCAGACATGCTTCACCCAGATTCAACAACTTGCCATTCTCTACCTTTACCAAATGGTCCCACCTTACATTTTTGTGTTTTCTGTCTTCATATCACTGGCTGTTTCCTTTTCCTACATCAGTAGTTCCACAGCCCATTCATCTATCAAAGTCCTAATTGATCCCACTCCTCTATAACGTTTTAATATGCATTTTAGTTGGAAATAATTTGTGTATCATGTAATTGTCCATTCTGCTTTGTCTAAATTTCTTATTAAAATATCCACTTAAAGCATTTAGTAGTGTTATTTGTATGAGTTGTCATCTCTGCTAGATAGTGTACTTTCTCAGGAGAAATTCAAATCTGATGATTCAGAAGAGCTTCTTGATTTGGAGAACACTCGATAAATATTTCCCAAACCAGTCAATGATAAAAAGTGCAATAAAAGCACTTTTCAAATGTTAGTGTGCACAAGAATCACCTGGAGAGCCTGTTAATGTAAGGACTTCTGGGCCCCACACAAGAGAATCAAAACCGGTAGGTCTTGGATGGGCTACAACAATGTTGATGGTGGTAATTTTAGGTAGATGGAACGTCATAAACAAAGGTATTGAGGTGAAAGAAATAAAATATTGGCTTGATTGTAGCAAAACAGCCAAAGTGGTGTTCTCTGAAAAGTGAGTAAGATTACATAGTACTTTTCTTTTTAATACATGTTTGGGCTGGGCATGGTGGCTCATGCCTGTAATTCTAGCACTTTGGGAGGCCAAGATGGGTGGATCACCTGAGGTCAGGAGTTCGAGACCAGCCTGGTCAACATGGTGAAACCCCGTCTCTACTGCTAATACAAAAATTAGCCAGGCATGGTATTGGACACCTGTAATCCCAACTACTCTGGAGTCTGAGGCAGGAGAATCACCTGAACCTGGAGGCAGAGTTTGCAGTGAGTCGAGATCATGCCATTGCACTCCAGTTGGGTGGCAGAGTGAGAATCTGTCTCAAAAAAAAAAAAAAAAAAAGTTTGTTACTGTAACAATTCTTCACCATTATCATGTATTATCCTTGTCATCTTGAACCTATCAAAAGGATATTAACACACTCTATTAATTATCAAAAAATACATGAAACAATGAGAAGTTATAATATATTTTCATATGGCATATTATCATAAAACAAAGAAAATGACCTTAAATGATTAAATCAATTTAGGGAAAATAAAAGCATGAATCACACATGCAGAAATATACTGAATCATTGAAAAGATGCATTAAATTCTCACATAAATTCTCAGAAAGTTGGTCTTCACGACAACTGGGCTGAAATTACCCATCCATGTATTTTATTATAAGAAAGCAAGAGGGCTGATATTAGAGAAATAAAAAGTAACTAAAGGATCGAATAGTTTTTCCCAGTTCAACTAATCATTATCTAATTATTACTTGAAATTAGGAAGGAAAGCAGAAGGAAGTTCCTTTTCTTTACAAAGATAATGTTTGACATTGACACATAACAGAGAGGTAGAGGGCAAAAGAGGATCTGACCTAGGAGACCAGTATACAGTTGATAAGTGCTGTCTGTGAATTTACTCCAATTGCCTTTAGCATTTATATTGGGAGTCTTTATTAATGAATGGGATGCTATTTACTCTACCAACAAAAGACACTGTGATGGTATTCTCCACAGCCAGAACATAATTCATATGTGTTACAAGGTTCATTGAATTCATATGTGCAATAGCTTCATATAATTGAAATAATGGAAATTTTAATCTGGTAGGCAATTTCTTACCTGGTGTTTCTTGATATCCTTGTAATTAACACAATTTACTAATATCCTTTGAACAACTCGAGGATGGCAATTCTCATTTCTAGTAGGTAGTCTTGGATATGGTTACTAAGTAATGAATGCTGCTGCCATCCACTCTTGTTTTTATTTTTTCAGAAGAAAATGGAAACTCCTCATGTCTTGCTAGAATAAAATTCAATAGTGTTTTATAAAGGCACAAGCTTAGTTTTTCAGTTTTTATTGGTAATCATCTGTGGTTTGGTCTCTTTGTAGAAGGCAGTCTCAGCTGGAAGCAAAGGCAGGTTCATCCTGAGAGTTTACCTGCCTGGTCATGTGGGGAGGGCTGTTCATACATGCTTATATAGAAATAGATGATGAAGGGCAACCTAAGGGAAAAGCCACTAGAAATGGTTAAAGAAAAAAGAAAGCAGCATTCTGAGAGCAGTATAGTATATAACTCAGGTGATTATGCAGCAGAAAGCTCTTGAAATCTTATTAGAATTTATTAGGGTGGTAGTAGATGTTTGACAGATTAAAAACCATAATAACGGTCAAAAGAAACCCTGAAATTACTGTAAGTTTACAGGACAAGACAATACCACTTCTTAGCACAATGAAAAACTACACAATAAAATGGTGGAAGAGACTTTTCTCTACTTGGTAAAATTATTAGCTCTGCTTGTAAAGAGCATGAAGGTGGACCATCCTCCACTGGGATCAGGTGAGAAGCCAAGAAAGACATCTCATGCTGGTGCCCTCTTGGTGACTATTAGGGATACTAGGCACTTAGTATGATAGTTTCGTGTTCATCTTATTTTATAAACTGTCAAACTCTCTCTCTCTCTTTTTTTTTCTGTGTGTGTGTGTTTGTGTGTGTGTGTGAGACGGAGTTTTGCTCTTGTCGCCCAGGCTGGACTGCAATGGTGCGATCTTGGTTCACTGCAACCTCCCCCTCCAGGGTTCAAGTGATTCTCCTGCCTCAGCCTCCAGAGTAGCTGAGATTACAGGTGCCCACCACCATGCCCAGCTAATTTTTTGTCTTTTTAGTAGAGACGAGGTTTCACCCTGTTGGTCAGGCTGGTCTTGGACTCCTGACCTCAGGTGAGGTCACCTGACTTGGCATCCCAAAGTGCTGGGATTACAGGCGTGAGCCACCACATCCAGCCGTAAACTGCCAAACTCTTTTTTAGAATGGTTGTACTATTTTACATTCCCAATTAAATGAGTGATTCAATTTCACCAAATCCTCACCACCATTTAGTGTTGTTAAAATTATTTTAGTCATTCCAATAGGCATATAGTGATATTTTATTGTCATGATAATTCTCATTTCTCTGATGGCTAATAATATTGACAACAGTTCCATGTGCTTATATTCAATTATTTAGCCTATTTAGTGAATTTTCTCTTGATGTTTTGGGGCCATTTTCTAATTAGATTGTTTTGTTTAGAGACTTTACAGAGTACTTTATATAGTCTAGATATTAGTCTTTTGTTAACCAGTGTGAATGTTTGGTTTGCAAATAGTTTC